>NC_000016.10:3760000-4385000 GCF_000001405.40 Homo sapiens | reverse complement strand
TTTTTTGGGCCCTGCCACCCCCCCGCCACTGCCCCCTGCCACCATCCCACTCGGCCAGGTTTGCTTTGCAGTGAAAACATTTCTTCAGCAGCCGCCGTGTTCAGCAGCAGCCTCAGGCCCACAAAGGCCCCTTTGACGATGCAGCCACGGGCCGGGGGAGGCAGGCCTGGCCGCAGCCACTCCCCTAATGGGACCCAGGCCTACAGGAAATCCACCTGGGCTGCCGCCGCTGCCTCAGGAAGAAGGGGCCCCACCCAGGCCCACTGCCACCACCCACTGCCCGCCATGACCCACGGCCCGCCTCCTCCCTCCTCGTGCCAGAGCCCTCAGCAGCCGCTAATTGAATCCAGAGCCTCGCGTGGCTGGGCCTGACTCGGCACTGACATCAACACCCGCGCCACGGGGCCTGCTCCCTGGGTCTGGCTGGGCTGACTCTGTCCCACCAGGGGTGAGCCTGAGTGCTGGGGGCCGGGGCCATGACCTGTGGGACAGTGGCATGGGGTCTGCAGGAGGCTCACTCCAGCATGTTCTGGGTGCCCCTGCAGCGGCAGCCCAGTGGGTCCCCTCCCCTCCATCCCACTGAGGGTAACAGGAAAAGGTGCTGTGTGTCCATCACTGTCCCCAAGCCCCCTGCACCCAGTCCAGGCCACAGCTGCACTCAGCATCACTGCCCCCACCTCAGCATGCAGCCTTCCTGGAAAATGCTCCCACTTCTAGGGTTTCCAGAAAGCCTGGGCACATCCCTAATGCAGGGGCTGAGGGGGCATCCCAAGGCCACCAATCCTGGCACCGTCTGCAAGCCAACCTGGGCCCTTTGTTCCTGTCCCCCAGCTTGTCCTGCTCACTGGGGCTCGGCCCCTTTCTCCCCACCCATGGGGTCCCTGCCTTTGATGATTCACACTTCCCCTCCCACCAGAGCCCTCGCTGTAGCCAGGGGCAGGAGGCAGGGAGCAGGATTTCCTGCTGCGCCCATGGTGGGCAGTGGAGTGGCATGGGGCTGGGGCCATGCAAACCGCTTGGCTCTCCCGGGACGCTGTAGAGAAGGTCCCGGAGGCCACTTGCTCCCGGGACCATCCATGAGGCCTGGAATGAGAGAGCCCAGGGCCCTGTCCCTGGAGGAAAGCAGGCAGTGAACTGCCCATCAGACCAACCCACAAGGGACTCACCTGGCCCCACATGTGCCACAAGCCTCTCCCAGCCGCACATGGGCCAGAGCCCCTGCTGGCAGAAGACAGGGCCTGGGGAAGGTGAGGCTCCCTGACCCGTTCTTGTCCGAGGCCAGAGGCAGCCCTGCTCCCACCTGGGCCCAGCCTCACCTCATTCAAGCCTAGGGTGGATGGCACCCAGGTCAGGACACCTGGGAGGGCTGCCCAAGCCCAGGGGCTGCTGAGGGGCCCTGGCTCCCCAGAGCGAGGGCCACTCCTTCTTCATCTCCCTCCACCCAGCCCTTCTACCCTGGGGCTGAGCCCAAGAAACACACTTCATCTTTTATTTTTTCTTACAAAAGGCCTTCATATCATCGTTTGTCTTACAAAAACCAAAGTCCTTGTCTCTGAGTTTGAAAAACATCTTCCCAGAATAAATGGGAAAGGATCTCTTATAAATATATATATATTTTAAAAAAGCAAAACATGTTCCTAAAGCATCTTCCTTTCCAGTTTCTTTTGTTCCTTCGCTTCCTGGGGCCAAGACTAGAGTCACACAGCCGCCTACCCGCTCTCCCTCTGCTCTTTCCGGGAGCTTCCTTCACTGGCCCCCAGGGTCCGCCTGGAGTGGGAGAGCCCAGCAGGGCCCAGGCATGCGTTACCAGCACATGGCAGGGCCCGCCGTGCCCAGGGACTGCACGTTGCGGAGGGCAGGGCGGACACTGTCCTCATAGGCACTCGGTTCTGGGGACGTTAGGGCTCGTCAGCTGGGCCACAGCATCTCACAGATGAGGAGACCGAGGTCCAGAGGGAACAGGGCCCAGCTGTGGTCACACAGCCCTGTCTGCACACATCCCCGAGGTTGGGACTGAGAACTTACGTGGTGTGGCAGCAGGAGGGGGCTGGCCATCTCACTGGCTGAGAGCCCGGCCCCAGCTGCCCTGTCTCTCTCTGGCTTAGATGTAGGGCTTTGCGTGGAGGGGTGACTGGAGGCCAGGCCCTGGGAAGCCCATGAGTGGCACCTCACACTCAGACCCGCTGGGCAGGGCCTCTCCACCGCCCTCTGTTGCCTTCGGGCCTGGCTCCAAGGGGACCTTCACTCCCTCCAGTTCCAGGGGCCCAGCCCCTGGCCCCACCTGCCCTTTGTCCTGAGCCGCTGCTGCCATGGCCCGCCCCCGCCGCACACAGTAGGCTGCCCCCACCGCAGCCAGCGCGGCCAGGAGCACCGCGGCCAGGGCGGGCGCAATGAGGAGCGGCAGGTTGCCCTCGCGGGCCTGGGTGACTGGGGCGTGGTTGGAGTGGACGGCTGGGGGTGTATGGGCCTCCCCGCAGGCCTCCTCGCCCTCCGGCACCCGCCCGGGCCCCAAAGGCATGACACAGACGGAGTAAGTGGCGTTGGGCCGCAGCTGGGTGACCGTGTACTCAGCGAGCGAGGCAGGCAGTCGCAGCGTCACCAGCCGCTTATCAGGGCCCGATAGGTTGCGATAGGTGAGACGGAGGCTCCTGAGCTGCACGGAGCTCCCCTGGAGGTAGCGCTGCAGCCCCACGCGCAGGGAGGTGGGGCTCACCGGCTCGATGCCCAGGGTCAGGGACCGTGGTGGCCTCGGCGTGACTGGTGTAGGGCTGGGCCGTGTCCCCTGCCCCATCTGGCTCTCACAGTACAGGCCCGTGAAGCCTTCGGGGCACAAGCACGCCAGGTGGTGCCGTGTCCCCAGGTGGCATGTGCCCCCATTGAGGCAGGTGGACGGTGGGCAGTCCTGGGGCTGGGGGACAGGCCCTACAGTCGGTGGGGCAGTGGAGGGCGGGCTGGGGGCCTCAGTGGCCGGCTCTGTGGGGCTAAGCCAGGTAGGAGCCAAGCTAGAAGACAAGGCTGTGGGCTCCCGCACCACGGGCCTCGTGGTGGGCACTGTGGCTGTGGTGGTGGTGGCTGGGCAGCCAAAGTCGGCGTAGTCAAGCTCCAGGAGCAGCCGGCCAGCGTTCTTGGGCGGGAAGTGGCAGCGCGTCTCCTCAGGGCTGGCCAGTGTGACGTGGCTCTCGCGCACCCAGGGGCCAAACCAGCTCAGGGGGCACACGCAGTTGAAGGGGTTGCGGGCAGCTGCCAGCAGCCGCAGGCGGGGGAAGAGGCCCGAGAGGTCGCCAGGCAGGGCCTGCAGGCTTAGGTTGCTCACATCCAGCTCCTGCAGGGCAGCCAGGCCGGCCAGGTCCTCGGGCCGCAGCTGGGCAATGCGGGTGTTGCCGGCCAGCCGCAGGCGCGTCAGGCCCCGGAGGCCTCGGATCACAGGTGGCACTCGCTCCAGCTGGTTGTCGGACACATCCAGGTCGTGGAGGTTGCGCAAGCGGCTGAAGAGCCCCTCGTCCAGCTGCTGCAGCCCCAGACCAGCCAGCCGCAGCGCCTCCACGTTGGCAGTGTCCAGGATGCCGGGCTCCAGGGCCAGGAGGCTGTTGTGGCTGAGGTCCAGCAGCAGCAGGCGGGGCAGGCGCAGCGGGGGCAGTGCCCGCAGCTCGTTGTCCTGCAGCTTGAGCTCCAGGAGGCGGTCGAGCGTGTCGAAGGCACCAGGCTGGATGTGGCGGATGCGGTTCTTGCCCAGGTAGAGGCGCTCGAGGCGCCGCAGGCCACGGAAGGTCTCATTGGTGATTTCATGCAGCCTGTTGGCTGTCAGGTCCAGGTTGCTGAGGTTGGCGAGTGGCTGGAAGACCCCGCTGGGCAGGCTGGCGATCTGGTTCTGTGACAGGTCCAGGAGCTGCAGGCCCGGCAGGCCGGCAAAGCTGCCTGCGTCGAGCATGGTGATGCCGTTCTCAAAGACGTACAGCCCCACCGTGTCGGGTGGCACGTCTCGGGGCACCGTGGTCCCCTGGCGGGCAGTGCAGAAGACTGTCTGTGGCTGGCTGCACTGGCAGCCGGATGGGCAGCCCTGCACCCCAGGCCCCAGGGCCAGTAGCAGGAGCAGCGGCAGCAGCAGAGGGACCCTGGAGCACATCTTCTGTCCCTGGGAGCAGAGAGGAGGCAGAGACAGAAGACTGTGAGTCAGGGGCCTAGAAGGCAGACACGCCAGGAAGAGCCAGAGGGAATTCACTGCTTCTGCCCCCAAATGCAAGAGAACCCAATGGTTATGAGTCAGGTCGCCAGTGCCCCGACCCAGGTTCTGTCCCAGCCCCGTCACTCCCTCACTGTGTGACCTTGTCAATGCACACAGAGGTCATCATGGGGCATGACATCCACTGAACGTGCAGTGACCATGCACTGCTTCCTCCTGAACCCCAGGCCCTCCTGCCTCTGCCTAGGTAGGTTCCCCCATCCCCTGCCTCAGAGATGGACCAGGAAGGAGAGAATGGTGGGACTTGGAGCGGCAGCTCCTCCCTACAGGGTCTGGAAGAGGGGGCAGGCAGGCAGCTGGGTGGGTGTGTAAGCAGAGAAGCTGGCTGCCTTGGCCGCCGGCTCCTGCTGCCACGCTCCGTGTCCCGCCCTCCTTGGAGGAGGGAATGCAGCGGGAAGACTTCACATGGAAACTATGGGATCCATGTTTTTCCACTTGGGCAGTCAGACCTGCTTAGGCTGGGGGCTGCGGGCCGCCAGGAAGTGGCCGGCGGGAAGGTTCCTGGAGGAGGGGCAGAGGCCACAGGCATTGGCAGGTGTCCCCTGTGAGGGAGGGAGGCGGGGAGCTGAGGCTGGTGACAGAGCTGGAGCTGGGGGGCCACAGGGCTCAGGTGGGGACACTGGCTACATGGCAGCCCCAGGGGCAGTGCCAGGCCTGGGAAAACTCTGCAGAGTCATTCATCTACTTTTTTTTTTTTTTTTTTGAGACGGAGTCTTGCTCTGTCACCCAAGCTGGAGTGCAGTGGCGAGATCTCGGCTCACTGCAACCTCTGCCTCCCAGGTTCAAGCAATTCTCCTGCCTCAGCCTCCCATGTAGCTGGGACTACAGGTGCCAGCCACCATGCATGGCTAATTTTTGTATTTTTTTTTTTTTTTTTTTTAGTAGAGACAGGGTTTCACCATGTTGGTCAGGTTGGTCTGGAACTCCTGACCTCAGGTGATCTGCCCGCCTCAGCCTCCAAAAGTGCTGGGATTACAGGCATGAGCCACCGTGCCCGGCTTCGTCTACTGTTTCTTGGGGTCTGCCCTGAGCTGGGCACCAAGAAAGATGAGCAGCAGCCATCCCCTTGGCAGTGATGGTGCAAGTCCTTCCCATGTGCCAGCGAAGTGGGAAGGACGAAGGAACACTAAGTGTTTACCGTCACCTCAGGTAGCCCCCCAGCAGCCACGTCAGGGCAGACAGAAGAAAGCAGGGCTCATGGAGGTGCAGGGACTCGCTGCCATTGCGGTGCCAGCAAGTCCGAGCTAGAGCCCAGGTGTGCAGCAGCCACCTGTGAAGGGTGCGTGCCCTCCAGATGGCCCTGGGGGCGGGGGCTCCCACCAGCCGCTCCAGGCTCCAGATCTTAGCTGCACTGCCCAAGTCAGGCAGGTCTGTGGCTGGCCCCCATCACCTAGACTCCTGGGGAGACCGCTGGGGCCGTCCCCAGGAAGAGCCCTCCCCACTTTGGCACCCCTAGAAGTCCCTGAGCCTCATACGGGGTGCCAGCCCATCCCCAGGAAGCATCCTGCCCAGTGGCGCCTGCAGCTCACACAAGAGCCCTTTGTGCTGGAGTCCGGGCTTCCCCTTCCCCCACACAGGCTGTGCAGGTAGTCCAGGGAACACGACCCCGACCCAGCCTGCACTCCGCCCCAGGCTGGGGGGACCCGTCCATAGGGCTCCCTCTCCCCCAGGTACGTGGGTTCCTGGAATGTGAGGAGGAGCAGGTGGTCCCAGGACAGATTAGACAAGTCACTGGTGAGGTGACCACTGGGGTCTGCGGGTAGCTCGAGGTGAAGGAAGAAGCCCTTGTCCCCGGGGTTGGGCCCACGCAGGCCCTGCCCACGTGTAGTATCGCACTGCCAGAGTCGTCTCCCCTAGGAGCTACCGACCCTGAGCCCCTAGCCAGTTAGCGACAACAAGCACCCTTCAGAGGCCAGCAGGCTAAGCCTCCCCAACCTAGCGGTGTCCCCCTTGCTGTCGTGTGCCCCCTCACCTCCCTAAGGTGAGACCCAGCCTGCCTTTGCCATAGGTGTCTCCAGGCCCACTTAGCTCAGGTCTGCTGAGTGAACAGCCCAGGAGGGCCTGGCACTGAGCACTGGAAGAAGTTAGCACCCCAAACCCCAGGCACGCGTCCCTGGCCCGGCCAGCCCACCCCAGGGGGGCTCGTGTCTGATGACCTAAGGCCCTGGGGCCACACCCCTAGCCTTCTCTTCCCCCATGGGACCCGCTCCACCCTCACTGACTCAGAGGACGGCGGGTGCGGCCTGGCCTCCAGATGTGGGCTGTGAGTGACCCCCACCCACCCCATGTCCATATGGGGGGTGAGGCCACCTCTGCCTGAATTAGCCCTCCCAGCAGGGCCAGACCAGGGTCAGGAAGGATGCAGCCAGGTTCCAGAGTGGGAGGGGATCCTCCACGTGGCCAGCCTGGCCAGCCTGGCCACCACTGTGGCCGCAGCTCCCCTTGGGCCTCGTTTAAGGTCACAGTTAAGAGCGCTCACTCCAGGCAGGCGGCCCTGTGCTCAGAGGTGTCCAAGCTGTGAGGCCGCAGACAGTGACTTTGCTCTCACACCTCGGTTTCTTCATCTGAGTATCTGGGACACTTCAGGGCTGCAGTGGGGGATGCATGTGGAGTCCTCAGCCCTGCAAGGCCAGGTGTGCAGGCCAGCTCTTAGGGGCACGTGCTGGGGGGTGCTCTTCACCCTGCACTGGGGAGGGGGACCAGCCATAGCTCTGGGCTCCGTAATCTGTTGGGTCTTTAATCAGCAAGGTTGTGAAGGGAGAGGGGATGCTGTGGGTCCATCTGGCCACAGGGTGGCTTTCCGGCTGACAGGTAGTGAGCTGTGGAATGTGCGTTCCTGTTAGCAGGACAGGGGTCTAGGTCAGGACTGTGGGCTGGGGTCCTGGGCTGACCATCCAGCAGGCGGCAGCCAGCCTGCTTCCCAGCCCCGTAAAATGTGCGGTGAGCTCTTTTGCCTGAGCCCCAATTCTACCCCCACATCAAAGGGAGGAGGGAGGAGGCAGCGCTGGAGCTTTGGAAAACCCCAGAGTTTGTAAGCTACAGGCTGGCAGCTCTGAGGGCACCGCCAGGGACTCCTGGCACTGAGAACCCATCAGCCAGCCCCGAGAGGAACCCAGCGAGGGAAGGCTGACTGTGGAGGGGACGGTGGCAGGGGACAGAGGCCAGAGTTCCTTTCTCAACTGTGGGCCTCAGTTTCTCACCTCTGGAGTTGGTGCAAGCAGCCCTGCCCCCTCACCCTCTGGAGTTGTAGTTTTCTGTTGTTCTGTTTGTTTTCAAATGGGGAAGTTCTTTTAACAAGTTCTGGGAGCTGTCCCGCCCGCCTGGGGTCTGGGCGTGTGCTTGGTGTGTGCGTGGGGCTGGGGGCTGTCTACAGGTCACACGGTGGTTGCCGCCGCCCACCCACCCTCCCACCCGGTGATCCCAGGACCTGGGCTTTGATATTTGATCACTAGTCAGGCAGGGAGGTGAGACCTTTTCCTCTGCCTGGTGCAGGAGGTGTTCCGGAGGCAGCCCTGGGATTCCTGGGATTCGGGGACGTCGGGGGGTGGGAAGATGACGCAAGGGTCTGGGGCCTCCGTCCTCCACCCAAGTTCCTCAGCCTTGCTGAGTGCTGCTGCCGGCCTTGCTCCCTCCCTGGCACAGTAACTGGCATAGGGCGACAGGGTCCACAGCCCGGCCACGACCCCTACCTCAGCCCCCATTGTGCAGTGGGCGCTGCTCGTGGTGCTCGTGGTGCCTGTGTCTGGGGTGACTTGGTCTGTGCTCGGAGCACTTGCCAAGTGGTCGGTAAACATTCACTGCGGAGGGCGTCACTCATAAACGCAGAACTCTGCCTGCCCCCTGGGCGTGGGTACTACTAAGGGAGAGGGTTTCAGGCCAGCTTTACACAGATCAGACATCCCCACACCAAGGCTGCCCTTCACCCTGGGGGCTGGGGAGCGGGGGTGGGGTATCTCTGGTTCTGGAAGGGGGCACGTGGTGGGTGAGCTGTCCCTTGGCGGCCCCTTCAGCACAGGACTTCAGGGAGGGGCCCTATGAGTAAGGAGGACAAGGCACTCGTCATCTCAACTCCCAGGGGGACGCCCACCCACCTCTGGGGTACACCACACACGCCCAGGGTCAGGCGGGGACGGGCCAGGGGATAGCATGGCTGGGGTGGGACCCAGGCATCTGGTGACCACATCAGCCCCTGGCGAGAACATCTCACTGATTCTGGGGCAGGCGGTGTGCCTGCTGAGTAGGGGACAGGCTTGGACAGACAGATAGACAGTCTGAGGCCAGTACGCCCCTCCTGTGCCGTATGCTTCAGCGTGGGTGCAGGACAGGCGCTGCAGGTCTGACCCTGAGACTCCGGGCCCCCGCTCCTCATGCTGGCCCGCCAAGGCTCTGTGTGGCCGGTCAGGCCTGGCAGCAGCCCAGCCCCGGGAGTCTGCCAACCCCTCCAGGCAGGCGGGACTGTGCCGGCGGCCAGGACGGCTGGCTCCAGTTTCGCTGACGTGTCCGAGGAGGCTCAGGGCCCGGCTGGGTCCGCCCCGTCTCCCCTTCCTTGGGACACAGCAGTCCCAAGGGCAGGGCAGAGAGGTCAGGGGTCGTGGGCCCTCACAGAAGGGGCAGAGAGGGCTGGGCCTCGAGTTCCTCAGGGACTGCGGCAGGTAGACCCTCCCTATAGGCGCGGGGACCCCTGGCTGGTGATTGAGCGGGGGTCCCCATGGGTGTCAGCCTCTTTCTTACTCCATCCACCACCCCAAGCTGGCGCTCTTCATTCCACAGATAATGCCACAGCCAGGAGCTCAGTCAGGCACTCACACGCTTTGTGACCTCATCCAAGCAAGCTCCCCTCTCTGGGCTTCCGTCTCCCACCTGTGACGCCAGGGCTTTGCCCGCCGGGCTGCACATCAGAATCATCCAGGAAGCTTTCTAAAAAAAACCTCCATGCTGGGGCCCCACCCCCAGGCCAATTAAACAAGAAATTCTGCCGGGCATGGTGGCTCACGCCTGTAATCCCAGTACTTTGGGAGGCCGAGGTAGGACGATCACGAGGTCAGGAGATCGAGACCATCCTGGCTAACATGGTGAAACCCCGTCTCTACTAAAAATACAAAAAAATTAGCCAGGCCTGGTGGCAGGCGCCTGTAGTCCCAGCTACTTGGGAGGCTGAGGCAGGAGAATGGTGTGAACCTGGGAGGCGGAGCTTGCAGTGAGCCAATATTGCGCCACTGCACTCCAGCCTGGGTGACAGAGCAATACTCCATCTCAAAAACAAAAAGAATGTCTAGGAGTGAGACCCAGGCAGAGCTGTATTTTGGAGAAGCTCCTTGAGCGAGTCCTCCGCACAGCCAGGGTTCAGAACACCAGGACAGAGGGTTGCAAAGGGGACAGTCAGGATGTCAGCTCGTCTTCCTGTGCAGGGAGGAGGCTCTGTATCCTGGAGCAGGTGTGGACCAGCTGGCAGGGCTGGGAGAGGGGCAGGCACAGGGTCTTCCCTCCTCCCTCCACCCAGGAGGCTGGCCCGGCCCCAGGTGGGTGCCTTCAGTAGCACCGTGGGTGACTTGGCAGCTGCCAGACCTGTTAGCCCAGGGCAGGGAGACCAGTGACTAAGGCCAGGCCCCAGCTCAAGTGAGCCCCTGGGGCGGTGGGACGTGCCATCGTAGTCACAAGAGGTGCAACCTGTCAGGGAGGACACCTGTGGCCCTGGGAGCTGTGCAGTGGCTGCAGCCCAACTAGAAATGGGCCAGTCCAGATGCCACTTTCGGCACGCGGCAGGTGTGATGCCACCAGGGCTGGGCCCTCACACGGGGCCTCCTCACTGCCCTGTCCCCACCCAGGGGCAAGCACCCATCTAGTAAGGCCCTAACCTGCAATTAACCCTGAACTTGCCAGAAGAACACCTTAGTCACCAAGGAAGGCCGCCAGCCCTAAGCTTCCTGGGCCTGGGGGTCTGAGAAGGAAGTGGCCCTGGAAGGGGTCTTGCCCTTCTCAAGCTCCCCATGCCGAACCCCCCACAATCACCCAGGGTTCTTGGCCAACCCGTGGCAGAAATGGCGCCCCTGGGGTCTGTGAGCTGATCAATGGGCAGGCGGGATGGATTCAGGGAGGCAGAACAGGACCTGGCCACTGAACCACAACCCTGCCCCCGCACTGCTCTCAATGCCCAGCCGGGCTCGGGGCCCAGGGCCAGCAGGGGCCCCAGCGGCCGCCCCAGCCCCTTCCCGGTGTAGGCCGGCTCCCTCCTCCCTCCTTAATTAAATCTCTCAGGCAGCCCCTGAGGAATGTCAGAACCTTATTGCATTCCCCACGAAGAGTCTGGTGGGGGCCGTCCCGAACCCTGAAGAATAACTGGCCCCTCGCCTGCCCCCACCCCCTGCCCAAAACCGAGGTGGCCTGAGGGAGCCTCCTCCAGCCTCCTCACACCCAGGGAGGCTGGAATGAGGAAAAGCGGGGGAGGCCGGCGGCCCAGCGCGGAGGGAAAGCGATCCGGCTGACTCTGGAATGTGGAAACCGATAAAAGGAAGGAGGCTGAGGCCCTGCCCCTCCTGGTGCAAGCAGGCTCCCCCAAACACCCCCACCCACCCCCAAATACACAGCCCTGCTCCAGTCACGCGCACACAGACACGCCCACGCCAGACACACGCCCACTGGGCAGTGCTCCTGCAGACACACACACACACACACACGTGCACCCTCCCCCTTCTCCAAGAACTCACGCAAATTCCACAGCAGTGAGGGGAGCTGGTTTTCTTGGCAGCACAGAGCCTTGGGCTCCCCAGCCCAGGGAGGGGACTCTAAGGGCAGCTGATGGGGGGTCCAGGAGAGGTCACTAACAGAGTTAGGTGGCCTTGCTGCCCTCCCATGAGCTCAGGGCTGGCCAGTGGTCAGGGATAGCCATCCCTGTGGGCAGCCTCCCCTCTACACACCTCTGCTCACTGGCAGGACTGGCTGTCTGGCCTGCTGAGGTGGGAGCTCCCTCCTGGGCTCAGCAGGGCCCTGCTTTCTTGTTCCCAGAGGCTGCCCAGTGTTGTGTTGGGACCCACTTATAAGCCCAGGCAAGGACTTAATTTTCTGTACTTGGGACTTGTCCCAGCTCCCCCGGGGCTGTCAGTGGGGGTGACAGTAATGGGAGCTAGGAGCCGCGGACCCATCTCCTGCCCGGGGCATCTCCCTTGCCATCTCCCTGGCCCCTGGGCTGCGTGCCAGAGGGGCCTTCCTCGGGTAAGCACAGGTCTGGGCAGTGTCTGAGAGGCTCCTTATGCTGAATCCCATTCTCCCATTCCCAGAATATGGAGAGAGAGGTGCCATCTGGACAAATGCCCTGGGACCCCAGCCCCCAGCCCCATCCCCATCTGACCCTCCGGACCCACAGGTAGCAGGACAGCTGTTCCAACGTGCAGGAGACAGGGGCGGGGTGGGGACAGGCAGTGCCCGGCCCCCAGGCTGGCATGTGTGTGCGCATCCTCCCTCCCCAGGCCCAGGGGAGGCTAGATAATGGTCTGGAGGGGATCCAGCTGGGCTGCTCATCACCAGAGCCTCTTCCTGCCTCTGACACTCTGTTTACAGAAGCTCCAGGCCAACTCCCCTGGGAGAAGAGAGTAAACTCAGGGGACTGCTCCCCATCCCCCACCCGCCTGCCCCAGCTCTGTTGGGTTTTTGTCAATAGCTGGGCCCATCCTGGACTTTGCTGCCCCCTGGACTGGCCCTAATGGACCCTGCTTGGAAGGTCCCAGCCCGGCCACCCCTCTATGCCCTCAACACCCAAAGTACAGTCTAGTGTGAAGGGACCTTGGAGATTTTATCCAATCCCCAGCCCTGGAGGCTCTCAGCCTGGGGAAGGGGGCTCTAGGTCCCGCTGCCTCTCTCCAGAGCCTCACCTGTCCTTGGTGCAAAAGGCAGGCATGGGGACACCTAGACCCCCAGGACCTCTTCCTTCCACCCTGCACACTCCACCCCTGGGCCACAGCAGGGGAGGCGGTCAGTGACCCTGGTGTGGCAATCGTTAACGAATGGGGGAGAGGCAGAATGGTTGGCACCAATCGGCTGGCCTGCCAGTGACCACAGGGGACCTCAGCAGTCCTCAGGCCCCAGCACTGCCAGCCCAGGGACACAAAGGACTAGGCTGGCTCCAGGCCACTGGGTTTGCAGCCCAAGCAAAGCCCCTTCCCTGGCAGAGGCAGAGACCCGGCACCCTGCCTGATACCCGAAGCTCTAAGGGCCCTGGCCAGTACAGGTCCATCCCCCACCTGGAGGGATGGGCATCGGACGCCCACCAGCCACTCCCCGCCCCTCCCTAGGGCTGCATATCTGTAGCCCCCAGCTGTGCTTTGAGTGACAAGGGTCCAGAGGACCCCGGGCAGCCCTTCTGCACAGCAGCACCTACTGCCGGACCCCAGGAGGGAAAAGTGACCCAAGCCTGTGGCTTGGCTATCCCCCTCAAAGGGGTTTGATTCATAAAACTGGTCATGCCGGAGGCCCAGCCGTGGGAGGAGGAAGCATGGGACGGGGTGTTTATTTTGTCTGCTTGCAGCCTCGCGGGCTCACCGCACACTCAGGCGCGCACCCTGGCCGGCCGCGGGGCTGTCGGCGCCCCAGGACGGCGGGGGAGGGAGCGTACAGGGCCTGCCCGCCGGGCGGCCCAGGTGACCGTGTGGGGCTGGGGCCGCGGTCCCGCCCGAGAGTGCGTGTGTGCGCGCGGCGGCGGTCCCCGCGCGTGTGCACAGCCTGGCCGTGGCGCCCCCTTCCCCGCCCGCAGCCCCCCAGCCCCACAGAAACTCACCGGGAGGCGGCGGCGGCGCAGGGAGCCGGGCGGGGCAGGCCGCGGCCTCAGTCTTTCCTGGCGGGTCGGGCCCGAGGGGGTCCTGGGTCCCGAAGCAACTGCGTTCGAGTCCGCGTCCACCCGCCCCGGGCTCGGGCTCCGGAGTCGGCTCGCTGGAGGCAGGTCGCGCCTTAAGAGTCCCGGGGGGCGGGCCCGCCGCGGCAGGGGCGGGGCCTCTCCCCATTGGCCGGGGCGGAGCCGCGTGGAGACACGCCCCTTCCCCACCGAGGGGCTCGTGGGCCGGGTTGCCCTGGCCCTCACCCTGCGGCCACCTGACCTGCGCGGGGAGACCTTGCCCGTCGTGGGTTTGCCGGATGACACTGGGCAGGTTTCTGCTTTTTGTGTAAAAAGCGAGAGACTATTTAGGAATCCTAAGCGTCACAGCCCAGATGCCTATGAGGCACCAGGCAGGTGACAAATGCCAGAAGTCCACCCCAGGGCCTCTGCGGCCCTGGAGAGGCAGGATGGCGGGAGTGGGGCTGGTAAGGGCTGAGTCCTCATGACCAGCCCGGGCCAGCTAGAGCTTTGGATTTTTGAAGAGAAACTGGAAATCCAGATTTTTAGGTGAAATCTCTCAATGTGTTATTGTTGGTAGCTAATCCCAATTTCAAAAAACTCCTGGCAGCCCACACAAAGCCCTTTCAAGAGCCTCCTAAGTATAAACTCCAATGCCAAATCTGAGCTCAGGGTCCTCTTAGCCACGACAGCCTTAAGAGTTGTGAGCAGCCCTGGACTCTCTTCCCCACCATATTATGAGATGAAGGGGCTGTGTCAGGGAGGGCAGTGGTGGTCTGCCCACGGCCCCACAGTTACTGGCAGCTTCAAGCCTGAGCTGTGGAGGCATAGGGGTGGTCACCGTCGGTGGGTGGGGCCTGGGCTGCAGTTGACAGTGGCCCTTGATTGGGCAGGAGGGGCGGGTGCCAGGGGCCGGACTAGTCCAGAAAAATCCCCTGCCTTGGAGGATTCCAGGAAAACACTCTGCCCTCCTCCCCCTCCGCGTTTGTGGTCAGTCATGCCTCAGAGCCTTTGGGGGCCCAGCTCAGCTCCTGACTTCCGGAGAGCCTTGGGACACCCACACCCCCTCCAGCCCGGCCTGTAGCCAAGGCCCTTGGCTGGGCTAGCTCTAGTCTTTGGGGGGCCTGAAGGCTTATCCCTGGGAGGCTGGGCCACACCAGCTGGAGGGTTTCCTAGTCTCTGGAGGACTCAGTTATCTCCAGAAGGCAGGATGGCCTCTGTGTCTAGCCGTCAAGGGCTAAGCAGGGCCTGGCTGGGACAGTCACCTTCTGGACCTCCCGTCCACAGGGCCCTCTCCCCACAGGGCCCCTTTCCAGGGCTGGCAGGGCTCCACAACCCATACGTTTCTCGGTCTACATGGATTAGGGCATGGCTTGCGGACCTCTGTTCCTGGGTTGGGGCTGGCCTTTGGGTGCATTTAGTGCAGGCTTTATGGGAGTTTTTACAACTTTGAAGGCACTGCTAACATTGAAAAATCAGGTGGTTTCATATTAAAATGGGGCTTCCCAGCTTGCATTGAACAGGAACTCTCAGCTGGGGCTGAGTGGCGGTTGCTCCCTCTGCCAAAATGTGGGCTCATGGGTCACCCCAGTCCCCACCACTCCCTGCTGCCTCCTGCCAAGCTGTCCACTCACTTGAGTTTCCTGCCCGGCCCCAGAACCATCTGAGTTTCCAATCAGTGCTGTGCAGCCTCTTGTCGGACTGTTTCCCTGCCTCTTCCCTTGGCCCTGTGTCCTCTGAAGCCCTCAGAAGCATCCACAGATGCCCAGGGTCAGGGGTAAAGAGGGCTCCAAGAGCCTCCAGCCTGGCTTTCCTCAAGGAACAGGACCTCCTGATGTCCTTGAAGCTTCTCACCTCTGTGGCAGGTTCTTGTAGACGGAGAGACCCCATCTGCCTGGTGTTCACCCCCTGCCCCAATCCTGTGCCCTGGCCTTACACAGGTCCCCACTTACCCAGAGGCTCAAGGGAAGCTTTTAGGAGACCCCTCTCAGTTTATCCAACATTGCCTTGTATGGTTTCAAGGTGCCACCCGCCTTTAGAACCTGGTTACCAGCAGTCTGCACACAGCGGGGGAGCTAGGGGCTGTGGGGGTGGAGGGGGGTCAAAGGATCCTAACTAACTCTCCAGCCTGGGTGATAGGGACAGATCCAAGGGACCCAGCCTGCTTTGAACTGGCGCAATGGCAGAATGTCTGGGTTGGTGGGAAGGGGCCTGAGCGGGAGGGATGGGCTGGAGGGGAGGACAGAGGAGGAGCCTTGCAGCTGCTCCTTGTAGCAAGCACACCCTTGGTGCTTCCCCTCGGTGCTAATCACAGGAGTCCTGGGAGAGCTGGCGGGGCTTATCCGGAGGCTGAAACTGCTCGTGCCTCCCAGTTGGTACTGAGGTTGTCTTCTAGCTCCTGGGACCTGGCTGAGGGGCGGGGGCAGATCTGGGCTTTAGACCTTCTATAACTTTATGCCTGGGACAGACCCCTGGACCTGGGTCAGGGTCAGAGCCCTTCCCAGTGGCAGGCCCAGATTCCAGCAGGAGAGGTGCCGGCAATACCTCTTACCACCTCTGGCCCTCTGCCTGGCTGGGGCTCATGTACCATGTTCCAGACCCAGACCCAGCTTGGCTCTCTTCACACAGCCTGGGGTCAGGCCCATGCCAACACTTGGCCAACCTTTGGGGCTGGGTGCCATGACCCCATTTCTTGGCCCGTGCCACGGCAGACAGGATGCCCCTGCCTGGCAGAGTTGTCCAGATGGCTCTGCCTGAGGCAAGGAAGACTGGCCTGACCTGTCAGAGGAGCCAGCCCTGCCCTCCCTGACTTCCTGCCCACTCGGCCTCAGCTCCTGAGTCAGTGGCTGGCTGGCTGGGACGATGGAACGGGGGTGAGGGAGGCTGAGCACCAGGCCTCCTCAGGCAGTTGGCTCAGCGCACAGGTGAGCCTCTGATGCCATGAGGTGGCCCCAGGCCTGTTTCCCACCTCTCATAAGGGCAGCAGAGGGGCCACAGGAGACCTGCCTATCCTACTTGCCCTCAGCTTCTGTCCTGGCACCTGTTTCCACTCCTCCCAGCCTGTGCCCCCAGCAGCCAGTGTGATCCCTACTCTGTGCCAGTCTGGTCCTATCCTCTTTCTATTTTTATTTTTTTGAGATAGGGTCTTGCTGTGTTACCCAGGCTGATGTGATTTTTTTTTTTTTTTTTTTTGAGATGGAGTCTCACTCTGTTGCCAAGGCTGGAATGCAGTGGTGCAATCTTGGCCCACTGCAACCTCCGCCTCCCGGGTTCAAGTGATTCTCCTGCCTCAGCCTCCTGAGTAGCTGGGATTCCAGGTGCACGCCACCATGCTCAGCTCATTTTTGCATTTTTAGTAGAGACGAGTTTTCACCATGTTGGCCAGGCTGGTCTCAAACTCCTGACCCAAAGTGATCGGCCTCCCAAAGTGCTGGGATTACAGATGTGAGCCACCATGCCCAGCTGGCGATGCGATCTTGACTCACTGCAGCCTCAAACTCCTGGGCTCAAGTGACCCTCCTGCCTCAGCCAGCCGAGTAGCTGGACCACAGGTGTGCACTACCACAGCAGGCTAATTTTTAATTTTATTTTTTGAGATGGAGTCTCACTCTGTCACCCAGGCTGGAATGCATTGGTGCCATCTCGGCTCACTGCAAACTCCACCTGCCGGGTTCAAGTGGTTCTCCTGCCTCAGCCTCCCAATTAGCTGGGATTACAGATGCACACCACCACACTTGGCCAATTTTTGTATTTTTAGTAGAGACAGGGTTTCATCATGTTGGCCTGGCTGGTCTCAAACTGCTGACCTCCAGTGATCCACCCACCTCGGCCTCCCAAAGTGCTGGGATTACAGGCGTGAGCCAGCATACCTCGCTAATTTTTTAATTTTTAATTTTTTGAAGAGCCATGGTCTCATGATGTTGCCCAGGCTGGTCACAGTGTTGACCTACTGGGCTCAAGTGATTCTCCCACCTCAGCCTCCCAAAGTGCTGGCTGGGATCACAGACATGAGTCACTAGGCCTGGCCTAGCCTCTTTTGCTTGAAACGCACCGTCACCTTTTCATTGCTCGTCCACTGGAGGCAGAACTCCCCCTCCCCACATGCACCAGGCCCCTTCCCGTCTAGCCTCCACCTGCCCATCCTGAGCCTCAGCCCTCACCCACACTGTCCAGGCTGTCAGGCACATTGTCCATCTTGTTCCTCAAACAGGCCATGAACCCACCTGCCACAGGACCTTTGCACAGGTTGTGTTCTCTCTGAAACTCTCTTCCTGTGAGGTGTTTGATTTCTGCATGACCTTGGGATCGCAGGGATCACCCCTTCCCCCACTGCTGAGGCCCAGTCCCCCTGCTCTGTCACTGTGTGTCCTCGGTGAACCTTCCCTTCACATGTTTGTCTATGGGATTGTGTCTGTCTGCCTCTTGTGCTAGGCTGTGAGCACCTTGAGGACAGAGGCAGGGTCTGTTGCACTCATCTCTGGGCATACCTACATGCAGGTCGAGCCGAGGACCAGGCACAGACCAGCTCATCAAAGGAGTGAATGATTGTGAACGAATGAATGAGTGAAAGCCCTGTCAAAGCTGCTGAAGGGACTTGCTTCCAGCCCCAGTGGAGCCAGTGTCAGTGTGGAGGGCACTCCAGGTCACGCACCACCTTGGTCCCCTACCCTCCGCCTCCGCCTCCACCTCTACAAGCAGTGGTCAGGCCGGGATGCAAAGGGCATTGCTGAGCCCGGCTCACCCTGCTGGGCCCTCAGTAAGTAGGGGCCTGTGTTACTCACAGGTGACCAGCCCAAGGCACTCCAGGAAGTCATGGAGACACCCAGGGCCCCACCCAGCTTCCCAGCCACTCTGTGGCTCCTGGAAGTGTGGGGAGGGGAGGTGGGCAGGACTGCTTAGTGGTCGGCTGGCAGGAGGGGATGGGTGGACAGTGGAGGGCGGCTGGGCCCTTTGTCACCGCAGTGAGGGATAGAGGCAGCTGCCACAGCTGGGTGACCTCTGACCCTGGCAACACAGTGGGGACGGGGTCCTGTTTAAGGGTGTCAGTGTCTGGGTTGGGAGGGTCCAGGCCTGCAGGTCCCAGAAACAAGAAACCAAGACCAAGTGCAGTGGCTCATGCCTATAATCCTAGCACTTTGGGAGGCTAAGGTGGGAGTATCACTTGAGGCCAGGAGTTTGAGACCGGCCTCGGAAGCATAGTGAGACCTTGTTTCTACAAAAATAGAAGTAAAAATAGCCAGCCATGGTGGTGCACACCTGTAGTCCCAGCTACTCTGGAGGCTGAGTGGGAAGATTGCTTGAGCCCAGGAGGTTGAGGCTGCAGTGAGCAATGATTGTGCCACTGCACTCCAGCCTGGGTGACAGAGGGAGACCGTGTCTCTTAAAAAAAAAAAAAAAAAAAAAAGCAAAGATCAGGAGCAAGAAACACAGGAAGGCAACTGGGCATCTGGGCATCTGTCAGAGTCCTTCCAGGTCCCCATTCCCCTCAAAAGGCCCTGGAGTGGGAAGGCAGCTCTCACAGGGCTGAGGGGCTGTGCAGGGGTCTCTGAGGGGCCCCGGGAGGGAGGCATAAAGCCCGGCCAGTGACAGGCAGTTGGCCAAGGCTGAGCTGGACATAGAGTGGCAGGGGCTCTGGGGGCTTCCGGCCCGCCCACTCTATTCCCAGCTGCCACCCCGCCCTGCTCCTGCCTCGAGACCAGAGAAGGCCTGGGAGCATGCTGCTGGCAGGCTCGGCCGGGGCAGCAGGCCTGGGGTGTGCAGGGAAGCCCAGCGGCCGGAGGAGCCCCTTCTCCCGGGCACGTGGCTCAGATTTGGACACAGGAACTTTAACTCAGCATGGGGGGGTCTCTGAGCTTCCAAGATATCACTGAGGCACAGGAAACGTGGGGTAACTGAGTAGAGGGCCCCAAACCTTAGTGCAGATTCGGAACGGCAGGGCTGCCTGCACTGCTCCCGGATGCTGCCTGTCCACAGGCAGTGCCGAGTGGGGACGGGAGGCTCCTCGCCTCCGGCCTCACCTCTCCACCTTCCCTGGCAATGCTGGCCTGATGTCTAGGCTGTCGAAGGTGGGAGGGGCACAGAATGCATGTGGGGTCTTCTTGGAGGAAGAGCTGTGGCTGAGATCGGGCCCGAGTTCCCCTGTGCCCACTCCAGTCCTGGAGTGACGCAGGTGTGCAGGTGGAGGCCCTGGGGAGGAGCAGCTGGGGTGTGGGCGTGTGTTGGGCATGTGGGAAGCTCAGGAAGAGGAGGGGGTTCCTGGGGACCAGGCTGAACATGGCTGGATGGCCAAGCGGCTCCCAGTCACTGTGGTGCCTGTCCTGGGCTCCTACATGGGGTTACGAGTCTGGCAGCCCTCCCACTGCCCTGACCCGCCATCTTGCCCTCTCTTCCCCAGGTGTCTCGTGCCTCTGCTGGACCCTGACTCTGGGCTCCTGGTCCTGGCAGGAAAGGTGAGTGAGAAGCTGGGGCTCCCACCCACATCCACAGCCTGGAGTCCAGCCCCTGGCCTTCCCCAAGAGAGAGGAGGAACTCGAACAGGGCCTCTGTGTCTTCCCCTGTGCAGCCAAGGTGACTGTAGCTCTCCTAGAACACTGGCCTTCCTGAGAACAAGGCCGAGAATAGAGCAGTGTCAGCACACAGTCAGCACTCCATAAATACTGACGTACACCCCCGGTGCTCACCCCATGTGCAACGAGGCTGAGCAAGTGAGGTAGTCAGCCTAGGGCTCAGCTCAGCGCCCAGCATGTTGGGGAGCCCCATCTCCAGCCACTGTGGTTCTGTGGCTCAGGTCCTTGGGGACCTGTGGGGGAGCTGATGCCAGTCCTGGGCCCTCCCCAGGGGTTCAGTCAGCAAACGGGGCTCAGTTCAGACTCATTTCAGGGCGAGAGGCAGCTGTACTGTTACGAGGTGGTCCCGCAGCAGCCGGCGCTGAGCCCAGGTAAGCCTTGCTTCCTCGCCCCCATCCCCTACCCTCCCCTCCCCTGCCCATCCTGCCTGTTCCCCTATGGTGTCCTCAACAGTGACCCAGTGTGTCCTGGAGAGCGTGCTGCGTGGGGCTGCCCTTGTGCCCCGGCAGGCGCTGGCCGTCATGAGCTGCGAGGTACTCCGCGTCCTACAGCTGAGCGACACAGCCATCGTGCCCATCGGCTACCATGTGCCCCGCAAGGTGAGGGGGACTTGGGCGAGGGACTGCGGGGGCTGGGGAGTCGGGGGGCCTGGGCCTCACTAGCTGCCTGCTTGTCTGCGGCCAGGCTGTGGAGTTCCACGAGGACCTGTTCCCGGACACTGCCGGCTGTGTGCCTGCCACCGACCCCCATAGCTGGTGGGCTGGGGACAACCAGCAGGTAGGACCAGGGCTGGCTCACCTCTCCCAGCCTCCCCGAGTCCCTGGTAGCCCCGTGTGGCTGTGTGCCAACTCAGTCTGGCCTGCTGGGTGCCCCCCATCCCTACCCAGTTGACCCTCCCATGGGGGCCCTCCTGACCGGGCAGCCCATGCCCCCATCTCCCCACTGCCGGCCTCCATGCAGGTGCAGAAGGTCAGCCTCAACCCCGCCTGCCGGCCCCACCCGAGCTTCACTTCCTGTCTGGTGCCCCCTGCGGAGCCCCTCCCTGACACAGCCCAGCCTGCGGTGATGGAGACACCCGTGGGTGATGCAGACGCAAGCGTAAGTACCAGGGCCGCCCCCATCCTCCCTCAGCGACACTGCAGTGGCTGCCCTGAGTGTTCACCGGCTGAACGGCCTTTTTTTTTTTTTGAGACAGTGTCTCACTCTGTCACCCAAGCTAGAGTGCAGTGGCGCAACCTCGGCTCACTGCAACCTCCTCTTCCTAGGTTCAAGCGATTCTCCTGCCTCAGCCTCCCGAGTAGCTGGGATTACAGGCATGTGCCACCATGGCCGACTATATTTTAATTTATTTTTTGAGACAGAGTTTCGCTCTTATTGCCCAGGCTAGAGTACAATGGTGTGATCTCGGCTCACTGCAATCTCCGCCTCTTGGGTTCAAGTGATTCTCCTGCCTCAGCCTCCCGAGTAGGTGAGATTACAGGCACCCGCCACCATGCCTGGCTAATTTTTGTATTTTTAGTAGACATGGGGTTTCACCATGTTGGTCAGGCTGGTCTCGAACTCCTGACCTCAGGTGATCCACCCGCCTCGGCCTCCCAAAGTGCTGGGATTACAATCATGAGCCACTGCACCTGGCCTAATTTTTGTTTTTGTTTTTGTTTTTGAGATGAGTCTCGCCCTGTCGTCTAGGCTGGAGTGCAATGGTGCGATCTCGGCTCACTGCAACCTCCGCCTCCCAGTTTCAAGCAATTCTCCTGCCTGAGCCTCCTGAGTAGCTGGGATTACAGGCGTGCGCCACCACGCCTGGCTAATTTGTATCTTTAGTATCTTTAGTAGAGATGGGTTTTCACCATGTTGGCCAGGCTGGTCTTAAACTCCTAACCTCATGATCCACCTGCCTGGGCCTCCCAAAGTGCTGGGATTACAGGCGCGCACCACCACGCCTGGCTAATTGGTATCTTTAGTATCTTTAGTAGAGACGGGTTTTCACCATGTTGGCCAGGCTGGTCTTGAACTCCTAACCTCATGATCCACCCGCCTGGGCCTCCCAAAGTGCTGGGATTACAGGCGTGAGCCACCGCGCCTGGCCAATTTTTATATTTTTTTTAGTAGAGTCAGGCTTCACCATGTTGGCCATGCTGGCCTTGAACTCCTGACCTCGTGATCTGCCCTCCTCGGCCTCCCAAACTGCTGGGATTACAGCCTTGAGCCACCACGCCTGGCCCCAACCTTCTTTGTCAAGTGTAACAGAGACAGAGAAACACGTGGAGCATAAAGAAGGAACTTGCACAGTGCTTTCTAAATTGGGCAAACACTTAAAAAGCAAGAATTTTCATACAGATCTAGATTTCTGGCTTCTCTTAAAATACTGGCAGATCTAACCCACTGGGCACACCCTCCTGCAGGGCTGGGAGCCAGCAGCTGCCACTTGCTGTCCCCGCGGTCTGAAGCTCGGCTGCTTCCCTGTGTGTCTGCGTTTATGCCCGTGCCCCCCGCCGCTCCTGTCGCATGCCCACAGTGGGGGCTCCTCCAGTCCGCAGGGGGCCCAGAGTGGTGACCCTGGAGTCCGCTGGCACCCCCTCCTTTTGGCCAGTACACCTAGGAGCAGGCTGGCTGACCCCATGCCCCTCCCCAGGAGGGTTTCTCTTCCCCTCCCAGTTCGCTGACCTCGCCCTCCACGCCCTCCAGCCTGGGGCCCTCACTCTCCAGCACCAGTGGCATCGGGACCAGCCCCAGTTTGAGGTCGCTGCAGAGCCTGCTGGGTAAGGAGGCAGGACGGGGAGCTCACCCCTACCGCAGGAGCCCTGTCTGCCCCACTCCCCGTCATCCTCCTGTGTACCCTACTGCTGAGCACAGGCCTCATGCAGGGCACCCCCCTCACCCAGACTCACTGGCAGGGTCATTTGTCCTGGGGGCTGGGGTGTGGTGGCTGAGTCTCACCTGCAAAATAGGAGGGCGGCTGGGGCCACCAGCTTCTGAGCAGCCAAAGCCCTGGGCTCCACCAAGATTCCCCGAGCCACCATGGAACAGGGTATATCATTCCAGACATTATTCCTGGGCGAGTTGCATCCACTGGATTAGCAAAGGCCTGGGCCTAGGTCCATGCTGTACATCCACCTGGGGTGAGGGGAGTGGGCAGCCGGGACTCAAAGAGTGCAGGGCGGGCGGGGACGGCATCCTCACACGTGGTTCCATGTCCCTGCCACCTGCCAGGCCCCAGTTCCAAGTTCCGCCATGCTCAGGGCACTGTCCTGCACCGAGACAGCCACATCACCAACCTCAAGGGGCTCAACCTCACCACACCTGGTGAGAGTGACGGCTTCTGTGCCAACAAGCTGCGTGTGGCCGTGCCGCTGCTCAGCAGCGGGGGACAGGTGGCTGTGCTTGAGGTGAGGGCCCCACCCCACCAGGGCTGCCCCTCAGTTCCCTGCCTGTGGCAAAGACGCGGAGGGCCTTAGCTACCCACACAACACAGGGAGCACAAACCTTGTGTCAGGCTCCTGCCCGCCTGTCCTGTGATCCTCCCAGCCACCTGCCATGGGGCCTGCCACTTTTATCCCCATTTTACAGATGAGGGAGAAGAGGCACAGAGAGGTTTAGTGACCTGCCCGGGTCACACAGCTGTGTAAGTGGTGGAGCTGGGATCCGAAGCCCGGCCACCTGAGCCCTAAGCCGGAGCTTTTCCCGCCAGTTCACGCTGCTGCCCCCTCACTCTCTGGGGCCTTGTGGTTGGCACTTGGGGCTCAGAGCGCAAGGTGGTCAGGGCAGAGAGCTTGGGTCACCCAGCGGTGGGAGCCTCTGCTGCAGAGGGTGGGCTCCCAGACATGCTGCTTGCCCGCAGCCCCTGGGGACTGGCTTTTCTGCCTGGTACTGATGGGCCTCGGGGTGGGGGCACCTCCCACAGCTACGGAAGCCTGGCCGCCTGCCCGACACGGCACTGCCCACGCTGCAGAATGGGGCAGCTGTGACTGATCTGGCCTGGGACCCCTTTGACCCCCATCGCCTCGCTGTGGGTAAGGAGGCTGGGTGCCTGGGCTTGAGGGAGGGTCCTGGGTCCCGGATAGGGGCTGGGGAGCCCAGAGGTCTTGGGCTCAGCAATGATGAGCCCCTGTCTGTCCTCTGCAGCTGGTGAGGACGCCAGGATCCGACTGTGGCGGGTACCCGCAGAGGGCCTGGAAGAGGTGCTCACCACGCCAGAGACTGTGCTCACAGGTCAGGCAGGCTCAGGAATGGGGCTGGGGTGGCCAGTGTCTCCCAAGGGCTCCTGATCACCCCTGCCTTCCTCCAGGCCACACGGAGAAGATCTGCTCCCTGCGCTTCCACCCACTGGCAGCCAATGTGCTGGCCTCGTCCTCCTATGACCTCACTGTTCGCATCTGGGACCTTCAGGCTGGAGCTGATCGGCTGAAGCTGCAGGGCCACCAAGACCAGGTAGGACGGCTGCAGAGGTGGGGCCAGCAGTGTGGAGAGGCGGGGCCAGCAGTGTGGAGAGGTGGGGCCAGCAGTGAGGAGTGGCGGGGCCAGCAGTGAGGAGAGGCAGGACCAGCAGCGAGGAGGGGTGGGGCCAGCAGTGAGGAGAGGGGGGCCAGTGGTGAGGAGGGGCAGGGCCAGCGGTGAGGAGGGGCCGGGCTAGCATTGAGGAGAAGGGGGGCCAGCAGTGAGGAGAGGGGGGCCAGCAGTGAGGAGAGGCAAGACCAGCAGTGAGGAGAGGCGGGAACAGCAGTGAGGAGGGGCGGCGCCAGCAGTGAGGAGGGGCAGGAGCAGTGGGGAGAGGTGGGGCCAGCAGTGAAGCAAGGCTGTCTCTCATATCCCTTCCTGCCCCCAGATCTTCAGCCTGGCCTGGAGTCCTGATGGGCAGCAGCTGGCCACTGTCTGCAAGGATGGGCGTGTGCGGGTCTACAGGCCCCGGAGTGGCCCTGAGCCCCTGCAGGTGAGCACACAGGGGCTGGGGAGTGGCCTCAGACCTGGTTCAGGGGTGCTGGCTGGGTGTCACGCGATGTATCTCAACAGGAAGGCCCAGGGCCCAAGGGAGGACGCGGAGCTCGCATTGTCTGGGTATGTGATGGTCGCTGTCTGCTGGTGTCTGGCTTTGACAGGTGAGGACTCAGGCATCCCCATCCCCAGGCTTCAGAAGCCACCTGTGTCCCCCTTCTCCACAGTCACATACATTTGTCAGGCTTTCAGAAACCATTCCTGCCCCTCACTGGATGGTTGGGTGGGTGGGTAGATGATTGGATGAGTGGGTAGATGGGTGGATGGATAGGTGGGTGAATGGATGGATGGGTGGATGAATGAATGTGGGGATAGATGGGCGGATGGCTGGATGGATGAATGAGGGGGTAGGGAGAGATCGATGGATGAGTTGGGGGTAAGGGGGAGATGGATGCAGGGGAGGGTGAGGGGGGTAGGGGAGATGGAGGGATGTTTTGGGGGTAGTGGGGAGATGGATAGAGGGGTGGGTGAGGGGTTGGGGGGAGATAGATGCAGGGGTGCACAAGGGGCTCTGGGGGAGATGGAAGCAGGGGCGGTGAGGCAGTCAGGGGTAGATGGATGGGTGAGTGATTAGTGGAGGAGAAAGAGTCAATGGGGAACCCAGAGGTGGAGGGGCAGGTTAGGATGTGGCTGCGGTGCCGGGCCACACTAGGCCTCGCCTACAACCCAGAACAGAGCAGGGGCTACGTGGGCGCCTTCTCCCTGCCCCAGGCCCCTTCAGCTCTGAAACACCTGCTTCAGCCCCCAAACCCCCTTGCAGCCAAAGTGAGCGCCAGCTGCTCCTATATGAAGCTGAGGCCCTGGCCGGCGGACCCTTGGCAGTGTTGGGCCTGGACGTGGCTCCCTCAACCCTGCTGCCCAGCTACGACCCAGACACTGGCCTGGTGCTCCTGACCGGCAAGGTGGGCTGGGCTGGAGGGCGGGATGGCAGGTGAGAGGTGGTGGGGGGAAGGCCAGTGTTGCCGGAGGGTTCCCAGCCTGCCTTCTTCCCCGCAGGGCGACACCCGTGTATTCCTGTACGAGCTGCTCCCCGAGTCCCCTTTCTTCCTGGAGTGCAACAGCTTCACGTCGCCTGACCCCCACAAGGTGAGGCCACCCTGGCGCCTCGTCCCCGATGGGACCACAAGGCTGCCCTGCCCCCTGGTGGCCATGTGGGCAAGTACAGGAGCCTGTGGGTCGGGGGTCAGAGTCCTGGGCTGGGGCTGGGCCTGGGGCTGTGCCCAGTGACTGGCAAGAAGAGTTGCTGCTGGAATTATTTAGGAATTTTGAGAGCCATTGTCATACTCAACCATTATTAAAAATCATACTGTAGGCCGGGTACGGTGGCCTGGAATCCCAACACTTCGGAAGGCTGAGGCAGGAGAATTGCTTGAGCCCAGGAGTTCAAGACCAGCCTGGGCAACATAGCAAGACCCCATCTCTACAAAACAAACAAAAAATTGCACTAGATAAGGTTAAACTATATGAACCTACAATATGAACCTAAAAATAATATTAAAAACCAAAGTAATAAACACTCAGTTTATCACTTCTAATTAATTTATCCAATTTTACTATTATTTGTGCTGAGGTCACATGTTTCTGTGTTGGAGTGCATGGAGGAAATGCAGGATGATGTGCTATTTACATCTCTTCCCAACACCACATTCAGGGAGTGGAGGTGGCACGTAGAAGCTGCCCATGGTGGGAGTTTGTAAACTGTGGAAATAGGAAAACACCACAAATCAGGGCTTTCCCTCCAGAGAGCAGGTTGTTCAACATGATCAACACGTTACTGTCCAGGGACAGGCCCTAGGCATGGTGGTCCTAAGTGAGGGGTGCCGGCACCCTGGGGAGACTACGTGCCCAGCCATGAGCTCTAGGTCCCAGCGGCAGCTCCGACTCCCTTGCTCCCCCAGGGCCTCGTCCTCCTGCCTAAGACGGAGTGCGACGTGCGGGAAGTGGAGCTGATGCGGTGCCTGCGGCTGCGTCAGTCCTCCCTGGAGCCTGTGGCCTTCCGGCTGCCCCGAGTCCGGGTGAGGGTGGGGACCTGGGACTCCCATGCCCACCGCCTTCTCGGTGCCTAGAGGGGAGTTTGGGTCCCGTCTGACCCAGCTTCCAAACTTCCCTACCCATTGTTCATGGGGACACCTACCCCCTTCTGCTGAGATGCTGAAACTCATGGAAGCCCCAGGCTGGTGGGAGGGTCCCAGGTCTTGCCCTGTCCCTCCCCAACAGATGCCCGTGTGCCCTGGGCACCTGGTCAATGTCTCAGGACAGCCCGTTTCTCCCTCTGCAGAAAGAGTTCTTCCAGGATGACGTGTTCCCAGACACGGCTGTGATCTGGGAGCCTGTGCTCAGTGCCGAGGCCTGGCTGCAAGGCGCTAATGGGCAGCCCTGGCTTCTCAGCCTGCAGCCTCCTGACATGAGCCCAGGTGCACCGAGGGACTGGGTGTGGGGAGGAAGCGGGATGGGGGTTGGAGAAAGGGACAGAAGGCCCAGGTTGAAGTTCCATTCCTGTTGGCACGCAGAATCCTCTGGCCTTTGGGAGGGTGGAGTGGCTGTGTCAATCAGTCTCTGAGCCAGTGGAGGGCAGGGCTCGTGGTCTGTGTTTTCATCACAGGTCCCCACCCCTAACACACACACACACGCACACACTGTGGTGTCTAGGGCAGGGCTTATACAGTGAGGCTCCATTGACTGTTAATACCACCTCTTAGATCTGCGCCATAGAAATCCCCTAGGTCGGCCAGGCGCGGTGGCTCATGCCTGTAATCCCAGCACTTTAGGAGGCTGAGGCGAGTGGATCACCTGAGGTCGGGGGTTTGAGACCAGCCTGGCCAACATGGTGAAACCCCATCTCTACTAAAAATACAAAATTAGCCTGGCGTGGTGGGCGCCTGCAATCCCAACTACTCCAGAGGCTGAAGCAGGAGAATCGCTTGAACCCAGAGGAGGCGGAGGTTGCAGTCAGCCTAGGTCACATCATTGCACTCCAGCCTGGGCAACAAGAGCAAAACTCCATCTCAAAAAAAAAAAAAAAAAAAGAAAGAAAGAAAAGAAAGAAAGAAATCCCCGAGGGCTTGGCACCAAAGAGCCCTAACGAAGGGGACTCTCTGACACGTGTCCTTGCTCTGTCCCAGTGAGCCAAGCCCCCCGAGAGGCCCCTGCTCGTCGGGCCCCATCCTCAGCGCAGTACCTGGAAGAAAAGTCTGACCAGCAAAAGAAGGAGGAGGTAGGCATGGGAGAGAGCAGCTGTGCGGAGGTGACAGAGTCCTGGCTGCACCTGGCCACGGCCCCTTAGTTCTCCATCCCCAACCCAGACTGGGACAGCAGCCACATGTCACGTCCCCTTCACACCAGAGCCTGGTGGGGAGACCTTCCAGAGCCCTACCACTGACCATGGGGCCCGGGAAGTGGGGGAGGGCAGTGGGAGCCCTGCCCTGGCCAGGCCAAACCCAGCCTAAGCCGGCAGTTCTGGGCCCAAGTGCTTTTGGGACCTTGGAGTATATTTTGAGCACTTGAGGCCATGTGCAGAGATAGTAGCCCTTGTATCTGGTGCCACATGCCGCAGCCTCTCAGTCTCTTACTCCCCCTGTCTCTTCTTTGTGTCTTTTTCAATAGAAACCCATCGATTTTGTCAGGGCTGTAATTAAAATGGCTCTTTTGAGGCCGGGCACGGTGGTTCATGTCTGTAATCCTAACACTTTGGGAGCCCAAGGCAGGCGGATTGCTTGAGCTCAGGAGTTTGAGACCACCCTGGGCAACACGGTGAAACCCCGTCTGTACTAAAATACAAAAATTTAGCCGGGCATGGTGGCGGGCGCCTGTGATCCCAGCTACTCGGGAGACTGAGGCAGGAGAATCACTTGAACCCAGGAGGTGGAGATTGCAGTGAGCCGAAATCGTGCCACTGTACTCCAGCCTGGGTGACAGAGCGAGACTCCGTCTCAATAAATAAATAAATAAATAAAAATAAAAATAAAAATAAAATATAGTGGCTCTTTTGGCCAGGCATGGTGGTTCACACCTGTAATCCCAGCACTTTGGGAGACCAAAGCAAGAGGATATAAGTGATGGAGTTTGAGACCCAGCCTGAGACCAGTGAAACCCCATCTCTACAAAAAAATTTTTTAAATTAACCAGGTGTGGCCAGGCATGGTGGCTCACGCCTGTAATCCCAGCACTTTGGGAGGCCGAGGAGGGCGGATCACCTGAGGTTGGGAGTTCGACACCAGCCTGACCAACATGATGAAACCTCGTCTCTACTAAAAACACAAAATTAGCCGGGCATGGTGGCGCATACCTGTAATCCCAGCTACTTGGGAGGCTGAGGCAGGAGAATCGCTTGAACCCAGGAGGCAGAGGTTGTGGTGAGCCGAGATTGTGCCATTGCACTCCAGCCTAGGCAACAAGAACAAAACTCTGTCTCAAAAAAATAAATAAATAAAATAAAAATTAACCAGGTGTGGTGTTACACACTTGTAGTCCCAGCTACTTGGGAGGCTGAGGCAGGAGAATTGCTTGCACCCAGAAAGTCAAGGCTGCAGTGAGCCATGATTGCACCACTGCACTCCAGCCTTGGTGACAGAGCAAGACCTTGTCTCTCTCTAAAACAAACAAACAAACAAAAAGGCCGGGCGCTGTGGCTCACGCCTGTAATCCCAGCACCGTGGGAGGCCGAGGCGGGCGGATCACGAGGTCAGGAGATCGAGACCATCCTGGCTAACACGGTGAAACCCCCGTCTCTACTAAAAATACAAAAAATTAGCCGGGCATGGTGGTGGGCGCCTGTAATCCCAGCTCCTTGGGAGGCTGAGGCAGGACAGTGGTGTAAACCCGGGAGGCAGAGCTTGCAGTGAGCCGAGATCGCGCCACTGCACTCCATCCAGCCTGGGCGACAGAGCAAGACTCCGTCTAAAAAAAAAAAAAAAGTTCTTTTCACAGCCTTGTCAGGGTTGTTCTTGGAGTGGGAGAGGGAACAGGGAGTCCTATTCCCTTACCTACCCTTCTTCTGCCCTCTCTCCCAGCTGCTGAATGCCATGGTGGCAAAACTGGGGAACCGGGAGGACCCACTCCCCCAGGACTCCTTTGAAGGCGTGGACGAGGACGAGTGGGTGAGTAGTGAGTGGCCTCACTTCCCGGCAGGCAGCGCGGTCCCTCGCACATGCCACGGTGCATGCCTCCTCCCTTCCCAGGCCCTCCTGACTCCCTCCCACCTCTTGGTGTTTCGCCCCAGGACTAGCCTGCGCCCCCGTCACCTCCACCTCACCTGTGCTGCCACTTCCTAGTGCACACCTCACGGCTCATCCTCAAGCTGGAAGATACCTCTCTGGCCCCGGCACATGTCACCCCTGCACTCCTGCCTTCCCGTGGGCACTTCCACATCCTCTGGGCCTCTGGCAGTTCCCAGGGACTGTTTTCACCTCTGCTGTCTCTGGGGTCAGCTGCTGCTCATCAGCTGCCCGCTAGCATGTGGCCAGGGGTGCAGGGTGGCGGGGGGTCAGCAGCATGTCCCTGGGCAGGCCCTGGGCACCCTGTCTCCCCTGGTCTCACTGCTGACCTGGGCTGGTCCCAGCCTGGATTGGCCTCATCCAGGATCTTTGGTCACCCCACGCTGCCCCATCTTGCCTGCTGTTCCAGTTCTGGTCAAGGGCCTTGGGGGCTGGCCCCCCACCAGGCCTTCTAGAGCAGCACCAGTCTCAGGGCCCTGGGACCAGCTGCCCTACTTCCCAGGTTTGTAGCCAGGAGAAGGGGGCATCACAGAGCTGATGGTCCAATAAGGGGGGTGTGAGCCCCGCAGGGACTGGCCCGCACCTGCCTTGGATGTTTTCAGCAATTAAACTTTTTTAAGCTGGCCACCTCTTGTGCTGCTGTGGTCTCTGGGCTGGCTGGAAAGGGAAGGGGACAGGAATGTGGGTGACAGGGGTCTGGCCCTGGGCTCCCCTTTATCTCAGCCTCACTCTGGTCCCAAGGCCCAATCACCTGCGCACTGCTGGGAGTCATTCGCTCACCATGCAGGTTCCTGGCAGTGCTCTGGATGGCGGGATGCTATAAAGGACAGGAGAGATAAGGTCTTGCAAGGACCTTCAGCTTCTTACAGCCTCCTTATGCAGGGGAACCAGACTGCACACGAGCATATAGAGTGTGAAGACAGCAGTAAAGAAGAGAAACTGGCTGGGCACGGTGGCTCATGCCTATAATACTAGCACTTTGGGAGGCCAAGGTGGGAGGATCGTTTGAGGCCAGGAGTTCAAGACCAGCCTGGCCCACATGGTAAAACGCTGTCTCTACTAAAAATACAAAAAGTAGCCAGGTGTAGTGGTAAGCGCCTGTAATCCAAGCTACTTGGGAAGCTGAGGGAGGAGAATTGCTTGAACCCAGGAGTCAGAGGTTGCAGTGAGTCAAGATCCTGCCATTGCACTCCAGCCTGGGTGACAGAGCAAGACTCAGTCTCAAAAAACAAACAAACAAACAAAAAAACCTGTGGGACAGGAAGCAACTGGGATGCAGCGAGGCAGGGAATTCAGGGCCTGAGAAGGTGACTTTCAGCTAAGAGCCAAGACTTGAAGGCTGATGAGGAGCCAGCCAGGGAGAGAGCCACTTCCGAGGCAAGGAAGTACAATGTGGGCACAGAGAGAGGAATGTGGAGGCCAGGAGGAAGAGGAAGAAGGGCAGCGGTGTAGAGTAGGATTCCAGGTGGCCCAACTTTCATCCCACCATTTGCCGAATGCTGTGCGCCAGATGCTCTTCCAGGCGCTTGACATCTAACAGCAGAGAAGAGAGAGGAAATGCTTGCCCAAAAGGAACTCCCATTCTAGTGGAAGGAAACAGATTCTCAACAATAAACATAAAAATAAAGGGAGGCCAAGGTGGGAGGATTGCTTGAACCCAGGAGTTTGAGGTCAGACTGGGCAACATAGGGGAACCCTTGTCTCTACAAAGAATACAAACATTAGCTGGGCGCGGTGGCTCACGCCTGTAATCCGAGCACTTCGGGAGGCCAAGGCAGGCGGATCACGAGGTCAGGAGCACGAGACCATCCTGGCTAACACGGTGAAACCCCGTCTTTACTAAAAATACAAAAAATTAGCCGGACATGGTGGCCCATGCCTGTAGTCCCAGCTACTCAGGAGGCTGAGGCAAGAGAATCTCTTGAACCCAGGAAGCAGAGGTTGCAGTGAGCCGAGGTCATGCCACTGCACTCCAGGCTGGGCAACAGGGAGACGCTCTCAAAAAGACAAAAAACAAACATTAACCACATGTGTTGGCACATGCCTGTGGTCCCAGCTACTCAGAAAGCTGAGGTGAAAGTATCACTCAAGGCTGGAAGGTCAAGACTGCAGTGAGCCATGATCATGCTACTGTACTGCAGCCTGGGCAACAGAGTGAGACCCTATCTTGAAAAAAAAAAATTTTTTTTTGGCTGGGCACGGTGGCTTACACCTGTAATCCCAGCACTTTCGGAGGCTGAAGTGGGAGGATCACTTGAACCCAGGAGGTGGAGATCGCAGTGAGCCAAGATTGGGCCACTGCTCTCCAGCCTGGGTGACAGAGCAAGACTTCATCTCAAAAAAAAAAAAAAAAGGAAAAATAATTTAAAAATAAAAAACCGGTTGGGCACAGTGTCACATGCCTATAATCCCAGCACTTTGGGAGGCTGTGGCGGGTGGATCATTTGAGACCAGTAGTTCAAGACCAGCCTGGCCAACATGGTGAAACCCTGTCTCTACTAAAAATTCAAAAATTAATGGGGCATGGTGGTCCATGCCTGTAATCCCAGCTACTCAGGAGGCTAAAGCATGAGCATCGCCTGAACCTGGGAGGTGGAGGTTGCAGTGAGGCAGGATTGTGCCACTGGACTCCAGCCTGGGCGACAGGGTGAGACCCTGTCTCAAAATGATAAATAAAATAAATAAGTAAATTATGTGGTATGGTAGAGGGTGATCAGAGTCTTGGAAGAAAAATAGAGACAAGAAGGGAGGATAAGCCAGTCACAAAAGGCTGCACATTGTATGATTCAATTTCTTCTTTTTTTTCATTTTTCATTTTTACCTTTTTTTTTTTTTTTTTTTTTTTTGAGGCAGGGCCTGACTCTGTCACCCAGGCTGGAGTGCAGTGATCACAGCTCACTGCAGCCTGTACCTCCCGGGCTCAAGAGATCCACCACTCAGCCTCCCAAGTAGCTGGGATTACAGGCACCTGCCACCACACCCGGCTAATTTTTGTATTTGTAGAGATGGGGTTTCACCATGTTGCCCAGCCTGGCCTTGAGTTCCTGACCTCAAGCGATCCACCTCGGCCTCCCAAAGTTTTGAGATTGCAGGCATGAGCCACCACGCCTGGCTTGTATGATTCCATTTCTATGAAATGTCCGGAACCTGTGAATCCATAGAGAGAAAAATGAGTGGTTGACAGGGGCTGGGGGAGGGGGCTGGGGAGTGACTAATGGGTGATGAAAACGTTCTGGAACTAATAGTGGTGACAGTGGCACAGCTCTGTGAATAAAAGGCATTGGACTGTGCACTTGAAAATCATGAAATCTACAGTGTATGGATTATATCTCAATAAAGCTGTTACTTTTTTCATTCATGGAGGGCAAGTCACGGCGTTTTAAGGGGTCCAGGTGGGCCTCATTGAGGTGACATTTGAGCAAAGATTTGAAGAAGGGAACGAGCTTCTCAGGCAGGAGGAATGTGGATGAAACCTATTTTGAAGTTTTCTATTTTCTAAAGTATTTTTGAGAATTTAGCATCCTACTCCATATTATGTTCATTGATTTCATATAATGTTGCATTCCCAAATATTTTGGCAAAATCAAGGGCAGAAATCGCCCCACGTCTGACCGATGTGCTTAGCTGCTCCAGCGCACTGGGGTAAGCACGCGGGCAATTGAGACTCCCGGTAACGCCCCTTGCCCTCCCAAGCCCGCCCCCAGTTATCCAGAGCCCGACGCAGGCTCAGTCAAACCCCGCCTCCGACCCCGCCCCGAGCCGCTAAGACGCTCCCGGTGGCCCGCCCTTAGACTGAGGCAATGCGCATGCCCAGCGCCGTATCGCGCACGCGCTCTCTGCGGCTTTCCTTGACCTCTGACCCGCCGACCACGCTTGATCCCCGGCCGCGGGGCCAGGAAGTCGGAGTTTGAGCCCCGGAGGCAGAGCGGCTGCCATGGTGAGCCCCGAGTCGGGCGCTACCGGGGAGGGGAAGCCGAGTCGGGCCGGGGGCCGGGGGCCGGGCGGCGAGCTCCGGGCTGGGCGGCGGGCGCCGTGCGCCCCCTGCGTGCCCGGCGGGAAGCATGGTCTGGGGGCGTTGCACCCGGGGGAATCGAGGCCGGCAGCGGCGGCACCGGCGGCCTCAGGGCCAGGGAAAACCGTCTGCCTGGAAGAGGCCGGGCAAACGTGGTCGCGCTGTGCCTAGCCCGCGTGTGAGCGAGCAGCCGTGGGCAGCGGTGGAGCATGAGTCTGGCTGGTGAGCGCCTCCCCTGCCCTGGAACCTTACAGCGCTGCAGAGTCGATGTTGCTGCCCTGTTGTTATCCCCAGTGGAAAGCTGGCCTTTCCAGGGAAGTGGCTGACCTGGGACTTGAACTAGGCCCCGAGACACCGAGCACGGAGCGTTTGTGTGATATCGTTGGCACGTAGAGCCAGTCAACAGACCTGCGCCACACTGTCAGGTCACCTAGGGTAGCTTTAAAAGTGCAGGTTTGGCTGGGCGCGGTGGCTCACGCCTGTAATCCCAGCACTCTGGGAGGCCGAGGCGGCGGATCACGAGGTCAGGAGTTCGAGACCAGCCTGGCCAACATGATGAAACCCGGTCTCCACCAAAAAATTTAAAAAATTAGCCGGGTGGGGTGGTGCGCGCCTGTAGTCCAAGCTACCCGGGAGGCTGAGGCAGGACAGACGCTTGAACCCGCGAGACAGAGGTTGCAATGAGCCGAGATCCGCCAGTGCACTCTAGCCTGGGCGACAGGGTGAGACTGCGTCTCAAAAAAAAAATTATATATATGTATTATATATACCGTATACATTTATGTATACTACATATTATTATGTTATATATATTTTTATATATCATGTATTTTATATATATATATACACACACACACACATAATATATACATATGTTAGCCAGGCATGGTGGCACACACCTGTAATCCCAGCTGCTTGGGAAGTTGAGGCGCCAGTATCGCTTGAACCCAGGAGGCAGAGGCTGCAGTGAACCAAGATTGTGCCACTGCACTCCAGTCTGGGCGACAGGGCAAAACTCTCTCAAAAAGAAAAAGAGGGGGAAAAAAAAAGTTCAGGTTCTTGAGCTCTATCCCTGGAGGTTCTGCACACGTAAGTTCCCCAAGTGACTCTGTTGCAGCTGGTTCGGGGAGCCACTTCTTAACTAACATAGTAATAAGGATAATGTAACAGCTAACGGCGTACAAGTGCCAGCCCCTGAGCTAAGGCTTTATGTAGAGTCTCTCATTTAGTGTTTATGAAGTCCTGCTGTCATTGTCCTTATTTTACAGATAAGGAACCTGAGCCCCAGACAGTTTTGACTCCACCATAGTCATGCATCCCATGGTGTCAGAGACCTCTTTTGAGCCCAGCTCTGTCCCAAAACTCATGGGGTTTTTTTGGTTTGTTTTTTGAGATAGGATGTCTGTCTGTCGCCCCGGCTAGGATGCAGTGGAGCGATCCTAGCTCACTGCAGCCTTGAACTCCTAGGCTCAAGCCATCCTCCTACCTTAGACCCCCAAGTAGTTGGGCCTACAGGTGAGTGCCAGCACACCTGGCTAATTTTTAAATTTTATGTAGAGGTGGGGTCTTGCTGTGTTGCCCCAGATGGGTCTCCTAGGCTGGAGTACAGTGGTACGATCACAGCTCACTGCAGCCTCAACCTCCTGGGGCTTAGGTGATCCTCCCATTTCATCCTCCCCAGTAGCCTCAGCCTCCCGGGTAGTTGGGACAACAGGCATGCTCCACTATGCCCAGCTAATTTTTTGTATTTTTTGTAGAGATGCAGTTTCGCCATGTTGCCAGGCTGGTCTCAAACTTCTGGGCCCAAGCAGTCCTCCTGCCTCGGACTCCCAAAGTGCTGGGATTATAGGCGTGAGCCACCGCACCCAGCATGACAGTATATTAACAGGAAAAGAAAGTGCTGGCCGGGCACGGTGGCTCACACCTGTAATCCCAGCACTTTGGGGGTCTCAGGCGGGTGGATCACGAGGTCAGGAGATCAAGACCATCCTGGCTAACATGGTGAAACCCCGTCTCTACTAAAAATACAAAAAATTAGCCGGGTGTGGTGGCAGGCACCTGTAGTCCCAGCTACTCAGGAGGCTGAGGCAGGAGAATGGCTTGAACCCGGGAGGCCGAGCTTGCAGTGAGCCGAAGGTCGCGCTACTGCACTCCGGCCTGGGTGACAGAGCAAGACTCCGTCTCAAAAAAAAAAAAAAAAAAAGAAAGTGCTAGGCCGGGTACGGTGGCTCACGCCTGTAATCCCAGCACTTTGGGTGGATTACCTGAGCTCAGGGGTTCGAGACCAGCCTGGGCAACACGGTGAAACCCTCTCTGTACTAAAAATACAAAAAATTAGCCGGGCATGGCAGCGTGTGCCTGTAGTCCCAGCTACTCAGGAGGCTGAGGCAGAAGAATTTCTTGAACCCGGGAGGCAGAGGCTGCAGTGAGCCGAGATCGCACTACTGCACTCCGGCCTGGGCGACAGAGCAAGACTCCATCTCCAAAAAAAAAAGAAAGTGCTGTCGGAAGGTATACATGGGAGAGCCTGGAAAGGGTTTCACCCGGGGGATGGGGAATGATATTAGGTCCTGAGGGATGTTGGGTTTTGACAGGATCAGGGTAGAAGGGAGGATGTTCAAGGTGGAGGAACTCAGAACAGCAAAGGCCCTGAGGAGTACAGAAGTATGAGAGCGGCTCTAGGAGCAGAGGGTGTGGCTGCAGCGTGGAGAGAGGTGAGGTTGAGAAGTTGAGGCCAGACCAGGCGCTGTGAATGCCAAGCTGGGGAGTGGACCAAATCTGCAGGCGGCGGTGGAGAATTGTGTGTTTACTGGGAGATGGCCAGAACCCTCCCGCAGAAGGGTTAGGAGGCGCTTGGAAACCCTGCCTGGGGACATGGAGTTCATGAGACAGCAGATTGGGCAAAGCTGCAACAGCCATATTCATTCAGATGCACCAGGGGCACTTACTGCGCCAGCCACTGGCCAGGTCCCTGATGTTGTGGCACGTGCTACAGTTGTGGTCCTGACCTTTCTCCTGTCTAGTTGTGATGCCCGTATCTATTCTCAGGGGCCCTGGGTGACCAGAGTGTCCTTGAGAGTGAGTCTCAGGCTGTCTGCTTATCTACCCAGAGCCTGGGGCTTGGCCTCAAAGGCGCATTGCACGCGAATCTCAAAGACACAAGTCAGTGTAAGCCCCATTGCTGAGTGCCTCCCACAGCACTGTCTGTGGTCCCAGCTGCTGGGATCTGGTCCTGCCTTGGGCCAGGTTGCTGCCCAACAACGAAGTGCACATGCTGCCCCCACGCATGCCAGGATTGGATCCTGTGCTTCTGACTGCTGCTCTCTGACAGCCGCGTGGCCTGAAGTTGGATGCCAAGTCAGCTGGGTCCTCTCACCTGGGACCCTCAGGCCCAAGTGTCAGTCGGTGGACTATGGGATGTTTGGAGCCTCTGGGAGGGGCCTCAGGCAGTGGTTGTTTTGGTCACCCATGGTAGCCACAGCTGGCAGAGCTCTGCTCCCTGTGAATGAGCTCTGAACTCAGCCTGACCCATGGCAGAAGCTCAGGGGATGTTGGGGTACTGGATAGGTGGATGAGGGGCTTGCCTGCACCGCCTAGTTCTGGACCTGCCGCTGTTTGTCCATGTGGTGTTAATGGGCATTGCCTCCTGAGGGCCTTACTGTCCTCTTGTGAGGAGGGTGTTATTCTCTCCATCTTGCAGTTAAGAAAACTGAGGTAGGCTGGGCACAGTAGCTCACACCTGTAATCCTAGCACTTTGGGAAGCCGAGGAGGGCAGTTCATGCGAACCTAGGAGTTCAAGACCAGCCTGGGCAACATGGCGAAACCCCATCTCTCCAGAAAAGTACATTTAGCCAAATGTGGTGGCGTGTGCTCAGCCTCCAGAAGTTATGAAATTTCCACCTACTTGTGAAATCCTAACCCACTTGTGTTTGTTCATTCCCCTAATGGCCCATATCACATCCCGCCTGTTAAGGAAAGAGCAGGTCCTCGGAGGCTGAGTACAAGTAGCTCCAGCTACTCGGGAGGCTTAAGCAGGAGAATCTCTTGAGGCTGGGAGGCTGAGGCTGCAAGTGAGCCATGATTGCACCACTGCACTCCAGCCTGGACGACAGAGTTAGACTCTGCTTCCAAAAAAAAGGCCAGGTGTGGTGTCTCATGCCTGTAATCCCAGCACTTTGGGAGGCCGAGGCGGGTGGATCACCTGAGGTCAGGAGTTTGAGACCAGCCTGACCAACATGGTGAAACCTCGTCTCTATTAAAAATACAAAATTAGCTAGGCTTGGTTGTGTTCACCTGTAATCCCAGTTACTTGGGAGGGTGAGGCAGGAGGATCGTTTGAACTGGTGAGGTGGAGGTTGCAATGAGCCGAGATTGAACCACTGCACTCTAGCCTGGGTGACAGAGCGAGAGTCAGTCTCAAAAAAATAAATAAAAAATAAAAGACCCAAACCAAAACAAAAAAAGATTCAGAGAGGTTGAGTAATTTGTCCAGGGTCACACAGCTATTGAGAAAGAAAGCTAGGGTTCTGGTCCCAGGTCAACGTGGTTCTCGTTCTGCTTCCTTGCTGCTTCCCAGCTCCCTGAGGGAATGTAGTATGGTGTTTTGCAGCCTTCACCCCTGAGGAAGCAAAGGGCCTGTATCAAATGAGCTGCTATTTTGAAAGAAGCTTTGTTACTTCATAGTGCCTGGTCATTGTCAGATTTTGTGAAACAGTAGTAATGAATGAAAACCAATGTTTATTGAGCACCTGCTGTACCATTAGGCTGTGTGCCAGGCATTTGACAGGCATTATCTCAGCTTTATTGGTGGCCACATTTTACAGGTAAGCAAACTGGGTTGCTCAAAGGAGTTGAGAACGTGTCTATGTCAGATAGCTGGGATTTTTGCACACAGGTGATCCCAAAGCCTGCAGGTGTAACCATTACACTACACTGCGTCTTCTCAGAGATGCCTCCTATAGGAACCTTGCTGGCCTCAATGGGCCGTCCAGTCTGCTGAAACTTTGCAGGCCAGCCCCCCTCTGCCCTGCAGCTCTAGGCAGCTGAAGCCACAGGCCACCACGCCGCTTTGGTTTGAAGTGTGCAGGGGATGGTCGGGGAAGCTCCCCAGTTATGACCTCAGCTCTTACCGTTCATTATTTTGCAACAGTCATTGGCCTTGGCAGAAAAGTAAACAAGTGATTGCAAGGCTGTACGATGGCAGCAGAGGGACCGAAGGCTGTTGGTGTGAGGGGTAGTCTGAGACCTGAGCCGTGTTTCAAGCCGAGGGGACCCTCTGACTTTCACCTCTGTCCTTCAGACAGCACCAGCATCCCATCCCTGAGCCTCCTGTTCCACTCGGGAGGGGCTTTAGGAAGGAGGCGAAGTCAGGTGAGACCGCAGGTGTCATCAGGTGCATCCCTGACCCTCCCTCATCTGCAGTACAGCCACAGCCCTGCCCCTCGCTGTGATCACAGGAGGGTCTTCTCTGGGCTCTTTCTGCTGTGAAATCCAGAAGTTATGAAGTTTCCACCTACTTTTGAAATCTTAACCCACTTGTTTGTTCATTCCCCTAATGGCCCATAATGACATCCCACCTGTTAAGGAAAGAGCAGGTCCTCGGAGGCTGAACAAGGCCAGCTCTGGAGTCGAATCCACTGGAATCTGGAGCAAGCCCCTCTGGCCTCGGGGTTGGGTTCTTGATACTTGTCGGCTTGCCCAGGTGCCCTACCTTCAGACCCCGGGACCCTGCGTAGTGACTGCTGTGACAGATAGCACCAGCCTTGGGTTTCCGATCTGCCTCCGAGGCACCTGCTGTTACGTCCTCGGGCCAGTCAGCAGTCCCCCACCCCTGAGTTGTCAGAATTAAACGGCACAATGAATTGAACGTGTTTGGCACCGTGCCTGGTGTGTGGACTCAGTTGATACTTGTTGACTGAAGGCAAATCTACAGAAAAGCACTAGGAAGAAAGGGAAAGTCACTCGGCTGTGCCACATGAGCTTTCAACCTATGCCGAGCTGCCTCCAGCCCGCGCCACCCCCCTGCGTCTACGGCTTTGCAGTCACAAGATCCTTTGTATGTGCTGTCTATATATAATCGCTTTGTTTCACAAAGATCTGTGCATCTTTCCATGTCATCCGCCAGATTCCCAGTCTTTCCCAGGCCAGCCTAGGCTATTGGCTGCTCGCAGGAACTCCCTTCTGCCTTCTCTCCTGCCAGTTTTGGCTCAACCCAGTCCCTCTGCCTAGAAAGCCCTAGTATTTCCATCATGATTCTTCCTACCCTGCAAAGCCCAGCCCAGGAGGAACCCCCTCCTCTCACGGAACCCCCTCCTCTCACAGAACCCCCTCCTCTCACACAATCCCCTCCTCTCACACAATCCCCTCCTCTCACAGAACCCCCTCCTCTCACGGAACCCCCTCCTCTCACAGAACCCCCTCCTCTCACGGAACCCCCTCCTCTCACGGAACCCCCTTCTCTCACGGAACCCCCTCCTCTCACAGAACCCCCTCCTCTCACGGAACCCCCTCCTCTCACGGAACCCCCTCCTCTCACAGAACCCCCCCTCACACAATCCCCTCCTCTCACGGAACCCCCTCCTCTCACAGAACCCCCTCCTCTCACGGAACCCCCTCCTCTCACACAGTCCCCTTCTCTCACAGAACCCCCTCCTCTCACAGAACCCCCTCCTCTCACAGAACCCCCTCCTCTCACACAGTCCCCTCCTCTCAGAGAACCCCCTCCTGTCACACAGTCCCCTCCTCTCACAGAACCCCCTCCTCTCACACAGAACCCCCTCCTCTCACACAGAACCCCCTCTTCTCACACAGAACCCCCTCCTCTCACGGAACCCCCTCCTCTCACAGAACCCCCTCCTCTCACACAGAACCCCCTCCTCTCACAGAACCCCCTCCTCTCACGGAACCCCCTCCTCTCACGGAACCCCCTCCTCTCACGGAACGCCCTCCTCTCACACAGAACCCCCTCCTCTCACCGAATCCCATCTCAGTCTTGAGTTTTCCCTCGACTCTGTTGCTTCCGCTCACATCTTAGTGAGTCCCCAGGGCCTCTGCGGGGCATGGAATCACACGTGCAGTGTTCCGGCATGTTCAGCCTGGTGTGTGACAGTGGGGTTCCCTGCCAGGCCAGCAGTGTGCTCTGACTCGGGGCAGGGACCAGGTTCTGTGTAGCTTTGTGCTCAAGTGCTGAGCAGAGTAGACTCTCAGCAGATGTTTGAATGAATGGGTGAACCAATGGCTGCACAAATGAACGAGCCTGACTCTCCCTCATGATTTGGTCCATAGTGTGTTTAAATACCCTCCTAGTGGGCTTTTAGCTCCTTGAAGATGGAAACAGGTTTGCATAGTAAGTTTGTTTTATTGAATGGAATGGACTTAAAGTCTTCGGACTTGGGAGAATTAGGACAGATCTGTTTCCCCGTTGGTAAAGTAAAGGTTGGGCCTGATGATCTCAGAAACTCAGGAAGAGTGATGGTCGGCCCCAGGGTCGAGAGTGAGTTACTGCCAGGTCCAGGGCTGTCCCTGTGTTCTGGCTCCCAGACCACAGTGTTTCTTCCTGAAGCCGGTGGTTGCAGCCACTTTGCCTTGCTCCTCTACGCCTTTCCTGAAGGATGAGGTGGGGCCAGTCTGCCTCTGGGAGCTCGGTCAAGTTCACCCGCCTGCCTGCCTGTCCAGTGAGTAACTAAGCCACCCACCATGGAAGCTTTCATTCAGGGTGCTTTGGAGGGGTTGGCCTGGGGCTGCAGCTCTGTGCTTCATGACCTCGGGTCTCCGGGAGCCTTGCCCCTCGGCAGCCGTTTCCAGGGCCCATCTCTGTGGGCCCACAGGGAGTGGCCTGCTAACCGGGTGCCTGCTTTGCCCACAGGCCAAGTACCTGGCCCAGATCATTGTGATGGGCGTGCAGGTGGTGGGCAGGGCCTTTGCACGGGCCTTGCGGCAGGAGTTTGCAGGTAAGCATGGGTCCGTCTCCCCTGTGGGCTGGGAGTTCCTCTCCAGGTCAGATTTTCCCCGTAGCCATGGGCACCTCAGGCCTGGCGGTTCTGAAGTGTGCGTGGCCTGAGGCACTTCCCATGGTGGGGGGTGATGCCAGACCGGGGCATTCTTCAGTGGTACCTGGTTAGCAAGAGCATCCAGGGCAGGAGCTGGCACACTGGCCCATCTGGATACCTGATTTTGTAAACTTGTTTTTTCTTTTTTTGGAGATGGAGTCTCACTCTGTCGCCCAGGCTGGAATGCAGTGGGGCAATCTTGGCTCACTGCAACCTCTGCCTCCTGGTTCAAGTGATTCTCCTCCCTCAGCCTCCTGAGTAGCTGGGAATACAAGCACCCGACACCATACCAGGCTAATTTTTGTATTTTTAGTAGAGACGGGGTTTCACTATGTTGGCCATGCTGGTCTGGAACGCCTGACTTCAGGTGATCCGCCTGCCTCAAAGTGCTGGGATTACAGGTGTGAGCCACAGCGCCCGGCCCTGGTTTTGTAAATAAATCTTTTTTTTTTGAGACGGAGTTTTCGCTCTTGTTGCCCAGGCTGGAGTGCAATAGTGCGATCTTGGCTCACTGCAACCTCTGCCTCCCGGGTTCAAGCAATTCTTCTGCCTCAGCCTCCTGAGTAGCTGGGACTACAGGCATGCGCCACCATGCCCGGCTAATTTTGTATTTTTAGTAGAGACGGGGTTTCTCCGTGTTGGTCAGGCTGGTCTTGAACTCCCAACCTCACGTGATATGCCCACCTCGGCCTCCTGAAGTACTGGGATTACAGGCGTGAGCCACCGCACCCAGCCCTTTTGTTTTCTTTTGAGACGGAGTCTCACTGTGTTGCCCAGGCTGGAGTGCAATGGTGCGATCTTGGCTCACTGCAACCTCTGCCTCCCGGGTTCAAGCAATGCTCCTGCCTCAGCCTCTCCAGTAGCTGGGACTACAGGCATGTGCCACCACACCCAGCTGATTTTTGTATTTTTAGTAATTTTGTATTTTACAGGTTTTCATCATTTTGGCCAGGATGGTCTCGATCTCTTGACCTCGTGATCTGCCCTCCTTGGCCTCCCAAAGTGCTGGGATTACAGGCGTGAGCCACTGTGCCCGGCCGACAGGCTGCTTTCAAGGCAGAGTTGAATGGTTCCAGTGTAGGCTCATTAGCCCGCAAAGCCTAAAATAGCTACTCTCTGAGCCTTTAGGAAAAGTTTAGCAGCTCCTGATTCTAGGTTCTGGGGTCACTGAAAGGGGAGAGGTCACCCAAGGCAGTGGCTTTGGTGGTCTAGGTGACAGGTGGGCAGCTGGGCCCCTGCAGAGCCCTCTCATGCCCGCAGCCCCACTATACAGTCTCCATCGTAGCCTAAAGCTCCCCAATTTGCTGTTCCCCTGGGATATGGGGGTTGGGGGACAGGGTCATCTCATGGTCTAGGTTGGGGACCAGGAGCCAGGATTAGCGGTCAGATCCTGCCCTTACCCTCCAGTGAGGCACGTCTGTCCTCACTTTCCCAGCCTCTACCCCCTAAAAAGGAAACCACTCCTGGAGAAGAGGCAGCTCCTAGCCACCTGTCCCTGTGTCTCTCATCCTGTGCTGGTGGCAGGGGTGAGCCACCAACTCGGAAGGCCCAGGGTGAAGTGTGGGCTGCTGAGGACTGAGCGATCACCCACATGTCCACACAGCCAGCCGGGCCGCAGCTGATGCCCGAGGACGCGCTGGACACCGGTCTGCAGCCGCTTCCAACCTCTCCGGCCTCAGCCTCCAGGAGGCACAGCAGATTCTCAACGTGTCCAAGCTGAGCCCTGAGGAGGTCCAGAAGGTGAGGCCACTGGGCCACCCCAAAGTTTGAGAGGGAGAGGCTGCCAGGGTGGGAAGAGTGAAGGGAGGCCTGGCCAGGGAGGTCCGATGTGGAGGCTGCAGCTGCACCCAGCTCGGACTCCAACTTTCGGGAGCCACTGTTGCTCGTGAAGTTTTAGGCCTGAGGCAGGACAGTCTAGAGACAAAGAGTGCCTTCCAGTAGCAGCTCAGTTGCCCTCCAGGGTACCCGTCCCCATCTCTGCCTCTCAGTGGCCACAACAGCTGGGTGTGGCACACAGGGTGGAGAGGAGTCCTGTTGCCTCTCTCACGTGGCCCCACATAGCCTGCCCAACATCTCTTGCCTGCAGTCTGCAGCCCTCTCACCCGTCCCCTCTCCTCTGCAGAACTATGAACACTTATTTAAGGTGAATGATAAATCCGTGGGTGGCTCCTTCTACCTGCAGTCAAAGGTGAGTGGTCTTTGATTCTGGGAGGAATGAAGTCATGGGACCCCTTCTTCTCACCTGGGGCTCAATTCCTAGTTGGGGGAGCTGGCCAGCTAAGGGCTTGGCACACAGAAAACTGTGCCAGGCTTTCCCATGGTGCCCCAGCCTCAGGGAGGCCCCCTGAACTGCCACCCCTCTGACTGCTTCAGCTTTGCGGGGTCCAGCCACTCAGGCTGTGTCACCCCAGATAGAGCCCTCCCTCCCAGCAGCTGGGACTTCGAAGGAGCAGGAGCCCCCGTGGGTGGGGTGCTAGAAACAGCTCTCAGCTCACAGAGGTCACAGCATGCGCTGGGCCCTGCAGCCCAGCTCTGTCTCCCCAGGCCACCCCGACCCTGGGGTGCCACTGAAGGAAGCATTGGTATCCACCCACTGCCCTTCAAAAAATGGACCTGGGCTGATGGGAATAGGCCATCCCATGTGGGCAAGGGGTATGGGGCGGAGGCTTGGCCTCCCGGCCTGATTATCCGTGACCCACTAGGTGGTCCGCGCAAAGGAGCGCCTGGATGAGGAACTCAAAATCCAGGCCCAGGAGGACAGAGAAAAAGGGCAGATGCCCCATACGTGACTGCTCGGCTCCCCCCGCCCACCCCGCCGCCTCTAATTTATAGCTTGGTAATAAATTTCTTTTCTGCATTTCTCGTTTGCATGTGTCCAGATTCCAGAAGGCAGGTTGCTCCTCCTGCCGGTTGCAGGGCTGTGGGTGCTGGAGATGGGGAGGCAGCAGCCTTTAACAGCCCAGAAGGGCCGGGCTGGGTAAGGTTGGCGGGCAGCCAGCCAGTGGGCTCCAGCTGAGTCCTGTCACGTACAGGATGCAGCCGCTCCTGCTTCCACAGCACCCGTGCCAGGGTGAGGCTCCCTCCCATAGCGCCCCTGCCCCTCCCACGGGGTGGCGGTCTCCTGGCCCCAGAGCTCTTGTCGGCAGCCACCCTGTCCCTGGGGCAGGTTTGAACCTAGCACCTCAGTAATCTGGGCACAGTACCCCAGAATGTGGCTGGGGGGAGAAGGGCCTTTGCCCACCACTCTCCAAAGCCGCAGCGGGCAGTAGTGGGCTGAGGACTTGGACCTTGGGATGCTCCGCCTGGAATCTTCTGTCTCAGTTCCTGTCACCTGTGCGCCCTCAGCACCTACCTCCTTCCCAACCTTCCAGTTCCTGCTCTAAGCGGCAGATTGAGAGGGAGGGGCACCTGCAGGGTCGGGGAGAAAGCCCGGATCAGGCCTGCAGGGGCTCAGGGCAGTGGTGGCCTCATGTCAGGGCCGGGTTCCTGGCACATCCACGACATACAAGCCATCTTTGCAACTCACTTTTATTGTTTCTTTATAAACTTCCTCTCCCATGGAGGAATATATTGTTATAGTCATTAGCTTATCTCTTTTTTTAAAACTCTATGCTAACAGCAATGGAGCCAAGAGGAGGAAAACATAAGCTACGATAGAAAGGCACTTAGAACCTGTTAAAATACTGACGTCCTGGAATGTGCAACAACACACCAATGACAACCACAAAAAGTACACCGGCCCTGCCGAGCCTGGTCCGTCACCGAGTCGCATGCTGAGCTCGTCGGCCTTCCAGTGCCCTGTTCCTCCGCTCTGCTCAAGTCGCAAACCCATGACCCCGCCAGGGACTTAAGGCCTGGGGCCCTCACAGGGGTGGGGGGTGCTCAGGGCCTGGGTGGGGCCCGAAGAAAGGAGACCAGCTCCCTCCTACCTTGCTCATAGCCCCTTCGAGGGGCAGAGCCAGTGTGGCTGGGCCCTGTCAGGGCTGGAGTCCAAAGCCCAGTGGCAAGGTGGGCCGGGTCAGGGTGACCCCTCTGGGACAGAAGGGCAGTCCGGGAGAGGGTGGGGTCAGCAGAGCTGCCAGAGGACCTGCAGGGCCACTAAGGACCCCAAGGCTGTCCGGGCAGCTGCCTCGTTTTACAGATGGGGAGGTGGAAGGGCCTGGCCACTCAGAGGCCTGGTGACAGGGCAGGCCTAGAAGCCAGAACTCCCAGCTGCCAGGTGGGAGAGGGAGCAGGGAGAGGCCCCAGATGGGGGGTGCATGGCTGCGTCCATCCCTCAGGGCGTCCTGGGATGGGACTGGGGCACAAGGCCCTCCAGCACCACCCTTAAGTGGTTCTGGCCCCTGCCAGGGTCCCTCTGAGTGGCACAGAACCTGGGGGGGCCCACTGGGTGTTAGGGGTGGGGAAGTGCCTCTGAGAAAGCGGCCCAGCAGGGAAAAGCCAGAGGAAGCAACGTGTCATGGGTCCAGCACCCTCCTCCAGCCACTGCTTCCCTCAAGGCCTTCAGTCCACAGCCTCCAGAAAGCTCCCAACACAGCACTGACTGGGAGCCCCCTCCCCTGCATGCTGTCACTTGGAGCCCCCAGACCAGGAGCTGTGTCCCAGCCTGTGGTCGGTCGTCCCCAGCCAGCCTCCCCCTTCCTGTTACAGGACCAAGGACCCAAAGGCCTCTGCAGGGGGCGCTGCCCAGGCCAGGCCCAGCGGGGGTAGAAGGAGGAAGACGGGGCGCTGGGCCTGGCCCCACATGCTCCCTGAGCCAGGGCCCAGGTCACTCAGTATCTTGGCACCACAGCTGGCCTGGCACCTCCCCTTGCCAGCTCAGGGGCCCTCGGACCTGCTTCCCACGCTCCCAGGGTGCCCCAAAAGGTAGAGGGAGGAGACCCTGGGGTGCAGGGGTGGAGTGGCCAGCTATCCCGTCTGGTACTGCAGGCCTGGCCTGGGGTGAGGACGGCGGCTGCAGAGCGGGCCTCCTCCTAACTAGTGGGAGGCGCCTTGTCCTGGGGGGCATGCTTCTACCTGGGGCTTTGCAGGGGCCTGCATCTGTCTTGCTTTCCCTCTGGAGGCAGGGTCAGAGGGAAAGGGGTCCAAGGAGCCCCCAGGGCAGGGGCTGGGTAAGCCTAGGAGGGAAGGGCAGGCCTCTGGTCCCTGGGGGCTCCTCTCAGGAAGGGGGAGCCTGGTGCTAGCAGGGAGGGCAGATGCCACCCCACCCACCCCCTCTGCTGGGAGAGGGCAACTTGCCATGGGTGGTCACTAGGTGAGGGAGGTGCCAGGGTGGGAGAGGGAAACGGGAGGAGGTCGGGCAGGGGAAAGCCTCTCAGAAGCTGAGGGCCAGGTGGTGGGGGACAGACAGGAGCGAGGCTTCAGCACCCAGGAGCACAGCTCTCCCTGCATGACAGGCCAGGTCCCCACCCGGGGGCTGGGAGGCCAGCCATGAATGACCTAGCACCATCCTTGCTCCCGGCGGGCTGGGCTGGGGCTGCCCGGGCAGTAGGACATTATTGCTATTTCACAGAAGAGTTTCCGTTCGTCGGGGGCAGTGCCGGGAGCTGCCGGGGGGGCACCACAACTGTCCGCAGGATGGGCTCAGTTCACCACAGCCGGTTTGAGCAGCACCGAGCCCGGCGGGATGACCACCCAGCCAGGGGCCAACGCCTCTGGGCTGCTGGCAGCTGAGTTGACGCCCGTGGACAGGTCCAGCACGGTGCCTGGCAGCAGGGGGAGTCCATCGGGGCTTGGCCGGGAGCAGCTGCTCTCCGTCCTTTCAAGGGGCGTCTTGTGGCCCTCCATGCCCAGGGCCCTGGTGGGCACCGACCCACGCCCCTTCTCCCCCTCGGCCTTGCCACCAGCTGCGCCAGCAAGGAGGGAGACCACAGGCAAGCCCAGTCCGCCAGCCCCAAAGGGCGAGGGCAGCAGCGGGTTCTTGGCCAGATTGAGAGGCAGGACGGGGCCTGGCAGCCCAGGGCCCATGCCCCCCCCACCCCCACTGCCCCCACCGTTGCCACAGGCCAGGGCACTGAGGTCAAGGGGGCCGGGGGCCAGGGGTAGGGGTAAGCCGGGCAGGCCAGGGCCTCCAAAGAGGGCAGCTGGGTTGGGGATGATGATCTGGGCCCCACTGACATAGGGGCCGCCGTCGGGGGCGGGCAGTGGCGGCTTGGGGGGTGGGCGCAGCTGCAGGAGCTCTTGCTGCTCGTGGGACACAAAGTGGCCATGGGCCTTGATGTGCTTGCGCAGTGAGCTGGGGTCCGTGTAGCGCTTGTGGCAGCCGGGCATCTTGCAGTAGTAGGGCTTGTCCACATAGTGGGTGCGCGTGTGCTTAAAGCGGTCACTGGAGTTGGAATAGCGCTTGTTGCAGCCCTCGTAGGGGCAGACGTAGGGCTTCTCACCTGCAGGGTGGTGCAGTGCAGTGCCGCCATGAGGGGTCTCTCCCCTTCCTGGGTCTCACCCCATGCACTCAACATTTCCCCGGGCCAAGCACTCCCTGGGAACATAGATGCCCCAATTCTGGGGGCAGGGGGCATCCCCAGCACATGGCATGAGATCTGCCCCCAGGCAGGGCACAGAGGCTGAAAACTCAGCCTGGTTGACTCCAGCTCTGCCTAGCCTCGCCCTGCACCCTCTGCTACAGAGGATGTGCCTTTCAGCAGCAGAACATGGCCTTGGAGGCCGGGCCCGGTGGCTCACGCCTGTAATTTCAGCACTTTGGGAGGCCAAGGCAGGCAGATCACTTGAGGCCAGGAGTTCCAGACCAGCAGGGCCAACATGGTGAGACCCCGTCTCTACTAAAACTACGAAAACTAGCTGGGTGTGGTGGCAGGTGCCTGTAATCCCAGCTACCTCAGAGGCTGAGGCAGGAGAATCACTTGAACCTGGGAGGCAGAGGTTGCAGTGGGCCAAGATCATGCCACTGCACTCCAGCCTGGGTGACAGAGTGAGTCTGTCTCAAGAAAAAAAAGACACCATGGCCTTGGAGATCACATCCTGGCACGAGGCGCCCAGCGTGGGCCTGGCCACAGGGAGTGCTGCCTGGGCGCTACTGCCCTCACTCAACAAATGGCTGAAGGTTCACCAGGCATCTTCTGCTGCCCTGGCCAGAGCAGGGGGCCACATGTAGTGACTGACCTCCTGATACATGGCTCTCCACCTGGAGATGTGCTGCCAGGGTGAAATAAACACCAGGAAAAAACATACACATCAGCTCCTTGAGGCTTTGTCATGAAATGAAGAACTTCAATATCTCACTGATTTGTCTTTAATAATGAATTGATAACACGTTGGATGTACCGGGGTCAACGAACCATATTACAATTAATTTCACCCATTTATTTTTGCTGTGTTTTATGCAGCGATTAGGAAATGTAAAATTATGTCTGTGGCTCTGACAACCAGAGCTGTCCTGGTATGGGCCTGGGCTGTAGTGAGGAGTGAAGCCGACCTGGCCTCTGCGATCACAGAGGTGGCATTAGTCAGAAGATACCCACGGGAACCAGGAAATGGCATTGGTGCTCCAAGAGCAGGTGCTGGGTGGGGGTCTGACCCCCAGGGGATGCTTCCCCTAGCAAACTGCATTGGAAAAGGGACCCCTGGGCGATGACATCAACCCTTATCTCTGAGGCCCGGGATTTACTTAACAGTCCCCTCCCCCTGGGGACCTGCCCAGCCGGTCTCAGCTGAGCGCCCCCTTCATGGGCCAAGCCGCCCGGCCCCGGCCTCTTACCTGTGTGCGACCGGTTGTGGATCTTCAGGTTCTCCAGGCGGGAGAAGCTCTTGCTGCAGGTCGGACAGCGGTGTGGCTTCTCGTTGGTGTGTGTGCGGATGTGGATGAGCATCTTGTACCTGCTCCAGGGAGGGCGGGGGGCACGGCTCAGCTCACTGGAGACCCCAGTCCTCCCTCTACCCCTCTCTCCCCCACCTCACCTGGCGTTGAAACCTCGGCCATGGCGGGCGCAGCCCTCCCAGTGGCAGCAGTACCCCGCATCCTTCTCGGGCTTGACATGGTAATCGTTGACATGGTCCACCAGGTCTTGCAGGAGCTCAAAGAGCTGGTTACACTGCGGAGGATGGGAAGTGTTCTGAGCCCATGCGGGGTGACCTGCCCCAGACTCCACACTACTCTTGCTGGCCCCCACTCACCTTGGCCCAGCGACACACCAGCTGCTTGGGCAGGGGCAGGTCTGGCGAGAGGCACTTGTCCTTGGGAGGGGTAAGGAAGGAGGAGGCAGGCAGGTGCAGGGCCCCCCCGGAGCCGAGGGGCAGGAAGAACTGGAAGGAGCTGGGGACACCATCCAAATAGCGCAGTGGCTGGAAGTCCTGGGGTGCGAGGGGAGGGCTAGTCAAGGTCCTGCTGGCCCAGAGCCCCCCGTCCCATCGGTAGTGGACTGAATGGTGTCCCCAAACAGAGACATTCAGGTCCTCTTCTCCCCAGCCCCTACCTGTGCATGTGGCCTTATTTGGAACTAGGATCTTTGCAGATGTAATCAAGTTAACATGAGGTCACACTAGATTAGGGTGGGCCCAACACCCAGTGACTGGTGTGTTTTAAATTTTTATTTTCTTAATTAAAAAAAATATATAGCCAGGTGCGGTGGCTCACGCCTGTAATCTCAGCACTTTGGGAGGCTGAGGTGGGCGGATCACTTGACGTCAGGAGTTCAAGATCAGCCTGGCCAATATGGTGAAACCCCATGTCTGCTAAAAATACAAAAATTAGCCAGGCGTGATGGCACATGCCTGTAATCTCAGCTATTTGGGAGGCTGAGGCAGGAGAATTGCTTGAACCTGGGAGGCAGAGGTTGCAGTGAGCCGAGATCATGCCACTGCACTCCAGCCTGGGTGACAGAGCTAGACCCTGTTTAAAAAAAAAAAAAAAAAAGGCCGGGCACAGTGGCTCACGCCTGTAATCCCAGCACTTTGGGAGGCCGAGATGGGCGGATCAGTTGAGGTCAGGAGTTCAAGACCAGCCTGACCAACATGGAGAAACCCTGTCTCTACTAAAAATACAAAAGTAGCCAGGTGTGATGGTGTGTACCTGTAGTCCCAGCTTGGGAGGCTGAGGCAGGAGAATCGCTTGAACCCGGGAGGCGGAGGTTGCAGTGAGCTGAGATCCGGGCCACTGGCCTCCAGCCTGGGCAATGAAGCAAGACTCTGTCTCAAAAAAATAAATAGAGATGGGGTCTTGCTATGTTGCCCAGGCTAGTTTTGAACTCCTGGGCTCAAGCGATCTTCCCACTTTAGCCTCCTAAAGTGCTGGGGTTACAGGTGTGAGCCACCGTGCCCGGCCATGACTGGTGTCTTTATAAGAGAAACCAGAGAGAGATTCGGACACAGAGGGACAAAGACCGTGTGAAGACAGGGCAGAGCCTGGAGTGAAGCAGCTACCAGGCTAGAGTGCCAGGCATTTCCAGAAGCTGCCAGAAGGCAGGAGAGAGGCAGGGAAGGTTCTCCCCTAGAGCCTTCCAGGTAGACTCCAGCCTCCAGAATTATGAGGGGTAACACATCTGTTTTTTAAACCACTCAGTGTTGGGGTACTTTGTCATGGCAACCCCAGGAAACCAGTCCACCCCTCTCTCCGGAACTCTCACCCCTCCTTACCGAGGCACTGGGCACTGGAGGCAGGTCCCCGTTGCCCTGGCGCTCGGGGGACAGCGAGCTGCTGCCATTGGGGGAGTCCAGCCCAGATGGTGGTGACAGGCTGAGGTCCACGAGAGGGGCTGCTGAAAAGCGTCCCTCCACCTTCTCGGGGAACTTGGAGTTCAGCAGGAAGCCTGAGGGAGAGGCACAGTTCAGGGTGTGCTGGAGTGTAGAGTCCCAGTGGGCCAGGTACTCCTGCCTCCGAACCCCCACTGTGACCTTGGGAGCAGACACCAGCCATGCCCCCAGACCACACGAATGTGAGGAGCAGCCTGTGGAGCTGACAGGTGTGTGACACCACCCACCACCTCTGAGCTTTACCAGCCGCCAGAGCTTGGCCCCCGTGAGCCGGGGAGGGGGGAAGTGCCCGCTTTGCAGACGGGAATGGTCTGGCACGCAGGGTTAATAACAGAACAGGACTCGAACCCAGGGCCCCTGGGTCCCTGTCAGACGGGCAGGTAGGAACCTTTCTAGCTTTTCCCAGGCCCCTTCCTGCCTCAGTGTTCCCTTCTGTAAAGTGGCAGGTTCGGGCTGGGCTGCTCCCATAGCCTTCCCCTTCAGACAAGCGGTGAATCTGGTTTTCGGGTGACTCTGCTCTTGGAGGCAGGGCAGAAGTGGTGCCCACCACCCTGGGCCCAAGCACCGGGAATCCCTGAGAGGCACCTCCTGGGCTCAGACCCAGCCTCTACTGCCCAGGTTGGCCAGCGGCACCACCCCACAGCCTAGGGTGCAGGTCCTGGGACTACTGCCGCTCCTTCTGAATGCCTGGTTGCCCGACCAGCTCTGTTCCAGATCTGCCTAGAGGCCTCAGTTTGCATCGTGTGCCAGCCACGTGAGCTGGGCACTGCAGCTCCCACCTCCCTGCAGACATACGATGCTGGGCGGATGGAAGGACAAGCGTGCGGGCTTCCCATGAACCGGAAGCCGAGAGGGGCTGCAGCTACATGCTGGTGGACACACTTGGCCATTCTCCCTGTCACCATGACTGGATCAGGGCTAAGTCCCCCTGCCCTGCCCAGGGCCAGTACCTGAGGGCGGGGAGCCTGGAGAGCCAGGTGTGGGGCTGTCATCCACCAGGCCCAGCTCCCTGTGCAGAGCACGGGGCCGGACCACACCCAGCGTCCTCTCCCGCTTCTCTCTTGCCGCCCGGAGCTTGGTGATACTCAGCTTCAGGTCGAGCGGCTCGTCCAGGGAGTGCATGGTGAGGGGGCCGGAGTTGGAGGTGGCAGCAGGCAGTGGGCTCCCAGCTGGTCTTCACGCAGGAACCTGGGGAAGGACAGGAGCTGTGCTGTGGCACTGAGACCCCAGGCTTCTCCTCGGGCTGTACTCATGACAGTCTAACAGGAGCAGGAGCAGGGGGCAGTGTGAGGTTGTCTCCTGGGTAGGGAGACCCTCCGAGCGACCTGGCCGGCAGCTATCATGGGGGGAGAGCCAACAGCCTCCTCAGAGATTCCGCATCTGCTTCCCATGAGTCTCTTGGGGAAGACAAAGCTCACATTCTTCATTTTGCCATGAAACTGAATTTTATTTGCTGACAGAGTCTCGCTCTGTCACTCAGGCTGGAGTGCAAGTGGCACAATCATAGCTCACTGCAGCCTCGACCTCCTAGGCTCAAGCGATCCTCCCACCTCAGCCTCCCTGGTAGCTGGGACTACAGGCAGGCACCGCTCCTGGCTAATTAAAAAAAAAAATTTTCTTTTTTGTAGAGATCGGGTCTCTCCATGTTGCCCAAACTGATCTCGAACTCCTGGCCTCAAGCGATCCTCCTGCCTTGGCCTCCCAAAACGCTGGGACTACATGCCTGAGCCACCACGCTTGGCGAAACTGCGTCTTTTACAGGCATCGCCTCAGATCGCAGAGCTCAGAAGTGGAAAAACTATCAGATTTGCCAAGACCAGCTCGGTCGGGAGACTAATCCGGCGGCGCTAGAGGAATTAAAGACACATACGCAGAAATATAGCGGTGTGGGGTGGGAAATCAGGGGTCTCACAGCCTTCAGAGCTGAGAGCCTTGAACAGAGATTTACCCACGTATTTATTGACAGCAAGCCAGTCATTAGCATAGTTTCTATAGATTATAGACTAACTGAAAGTATTCCTTATGGGAAATAAAGGGATGGGTCTGGCTAGTTATCTGCAGCAGGAGCGTGTCCTTAAGGCACAGATCACTCATGCCATTGTTTGTGGTTCAAGAACGCCTGTGGCCGGGCGCAGTAACTCACACCTGTAATCCCAGCACTTTGGGAGGCCAAGGCGGGGAGATCACGAGGTCAGGAGATAGAGACCATCCTGGCTAACACGCTGAAACCCCAACTCTATTAAATAACAAAAAAAAAAATTAGCCAGGTGTGGTGGCGGGCGCCTGTAGTCCCAGCTACTCGGGAGGCTGAGGCAGGAGAATGGTGTGAACCCGGGACGCAGAGCTTGCAGTGAGCCGAGATCGCACCACTGCACTCCAGCCTGGGCGACAGAGCAAGACTCCGTCTCAAAAACAAACAAACAAACAAAAAGCCAAACGCTTTTAAGCAGTTTTTCCGCCCTGGGTGGGCCAGGTGTTCCTTGCCCTCATTCTGGTAAACCTACAACCTTCCAGCGTGGGCGTCATGGCCATCATGAACATGTCACAGCGCTGCAGAGATTTTATTTATGGCCAGTTTTGGGGCTAGTTTACAGCCAGATTTTGGGGGGCCTGTTCCCAACAAGATTCAAGGCCTGAAGCCAGATCTCCCGGGAACTGGCTAGCCGTGTCCTAACAGCCTTTTCTGACAGAGCAGGAGCCATGCTCCGGACTCCCGCCCTGTTTGACCCCAAAGATCTAGAACCAGGCCAGGGGGCAAGGAGCATCCTCTGAAATGGCCGGCAGGTAGCCACGCTCACCACCAAGGAACTCGCACCAGGCAAACCGAGAAAGTGGGCACAGCCAGGGGCCCCACCGCCCTCCCTGCAGAGGCCTAGAGGAGAGGCATCGCAAGCCAGGGAGCCCCAGGGCGCTGGGTCGCCACCAGGGGGCAGCTGGGGATTGTGGCCTGGCCTGGCCAGCTGGGGCAGGGTTGGTGGAGTTGACCAGCTGTATCTGGCGGTTAATATATAAATATGTAGAAATTATTTTTTACTGGAGATGGTATTCTTTTAGTATCACTTCCCATGCTGTAATTTTCATCATTTTTCTTAGAATTTCTCACTGGTTTAATTTTCATTTTCTTTTTGGAAATGGAGTCTCTCAGTCACCCAGGCTGGAGTGCAGTGGTGTGATCTGGGCTCACTGCAACCTCTGCCTCCCGAGTTCAAGCGATTGTCCTGCCTCAGCCTCCCAAGTAGCTGGGATTACAGGTGTACACCATCACACCCAGCTAATTTTTCTATTTTTAGTAGCGACAGCGTTTCACCATGTTGGCCAGGCTGGTCTCAAACTCCTGACCTCAGGTGATCTGCCCACCTCGGCCTCCCAAAGTGCTGTGATTACAGGTGTGAGCCACCTCGCCCCACCTGGTGTAATTTTCCTCACATGCAAATGATCTAACAGTATCCACCGACCCAAGAACAAGGTCAACACTTCATTCTAAACCCAAACTTCACATTCAGAGCAGCAATCTTTTCCTACGCGGTTAAACACGACATTTCCTTGCGTTTGTTCATTGGGATTATTACAACTTGAAAATCTAACTGCCGCACAATCACGCTGTGAGATCCCGTCTTTCGCGGTATTGGGGTCTTTACTCAATACCAAAGGGCGGCCATGGTGGACATAACTACTACATGGTGAAATACTTTGGATATGCCCCCGTGTGTTTCCCTGGGGGCTAGCATAGCCTGTGAGTGGGGAGAGATGCTGTCCACAGGGCAGGACAGGAAGGCAGCTCCCACGTCCTCCCCTTCTGCCCTGACTCTCCAAGCAAGTAGGGCATAAAATGGTCCCCCCTTCACTGGAGATCCTCTGCTTCTAGGGACACATCCCCAGACCCCACCCCAACATGGCTGACACGGGGGTCTCAGCACAGGGGGGCTGCCCACCTCTCCCAAGGCTGCATCATCAGAGCCAGGGCAGCTGCACTAGGCCGTGGGACCTAGGTCTGCGATTCGCCCCTGTTGGAGCTGTCAGATTGTTTGAATTTGCCTCCCAGGCCATGCATGGGCCAGGGGCTCCCAGAGATGCGGTGGGGTAGGGACCACACCCCCGCTAGCAGGTGGGTGGGTGACAGTGATGGATGGACCAGGGTCCCCTCCACTGTTTCTCTGGCTGGACAGGGAGTTGCCCTCTGCCTGAACCCCTGCCAGTTCCATCTGTCTATCTGTGTGTCTATCGTCCTGCTACCTGTTTATTTTTAGACACAGGCGCAATCCAGCCTCCCCGAAGCTCCTCTGTGCTGGAAGCCTGGACGGGGAGGAAGGAAGTAAATATTTATGCTGATGAAGAATTCAGGAGCCAGGAAGGGCTGGTGGCCTGGTCCCTTGGCTGGCCTGGGGCCACAGGCCTCCCCACAGCCTCTGTCCTCACCCCCACCCCCACCCTTCCGGAGAAGGGGACCACAAGGGCAGGATGGTTTGGGAACTGGGAATTCCAGCTGACGGGGACACTCACTGGCAGCGCTGCCCAAGCAACATCCTTTGGCACCTGCCCCACTGCCTTCCCAGGACAGATGGGGACTCGGGGAGCCAGGGGCCCTGAGTCACCTTGTTCTTAGGGCCTGCAGGGGACACTTCCCCAGGAGGAGCCTGTCTCCCCAGGTGGGGCCAGCCACACGGCCCAAAGCCAGAGGGAGGACTCCAATGCACCCCCTTCATCAGCAGGTCCAGTCCCCAGGGGCACCCCCACACACTTCCTGCCACTGGGTCCTGCCAGGGAGGCAGGGGTTCATTCCAATGCAGGCCAGAGCCCGGCACACGGCCTGCGTCCCTGCCCCCGGGAAAGGAAGGAGCTGCCCCCAGCCCTACACCTCCCAGCATCCCTGTTCCAGGCCCTCCCCACCCAGAGTTTTTCCTCCAATGGAGGCCCCACCCCAGAGGGGAGACGGTCAGTGACCCTGCTTCAGTTCTGACCTTGGCCAGGCTTAAAGCCTCCCCTTCCACCCCCGCCCCGACCGGCAGCAGCCAGTTCTGGGCTCTGCTCTGTGCTTTTGTTCCCGGCTGGGTGAAGGGGGCAGGCGAGAGCTAGGTTCCTGCTCTCCTGAAAGCCTCGGAGGCCCAGAGCGGGGAGCAGCGGGCCTGCAACCAGGGAACCCTGAGTGAGTGCCCATGAGCGGGTGGCCGTGGCTCTCCCCAGCGTAAGGCCGACAGCCTGGCTCTGGACAAGCTCAGCCAGAGGCCTGGGTGCTAATTACTGCGGGGTCCCGAGGGCAGGAGCCGGCTCTCGGTCAGGTGGGGGCACCCCGTGGATGCTCCCCGGGCGCAGCGCAAGGCCCGCCGGCCCCACGCCCCTCTGCGCCTCCTGGTGGAGCCTTCCGTTCCTCAGTTTCCCCCCGGTGGGACAGCGCAGCGTGGAGGGTGCACAGAGCCCAGGGCCGCGTCTCTCGAGCACTCAGCCTGGGATGCGCCCAGGGCAGCGCCCCCACACGCAAGGGCCCAGGGGTTGGGGCGAGGGCTGGGGTTGTCGGTGGGGGGTGGGGGTGGCCGCGGAACCGGCCGCTGCGCGGCTCCTCCAGCTGCAAAAGGAACTAATTAGAGCGGGGCGAGCGGGAGGAAGCGGCTGCGGCGAGGGAGGAAGCGCGCGGGGGCGGCCGCGGGGACCACCGGGACGGCGGGGGCTTCGGGGGACCGGGCCCTGCCCTTCCCACCCACCGCAGGGCGGGGGTCACCCGGAGGGTGGGCTGGGCGGGCCCCCCGCCACCCTGGCCGAGACAATGGCTGCTATTGTGTGCCCGACCGCAGCCCGAGCAGACGGCCCCCAGCTGCAGCGCTGGCGGAGCCACCCGGCCCCCCGCCCGCAGTCCCCGGCCAGGCCAGGTAGCCAAGGATCCCGCCCTGGCAGGCGGGGCCGGCCACTGTCCCCACCCTCCCTACTGGAAGGCACGGGGCGACCCAGCACACTCAGGGAAACTAAGGCCCGGAAAAGACAGTCTCTTCCAGGGCCCCTTGGCCTGGGGTGGGTCATACACCAGAGGGGGTAAAGGACCATTAGGTACTGACCACGTGTCAGGCCCATCTGTCCATGGATTCAATGACCCCTCTACAACCCTGCCTGGCAGTAGCTGCTGTCATTTTCCCGATCTCACAGATGGGGAAACTGAGGCTTGAGATCACTAGGCTAATAGGGAGCTGGTTGGAGTCCTGCTCTGAATAAAGCTCCTTCTAGGCCAGGCGCGGTGGCTGACGCCTGTAAGCCCAGCACATTGGGAGGCCGAGGCAGGAGAATCCCTTGAGTGCAGGAGTTCTACACCAGCCTGGGCAACATGGAAAAATCCCGTTTGAAGTAAAAAAATCAGCCGGTGGCCGGGCACGGTGGCTCATGCCTGTAATCCCAGCACTTTGGGAGGCCGAGGGCGGACCACCTGAGGTCAGGAGTTCCAGACCAGCCTGGCCAACATGGCGAAACGCTCTCTCTACTAAAAATACGAAAATTAGCCGGGCGTGGTGGCAGGTGTCTGTAATTCCAGCTACCCGGGAGGCTGAGGCAGGAGAATCGCTTGAACCAGGGAGGCAGAAGTTGCAGTGAGCTGAGATCGCGCCACTGCACTCCAGCCTGGGCGACGGAGTGAGACTCCATCTCGGAAAAAAAAAAAAAAAAAAAAATAGCTGGGCGTGGAAGCAGGGACCTGTGGTCCCAGCTACTCGGGAGGCTGAGGTGGGAGGATCGCCTGAGCCTGGGGAGTTTGAGGCTGCAGTAAGCCGAGATCACACCACTGCACTCCGGCCTGTCTCAAAAAACAACAAAAAAAGCTCCTCCTTTCCTGCTTGGGGGAGGGTGGCTGGCAGGCCCTAAGCCTGTGGAGGTGCAGGGTGCACTGGGGGGCTGTGTGCACCCACCCTGAGAACCACTTGGTCTCTTTGCAGAAGGAAGCGGGTCCTCTGTAAGATGGGGCTGCATCCCTGCCCCGCTCCCAGCAGCATGGGGTCAGGTGAGTGACCAGCGTGGCAGTGTTGTCAAGGGCAATGTGAGGAACACCCCTTGCCTTGGAGTGTCCTGCGAGTGCGCTTTTGGTCAGCAGTGGCCATTTAGCTGAGAACTTGGAGACAAGGCCTCAAGATGCATCTCTCAGAAGTCTATGTGGTCACCTTTGTTTTTTTTGTTTGTTTCTTTTTTGAGATGGAGTCTCACTCTGTCACCCAGGCTGGAGTGCAGTGGCACGATCTCAGCTCACTGCAAGCTCCGCCTCCCAGGTTCACAGCATTCTCCTGCCTCAGCCTCCTGAGTTGCTGGGACTACAGGCGCCCACCACCACACCCGGCTAATTTTTTTGTGTGTATTTTTTTAGTAGAGATAGGGTTTCACCGTGTTAGCCAGGATGGTCTCGATATCCTGACCTCGTGATCCGCCCACCTCGGCCTCCCAAAGTGCTGGGATTACAGGCGTGAGCCACCAAGTCTGGCCTTTTTTTTTTTTTTTTTTTTTTTTTTTAAGACACAGAGTCTTGCTCTGTCTCCCAGGCTGGACTGCAGTGGCGTGGTCATGGCTAACTGCCGCCGAGGCTCAAGAGATCCTCCTGCCTCAGCCTGCAGAGCAGCTAGGACCACAGGTGCACCACCACCACACCCAGCTCATTTTTAAATTTTTTATTTTGCAGAGATGGGGGGGTCTCCCTGTGTCATCCAGGCTGGTCTCGATCTCCTGGACTCAAGCCATCCTCCTGTCTCTGCCTCCCAAAGTGCTAGGATTACAGGCAGGAGCCACCACGCCCAGCCCGTCATCTTCTAATTTAACAGAAAGAGGAAGTGAGTCCCTGGTCACTCCTGAACCAGTCAGAGAAACCCTGGTCTGTGGGTGTCCCTGAGTCTATTACTGGAACCATCACTTCAGCAGTATGGTCTTACAGATGGGGAAACTGAGGGCTGAAGGGGGAGGCATCCAGCCCAGGCTGCACAAGTAGGTGGCAAACCCACAACCAGAAGCCACGGGCAAGCAGCATGAGGACAGTACCCATAGCCAGGTGCGGGTACTGTGAAGGCAGGTGCTGTTTCATCCCCATTTTACAGATGCAAAAACTGAGGCTCAGGGGAGTGAAGTGACCCATCCAAGGTCCCACAGCTTGTCCGTGGCAGAGCTGGGTTTCAACCCCAGGTAAGTCCAGAAGCCATGTTCACTATTGGCCCTTCCTATGTCAGGGGCTCAGGCTTGGTACCCCCTCCCCGCCCAGGGACTTGTGGGGCTAGGAGGGATAGCAGAGCAGGCAGTGGGTGGGCGCTGGAGGGGCTGGCTGGGGTGGGGGGCCCACCAGGAGGCTTGGAGAGCCGAGGGCAGATCTGCTGCCAAAGCAAACGGCCCCACAGCCCCAGATTCCTGGGAACCAGCTGCGGCTCCCTGCTCTGGCCAAGAGCTCCACCCTCCTTGGCCGCCCAGCAGCAGGGGCTGGCGGGCAGGGGCAGGGCCTGCTGGGGGCCCCAGGCAGGAGGGCTCGTCCTCTCAGGGCCCCCCTTCCTGACCAGGCAACAGAACCGGACTCGAAATCTGGGGCCCCACCCGGCTCTGCTACTCCCTTTGCGTGTCTCTTCAGTCTGCGCCTCATCCCCCTCATCCCAAATGGGATTATATAGGACCCCCATGTTGGGTTTCAGGGAGAAACCAATGCAGTGCTGCACATCCAATCACTATTGAGTGCTTCTCCTTCGTCCGTAACGTTCAGCACGGAGAACAGTGCCTGGCACATAGTAGGTGCTTAATAAAACGTGCTGAATGAATCGTCGCCAGTGTGCATGAGTCCATAGCCTTTGGCCCATCTACCGCTGTGAGGGCAGCTGAGTGGGGACTGGCCATCCCCTCTATGCCACTGCAGTCTCACCCTGAACCAGGAGAACCTGGGCTCTGCCACCTGCCAGCCAGCGTGCACCCTAAACAAGCCTATGCCCCTCAAAGAACCTCAGGCCTCTTCAATCCTGGGGAGTGACCACAGCTGGCCCTAACCACCTTCCAGAGCCCAACTGCATCAAAGAAAGAGCACTACAAGGCCCCGGGAAGGCCTGATCAACCCTGGAAGGAGCTGGCCGCAGACAGGCCTCCTCCCAGGACTGGAGGGGGAGGAGCTTATCCTGAGGCCTGGCCCAGCAGATCCCAGGAGAGGGGCCAGGGCAGGCGGCACTTCCTGGAAGAGTGGGGGATTCACCGTCCCTGGGAACCTTTGGCTCAGTAGGCAGCCCCTCCCCCTCCCAAGACGGGGCACTCAGCCAGCACCCCCGGACCTTTTGGGAGGGCAGACCCCCTCCCGGGGTGGGAACACAAGGGGTCCGAGGTGACCCAGCCAGGGCTGACCTCTGCCCTCTGCCGTGGGGTCCTCGGGAAAGCACCTGAAGATGGGATGTGCCAGGGATCTTTTTTCTGCGTGTTCACAGAGTGTGCCCCAGGGCCAGGCTGCCTGGTTACAGCCCCCTGTGCCACCCCTGGCTGTGGGAACTCAGAAAGGCCCTGCTGTCTCTGAGCCTTGGTTTCCTTGTAGGTAACAGACACCACGGCAATGGTCCCTGGGACTCAGGGCATCTTGCAAGGGAGGGCCTTGTCCTCATGCCTGCCATAAAGAAGCTGCCAGCTACTGGTAACCTAAAGGATTCTTGTTTCCGGCCCCAGGCTGGGGGTTCCCTGCACAGCAACTTGGGCCTGCCAAGGTCACCCAGATAATTCAGGCAGAGCTGAAGCTGGAAGACGGGCCGGAGGGCTTCCCTGGCCTGCACCAGCCCGGGCTTCCTAGGAGATGCCCCACCAGAGGCACTTCCTTCTCCAACGCCAGCAGGGAGGGTGACACCGGGCTCCGGGAGCCCCGGCACACACACGCACACTCACACAGATGGCCATGGCAGTCCAGCTGCAGGGCCGGCCTGGCACAGAGGCCTCCCCATCCTGGTGGCTCCGGGCCCCTGCTGCAGTGGCCTCCACCCCCCCGCTGCCTGCCCGCTGCTGCACCTTTGCACAACTATGTCTGGTATTTTCCTGTCTGCCCAGCTTTGGGGGGGTGCTTGGAGCTATGATCACCGCCTGCACCTGGGCCCCAGCCAGAGGAAAGCCCGCCCCGCAGCCCCCACACCTGCCCACCCACCCGGGCTGGGAGGGGAGGGGACCAGAGCACTGGGCCCTGCCACCCAAATCCCTGGGAGGGGCTGGCACCAGGGAGCGAGACAGGGATGCACGCCCAGCAAGGCTGGGGCACAGACAGCCCAGGCCCTGCCAGGCGGCACTGCCATTCTCAGCAGACCCAGCCAGAGCTATCTGAGGCCAGCAAAGGGATGGGCCAGTGTAGCACAGGACATGAGCAGGCACCCACAGCACCCCCGGATGTACAGACACCTGTGCACAAATGTGGCACACACAGGACATCACAGTAACCCCTTGCCCCAGTGTCGGGGCCAGGACTCAGGAGCCTTGGCTTCTGGGGGAGAGCAGGGATGAGGCCGGGTCCCCAGAGCGAAGGAAACACCGCGCCTCCCAAGCCACGCCTGGCTGCAGGCAGATCCCACAAGGAGCTCCTAAGTCCTGGGGGGTCGGGGCAGGCCCGTGGCCCACGCCTCCCCTGCCTGGGGCCAGGTACCAGGTCCACTGGGAACGGCACCCGCCAACTCCGAGAGCAGGAGTGGGTAAGGCGGGCGGTGGACCTTGGCCTGCCCTCCTGCCTCGGTTCTCCAACCACGCATTCATGCATTCCAACGCCAGGCCCTGCTAGATCGAACCGGACCTTGAGGGTGCCCCGACCAAGGTGGGGTGGGAGAAACAGTGTAGGGGGGGGGCTGCTCCTGCAGGGGGTTGGGCACAGATCCGGGTCAGCCTCATGGATATGGGGTGAAGAGCCTTGGGGAGGTGGGAGCCCTGCGGGTCGGCGCCCGGTCAGCATGCCTGCTGCACACAGTCCATCACCCTGATGACCCCGCGAATGGATGCCATTTTCCCCATTTTCCATGTGGGGAAACCTGCCACTGTCACAGCCAGCAAGGGGCACAGCTGGGTTCGCCAGCAGACCCCAAAGCCCAGTGCCACAGAGGACCAGAGGCTATGGCCCGGCTGATCTGCAGTGACCCTACCAGTCATGGAGTAGACGAGGAGGCAGGAGAGAAAGAGGCCCCTCAGAGAGGCTGGGACAGAACCTAGAGGGCACTGGGGAGCCACAGAGGGCTCTACACAGAAGAGTGCCACCTGCTCTCTCAGCCCAGAGCCTCCTGCCCCAGGCCCTCTCCTTTGGCACCCCCCTTCCTCAGGATCCCCTGCCCCCTGGGAACCTGATGCTCCCAGGTGCCAGCTCCTCCCTCACCACCATCCATGCCCCCCTGTTCTCTTTCCTCCAGCCACCATCCCCTTCTGCCCCCTCCTCCACCAAGTGCTCCCTGGTTCACCCTCCCCAGCCTCGGTTTCTGGAGCTGCACACAGGCTGTGGGTCCAGGTACCTGAGGGCCTGCTGGGCAAAGACTTGCCTCTGTCCACCCCCGCTGGAGGCAGGCTGTCCCGGGTCCAAGTCCTTGCCAATGCATCACTGAAGCCAGTGTCACCTGTGCACAGCGTGGTGTACACAGCGCCGACCTTCAGCCCCAGGCCTCCCACTGGCCCTGGTATCCAGAGCCTCCTTCCAAGAAGGGAGCCTGGGAGTGGGCCGGGACATGTCTGGGACGCCGGGCAGCTCCAAACCCGCTGTGGCTACTGAAGAGAAGGCCTCACCAGCAGACCCCTGCCCCAGTTCCCACGGCCCCTGGCACGGAGCCCACCCCATCCACCAGAGTGAACTGGGCAGTGAGGCAGGGAACCCAGAATGAGAAAACTAGGCCTGGGTTTCCCCATCCACAGGAGGGGGCCTGCTGAGAGGACAGCCGAAGCTCCAACAACCCCAACCACTCATCTTAGGTGGCACAGTGGTACCTGCCCTTCACATATCCCAACACCTGGCACTCCGCGAATGAGTCCGTCTCATTCATGTATTCATTCACTCGACAGACATTCCCGCCTTTACCCCCAAGTGAGGAGGGGAGGGGTAGGTATGGAGGGGTTCGTGCCCAAAGAGGAATGTGACTTGCCCAAGGTCAAGGCTAGAAGCAGGGGCTGGTCTCCTGACATAGATGCCTCTTTCTCCCTGTCCCAGGCAAGGGACCCAGGAACAGAGCTGGACAAGGGTGTGGTGGCCCCTAGGAACCACCCTGGCCAGCTGGGATGGTGGGAAGGGCCCAGATCCCCCCCAGCTCCATCTCCTGCCACGCCCTCCCAGCCCTGGCCCCCAGCCCCAGATAGCTGGGCAAGAGCAGGCCCAGCAGGGCACCGCACACACAGGACTCCAGCCCATGCCCTCCTCCTCAGCCACCCGCCCCTCTCTGCTCGCCTACTCTGGAAGAAAGCAAGTCCAGAAGCCGGGGACAGCCTCCAAAGCCATCGAGGTCCTTTTCCTTCCAAAGGGGAACACCCACTGGCAGGATCTGCCAGGCCTGGTGGCTCCAGGCCCTCGGGGCCCAGTGGCCCTAGAACCAAGCAGGGTGACCACTAGGTGCTCCGGGGGGTGCTGGGGGAGGCCGGGGCTGGCAGGGAGACGAGCACCAGCACAGGGTTGGGGGGACTTCAGAATAGGGAGGACAATGGAGGCCCCTACAGCCTTGCGGGGAGGGGACATCCCAGCTCAGAGTCGGTCTGCCTGGAAGTTGGGGTGGGGAATGGGGGCTCTGGATGAAGGTGGGAGTGGCCCAGGGGAGAACTGGCCCAGGCAGGCCGGGACTTGCTAGACAGCCCCAGGCAGACGATGCAGGGAAGGGGAGAGGCTTCTTCCAGACACGTTGGCCCCCGTCATGCCCTTGCAGTGGACGTGGGGGGCAGGAGTGGAGCTGGGGGGATTCCCAGGCTAAACCGACATTTCAGGGGTCAGGGCCAGACAGCCCCAGACTCCAGTTCCCCTCTGTTCTTCCCCGATTGGGAGTGACCTCGGGCCAAACCCTCAAATGTCTCAGAGCCTCAGTTTCCCCCCACCGGCCTCCGACGACCTCTTGACTACCAGGGTCCAAGCGAGGCTGCCCTGGGAGCGTGCTGTGCCAGCGGTGGGGACCCTCCATGTGACGGGCAGGACTGTTTTCCGGAGGCTCCCGGCCGGGGGCTGACTCAGTCCACTCAGCGGTCTCCTGGGGCCTCTGCTGGCTTCCCACCCGCCCTTGGCCATGACTGGAGGAAGGGGCCAGGGCTGGGTCTCCGTCCCTTCCCCGGCAGCCATCTGCCAAGGCTGGAGTCCGTGTGCACGCACATGTGACACTCACAGGCCGGCCCCTCCCTGCGGTGGGCACTACCTGGCCTCTCAAGCACCGAAGACAAAGGGCACGAGGAGCCCAAGTCACCCGCCCCCCAGCCATCGAACTGGAAGAGTCTCAGCCCCCACCCATCCCCCAGCAGGGGCTGCTGGGGCAGATGGGAAGCCCCCACCCCTCAGCTGGAATCACTTCCCATCTCCATGCCCCCCAGGCCCACTTAGCCTGGCCACCAGCTAACCAGAATCCTCCAGCCCATCTGGGGGAGTGGGGGAGTGGAAGGCGAGTACCCGGCCTCCGTGCCTGCCCAGCCTCACCCAGGGGCTAAGCCGGAGCCAGGAGAGAAACCTGGGTCTCCTCCAGGCTGTGCCCTGCAGACCCTGCCACCATCATCACCATGATCCCTCTCCAGTCCCTGGGATCAAAGCAGTGCCCCCACGCTGGCCCCCCAGCAGAGTACTAGAGGTGCTTGTTGGAAGCGCGGAGTCCCCGCCCCCAGCCACGCCTGACTTAGAATTCACCAGGGTGGGGCGGAGGCGGCCACCTCAGAAACCACTGAGAGGCAGATGTGGCCCGGGAGACTCGCTAGGGCTGTGGTCCCCACACCCAGGGCTGGCAGCAGGCTGGGGCAGGGCGCAAGTTCCCAGAGACGTGAACCCCCAGATACACATCAGGGCCTCAACCCATCTCTGTGGACCCTTTCATAGCCCCTGGGAAGGGAGGCAACTTAGGCAGAGGGTGGAGAGCATCTTTCAGCTGGTCCCACAGATCCCCTAGCCAGCAGGGAGAGGGTCTCTTACTGCTCAATACACAGCCCCGCCAAGCTGGGGATGCCCCCTACCCCTGAGAAGGGCATTTATCTGGGTGAGGGGAAGACCACCCAGGACCTTCCGGGGTTCCCCTGTGGTCTCAGTCACCTGCTGTGAAATAAAGTAACAATTATAGCCATGAGGAGAGGAAGGGATTCAGGGGACACTTTTCTCTGCAGCCACCCCCGCCCCAATTCCACCCAGCACAGGGCCTCTCCCATGGAATCAATTTCCTCCTTAGGTGCCAGAGACCCCTGGGCCTCCCCTTAGAGGCAGGAACCTTCGGAGGCAGCCTCTGGGGCTGGGGGTCAGGCCAGGCGACCCACAAAAGTGCCTCCCCAGGAGCCCCCCCAAGATGCCCCACAAGAGCTCCACATCTGGTCCCCCAGTCACAGCTGTCGCCACCCTCCCTCATCCAGAGATTGCCCCAAACCCTGGCCGGCACTGGCCCTCACCCCCTGGTCCAAGTGGGGAATTCAGATTCCAGGCGAGTGGAGCGGGTGGCTAGAAATACACATGGGAAATTGTTGCCGGGAAAACACATTCTTCCTCCTATATGGCTGCCCAGACCCTGAGAGGATTAGGTGGTGAGAGGACACTCCCACCGCCCGGGGCCAAGGCCAGGCCGGGAAGGAGGGTGGAGGGGAGAGTGGGGGCCTTGGAAATGGGGTCCAGGCCTCCCTCCAGGCCCCAAGAAGGGGCCCTGGGAGACCTTTGTTTTCCCTCCGGCCTGTTCACTCTCAGCCCTCTACTTGTCCTCCCTGCAAGGGGAGTTCAGGCGGGGGAAGAAATCGCTGTGGCTACCCAGTTGCAGCTGGGTTTCTCAGAAACAAAAGCTTTGGGGGGACGCGGTTCACACGATTGTTTGCAATGAGGTTTTGGGATGTCTGTGGCATCCAGTTATTCATCCGGGCTCCACCCTCGGATAATTGAGAGTTGGCTTTTGCTGGATTTACACCCTCTTTCCTCCCCCTGACCCCCCTCCACCCAGGCTTCTCATGGACTCTGGGAGCTCACCTGGTCTGACCCCTTGGTTTCATAGACAAGGCCGGGAGAGGGGAGGAGTCTGACCCAAGGACCACTGGAAGTTGGTGGTGGAGCCAAGACTTGAACCCAGGGCAGGAGACTCCCAGGCCAGGGGCTTTCCCCGGTCACCCTCCAAGCTGTGACTGGGCTCCAGCCAATCCCCAGAAGCCACTGACCCCAAAAGCAGCGGTGCCTGGAAGTGGGGTGACTCACTGTCTGGCTTCCCAGGGCACCCCCTCCCCATTGGTGAGGGAGGGACTGGCAGGTGTCCCTGTGTAGAGAGCCAGGAGCAAGGAGAGAACTCCCCAGGGGGCCTGGGCCAGGGTCACTCAGGGGCCGAAGAGCCCCAGCTGGAGGGATTTAACACCAAAGGTCAAAGGTCACAGACAGGGAAGGGCGGGCAGGCACAGGGGGTCAGCGCTAATGGCAGCTCCGGAAAGGAGGGGGAGGAGGAAAGGCTAAGAAAAACAGGGTTGCTTCCAAGGGGTCCGCACACCCCCCAAAACACCATCCCAAGTCCCTGGCACTGTCTCCTGCTTGGCTGGCTGCAGACAGGGCCAAGTTGAGCTGGAGGTGGGCAGTGAAATGGGCCAGGCTGGAGCTTGGCAAAGGGTGTCCTGGGAGGGGCCTCCCAGGTGCAGCCCCTCCCCCTGTGCAGGCCAGGCCAGCTAGGAGGCCCAGCCTGGGCTCTGGGGAGAAGGAGAAGCAGAGGGGGAGGTCCGAGGTCACCCGGGATGGGTGTGTGGGCTGGGCCTGGACAGCTGTGGCACTGTGGCACCAGAATGGGGCTTGGGGAGGGGTGACCCAAGGGGCCAGTTTCCCCTCCCCTGAGCCCGGGGGCTGGAAGGCCCTCCGAAGCGCAGTGTCTCTGGGCTTCCTCCCCAGCCGCAGGCTGGCCCCACCTTCCCTCCAGGATGCCAGGACACGCAGGATGGCGGCCTACTACCCAGGGTGCCAGCCTCCAAGAACCATGGCCCAGGCCCTTTCCATGGCCCAGACCAAGCCCAGGCCTTGGCCAGGTCCCCAGCCGGCCTGGCTGCCCCCTCAGTGTCAAGCGTTCCCTCCAGAGCCAAGATCCTGGGCTGTGATGGCTGGGGGCCCAGGGCCCCTCCCAGCATCCCTTCCAGCTTCCCAGGCCCCAGGGCAGGGCTGGGCAACTCCTTGAAACCATTGCTTCCCGGCCACCCTCTGGCCAGGCTGGGCGGGCCCTCCTGGACAGGCAGACAGGCTGCACGCTGCCCTGCTGTGGCCCGAGTACCCTGCTGGGCAGGGCAGCATGCCAAGGCCTCCAGGTGCCAGCCTGGATTCCAGCCCCATCCCAGGGGGCCAGCGGGGAAGCTGTGCGTGCTTCTCCTCCCTCGGGATGCACCTGCCTCGCCCCCTCCTCCACCCGCTCCAGACCCGCCCTCCGGCGAGTATGGACCCCTTGCCATCTCCTCCCTGCCAGGCCGGTCGCCTGCGTCCACCCGGACCGCAGGGGAGTAACAAGTGCCTGACTTGTCCCAAACTCCCAGTCCTGACCCCCCAGGGACGCCCCTTCCCGAGGTCCAAGGAAGGACCCGGGCTTGCGAGGGGCAGCAGGAGGGAGACTCTCCCGGCCAAGGGAGGAGGCACCTTCCAAAGCCCTTCCTAGCAGCAGCCCCGGCGCGGCCGAGAGGAGGGGCGGCTGCCCCGGACAACTTCATGCCCAGGCTCCGGGTACCCCCCTCTCACCTCGCCGCACGCCCCCCACCGCGGCCGCCCAACTTCCCAGCTGAAGTTTGCGCCCGCCCCGGGCCCGGGCGCTGCTCGGCCCGGCCTCCAGACGGAGGGAAGGAAGGAGGGAGAAGAAAGACCGAGAGCTCGAGGGACCCGGCCGGGGAGCCGGCGAGGGAGGGAGCGCGCGAGCCAGCGAGCGAGCGAACGCGGGGGCCTCGGCGAGGGCTCACAATGGCCCGGGGCGCGGACGCGAGCGGGGGAGGAGACCCTCGGGCCCCGCAGCCCCGGCGCGACAGGCGGGCCCCCCCCCCCCCGCCCCGGCCCGGTCCCCACGGCGCGACGCCCGGGGGGCTTCCTACCTCAGCGGCGGGGGCGGTCGGGATCCGGGCTGCGGGCTCCGGCGGTCGGGGGGCGCGGGGAGCCGAGCGGGGGAGGGGCCGGGACGGGCGGGGGCCGGGGCGCGAGGCCTCACGGGGCGCGGGCTCCCCTGGCACGGCCGCCCGGCGCCCGGCCGCTCCGCCACATCTGCAGCTCGGGCAGGGAAGGTGGCCGCGGCGGCCGGGCCGTGCGGGGATGTCTTAGAGGGAGGGCGGGCGGGCGGGAGGAGGGAGGAGGGAGGCGGCGGGAGGAGGGCCCGCCGGCCGCGGAGGAGGGCGAGGAGGAGGGGCGCGGGGGGCGGCCTCCACCCCTCCCCTCGCTCGCTCGCTCCCTCCCTCCCAGCAAAACCCCTCTCACCGCTGCGGCCCCAGGCCCGGGGCGCCAGCTGCCAGGCGGGGCGTGCGCGTCGGGGGAGGGGGCGGCGGGAGCCGGCGCTGGGCCGAGGGAGGGGGAAGGGAGGGCGGCGCGGCCGCGGGGAGCGGGCACCGGGAGGGAGGGGTGAGGGAGGGAAGTGGGGCGCCGAGCCGCGCGCGTCCTCCTCGGCCCCATCCTCACGCCACCCCCCCCCCGCGGCCCCGCCCCCGGCCCGAGGGCAGCGCTAGGACACGGCCGGGAGGTGGCCTGGGGGGGCGGGGGAGCCCGAGACGTCCCGCCCTCGGGGAAGCCCGAGGAGGGGGCCGGGCGCGCGGGCCCAGAGGAAAAGCCCCGCAGACCGGGAAGATGGAGGAGGTCGCGGCGGCGGAGCGGGCGGGGACCCCTCGCCTCCTCCCGCGGGGTCACCTTGGCCAGGCCCCCCTGCGGCCCCGGGCGGCGGGGAAGGCGGCAGGAATGCCTCTCTGCGGGCCCTGATTTCTCCGCCCAGCCCAGTTCCAGGAACGCGCAGGCAGCGCCCGGCGGGCAGAGGTCCCGGATCCCGATGCCGGGCGGCGCAAACCAGTTTTCGGGGCCCGGCGCAACCCCTCACGCTGGTGAGACGGCGGGCGACTCCCTGCCGTGCCCTCGGTCTCAGTTTCCCTCACGGTAGAATAACGACGAGGCCCGATGCCGAGCAATCCGAGCTTCCGCTTGGTTCCTAGCTTGGTCCCAGCATTTGGGACCACCTGCGTCCACTAGCCCGAGCGCCGCGGGAGGTCTAGATCCCTCCTGGACATCAGCACCCTGCGCGGCGCCCGCGGCCAGGGCAGCGAGTGCAGTGAGCGGATACACGCGAGGGAGAAGCCCCGCACCCGGCCCAGCTGTTTTCTGCCTCGTGTTGAACCACAGACTCGCGTTCTTGAGTGTGTTTTGTTTGGGCTAATCCCGTGCCCCCCGCCCTGTTATCTTCTTGCTGCTCTGCTGTATGCTGGCAAATTGTAGTTCAAAAAAACAGCCCTCCTGCTGTTGGACACCCCCTCTTCCCAGCGCAGTTGGCCTTGAGGAGCCTAGGAGACGAAAAAGGCATCCCAGAATCAGCATCCCCTAGAGGTGAGGCATCTGACGCTGGTTTTAAGTCCGTCTTCATTCGTGCATTTGATGCTGCGGTCCCCGCCAGAGCCCGAAGCACGTGGCTCTTGATCACAAGGCATCCATGGCAGGCACAAGGCTTGGCACATAGTAGGTGCTCCTGGGCTGGTGCCCAGATGGACACATAGCAGGTGCTCATGGGTTATGTGGACACACAATCGATGCTCATTGCATTTTAAGAGAATGCACACATAGTAGGTGCTCATGGGCTGGTGCCCAGATGGACACATAGCAGGTGCTCATGGGTTATGTGGACACACAATCGATGCTCATTGCATTTTAAGAGAATGCACACATAGTAGGTGCTCAGGACGTTGTGGGTGAATGCACACATAGTAGGTGTGGACTCGTAATGGATGCTCATGTTTTGGTCTAATGAACACATATTAGGTGCTCATGACCTGTTGTGGAAATGGGCACATAGTAGGTGCGCAGGAGCTGTAGGTTGATACCTGGAAGGGATGTAGGAAGGCCGTTTGCCTGGAGCAAAGGCTCGGAAGTTGGCGATTTGGAGGTGACCTCCCCCAGCCTCCACCCTCACCTCACCCCGGTCTCCTGAGTGTGGATAATGTGGAGTGTGGCCGGGTTAAACATTAGCCGGGAGATGGGCCCCGGGGGAAGGCCAGTTTCGGGACCTAGCGCTTCCAGGAGGGGGCTATTAAGGGCCGACTCTCTGGGTCCGGCGACCTGTGCGGGCGTCCGGAAGGGCCGAGGCCGAGGCCCGCAGAGCGCCCCCTCACGGCGGCGGGAATCGCTGCGCTTCAGCCCGGAGCCCTGCCCTGCAGCCGACCGCATCCGACCTCAGGCAGGCAGAACTGCAGCCCTGGGGTCGAGGTGTGTAGAAAAAAGGTACAGGAGACGCTAGTTTAAATCTGTTAGCAAAAATGTTTATCGGTCGGGCGCGGTGGCTCATACCTGTAAGCCCAGCACTTTGGGAGGCCGAAGTGGGAGGATCCCTGGAGGCCAGGAGTTGGAGACCAGCCTGGGCAACATAGCAAGACCCCCACCTCCCACCTAGTCTCTATTATATTTTTTAAAAATTGGCTGGGCGTGGTGGCTCACGCCCGTAATCCCAACGTTTTGGGAGACTGAGGCAGGCAGATCACTTGAGGTCAGGAGTTTGAAACCAGCCTGGCCAACATGGTGAAACCCCATCCCTGCTAAAAATACAAAAATTAGCCGGGCATGGTGGTGCGTGCTTGTAATCCCAACTACTCAGGAGGCTTAGGCAGGAGAATCGCTTGAGCCTGGAAGGCATAGGTTGCAGTGAGCTGAGATCATGCCATTGCACTCCAGCCTGGGTGACAAAGCAGGACTCCATCTCAAAAAAAAAAAAAAGAAACTTCCAGTTCTTGGCAAGACCAGTCTTTCTTTTTTTATTTTTCTTTGAATTTTTTTAGAGACAGGGTCTCCTTCTCTTGTCCAGGTTGGACTGCAATGGCTCTATCCTACCTCACTGTAGCCTCCCTCCAACTGCAGGGTTCAAGCAAGCCTCCCACCTCAGCCTCCCAACGTGCTGGGATTACAGGTGTGAGCCACTTCCAGACCAGTTCTTTTTCTCTACCAGACATTTTATTTTTTTACTTTTATTTTTATTTGTATAAATAGAGACAGGGCGGGCACAGTGGCTCACGCCTGTAATCCCAACACTCTTATGAGGCCAAGGTGGGAGGATCACTTGAGCCCAAGAGTTTGAGACCAGCCTGGGCAATATAATGACACCCCAGACCTTTTTTTTTTTTTTTTTTTTTGAGACAGAGTTTTGCTCTTGTCTCCCAGGCTGGAGTCCAATGGTGCGAGATCTCGGCTCACTACAACCTCTGCCTCCTGGGTTCAAGTGATTCTCCTGCCTCAGCCTCCCAAGTAGCTGGGATTACAGGCGCTCGCCACCATGCCGGCTAATTTTTTGTATTTTTGCTAGAGATGAGATTTCACCATGTTGCTCAGGCTGGTCTTGAACTCTTGACCTCAGGTGATCCACCCGCTCCGGCCTCCCAAGAGACCACATCTCTTTACAAAAAATAAAAAGTTAGCTGGGCCTGGTGGCACACATCTGTAATCCCAGCTACTTGGGAGGCTGTGGTGGAAGGATCACCGGAGCCCTGGAGATCAAGGCTGCAGTGAGCTATATGATCATGCCACCGCACTCCAGCCCAGGTGACAGAGCAAGACCCTATCTAAAAAAAATAATAATAGCTGGGCGCGGTGGCTCACACCTGTAATCCCAGCACTTTGGGAGGCTGAGGCGGGCAGATCACCTGAGGTCAGGGTTTGAGATCAGCCTGGCTAACATGGTGAAGCCCCCCGTCTCTACTAAAAATACAAAAAGTAGCTGGGCGTGGTTGTGTGCGCCTGTAATCCCAGCTACTGGAGAGGCTGAGACAGGAGAATCGCTTGGACCCAGGAGGTGGAGGTTGCAGTGAGCCAAGATAGCGCCACTCTACTCCAGCCTGAGCAACAGAGCAAGACTCTGTCTCAAATAATAATAATAATAAGCTGGGTGTGTTGGCCTGTAGTCCCAGTTACTTGGGAGGTTGAGGCAGAAGGATCACTTGAACCCGAGAAGTGGAAGCTGCAGTGAGCTGAGACTGTGCCGCTCCAGCCTGGGTGACAGAGTGAGAATATGTCTCAAAATAATAATAATATTTAGAGATAGGTCTTGCCATCTTGCCCAGGCTGGTCATGAACTCCTGGTCTCAAGTGATCCTCCTGCCTCAGCCTCCCAAAGTGCTGGGATTCCAGGTGTGAGCCATCCCCAGCTCTTTCTCTCTACTGGACATTTTCATTATATGGATGACAACAGCACAAAGAAGTTCACTAACTTGTCCAGGGTTGTATAAGCTAGTAGGAGGCATAGTCCAGATTGCAGTCTCCATGTGTCTGCAGTCTGAATCCAAAGCTTGTGCTCTCTAACCCACTACTTCCCTGGAGCATCAGGTAGCTGTCGAGGTGGGGGACAGGCAGTGGAGACAGCCAACAAGGCCAGGCTCTGAGCTGTTTTCTCTAGGTTCTGCTTTTCCAGGAGGCAGCAGCTGCCATTGCAGGAGAGCCAGGCCCCATTTCTCCTTCTAGGTGAACAACAGGCATGGAGGCATGTCCCCCCTCCCTGCCATTGTGCTGGGCGTCCTCCTCTCAGAGTAGGCCCCTCTTGGAGGGAGGATGGTCTCTCCTATTAGACGGTAAGATCCCCAAGGAGAGGGACATTGTCTGCTTTGTCCCTCCCCCTGCAAGGTCCTGCCCAGGGCCTGGCATGTTGTCAGTGCTTCCTGAGTATCGCTGATAGATACACTTTGGGGGCTGAACTTGGTCCCCTAATCCTTTACCAGTAAACATTTATTGAACATCACCTAGGTTCACATTCATTTTTTTTTTTTTTCGAGACAGAGTCTTGCTCTGTCGACTAGGCTGGAGTGCAGTGGCATGATCTCGGCTCACTGCAATCTCCACCTCCCAGGTTCTCCTGCCTCAGCCTCCTGAGTAGCTGGGATTACAGTCCTACGCCACCACACCGAGCAAATTTTTGTATTTTTAGTAGAAATGGGGTTTCACCATGTTGGCCAGGCTGGTCTCGAACTCCTGACCTCATGACCCACCCACCTTGGCCTCCCAAAGTGCTGGGATTACAGGCGTGAGCCACCGCGCCCAGCTCCAACAGATTATTAAGCTCTCTTTTTTTTGAGATAGGGTCTCACTCTATTGCCCGAGCTGGAGTGCAGTGGTGCGATCACGGCTCACTGCTGCCTTGACATCCCAGACTCAGGTGATCCTCCTACCTCAGCCTCCCAAGGAGCTGGGACTACAGGCATGTGCCACCACACTCAGCTAATTTTCATATTTTCTGTAGAGACAGGGGTCTCACTATGTTACCCAAGCTAGTTTCGAACTTCTGGGATCAAGCAATCCTCCTGTCTTAGCCTCATAACAGGCGTGAGCCACCATATGCAGCTGAGACCCTGTCTCTTTTTTTTTTCTGAGACGGAGTCTTGCTTGTCACCCAGGCTGGAGTGCAGTGGTACAACCTCTGTCTCCCAGGTTGAAGCTATTCTCCTCCCTCAGCCTCCTGAGTAGCTGGGATTACAGGCGTGTGCCACCACATCCGCCTAATTTTTGTATTTTTAATACGGATGGGGTTTTGCCATGTTGGCCATGCTGGTCTCTAACTCCCGACCTCAGGTGATCCACCCACCTCAGCCTCCCAAAGTGCTGGGATTACAGGCATGAGGCACCGCGCCTGGCCCTTAGACCCTATCTCTAAAAAACCAAAAAAAACAAAAAAACAAAAGAAGTAACCCTTGAGACCTACATTGTAGATGTAGGAGAGATGACAGGAATCAGAATGGATGAATGGTGGCAGATCCAGACCTCTGGCCCTTGACCTTGGCCAAGCCCTCTAACCTCTCTGAGCCTCGGTTTCCCCATCTATGAAATCGCAGTCCTCAGGGTACCTATTACCACTGGCCTCTGTGAGGCTCAGTGGGAAGTGCACAGAAAGGGCTTCCAGCAGCACGTGGCTGGGAGAAAGAGCCCGCAAATGGTAGCTATTATGAATGAAGCAGCCCACAGCGGGCAGAGCCCAGTCACAAGGCAGGAGTGATGGAGGGAGTGAGATCAGGATGACTTATCAACCCTGAGCCGGTGGCCTGGCGAGCCTCTCTCTCCATTGGCGCTGGCTGGCTGAGCCTACAGAGCTGGGGCTGTCTGCGGGTGGGGTGTTTATTCTAGGAAGCGGCCCTGGCTGCTTCTCATTCCCTGCCCCAGGGAGAAAGGAGGGCTTCAAGTCAGAACCGAAGCCATGCTGGGCCTGGCATGTACAACACAGCGCCACCTGCCCGCAGGGCCCAGAGCTGAAAATGCCCAGGAGGTGCAGCCCCAGGGGCCTGGCTGGGACTTGCAGATGTGAGACACTCCCAGGGTGACCCACCTGACTCCCCAAGAACCTGTCCTGCAAAGCCTAAAATGCTCAGCTTTTGGAAGTCTAGAGACTGGGTCCTGCATTCCAGGGCGGGGACGGGATGGGGCGCCTGGGCTAGGGGGGAGAGTTCTATCAGAGGTGGGGATGTCCCTGGTGGCAGCGCTGTCACCCTTGGGCTCCTTCATCAGAGGCTTGCTTCATGGAAGCCATGTGAGCTATGCAGTTGCACAGGGCTGGCCCTTAGAAGGGCCTGAGTGTGGCTGAATGTTCTGCTGTCACCGTCTTGAAATTCTTAATCATTTTAGAACATGGCCCGCGAATTTTCATTTTACATTACGCAGCCTGTCCTGCCTTCATGGTTTCGTTTCTCCTAGCATGTAGCTTCTCCCTCCCATCAGTGTGGCGCACAGACCCAACCTTCAGCCACATCCAGCAAGACAGGAGTGCCTTAGGTAAGCCTCATTTCCTGAAAGGCCGTGGGAGACATGCACCTGCCACCCCAACCCAGCAGGACCAACCTTTCTGGAAAACCTGAGGCCGGCTGTGTGACGTGGGTGAGTCACTCAACTGCTCTGAACTTCTCGGTATCATAATATTGCACAGATCCTTGGGAAGTTTAAAAGAGGTAGTTTTGGGCTGGGCCTGGTGGCTCATCCCTGTAATCACAGCACTTTGGGAGGCCAAGGCAGGTGGATCTCTTGGGGTCAGGAGTTCAAGACCAGCCTGGTCAACATAGTGAGACACGGTGTCTACTGAAAATACAAAAATTAGCTGGACATGGTGGCACACGCCTGTAATCCCAGCTACTCAGGAGGCTGAGGCACGAGAATCGCTTGAAACCAGGAGGCAGAGGTTGCAGTGAGCTGAGATTGCACCACTGCACTCCAGCCTGGGTGACAGAGCGAGACGCCATCGCAAAATAAATAAATAAAAAGTAAAAAAGGTAGTTTTGGTTGGGCACAGTAGCTCACGCCTGTAGTTCCAGCACTTTGGGAGGCCGAGGCAGGAGGATTGCTTGAGCCCAGGAGTTCGAGAACAGCCTGGGCAACATACTAAGACCCTGCCCCATCTCTACAAAAAATTAAAAAATTAGCTAGTTGTGGTGGTGCATGACTGTAGTCACAGCTACTTGGACAGCTGAGGCGGGAAGATTGCTTGAACCCAGGAGGTGGAGGCTGCAGTGAGCCGATTGTGCCACTGAACTCCAGCCTGGGGGACGGAGTGAGACCCAGTCTCAAAAAAAAAAAAAAAAAAAAAAAGGCCGGTCACAGTGGCTCAGGCCTGTAATCCCAGCACTTTGGGAGGCTGAGGTGGGCGAATCGCTTGAACCCGGGAGGCAGAGGTTGCGATGAGCCCAGATCACGCCATTGCACTCCAGCCTGGGCAACAGAGCGAGATTCCAACTCAAAAAAAAAAAAAAATTTAAGATTATTGCAGGGCTGGGTGCGCCGTCTGACGCCTGTAATCCCAGCACTTTGGGAGGCCGAGGCGGGCAGATCACGAAGTCAGGAGTTCAAAACCAGCCTGGCCACCATGGTGAAACCACATCTCTACTAAAAATACAAAAATTAGCCAGGCGTGTTGGCGCGCACCTGCAATCCCAGCTACTCGGGAGGCTGAAGGAGGAGAATCGCTTGAACCTGAGAGGCGGAGCTTGCAGTGAGCCGAGATCGCGCCATTGCACTCCAGCTCTGGGCGACAGAAGACTGTCTGACGGGGTAGGGGAAAGATTGTTGAAGGCGCTAACTTGGAGGGAGAGGAGTCCGCCCGGGATCCCTAAGGACCTGCCCCGGGGAGGAGGAGCCGTCCCTCCCTTGGCCCCTCCCCTCCTGCCTTCCGAGGGAGGAGACCCCCCCAGGGCAGGAACGAGGGGGCGGAGAAGCGCGAGCGACACATTTTTGAGTCGTGACCAAGTGGAAACTCCCTCCCCGAGGCGGAAGCTGGGGGCGCCCCACTGGGGCCCAAGCCTCCGCCGGGGCGGGATTCCAAGCCAGGGGCGGGGCGCCGCCGGTGACCCGGGCCCCGCCTCTCGCCCGCCTCATGAATATGAACAAGCCGGCTGGTGAGCGGAAGTGCGAGGCGGCCCCAGGCTGGCTGGCTCTGCCGCTGAGAGGGGGGCGCGAGTCCGGGGGGCGTGGCCTGGCTCGGACGCCCCGCCCCTACCCCCACGCGGGGCCTCCTTCCGGCCGGCGCGCCCCGGACGTGACCTCGCGGGCGCGCGCCGGGAGCCGCCAGACTGGGCGCCGACAGCATCCTCCGGGGGTAGGCGCCCACAGTCATTCTTTCCATCGCTGCGGACACGGGAGTCAGAAGTGAAACAGTCCTGTCCTCGTGGGGCTTACGTTCCAGGCGCAAGAGCCACAGGTAGTCGAATTGGGAAACCGCCTCGGATGTCACATAAGCGCCCAGGGAGGACAGGGCAGGACAGGGCCTCCCTGGGGAGGTGACTTGAGTCAAGACTCAAAAGAGGGAAGCGAGGGAACAAGCCATGCGAGGAACTAACGAAGGAACATTCCAGAAAGATTTCACATCCCAAGCCTAAGGTCCAGGGGCAGCAGGCATTGAGGCGGATGTGGCTGGAGTGGAGAGAAAGAGGAATTAAAAGGATGGAGTAATGACAATAATGGCTCACATTTTTTAGCAAGAGGTGGGTTCACTACCTATCTGTCGTTATCTGGGGGGAAATTAGGCTCTGGGAGGTCAAATAACTTGCCCAAGGTCACACAGCTTGTAAGTGGCCAGACCAGCATTGGAACCCAAGGGGACGGATGTCTGAAACACACCCAGGAGTCCCAAGGTGGGATGACCTTGACCAAGACAGGCCCTTTACCCCTTGCCTCAGTTTCATCCCAAAGAGCTGCCCAAACACAGCTTAAAATCAGGGCACAGAGCAAGGGTGTAGCTGAGTGTGCGTAACATCTGTTCTCCTGGGAGATGCTTTTGTTGTCTGGGAAGCACTTGTCACCTCTCCAGGCTCTGGAGCAGGTACAAGTGGCTTCGGGGAGAAAGGGTGGGAGCCGGGAAGAGGCTGCTTCTGGTGGCAGGAGGAGAGAGGGAGTGGGTGAGGGGCCCCGGGCTGGCTGAGTGCTCTGGAGCATGACAAAGGCAGTGTCAGCCAGGCAGCTGTGTCCGCCACTAGCAACCGCGCAGGCAGCATCCCCCGCCATCCCTCTGAGCCTGGAGAGATTGAAACACACACAGTCAGCGTGCCTGCTGCCCAGGTGAGGTGCAGAAGGCCTGGGGGTTGCCAGTCTGGGCTCTGCCGCGAGAAAGTGGCTTTTCTGCAGCCGGAAGCGGGGAGGAAGTGTTTTCACCCTTCTACAAAGCTCTGTCTCTGCCTCTGGATCCACGGTGCTGCAGGCCTGAGGGCTCTCATGGGTACGGGCCTGGTGAGTAATCTAGAATTTGCCCCTTCCCCAGCCTGGTGCAGCCTCTAGTCTCGGCCTTCACGCTCTGCTGTAAAATGAGGCTGGGTCAGGAGTGGGACCCATCCTCCGTGTTTGAGGAGCTGGGCTATTACATGAGCCCCTACCTGAGGTCGCCAGCGAGTCAGAGGTCCTGGTGGGACCAGACCAAAATGGAACCTACTATCGGGCCCATTTTGAGAGGGAGACAGAGAGAAGTTAAAAGTACATGCACACACAGCTCTAAAGTAGCAGAGATGGCATTCAAGTCCAAAGCCTTTGACTCCAGGACGGGCACAGTGGCTCACACTTGTAATTTCAGCACTTTGGGAGGCCGAGGTGGGAGGATCTCCTAAGCCCAGGAGTTCAAGACCAGCATGGGCAACATGGTAAGACCCTATCTCTATTAGCGGGGCGTGATGGCACATGGCTGTAGTCCCAGCTACTCTGGAGGCTGAAGCAAGAGAATCGCTTGAACTTGGAAGGCAGATGTTGCAGTGAGCTGACAGAGCAAGATTCCATCTCAAAACGAACAATCAAACACTAGTCTTGCCCGGCGAGGTGGCTCAGGCCTGTAATGACCAGCCTGGCCAACATGGTGAAACCCCTTCTCTACTAAAAATACAAAAATTTGCTGGGCATGATGGCAGGCGCCTGTAATTCCAGCTACTTGGGAGGCTGAGGCAGGAGAATCCCTTGAACCTGGTAGGTAGAAGTTGCAGTGAGCCGAGACCGTGCTATTGCACTCCAGCCTGGGCAACAAGAGTGAAACTCCGTCCCCAAAAAGAAAAAAACACTAGCCTCAAGCCACAGCCATGTCTCCAACCTTCCCGGCCAGGTTTCTCAAAAGAGGGGGCTACCTGAGGTCACCCACTCCTGCCGAACTCCAGGTGGGCTTCCTCATCCCTTGCTCTATCCTAAACTGTTCCTTAAGTGACAGTTCACACCCTGACGTCTTCCAAGCTGAGACCCCACCAGCAGCTAGCTTTTCCTTTGTGGTTCCACCCACCTCCTAAATCCCTTTAGCAGCCGGGTGCGGTGGCTCGCGCCTGTAATCCCAGCACTTTGGGAGGCCGAGGCGGGTGGATCACGAGGTCAGGAGATCGAGACCACGGTGAAACCCTGTCTCTACTAAAAATACAAAAAAATTAGCTGAACGTGGTGGCGGGCGCCTGTAGCCCCAGCTACTCGGGAGGCTGAGGCAGGAGAATGGCATGAACCCGGGAGGCAGAACTTGCAGTGAGCTGAGATCGCACCACTGCACTCCAGCCTTGGCGACAGAGTGAGACTCCAGCTAAAAAAAAAATCCCTCTAGGGTCCTGCGCCTCTGCCTGTAGCCCCTAAAACCGAATACTCCTGAAAGTTTTATCCTGGGAACCCCTTTCCTTGACACTTTAACTCCGTGGAAGAGGCAAAAGTGAGGGGAACCCCCATCTCTACTTAAGAGTTCCCCACATATTTTTTATTATTATTTTTTTCGTGACGGAATTTCACTCTTTGTTTGCCCAGTCTGGAATGCAATGGCACAATCTCAGCTCACTGCAACCTCTGCCTCCCGGGTTCAAGTGATTCTTCCACCCTAGCCTCCCGAGAAGCTGGGATCACAAGCGCCCACCACCACACCAAACTAATTTTGTATTTTTAGTTGAGACGATTTCACCACGTTGCCCAGGCTGGTCTCGAACTCCTCAGATGATCGGCCCTCTGCCTCCCAAAGTGCTGGGATTACAGGTGTGAGCTCCTGCGCCCGGCTCAGAGTTCCCCATATTTATACTTGCCCTCCAGGGCACACTGGCCTCCATTTTTAGGGACTTGCTTGGTATCTGCCCTTGGGTAACCCACTGGAGCTTTCCAGTTGGACTCCTTGATTGGAGGGGAATCTGGCTACACCTGTCGCCCCAGGATGGACCAGCAGGGCCCGTCTTGAGGCTGCACTCGAGGATAGAGGAAAAAGTGTCATCTTTAAGAGTCCCACCGAGTAGCCAGGTTTCCCTGCCGGAAATTCCTGCCTTGTTTTCCTTTCCCTGGTAAAACTAGGAGAGCCACCTCATTTTCCTGAGCCCTGAGCCCTGAGCGCCCGCCCCCACCCCCGTTGGTTCTAGCTACACAGGCTTTCGGCCTCAGGGTTGCTTTGCACCATCCCCTTCCCCCGACCCAGGCAAGTTCGCTTCTGCTTCTCTCTTGCCCAGCCCTCATTAGCAGGCTCTGACACTTCTCAGCCGCCTGTCCGCTTTGCAGAGAACTGACATGTGAGCTGTGCCCAGGGACATCTGCTGAATGGGCGGGTCCCCTGCCGGACCAGTCCATCTGTCCCTCACTCAGTGTTCCTTCTGAGCTGAAGCTGCCCAGCATCCCCCATCTGTGTGAGTATTCACACAGCGCTGGCCAAAGCCCTGTCGGGAATCACGTGATTCAGATCCTGGTTTTGCCCCTGTCAGCCTTAGGACAAGACAGATTTCTTTTTCTTTGTTTCTCCTGAGATAGGGTCTCACTCTGTCGCCCAGGCTGGAGTGCAGTGGTGTGATCTCAGCTCATTGCAGCCTCAGCCTTTGGGGTTATAGCAAGCCTCCCACCTCAGCTTCCCAAGTAGCTAGGATTATAGGTGCACACCACCATGCTCAGCTATTTTTTTTTACATTTATATTTAGTAAAGACAGGGTCTCACTGTGTTTCCCAGGCTGGTCTCAAACTCCTGGCCCCAAGTGATCCTCCCGCCTTGGCCTCCCAAAGTGCTGGGATTACAGGCATGAGCCACCATGCCCTGGCTACCCAACAGATTTCTTTTCTTTTTTCCCCCCCAAGACGGAGTCTCACTCTGTCATCCAGGCTGGAGTACATTAGCGCAATCTTGGGTCATGGCAACCCCTGCCTCCTGGGTTAAAGCAGTTCTTCTGCCTCAACCTCCCGAGTAGGTGGGATTACAGGCGCATGCCACCACGCCCGGCTGGCTAATTTTTTTGTATTTTTAGTAGAGACGGGGGTTTCGCCATGTTGGCCAGGCTGGTCTCAAACTCCTGACCTCGTGATCCACCTGCCTCGGCCTCCCAAAGTGATGGGATTACAGGAATAAGCCACCATGCCCGTCCCACCCAACAGATTTCTTGAGGTGAGTTTTGGTTTCCTGGCATGGTATTGGCTACATGACCTCATCTGTAATGTCTTTGGCAAACAGAATAACTTGTTTTGTATTACTATGTTTAATCTTCAAAATCACCCTATTGAGTAGATTGTCACAATCAGGCCTGTTTTGTGGATGAAGAGAGGGAGGCTTGGAGAAGCCGCGTGGTTCATGCAAAAATGCAAAGCTGCAAAGTAGTGGCGGTGGGGTTCAAGTCCTGACGCTTTCACCACTGAGCGCCTTGCCATCCCCTGCTGCCATCCTCTCTTGGTTCTGATACTTCTTTTTTTTTTTTTTTTGAGATGGAGTCTCACTCTGTCGCCCAGGCTGGAGTGCAATGGTGTGATCTCGGTTCACTGCAACCTCCACCTCCCACGTTCAAGCGATTCTCCTGCCTCAGCCTCCGGAGTAGCTGGACTACAGGTGCCTGCCACCACGCCCGGCTAATTTTTTTGTATTTTTTTAGTAGAGACAGGGTTTCACCGTGTTAGCCAGGATGGTCTCACTCTCCTGACCTCATGATCCACCTGCCTCGGCCTCCCAAACTGCTGGGATTACAGGCATGAGCCATCACGCCTGGCCTTTAGGCCAGCTAATTTTAAGGTGCTTCTCTGAGTAGTGTGAACTGGGGGTCATGCGAAGGGGTCTCAGTGAATCTGGGCAGAGTGTGGTGCTGCTGGGAGTCTGCAGCCCCTTTCAAACAGTCTGGTTCCTTGAAAGGTTAAACATGGAGGCCGGGTACAGTGGCTCAGGCCTGTAATCCCAGCACTTTAGGAAGCTGAGGCAGGCAGATCACTTGAGGTCAGGAGTTGGAGACCAGCCTGGACAACATGGCGAAACCCTGTCTTGATGTAAAAAAAAAAAAAAAAAAAATTAGCTGGGTGTGGTAGCAGGCACCTGTAGTCCCAGCTACTCAGGAGACTAAGGCAGGAGAATCCTTTGAATCTGGGAGGTGGAGGTTGCAGTGAGCTGAAATCAGGCCACTGCACTCCAGCCAGGGTGACAGAGTGAGACTCCATCTCAAAAAAAAAAAAAAAATGTTAAACATGGAGTGACCATATGACGCAGCAGTGCCCCTCCTAGGTATATATCGTGTATATCTAAGAGGAATGGGAACATATCTGCACAAAAATTTGCATGGGAATGTTCAGAGCAGTGTTATTCATAAGAGCCAAAAAGTGAAAGCAACCATGTGTCCCTCACCTGATGAATGGATAAATCAACTGTGGTCTCTCCAAACAGTGGAATATGATTCAGCCATAAAAAGGAACGAAGCAGCTGGGCGCAGTGGCTCACGCCTGTAGTCCCAGCACTTTGGGAGGCCGAGGCCAGTGGATCACGAGGTCAGAAGATCGAGACCATCCTGGCTAACACGGTGAAACCCTGTCTCTAAAAAAATTAGCCAGGCATGTTGGCACATGCCTGCAGACCCAGCTACTTGGGAGGCTAAGGCAGGAGAATTGCTTGAACCTGGGATGCGGAGGTTGCAATGAGCCGAGATCGTTCCACTGCACTCCAGCCTGGGAGATAGAGTGAGACTCCGTCTCAAAACAAAACAAAACAAAACAAAAAAACGAAGCACCAATACATACTACAACATGGATGACCCTTGAAAGCATTATGCCCAGTGACAAGCCAGACACACAGGACGCATGTTGTGTGTTTCTGTTCATATGAAATTTCCAGAATAGGCAAATCCATAGAGACTGGAAGTAGATTAAGGGCCAGGGGCAGTGGCTTACGTCTACAGGCATGAGCAGTTTGGAAAGCTGGGGCAGGAGGATCACTTGAGACCAGGAGTTCAAGACCAGCAGTTCAAGACCAGCCTGGGCAACAGAGTGAGACCCCTATCTCTAAAAAAAAATAAAGTTAGCTGAGTGTGGTGGCGCCCACCTGTAGTCCCAGCTCCACGGGAGACTGAGAGGAGAGGACTGCTTGACCCTGAGAGGTAGAGGCTACAGTGAGCTATGATCAAACCACTGAACTCCAGCCTGGGCAACACAGTGAGACTCTGTCTCTAAAAATAAATAAATAAAAAGATAGGGTAGCTTAGGGGTTGCCTGGGGCCTGGGGTGGTGGTGAGCATCGGGGAGTGACTGCTAAGTGGAGTTTCTTTTTGGGTTAATGAAAATATTCCAAAATTGGTCAGTTGCAGTGGCTCATGCCTGTAATCCAAGCACTTTTAGGAGGCCAAGGCACGTGGATCACTTGAGGTTAGGGGTTCGAGACCAGCCTGGCCAACGTGATGAAACTCCGTCTCTACTAAAAATACAAAAAAATCTAGCTGGGCCCGGTGGTGCTCACCTATAGTCCCAGCTACTTGGGAGGCTGAGGCGGGAGAATCGCTTGAACCCGGGAGACAGAGGTTGCAGTGAGCCGAGATCATGCCACTGCACTCCAGCCTGGGTGACAGAGTGAGACTCCGTCTTGAAAAAAAAAGAAAAAGAAAATATTCCAAAATTGCAGTTATAGATGCACAGATCTGTGGATATTTAAAAACAACTGAATCATCTACTGTGGTGTAATTGTAAAGTGGTGAATTATATGGATTATATCTCAATAAAGGTCTTTTTTTTTCTTTTTTTTTTTTTTTTTTTGAGACGGTATCTTGCTCTGTCGCCCAGGCTGGAGTGCAGTGGCACAATCTCGGCTCACTACAAGCTCCACCTCCCAGGTTGGTGGACATTCTCCTGCCTCAGCCTCAGCCTCCCGAGTCGCTGGGACTACAGGTGCCTGCCACAATGTCTGGCTAATTTTTTGTATTTTTAGTAGAGACGGGGTTTCACCGTGTTAGCCAGGATGGTCTCGATCTCCTGACCTCGTGATGCGCCCACCTCGGCCTCCCAAAGTGCTGGGATTACAGGTGTGAGCCACTGCACCCGGCCTCACCAAAGGTCTTATTAAAAAAATTAGCCAGATTCCCTGCTTCAGTGATAAAAAAAAAAAAAAAAAAGAGGGGCAGGAGAAGAGGACCCAATAACTTCCTGAGTGACTGGGGAAAATATTTTTGGGTTATATTTCTGTAATTCTCGTGAAGTGATTACAGAAGTGACGGGATAGAAGAGGTTTCTTTAAAAAAAATTTTTTTTTTAATTTAGTAGAGATGGGATCTTGCTATATTGCCCAGGCTGGTCTTGAACTCCTGGACTCAAGCAGTCCTCCTGCCTGGGCCTCCCGGAGCTCCCGGGTTACAGGTGTGCAATCCCATGACCAGCCGATAGAGGACGTTTCTATTCATCCTTCAGACCTCAGCTTACAAGTTACCCCAAGATAAGCCTCCCCCACCCCATAACCCTCCCTCTGTCACTTTGTCACGTGTCTGAGCCCTTGTTTCTTCCTTTTTTTTTTTTGAAATGAAGTCTTGTTCTGTCGCCAGGCTGGAGTGCAATGGCGTGATCTCGGCTCACTGCAATCTCTGCCTCTTGGGTTCAAGCGATTCTCCTGCCTCAGCCTCCCGAGTTGCTGGGATTACAGGCACATACCACCACACCCAGCTAATTTTTGTATTTTTAATAGAGACGGGGTTTCACCATGTTGGCCAGGGTGGTCTCCATCTCCTGACCTCATGATCTGCCAGCCTTAGCCTCCCAAAGTGCTGGGATTACAGGCGTGAGCCACCGCGCCAGGCCTGTTTCTTCCTTTTATAGCTCTTCCCACACTTGGAATTCTTTTCTGCCTCTGGACCTGATTTTGTTGGGCTCTTGCCCAGCTGAGTTCCGTGAGGTTCGGGGCTTGTCTGTATCTTGTCTGCCACATCATAGGTGCTCAGTGCACACCTGTTGAGTGGATGCACCATAGATATATTGATAACAGCTGTGAGCGGTTGGGAGCGAGTGAGCAGAGCAGGGCTGCTCAGGGTGTCTCCAGCCCTAGTGGCTTTCTCTCTGTTCCAGTTCCAGGAGAAAGTCTCTGGAAAGGAAGCCCGAAGTCGGGTCTGGCTGGGAAGAGGTGGGGGCTGGGGCGGGTGCCGGGTGCTGGGGCTGGGAGGAAGTCTGCAGCCAGGCTGCTGAGGGTGTGGCGTCTGTGTGTGCACCTTTGGAATGTGGCTGATTCACTCTGAGGGGAGCCATATGCTGCCGCCACCGCCTCGGATCTGACATCTGGAGGCTGAATTCCAGGAGGAGAGAGACAGATTCCTGCAAGCAGATGCCAACTTTGAAGGTCAAAGGGAGCAATGGAACTGCTTTGAGGGGGGTGAGAGGGTCCAACACTCCCTCCAGGGGCTGGGAGGGAGGTGAGGCCCCCTCCCCAGACTTGCCTGAGCCCCTGATCTATCAGAGCCTCTATGCGGACAGCTGGGGCGCAAGGAAGAGAGCATGAGCTTCAGCGTTCAGACCTGGATTCAAAGACCAGTTTCTGGGCCAGGCACAACGGCTCATGCCTGTAATCCCAGCACTTTTGGAAGCTGAGGTGGGAGGATCACTTGAACCTAGAAGTTTGAGACCAGCCTGGGCAACATAGTGAGACCCCATCTCTACAAAAAAATAGAAAAATTAGCCAGGTGTGGTGGTGCGGGCCTGTAGTCCCAGCTACTCCTGAGGCAGGATTGCTTGAGCCCAGGAGGTGGAGGCTATAGTGAGCCAAGATTGCACCACTGCACTCCAGCCTGGGTGACAGAGCAAGACCCCCCCATCTCAAAAACAAATTAAAAAATAAATAAATAAGTAAATAAATGAAATAAAGACCAGTTCCTTGACAGCTCGTGTAACTGCAGAGGCCGAGGGTCTAGCTGGGTCCAGTGCTCACAGGAACACTGGCTTGCATCTCCCAGCCAGGTTTCCTCCGTTTTCGCTTTGCTCTTGGGCCAGCGCTTCCTGAGAGGAGGCCCTGATGTCACAGACCTGTGAACCTCCAGCTTGTGTCTACCACGGGTTCCAGCAGAATCCTAGGTTTGCCTCTCTTTGGCTGGAGCTGGGTCCCAACCCAGCCCTGTAGCGATCACCGTACTCCTGATGGGACAGGCCTGGGTCAGGAGCCTGCCCAGCACAGGGCAATACCCCTGTAGCCCCATGGAGCAAATGGAAATGAGGGGGGCTGTCCCTTAAAAGAACCACACCGGCCAGGCGTGGTGGCTCACGCCTGGAATCCCAGCACTTTGGGAGGCTGAGGTGGAAGGATCGATTGATCCTGGGAGTTGGAGACCAGCGTGGGCAACATAGCAAGACCCTGTCTCTACAAAAAAAAATTTTTTTTGAGATGGGAGTCTTGCTGTGTCGCCCAGGCTGGAGCACAGTGGCGTGATCTCGGCTCACTGCAAGCTCTGCCTCCCAGGTTCATGCCATTCTCCTGCCTCAGCCTCCCAAGTAGCTGGGACTACAGGTGCCTGCCACACGCCCGGCTAATTTTTTTGTATTTTCAAAAATTTTTTTTTAAATTAGATGAGCATAGTGGTGTGTACCTGTGGTCCCAGCTACTTGGGAAACTGAGACGGGAAGATGGCTTGAGCCCAGGAGGTTAAGGCTGCGGTGAGCCTTGATCGCACCACTGCATTCCAGCCTGGTCAACAGAGCAAGGCCCTATCTCAAAAACAAAACAAAAAAACATAAATACAAGAGCGACCCCCCAGCTCTGCTAAGCTGCCTCCACCATGCTGGCTGCCAGGCCCTGTGCTCAGCTTCATGGGCTTTAGCGTCCCCAGGTGTCCCTTTGGTTGAGTCTCTCCCTTAAGCTCTCAGATGCTCATTTTCTTCATCTCTGAAATCTCCAAGCTTCTTTTCAGGATTGGATGAGACAATCCTGGCAAATCCCTTGGCACAGGCCTTGCCCCAAGGAGGCAGATGATAGCTCACGTCTAGTTCCTTTCTCATCCTGACATCTAGGTTCTCTGTGATCTGCCTGTGGGCTCGAAGGATGGTGTGCATGTGTGTGTTTGCATGTGTGTGCGTGGGTGTGCATGAGTGTGTCTGCACGCAGCAGCAGCAGCCCCCTTTCTGTTCTCCTAGGAGTTTTGTATTTGATTTCTCCTCCAGAGTCTTGGGGGCTCCACAGGAGAGATGGTGGAGGCGGGAGGAGCAAGAAAGGGGTGAGGTTAGAAGCCTGGTCCCAGCTGGGGCTGCAGCTGGGGGCCTGCAGGCTCTGGCCTGCCCTGGGAGGCCCTCCCTGTACCTGCAGCTGCATCTGGGGCCGGAGGAGGGGCCAGGCGTCCTTCCGCTCCAGGAGCTGCTGCCTGTCCCCCTCCCATGACACATGAGGACTGTGTCTGGTCGATTCACATTGGAGGGTCCCTGAATGAGCTTTGTCCATTAGAGGACCTGTATTCTTGTTCCTGGAACCTGGGAGTGGGTCAGAAGGGTGACTCACACCTGTAATCCCAGCACTTTGGGAGGCCAAGGTGGGTGGATTACCTGAGGTCAGGAGTTTGAGACCAGCCTGGCCAACATGACGAAACCCCATCTCTACTAAAAATATAAAAATTAGCTTGGCATGGTGGTGCGTGCCTGTAATCCCAACCACTCGGGAGGCTGAGACAGGAGAACTGCTTAAACCTGGGAGGCAGAGGTTGCAGTGAGCCGAAATTGCGCCATTGCACTCCAGCCTGGGTGACAAGAGTGAGACTCTGTCTCAAAAAATAAAAATAGGCCGGGCGCAGTCGCTCACGCCTGTAATCCCAGCACTTTGGGAGGCCGAGGCAGGCAAATCACAAGGTTAGGAGATCGAGAGCATCCTGGCTAACACAGTGAAACCCCATCTCTACTAAAAATACAAAAAATTAGCCAGGTGTGGTGGCGGGCGCCTGTAGTCCCAGCTACTCCAGAGGCTGAGGCAGGAGAATGGCGTGAACCCAGGAGGCAGAGCTTGCAGTGAGCCAAGTTCGCGCCACTGCACTCCAGCCTGGGTGACAGAGAGAGACTCTGTCTAAAATAAATAAATTAGTTAATAATAATAAAAATAAAAAATAAAATCAAGCTGGGAGCAGTGGCTCATGCTTGTAATCCCGGCACTTTGGGAGGCTGAGACCGGCAGATCACCTGAGGTCAGGAGTTCGAGACCAACCTGGCCAACATGGTGAACCCCGTCTCTACTAAAAATACAAAAATTTGGCCGGGCACAGTGGCTCACGCCTGTAATCCTAGCACTTTGGGAGGCCAAGGCGGGCGGATCATGAGTTGAGGAGATCGAGACCATCCTGGCTAACACGGTGAAACCCCAGACCCCATCTCTACTAAAAAAATTAGCCGGGTGTGGTGGTGGGTGCCTGTAGTTTCAGCTACTCGGGAGGCTGAGCCAGGAGAATCGCTTGAACCAGGGAGGTGGAGGTTGCAGTGAGCTGAGATCGCACCACTGTACTCCAGCCTGGGTGACAGAGTGAGACTCCATCTCAAAAAAAGATTAAAAAATAAAAATAAGATATAATTCACATACCGTAAAATTCACCTCTTTGAAGTGTACAATCAGTGGTTTTTAGTGTATTCAGAGTCGTGCAACCATCATCAACATCTAATTTCAGAACATTTTCACCATCCCAAAAAGAAACCCTATACTCAAGAAGCAGCCACTCCCCATTCCTCTTTCCTCCCAGGCCCTGGCAACGCACCAGCCTGTTTTCTGCCTCTATGGATTTCCCTATTCTGGGCATTTCAAATAAAGTGGTGGTCTCTTGTGATTGGCTTTTCACTTAATGTTTCAAGGTTCGTCTATATTGTAGCATAGATCAGCACCTTGTTCCTTTTTATTTTTGAGACACAGTCTCGCTCTGTCGCTCAGGCTGGAGTGCAATGGTGAAATCTCTGCTCATTGCAAGCTCTGCCTCCCAAGTTCAAGCGATACTTGTGCCTCAGCCTCTGGAGTAGCTGGGATTACAGGCGTGGACCACCACGCCCGGCTATTTTTGCTCGTTTTTAGTAGAGATGGAGTTTCGTCATGTTGGCCAGGCTGGTCTTAAACTCCTGACTTCAAGTGATCGGCCCGCCTCAGCCTCCCAAAATGCTGGGATTACAGGGCGGCATGAGCCACCACACCCGGCCTTTATCTGTCTGTCTGTCTGTCTGTCTATCTATCTATCTAATCTATCTATTTTTGAGACAGAGTCTCCCTCTGTCCCCCAGGCTGAAGTGCAATGGCACAATCTCATCTCACTGCAACCTCTGCCTCCTGGGTTCAAGTGATTCTCCTGCCTCAGTCTCCCAACTAGCTAGGATTACGGGCGCCCACCACCACCCCCAGCTGATTTTTGTATTTTGAGTAGAGATGGGGTTTCACCATATTGCCCAGGCTGCTCTCCAACTCCTGGCCTCAAGCAACCCGCCTGCCTTGGCCTCCCAAAGTGCTGTGATTACAGGCATGAGCCACCGTGCCCAGCTTTTTTTTTTTTTTTTTTTTTTGAGACAGAGTCCTGCTCTGTCACCCATTTTGGAGTGCAGTGGCATGATCTCAGCTCACTGCAACCTCCACCTCCCAGGTTCAAACGATTCTTCTGCCTCAGCCTCCCGCGTAGCTGGGACTACAGGCGTGCATCACCACGCCCAGCTAATTTTTGTATTTTTAGTAGAGACAGGGTTTCACCGTATTGGCCGGGCTGGTGTCCGACTCCTGACCTCAGGTGATCCGCTTGCCTTGGCCTCCCAAAGTGCTGGGATTACAGGTGTGAGCCACTGCGCCCGGCCTATTTTTTTTATTAAAAAAAAAAAAAGAGTATGGATAAGGCACTCGCGCTGTGCCTGGTACCTCTCACCTCTCTGGTTGGTGCTTATGCATCCCTGAGGTGCCTGTGCAAAGGCAGGCGGACACCCAGGCCCGTGGAGGGGGCAGCAGCCCTGCGACATTCCCTGCCCCCAAGCAGCAGGAGGCTCATTTATCCATTTATCAGGGAAGCTTCCTGTGCCTCAGCTTTCCCAAGGTGGGGAAGGGTGAAGTCGAGGCCAGGCCTCTGCGGTTGGGACACCCCGAGGGATCTCCCTGTCCTCCTCCTCGGTTCTCCAGGCCCCACTCTGCCACTGCCCCATCTCCCCACCTAGAGCTTCCTGCAGAGCCGGGCAGAGCCGGGTGCCTTCTCTGCTGGTTGCCTGGGCGCCTGTGCCCCTTCCCTAGATCTGCAGTAGGGAACTGCTTCCCGGTGGCCTAAGGGCTTGGACGCTGGCCATGACCATGGACACCCCCACCACCCTGAGAGGGTGCCATACCCCAGCCCGAGGCTGGAGGGCCAGCTGTACGGCAGGGCCATGGAAGGGAGGACCAGGCAGCCTCCTGTGGCTCCTGCCAGGGAAACCCTCTCTGCTCGCTGCTGCTCAGCCTTTCCCAGCCCTGCCCCTCTCGTCTTGCTTCTCACATTTCAGCCTCTGAGTTACTGGCACCACTGTCTGTTGCTGCTGTTGCTGCTGCTGCTGCTGAAGCCGGCACCAGCCAGACATTAACCCCTGATGCGCTGGCGGCCGCAGCTGCACAGCAGGAAAGGGGCACCAGGGGCTCAAGCTCTGGCGGGCTTGAGGGAGGAGAGAGCAATCCCAGAGCCGGTCCCTTTGCTGCCCCCGGTCCCCACTCCACAGTGCTTACTGCGCTTGCTTCTTCCTTGTCTGCACAGACTTGAAGCCAAAACCCTTTCTGACCCCTACGAGTTGCTCCTTCCTCTGACAGTCTGGCTCTGACCATCAGCCCACAGGAAGGGGCTACATTTCACCTGGTAGCTGACCTTGTCGTTTCATGCATGGCCATGTTTTCTCCCTCCGTATGCCTTGTCATGCCCAGCGGGACCCTCCTCTTGTACCCGGATTTACCTGGCCACGGTTGAGCCACCAGGACCAGGTAAGCTCTTGAGTTTTGAGGCCAACAGGAAGCCATTCTCCAGGGCAGCCACGGGGGGATCTGGAGGAGCCTGAAAGAAGTGCAGGCCCTGGTAGTGGCTGGCTGTGATGGGCTTGGCCAAGCCCCTTGGGCGTGATCATAGGACTCAGGGCACCATGGTGAGGATGAAACTAGGAGTGCAGGTGGGGCGCGGCGGCTCACGCCTGTAATCCCAGCACTTAGGGAGGCCGAGGCGGGCAGATCACCTGAGGTCAGGACTTCAAGACCAGCCTGGCCAACATAGTTAAACTCTGTCTCTACAAAAATACAAAAATTAGCAGGGCATGATGGCTGGTGCCTATAATCCCAGCTACTCGGGAAGCTGAGGTGGGAGAATTGCTTGAGCCTGGAAGGCTGCGGTTGCAGTGAGCCAAGATCGCACCATTACACTCTAGCCTGGGTGACAGAGTGAGACTCCCTCTCAAAAAAGAAAAGAAGGAAGGAAGGAAAGAAAATAACTAGGAGGCTGGGCGCGGTGGCTCACGCCTGTAATCCCAGCACTTTGGGAGGCCGAGGCAGGTGGATCACGAGGTCAGGAGATCGAGACCATCCTGGCCAACACGGTGAAGCCCCGTCTCTACTAAAAATACAAAAAAAAAATTAGCCGGGCGTGGTGGCAGGTGCCTGTAGTCCCAGCTACTCGGGAGGCTGAGGCAGGAGAATGTCGTGAACCCAGGAGGCAGAGCTTGCAGTGAGCCGACAGAGCGAGACTCCGTCTCAAAAAAAAAAAAAAAAAAAAAAAAAGAAACTAGGAGTGCGAAGAAAGCCCCCACAGCAGCACTGGCCTGCGCTGGTGATGATCTATGGCTCCCGCCCCCGGACCCACACTGGGGCTTGGAGCCTGCCCCTCCCCAGGGAGAGCTGGCCCTGTTTCCTGGCTGCCTCTCCCAGCTGGAAACTCACCCAGCTTTGGTTTTCATGAGCGCAGGCCTCCAGCCCTCCTCTGGCCTGGTCAGCCCCAGCCTTCCCTTTTCCAGTCTCAAGTGGAACATGACATTCCACCTTCCGTTCCCAACCTCTGTCTACTCCATGTGAAGAGATCCAGTCACCCAGAGGGACACTGGAGATGGCACCTCCCAGGTGTCCTCATCCCACATGCCTCTGCTTCCTGCCTTTCTTCTGATCCCCAAATGCAACTTTCTGGTTTCTTTCATTCTTTTTTTTTTTTTTTTGAGATTGAGTCTCGCTCTGTCAGAGGCTGGAGTGCAGTGGCGCAGTCCTGGCTCACTGCAACCTCCACCCCCTGGGTTCAAGGGACACTCCTGCCTCAGCCTCCTGAGTAATTGGGACTACAGGAGTGTGCCACCTCGCCTGGCTAATTTTTGTATTTTTAGTAGAGATGGGGTTTCACCATGTTGGTCAGGCTGGTCTCAAACTCCTGCACTCAAGTGATCTGCCCACCTCAGCCTCCCAAAGTGCTGAGATTACAGGCGTGAGCCACCATACCCGGCTCTTTGTTTTTTTCAAGAGTCTCACTTGCTTGCCCTGGCTGGAGTGCAGTGACATGATCATGGCTCACTGCAGCCTCAACCTTTTGGCCTCAAGTGATCCTACCTCCTCAGCCTCCCAAGTATCTGGGCCAGGTGCACCACCAACACACCCAGTTAATTTTTAAATTTTTGTAGAGAAGGAGTCTTGCTATGTTGTCCAGGCTGGTCTCAAACTCCTGGGCTCAAGTGATCCTCCTACCTCAGTCTCCCGAAGTGCTGGGGTTACAAGTGTGAGCCACGGCCCCTAGCTCCCCTTGATTTCTTGTGGGCCTCCTTTGACCCTCCACTCTCTCTGGCCACACTGCCTTGGTTCCTTGGCTGGCTCTTTTCTCTTTCTCTCTCTCTCTCTCCTTTCTTTTTTCTTTTTTTGAGATGGAGTCTCGCCCTGTTGCCCAGGCTGGAGTGCAGTGGCGCAATTTCGGCTCACTGCAAGCTCCACCTCCTGGGTTCACGCCATTCTCCTGCCTCAACCTTCTGAGTAGCTGGGACTACAGGTGCCCGCCACCACGCCCGGCTAATTTTTTGTATTTTTAGTAGAGATGGGGTTTCACCATGTAGCCAGGATGGTGTCGATCTCCTGACCTCATGATCTGCCTGCCTCAGCCTCCCAAAGTGCTGGGATTACAGGCGTGAGCCACCGTGTCTGGCCTCTTTCTTTCTTTCTTTCATCTTTCTTTCTTTTTTTTAATTTTTGACGTAGTCTCACTCTGTCGCCCAGGCTGCAGTGCAGTGGCACGATCTCGACTCACTGCAATCTCTGCCTCCTGGGTTCAAGCGACTCTCCTGCCTCAGCCTTCTGAGTAGCTAGGATTACAGGGGTACGCCACCAAGCCCAGCTAATGTTTGTATTTTTAGCAAAGACAGGGTTTCACTATGTTGGCCAGGCTGATCTCGAACTCCTGACCTCAGTTGATCCACCTGCCTCGGCCTCCCAAATGCTGGGATTACAGGTGTCAGCCACAACGCCTGGCCTGATTTACTCTCATTTTCTATTAACCAGAGGCCTCCTGGTGAGAAGGCCCCAGGCTGGGTGTCAGGGGTCTTAGATCTGGTCTCATGGTTACAGCTAATTCTTTGAGGGTCTTCAGAAATGTCCATCCTCCATGTCAACAGGCTCTGCTCTGCTTGATGAAATTATTGTAACTGCCCCATGGCCTCATAATCAATTGATAAAGCAGTTTGATGGCCATTTCTGTGTAAAGCAGAAACAGTCCAGCCAGCATGGCTGTGAATTGAGTGTTTCTAGAGGGAGTGCACTCGGTTGAAGGCCTGGGCACCTGGTTCCTCCTTGTGGACACTGAGAAGCAGAGAGGCACTTCCCTAGGGGAAAAGTCCCTAAAGGGAGCTGAAATCCTCTTCGAGTGTGGGAGGAGGAAGAGAAATTGAGTGCTGAAAAGGACAGGGCGGGTGAGCTGATGGAGGGGAGACGGAGAGGCAGAGGGAGAAGGAGAGGGAGAGGGCTGGCAGGCGCCCATAGCTGGGGCCAGAGAGAGAGGGTGCAGGGGACTCCAGCCACCTCAAATAGGGTTGCAGCCAGCCCCATTTTTGTGTGTTTGTTTGTGTGTCTGTTTGTTTGTTTTTGAGACAAGGTCTCCCTGGGTCACCAAGGCTGGAATGCAGTGGTGCAATCATGACTCACTCCAACCTCAACATCCTGGGATCAAGTGATCCTCTCACCTCAGCTCCCTAAGTAGCTGGGACCACAGCATGTGCCACCAGGCCCAGCTGATTTTTTTTTTTTTTTTTGAGATGGAGTTTCGCTCTTGTTGCCCAAGCTGGAGTGCAATGGCGCGATCTCAGCTCACTGCAACCTCCACCTCCTAGGTTCAAGCAATTCTCCTGCCTCAGCCTCTCGAGTAGCTGAGATTACAGGCGCGCGCCACCGTGCCTGGTAAATTTTTTGTAGTAGAAACGGGATTTTACCATGTTTGCCAGGCTGGTCTCGAACTCCTGACCTCAGGTGATCCACCTGCCTTGCCCTCCCAAAATGTTAGGATTAGAGGCGTGAGCCACCATGCTGGCCCTTTTTTTTTTTTTTTTTTTTTTTTTTAAGATGGAGTTTCTCTCTGTCCCCCATGCTGGAGTGCAGTGGCATGATCTCAGCTCACTGCAGGCTCTGTCTCCCGGGCGCAAGCAATTCTCATGCCTCAGCCTCCTGAGGAGCTGGAAATACAGGTGCCCACCACCATGCCCAACTAATTTTTGTATTTTTAGTAAAGATGGGGTTTCGCCATGTTGGCCAGGCTGGTCTCAAACTCCTGACCTCAGGTGATCCGCCTACCTCGGCCTCCCAAAGTGCTGGGATTGCAGGAGTGAGCCACTGTGCCCAGCCAATTAAAAAAAAAAAATTTTTTTTGAGACGAAATTTCGCTCTTGTTGCCCAGGCTGGAGTGCAATGGCATGATCTGGACTCACCGCAACCTCCGCCTCGTGGGTTCAAGTCATTCTTCTGCCTCAGTCTCCCAAATAGCTGGGATTACAGGCATGCGCCACCATGCCTGGCTAATTTTGTGTTTTTAGTAGAGATGGGGTTTCACCATGTTGGTCAGGCTGGTGTCAAACTCCCGACCTCAGGTGATCCGCCCACCTTGGCCTCCCAAAGTGCTGCGATTACAGGCATGAGCCACCACACCTGGCCTTAAAACATTTTTTGTAGAGATGGGGGCTTGCTATGTTGCCCAGGCTGGTCTTGAACTCGTAGGCTCAAGTGATCCTCCTGCCTCAGCCTCATGAGTAGCTGGGACTACAAGTGCACACCATCACGCCTAGCTAATTTTTTTTTTTTTTTTTTTTTTTTTTTTTTTTTTTTTGTTTTGAGACTGAGTCTCATTCTGTTGCCCAGGCTGGAGTACAGTGGCACGATCTCGGCTCACTGCAACCTCCACCTCCCGGGTTCAAGTGATTCTCCTGCCTCAGCCTCCTGAGTAGCTGGGATTACAGCTGCCCACCACCACGCCCGGCAAATTTTTGTATTTTTAGTAGAAGTGGGGTTTCACCATGTTGTCCCGGCTGGCCTCGAATTTCTGACCTCAAATGATCCTTCTGCCTCGGCGTCCCAAAGTGCTGGGATTACAGGCATGAGCCACCGCGCACTGCTAATTTTTTTTAAAGATGAAATCTTGCTATGTTGCCCAGGCTGGTTTGGAACTCCTGAGCTCAAATGATCCTCTCATCTGGCCTCCCAGAGGGCTGGGATCCCAGGTGTGAGCCATCGGGAACCAGCTGCATTTTCAGTGCTTACTCATGGCCAAAGTGAATCAGATCCAACTGAGGAGGAGGAGGCGCGCATCACAGGTCTCCCTAGACAAGCCAGGCACTGTAGGGATCTGCAGGGCCTCGGGATTGTGGGGGGCTGCGGTCAGCCCCTTCACCCCAACACCTACCTGCCTGGGGCTCCCCCACCGTGTTCCTGCTCGGCATCCACAAAGCAGCGCGTGTGCCGGACGCCCCCTACTGGTCGGGGGAGCCCCAGCCCTGTGAGCCCAGAGATGTCCCCCTGACTTGGGGAGAGGAGGGCCAGAGGACCGGAAGTGGCTTTGCTCCGAACCCCAGTAGGAGCATCTGACCCCCGTTCCGCCTTCCTGGGAGCATCCAGGATCCTTTCCCAGGCAGGGACTTTTTGCTTCTCAACCTGGCTCCAACGACTGGTGTCCCTGCCCCCGCCACCACCCCAAAGAGGCTATGGTTCCCCATATGCACGGGAGTATAGCAGGGCCGGAAAGGTCAGGTGCTGCATCCCCCTGCTCCCAGCAAATTTCTATAGCGGAACAAGCCTCGTTAAGACTGAGGACATAGATTCCTGCCTGGGTTCCATCTCCAATTCTCTGTATGTTCTCAGGAAATTCTCCTCCCTTACTCTATCCTACCTTCAAACCCCCCATCTGGGGCAGGAGAATTTTCCTGTGACCCCCAATGCCCTTTACCCTGGTGTAACCCCCTTTTGATGAGTGTGGGCAAAACCTACAAATATATCACTTCTGTGGTTAGGATGCATGACATGCTATGGTTGACCTTGAGGCAGAGAGATTATCAATGATTCTGACCTAATCACATGCACTCTTAAAAAGCAGAGTTGGCCAGGCGCAGTGGCTCACACCTGTAATCCCAGCACCTTGGGAAGCTGAGGCTGGAAGATCGCTTGAGTCCATGAGTTTGAGACAAGCCTGGGCAACATAGGAAGACCCTATCTCTACAAAAAAATTAAGAAAATTAACACATATAGGCCGGGTGCGGTGGCTCACGCCTGTAATCCTAGCACTTTGGGAGGCCGAGGCAGGTGGATCACCTGAGGTTGGGAGTTCAAGACCAGCCTGACTAATATGGAGAAACCCTGTCTCTACTAAAAATACAAAATTAGCCGGGTGTAGGCTGGGCTCTGTGGCTCATGCCTGTCATCTCAGCACTTTGGGAGGCTGAGGTGCGCGGATCACCTGAGGTCAGGAGTTCAAGACCAGCCTGGCCAACATGGTGAAACCCGTGTCTACTAAAATGTACAAAAAACTAGCCGGCCGTGGTGGTGCATGCGTGTAATCCCAGCTTTTCAGGAGGCTGAGGCAGGAGAATCACTTGAACCAGGGAGGTGGAGATTGCAGTGAGCCGAGATTGCACCATTGCATTCCAGACTGGGCGACAAGAGCAAAGTTCTGTCTCAAAAAAAAAAAAAAATGCTGAATAATATTAGGCCGGGCGCAGTAGCTCACGACTGTAATCCCATCACTTTGGGAGGCTGAGGCAGGTGGATCACGAGGTCAGGAGATTGAGACCATTCCTGGCTAACACAGTGAAACGCTGTCTCTAGCCAGGCGCGGTGGCTCACACCTGTAATCCCAGCACTTTGGGAGGCCGAGGCGGGGAGATCAAGAGGTCAGGAGATTGAGACCATTCTGGCTAACATGGTGAAACCCCATCTCTACTAAAAAATACAAAAAATTAGTCGGGCATGGGGGCAGGCGCCTGTAGTCCCAGATACTCGCGAGGCTGAGGCAGGAGAATGGCGTGAGCCCGGGAGGCAGAGCTTGCAGTGAGCTGAGATCACACCACTGCACTCCAGCCTGGGCGACAGAGCGAGACTCTGTCTCAAAAAAAAAAAAGAAAAGAAAATTCTAGAAACACCGTGTCTACTAAAAATACAAAAAAGCCAGGTGTGGTGGCAGAGGCTGAGGCGGGAGGATCGCTTGAGCCCAGGAAGTTTTGTTTGTTTTGTTTTGTTTTTAGAAGGAGTCTCGTTCTGGAATGTAGTGGCAGGATCTCGGCTCACTGCAACCTCCGCCTCCTGGATTCAAGTGATTCTTCTACCTCAGCCTCCTGAGTAGCTGAGACTACAGCCGTGTGCTACCTCCCCTGGCGAATTTTTGTAATTTTTTAGTAGAGATGGGGTTTCATCATGTTGCCCAGGCTGATCTCGAACTCTTGACCTCAAGTGATCCGCCCGCCCCTACCTACCAAAGTGTTGAGATTACAGGTGTGAACCACTGTGCCCGGCCTGAGCCCAGGAAGTTGACACTGCAGTGAGCCATGATTGCACCACTGCGATCAAACCCCACCCCCCGAAAAAAAAGACCCAAAAACCTAAGTGTAAAAATGAGAACAACCTATCCTCACCTCTGCAGCAGCCACCTTTGCCGACAGCTCTTCCTCCTGGCTGCAGTTCTTATGATTTCCCATCTCCAACCAGCAGCTCCCAACCAGCCTGGGAAGGGGTTGGGGGTAGCCTTTGTCCTGAAAACTGCTGTGCTGATGGCATGGTCAGAGCAGCTGACACCTCCGAGCCAGTGAGGAAAGAGCCAAGGGAAGGAGTCCTGAATCCTCTGCTCTAAGGAATCCCCCATGCTTGCTTTCTGGGGCTTCCTGGACTTGTGGCCATCTTTAGGGTCAGTCAATAAAGTTGCTTTTTTTTTTTTTTGAGATGGAGTCTCGCTTTGTCACTCAGGCTGGAATGCAGTGGCACAATCTCGGCTCACTGCAACCTCCACCTCCCGGGTTCAAACGATTCTCCTGCCTCAGCCTCCCAAGTAGCTGGGACTACAGGCGTGCGCCACCATGCCCGACTAATTTTTGTATTTTTAGTAAAGATGAAGTTTCACCAGTTGGCCAGGCCGGTCTCGAACTCCTGACCTCAGGTGATCCACCTGCCTCAGCCTCCCACAGTGCTGGGATTACAAGCGTGAGCCACTGCCCCTGGCCTTCCCTTTTTTTTTTTTTAATTATTTTATTTTATTTTGTTTTGAAGTATTTCACTCTGTTGCCCAGGCTGCCTTTGCAATCCTGGACTTGGGGGATTTTTCTGTCTCAGCCTCTGGAGTAGCTGAAATTACAGATGTGTGCCACCACACTCTGCTGATTACTTTCTTTTTTTACAGAGACCCACCTTTTATTTGTATTTATTTATTTATTTATTTATTTGAGACATGGTCTTGCTCTGTTGCTCAGGTTGAAGTGCAGTGGCATGATCACGACTCACTGCAGCCTTAACTCCTAGGCTCAAGCAATCCTCCCGCCTCAGCCTCCTGAGTAGCCAGGACTTCAGACATAAGCCACTGTGACCGGCCAAGAGACCCACCTTTTACAGGGCAAGTGGTTTGTTTGCCAATTTTCACTGCCCCACCACATGAGGGTGTTTCGAGTGGGAAGCAGGTGCACCCTGTGTGAACAGCAAAGCCCAGCGCATGCCTGCTGCCTCCCACCTGCTGCCACGTAGAGCTGGGAAGGGGAAAGGCTGAGCCCCACCTCCGACCTTCCCTACATATCAGGAAATCTTGTCGTTCTCCAAGGTCAGCTCAGACGCCTCTGGCCACTGCCGCCCATGGCAACTTGGTGCCAGGGATGACAGCAACCAACACTCATTGATGCCGTGACATGCCAGGCTGTCACCAGCTTTTCACAACAGCCCTGCCAGGGAGATGCTGTGTGGCTTTCATTTTGCAGATGAGAGAGCAGAGTCAGGTTAGTAGGGTTGGGGTTCAGGCAGGACCTGGATTCTGTACCACACTTCGTGGCTGCTAGTGGTTTCTGGAAGTCTGTTGTCTGAAGAGCAGGGAGTGTGTGTAGACAGAGACAGGTCTGAGGGCTGTGCCGTGGGCATGTCCTAGACGCAAAGCAAAAAAAGAATTTCAAGAAGGTCAGATGCAGTGAAGGCAGAAAACAGAGACCCAGATGTAGCATCCTGGAGGTCCTCGTGACTTTGAAAAGAGAAGGGTTTGTGTGTGTGTGTGTGTGTGTGTGTGTGTGTGTGTGTGTGTGTGTTTTATTATTTATTTATTTATTTTTGAGACAGTCTCACAGTTGCCCAGGCTGGAGTGCAGTGGTGCGATCTCGGCTCAGGTGCGATCTGTTGCCCAGGTTCAAGCGATTCTCCTGCCTCAGCCTCCTGAGTAGCTGGGATTACAGGTGCCTGCCCTTGCGCCTGGCTAATTTTTGTAGTTTTAGCAGAGATGGGGGTTTCACCATCTTGGCCAGGCTGGTTTTGAACTCCTGACCTCGTGATCCACCTGCCTTGGCCTCCCAAAGTGCTGGGACTACAGGCATGAGCCACCGCGCCCAGCCATATGTGTTTTATTTTGGAGACAGGGTCTCACTCTGCGGTCTAGGCTGGAGTGCAGTGGTGCACTCTTGGCTCAAAGCAGCCTCAACCTCTTAGAATCAAGTGATCCTCCCTCCTCAGCCTCCAGAGTAGTAGCTGGGACCAAAGATGTGCATCACCACACCTGGCTAATATTTTAATTATTTATAAAGATGAAGTCTTGCTATGTTGCCCGGCTGGTCTGGAACTCCTGGGCTCAAGCCATCCTCCTGCCTCCTGCTTTGACCTCCCAAAGTGCTAGGATTACAGAAGTGAGTCACTGCCCCCATGCAGTCATGGGGGTGTGATGGAGTGAGCAGGAGGGAAGGGGAGAGAGTGAGTGTGAACATCCATTTCAAGGAGTTTTGCTGTTAGATTCCAGAGCTGGGCTGGGCGTGGTGGCACATACCTGTAGTCCCAGCTACAAAGGAGGCTGAGGCAAGAGAATGGCTTGAACCTGGGAGGTGGAGGTTGAAGTGAGTGGAGATCATGCCACTGCACTCCAGCTTGGGTGACAGAGTGAGACTGTCTCAAAACCAAGAAAAGAGAGCAGAGCTAAGGGGATCTAGGGTCAGTCCGTTGGTTTGAAAGGAGAATAGTAACAGCTTGTTAGTAATGGGTATGATCCAAAAGACGGTGTGCACTGAAGACAAAGGAGAGAGGACAGTTTCTGGAGTGACGGCTCTGAGTTGTGCAAGTAGAAGGGTCTTCTGTGCATGAACAGCATGGATGCTCATCCAGAGACACTGGCCGATGGCAGTTCCCAGGCACAGAGAGGGAGGCAGTGGCGGGCATGGCAGCCTGTGGAAGGTCTCTTCTAATTGCTTCCATTTCCCTCAGAGGAACGGGAAGTGAGCTACAAGCAAGGAGGAGGTGCTAGAGGGCTTGAGGGGAGAGGAGAAGGAAGGGTAGGAAGAAGGGGCCAGGGCAACAGGATGCAGTCACAGCAACCCCCAGACCCACTTGAGGGTATGGATCAGGCACTTAAAAATAAGAGCAGTGGCAGGCTGGGCGCGATGGCTCATGCGTGTAATCCCAGCACTTTGGGAGGCCAAGGCGGGCGGATCACCTGAGGTCTGGAGTTCGAGGCCAGGCTGACCAACATGAAGATACCCCATCTCTACTAAAAATACAAAATTAGCTGGGCATGGTGGTGGGCACCTGTAATCCCAGCTACTTGGGAGGCTGAGGTAGGAGAATCACTTGAACCCAGGAGGCAGAGGTTGCGGTGAGCTGAGATTGTGCCGTTGCACTCCAGCCTGGGCAATAAGAGCAGAGCTCTGTCTCAAAAAAAGGACCTGGTGGAGGCCGGGCACGGTGGCTCATGCCTGTAATCCCAGCACTTTGGGAGGCTGAGATGGGTGGATCACAAGGTCAGGAGATTGAGACCATCCTGGCTAACATGGTGAAACCCTGTCTATACTAAAAATACAAAAAATTAGCCGGGCACGGTGGCTGGCACCTGTAGTCCCCAGCTACTCTGGAGGCTGAGGCAGGAGAATGGCGTGAACCCGGGAGGCGGAGCTTGCAGTGAGCAGAGAGAGCGCCACTGCCGTCTGGCCTGGGCGAAAGAGAGAGACTCCGTCTCAAAAAAAAAAAAAAAAAAAAAAAAGAGGGTCTGGTGCAGTGGCTCACGCCTGTAATCCCAGTGCTTTGGGAGGCTGAGGCGTGAGGATTGCTTGAGCCCAGGAGGCTACAATAAGCCGTGCACCACTGCATTCCAGCCTGAGTGAGAGTGAGACCCTGTCTCAAAAAAAAAAAAAACAAAAATCCAAAAACCCGTCACCTAGCGGGTGACTTTGACTTTGACAACATCCCTAATACAACTGTTGCTGACTGGAGGGAAAAAATAAAAACAAACCAATCAGCAAGGTTGTGGGATTTCCTCTTTCTAGCCATATTTGGCTGTTTCTTTCAGGTAGGGAGAGGGGAAGAGCAGGCAGTGTGAGATGAACTGGGTCACAGCTGCAGGAGTTAGCAGGATCAATGGGGTCAGCCGACTATGGCCCACTGCATTTTTTGTTTGTTTGTTTTGAGAGGGAGTTTTGCTCTTGTCACCCAGGCTGGAGTGCAATGGTGTGATCTCAGCTCACCACAACTTCTGCCTCCCAGGTTGAAGCCATTCTCCTGCCTCAGCCCCCTCAGTAGTTGGGATTACAGGCGCCCACCACCACAACCAGCTAGTTTTTGTATTTTGAATACAGACAGGGTTTCACCATTTGGCCAGGCTGGTCTCGAACTTCTGACCTCAGGTGATCTGACCTCCTCAAGCCTCCCAAAGTGCTGGGATTACAGGCATGAGCCACTGAGCCTGGCCCAGCCCACTGCTTTTATAACAAACCTTTTTCTATTGTGGTAAAATATACATAACAAAGACTTACTGTTTAACCAGTTATTTATTTGTTTGTTTATTTGTTTTTGTAGAGACGGGGTCTCACCATGTTGCCCGGGACAGTCTTGAACTCTTTTTTTTTTTTTTTTTAAGTAGTCTCGCTCTCTTGCCCAGGCTGGAGTGCAATGGTGTGATCTCTGCTCACTGCAACCTCTGCCTCCCAGGTTCAAATGATTCTCCCTCCTCAGCCTCCTGAATAGCTGGGATTACAGGCACAGGCCACCACACCTGGCTAATTTTTGTAGTTTTGTAGAGATAGGGTTTCACCATATTGGCCAGGCTGATCTTGAACTCCTAACCTCAGGTGATCTGCCTGCCTTGGCCTCCCAAAGTGCTGGGATTACAGGCATGAGCCACCTCTCCCAGCTGGTGTTGAACTCTTGGTGGGTGAACAAGTGAGCCAGCCAGCCAAGCTTCATCTGTATCTACAGCCACTCCACATGGCTAGCGGTACTGCCTGAGTTCCGCCTCCTGCCAGATCAGCGGTGGCATTAGATTCTCATAGGAGTGCAACCTTATTGTGAATGAACTGTGGGTGTGCGGGATCTAGATTGAGTGCTTCTTATGAGAATCTAATGCCTGATGATCTGTCACTATCTCCCATCACCCCCAGATGGGACTGTCTAGTTGCAGGAAAACAAACTCAGGGCTCCCATTGAGTCTACATTATGGTGAGTTGCATAGTTATTTTATTATATATTATAGTGTAATAATAGAAATAAGGTATGCAATAAATGTAATGCTGTAGTAGGTGTCAGTGCTTCATTCTGTCTTATGGCTGAATAATATTCCACTGTATGGACAGACCACATTTAGTTTATCCATTCATCAGTTGATAGATACTAGGTTGCTTCCATGTTTTGGCTCGTATGAATAATGCTGCTGTGGACATGGGTGTACCATGATCTGTTTGAGTCCCTGTTTTCATTCTCTTGGATGTTTACCTAGGAGTGGAATTGCTGGGGCCTATGATAACTACTGCCTGTTGCATGGCTCACAAACCAAGAATGGTGTGGTAGACAGAATAATGGCCCCCCCAATGAAGATCATGCCCCATCCCCAGAACCTATCAATAGTTACCTTATGTGGCAAAAGGGACTCTGCAGTTGTGATTACGTTAAGGATTTTGAGATGGGGAGATTATTCTGCATTATCTGGGTGGGCCCAAGGTCATCAAGAGAGGGAGATGAAAGGGTGAGAGAGATGGGATGGCAGAAGCAGAGACTGAGAAGTGCACTTTGAAGATGGAGGAAGGGGCCACAAGCCAAGGAATGTGAGTGGCATCTACAAGTTGGAAAAGGGAAGGAAACGGATTCTTCCCTAGAACTTTAGGAGAAATACAACCCTGCTTACACCCTGAATTTAGCCAAACATAACCCATCTGGACTTCTGACCTTCAGAGAATAAATTTGTGTTGTTTTTTAAAATTATACACACACACACACACACACACACACACACACACACACACACACAGACATATATTTGTGGAGATGGAATTTCCCTATGTTGTTGCCCAGGCTGGTCTCCAACTGCTGGCCTCAAGTGATCCTCCTGCATCAGCCTCCCAAAGTGCTGAGATTACAGGCATGAGCCATGATTCCTGGTCAAATTTATGTTGTTTTATGCCACTAAGCTTGTAGTAACTTGTTACGGAGGCCATAGAACTTTTACATTTTCAAATGGTTGGAAAGCGATCAAATGATATTTTGTGGCACATGAAATTATACGACATTCCATTTGTGTCCATAAGCAAAGTGTTATTGGCACCCAGAGATGCCCATTCATTCATATACCATCTAGGACTGCTTTCCAGCCGGAGGGACAATAGAGTGCTTGCAGGAGGCCGTGTGGTCTGCAAAGCCTAAAATATTTACTATCTGGTACTTTAGGGAAAAAACCTTGCTGACTCCTAATATATTTATTCATTTTGTTGTTGTTGTTTGTTTTTTGAGACGGAGTCTTGCTCTGTCGCTAGGCTGGAGTGCAGTGGCATGATCTCGGCTCACTGCAACCTCTGCTTCCCAGGTTCAAGCGATTCTCCTGCCTCGGCTTCCTGGGTAGCTGGGACTACAGGCACACAGCACCATGCCCAGCTAATTTTTTGTATTTTAGTAGAGATGGGGTTTCACCATGTTGGCCAGGATGGTTTCAATCTCCTGAACTCATGATCCACCTGCCTCAGCCTCCCAAAGTGCTGGGATTACAGGCATGAGCCACGGCACCCGGCCTGTTTGTTTGTTTTTGAGATGCTTCGTCACCCAGGCTGGAGTGCAGTGGCGCAATCTCGGCTCACAGCAGCCTCTGCCTCCCAGGTTCAAGGGATTCTCATACCTCACTCTCCCGAGTAGCTGGGATTACAGGTGCCTGCCATCATGCCTGGCTAATTTTTGTATTTCTAGTAGAGGTAGGGTTTCCCCATGTTGGCCAGGCTGGTCTCAAACTCCTGACTTCAAGTGATCCATCTGCCTTGGCCTCCCAAAGTGCTGAGATTACAGGCATGCGCCACTGCTACCGGCCTGATTTTTTTTTTTTTTTTTTTGAGGCGGAGTCTGGCTCTCCCAGGCTGGAGTGCAGTGGCACAATCTCGGCTCACTACAATCTCCACCTCCCGGGTTCAAGCGATTCTCCTGCCTCAGCCTCCTAAGTAGCTGGGACTACAGGCATGTGCCACCATGCCTAGATTTTTTTTTTTTTGTCCTTTTAGTAGAGATTGGGTTTCACTATGTTGGTCAGGCTGGTCTTGAACTGCTGACCTCAAATGATCCGCCCACCTCGGCCTTCCAAAGTGCTGGGATTACAGGCATGAGCCACGGCACCTGGCCTGATTGATTATTTTTATTTTTTATTGTATTTATTTATTTTTTGAGACAGAGTCTTACTCTGTCGCCCAGGCTGGAGGGCAGTGGCGCGATCTTGGCTTACTGCAACCTCCGCCTCCTGGGTTCAAGAGATTCTCCTGCCTCAGCCTCCTGCGTAGCTGGGATTATAGGCACCCGCCACCACGCCCGGCTATTTTTTTATTTTAGTAGAGATAGGGTTTCGTCATGTTGGCCATGGTGGTCTTGAACTCCTGACCTCAGGTGATCCACTCACCTCAGCCTTCCAAAGTGCTGGGATCACAGGCGTGAGCCACCACGCCCGGCCTAGTCAAGGCAATTCTGTAAGGGAGGAGCAGGAGGTAGACACGCTTGCTCCAGTTGCCATTCATTCATTCACTCATTTTTTCAGGCACCGGAGAGGTCATTCAGTGCATTTGGTTTTGTGGCCCTATGGCATATATTGATTGTCTCCAAATGTCATCATTTCCTGAGCACAGCTCCTGTCACTGCAGTGTGGTCGGCAGCTTCTCGAGGGCAGCATTTCTGGTTTGATTTCCGTGTGGCCAAGTAGGATATGTGAACACAGAAAGAAGTAGCCAGGACTGATTGGACAGTCCCTCTCCAGGGCTGTGCAAATGATGCCCATGTTCCTTGGGGACACAGAGTGGGTCCCGGAAGGCTGACGGGCAGCCCTGATTCTGCTGCCTTCTGCCTGGGCTAGAGTGAGACCTCAGTAGCTGCGGGAATCACAAGCAGCAGGGTGGGGCTAGGGTAATACAAGGGAGGCCCTTGCTTGGGGAACAAAAGTTAATGGGAGCACCAAACCCCTCAGTAATCAAGTTTCACAAAACTTTAATGCAATACTTTAGAGAAATCAAAACTGGCCAGGAACAGTGGCTCACACCTATAATCCCGGCACTTTGGGAGGCCGAAGCAGGAGGATGGCTTGAGTCCAAGAGTTTAAGACCAGCCTGGACAACATAGTGAGACCCTGTCTCTACAAAAAATTTTAAAAATTGCCAGGCATGGTGGTGGCATGCCTGTAGTCCCAGGTACTTGAGAGGCTGAGTTGGGAGGATCACATGGGCCTAGGAGTTCAAGGCCTGCAAAGAGCTATTGTATCACCACTGTACTCCTCCTGCCTGGGCAACAGAGTGAGACCCTGTCTCAAGAAAAAATTGAAATTAATGCCAAAAATTTACAATGACCAAAATATCTGAATTACAAATTAAAAACACATTTATTGATTTATAATAAATCAGTATTAGAAATCAATGTTGAACCAGCTTTTGAATGTTTATTTTTTTAATTTTTGAGACAGTCTCAATTTGTCGCCCAGGCTGGAGCACAGTGGTGCGATCTCCACTACTGCAACCTCTGCCTCCCGGGTTCAAGTGAGTCTCCTGCCTCAGCCTCCTGAGTAGCTGGGACTACAGGCACTTGCCACCATGCCCGGCTAATTTTTGTGTTTTCAGTAGAGACAGTTTCACCATGTTGGCCAGGCTGGTCTCGAACTTCTGATCTCAAGTGATCTGTCTGCCTCTGCCTCCCAAAGTGCTGGGATTACAGGCATGAACCACCACGCCTGGCCCAGTCTTTGAATTTTTAAAATTTTATTATTATTATTATTATTATTATTATTTTATGGATGGAGTCTCGCTCTGTCACCAAGGCTGGAGTGCAGTGGTGCGATCTCGGCTCACTGCAACCTCCACCTCCCGGGTTCAAGCGATTCCCCTGCCTTAGCCTCCCAAGTAGCTGTGACTACAGGTGCCCACCACCATGCCTGGCTAATTTTTTTTGTATTTTTAGTAGAGATGGGGTTTCATCATGTTAGCCAGGGTGGTCTCAATCTCCTGACCTTGTGATCTACCTACTTTGGACTCCCAGTTAAAATGTATTATTAAGACAGGGTCTTACACTGTTGCCCAGTCTGAAGGGCCATGGCGTGATCATAGCTCACTGTAGTCTTGAACTCCTGGGCTCAATCAACCCTCCTGCCTCAGCCTCCCAAGTAGCTGGGACTTTAGGCATGCACCACCGTGCCAGTCTAATTTTTTTTTATTTTTTTGTAAAGACAGCATCTGGTTATGTTGTCCAGGCTGGTCTCCAACTCCTGGCCTCAAGGGATCCTCCTGCCTCGGTCTTCCAAAGTGCTGAGATTACAAGTGTGAGACACTGTGCCTGGCCATTATTTGAATTTAAAGCTAAGGATCAGCAACAGTGTCTTGGAGAGCTATACTGAAGCCTGAGGGAAAGGGAAAAATCAGTAATACTGAGATAGTCATTAAAATGTGGAGAGTGTGTTTAGTATGGATTTTTGGCAGTAATTTATTTTATTTTATTTTATTATTTTATTTATGTATTATTTTATTGAGACAGGGTCTTGCTGTGTCACCCAGGCTGGAGTGCAGCGGCACGATCACAGCTCACTGCAGCCTCAACCTCCCTGGGCTCAAGCAATCCTCCCACCTCACCCTCCCGAACAGCTGGGACTACATCACCACGACAAGTTAATTCTTTTATATTTTTTATAGAGATGGTGTCTCACCACGTTGCCCAGGCTGGTCTTGAACTCCTGAGCTAAAGCAATCCACTCACTTGGGCCTCCCGAAGTGCTGGGATTACAGGCATGAGCCACTGTGCCCAGCCAATTTTGATGTTTTAAAATGTTAAATTAAGACGTAATTTGAGGCTGGGCGCGGTGGCTCATGCCTGTAATCCCAGCACTTTGGGAGACCAAGGCTGGTGGATCACTTGAGGTCAGGAGTTCAAGACCAGCCTGGGCAACATGGTGAGATCCTATCTCTACAAAAATTGCAAAAAATACCTGGGCATGGTGGCGCACTCCTGTAGTCCCAGCAACTCAGGAGGCTGAGGGACGAGAATCACTTGAACCCGGGAGGCGGAGGTTGCCGTGAGCCGAGATTGCGCCATTGGACTCCAGCGTGGGTGACAGAGCGAGACTCTGTCTCAAAAAAAAACAACAATAACAACAAAGAAAACCCAACATAATTTATCTTGGGTGTTGAAATTTTTGTCACTCTCTTACATTTTGCGATGTCAACTCTTGCCCCAGGAACCAGATTCTGTGTGGGCCTAGAAATGACTTCCAAGACAAATGAAAAAGCAGGTCTCTGCCATCCCCTGGCCGGACTCCAAATGCCGCTGCTTTGCGGGGGCTTCCTTGATTTATTAGGAGAGGGGATGAGTGCCTACTACCCAGTTCAGTGTGGGCAGCCAGCTCCCGGGTCTGCCTGGGCCACCCACTTGTGCCTAGGGTCTCCCTCTCATCCTTTCTGCCAAGGCTGTCTCCAGGGATATCAGCTTTGCAGATCACTCTCTGCAGTTCACACATGTGCCCAGCCCTGTACCATCCCCCGTGAAGAGAGAAAAGAGTAAAAGCACAGTCCCTCGTCTCTGGGAGACAAAATTGGACCAAGGAGGCCAGGTGCAGTAGCTCATGCCTGTAATCCCAGCACTTTGGGAGGCGGAGGCAGGTGGATTACGAGGTCAGGAGTTCGAGACCAGCCTGGCCAACATAGTGAAACCTCGTCTCTACTAAAAATACACAAAAATTAGCCAGGCCTGGTGGCAGGCGCCTGTAATCTCAGCTACTTGGGAGGCTGAGGCAGGAGAACAGGAGAATCGCTTAAACCTGGGAGGTAGAGGTTCCAGTGAGCCGAGATCGCGCCACTGCACTCCAGCCTGGGCGACAGTGTGAGACTCCGTCTCAAAAAAAAAAAAAAAAATTGAACCAGGGAGACAGCCAGAGAACACTCTGAAGGCCACATATAACTAAGTATGACAGAATGCTTTGCTCTGGAAAATAACAAAAGCAAGTACAAAATAAGGCCCTGATCAGAGGTGAGGTGTGGCAGGTGGGAGGATGAGTGTGATATAAAGAACCAGGGCTTTTTGCAGCCAGCACTCCTGAGTGCATTCTTGTCTGCAGCTGTGAGCTTCTGTCTTCCCATGTGCAAAATGAGAGGATAAGGAGACAGTAATGCACCAGAATAGCTTGCTCACTGCTGGGTGAGGTGGCTGATGCCTGTAATCCTGGCACTTTGGGGGACCGGGGTGGGCAGATCGCCTGAGGTCAGGAGTTTGAGACCAGCCTGGCCAACAGGGCAAAATCCCATCTGTACTAAAAATACAAAAATTAGCCGGGCTTGGTGGTGTGTGCCTGTAACCACAGCTACTTGGGAGGCTGAGGCAGAAGAATCACTTGAACCCAGGAGGCGGAGGTTGCAGTGAGCCGAGATCGTGCCACTGCACTCTAGCCTGGGTGACAAAGCAAGACTCCGTCTTAAAAAACAAAACAAAACAAAACAAAAAAAAGAATAGCTTGCTCACTAAGGGCAGTTAAAAATAGGCTTCCCACCAGGGCCATCCATGGCTCATGCTTGTAATCCCAGCAATTTGGGAGGTAGAGGTAGGATTCCTTGAGTCCCAGGAGTTCAAGACCAGGCTGGGCAACACAGTGAGACTCCTATCTCTATTTGTTGAAAAACAGTAAAAAGGTTTTTTTTTTTTTTTTTTTTTGAGACGGAGTTTCACTCTTGTTGCCCAGGCTGGAGTGCAATGACATGATCTTGGCTCACTGCAACCTCCACCTCCCGGGTTCAAGCGATTCTCCTGCTTCAGCCTCCCGAGTAGCTGAGATTACAGGCATGTGCCACCAGGCCCCCGGCTAATTTTGCATTTTTAGTAGAGACGGGGTTTCTCCATGTTGGTCAGGCTGGTCTCGAACTCCCGACCTCAGGTGATCCACCCGCCTCAGCCTCCCAAAGTGCTGAGATTACAGGCGTGAGCCAACGCGCCCAGCCGAAAGTTTTTTTTTTTTTTTTTTTTTTTTAAGTAGAAACATAGTAAGCCTTCCAGAGACTTTTTTTTGGTCAAGTGGTCTGGGATCTCTCCTTAGAGAAACTGCCTAACAGGTTGCTTCAAGGATTGGAGAGCGTGTAAGCAAAACTGCTCGGCATCCACCGGGTGCTGGCAACATCTAATAACAATATTTCCCAATAATAACAGTAACTATTGTTACTAGTAGGAATAAGTCAAATTAGGAGGCGCGATTTAGGCGGAACCTGGAAGGCGGTGGGCAGGATCCAGGACATTCCAAGGCAGGCGTGGGCTTCCTGAGCCAGGAGCCAACCCTCCAGGAGCCAGGGGAGGGCCTGGGGCCGGAAGGTGCGGCGTGCGAGCGGAGGACGGAAGCTCGCCGCCAGGGTCCCCGTCCCTGCCCCAAGTCGTCACCCCCTCTTGGGGAGCGCATCCTGGCGGAGGGGCAAGTCCCACACGGGCTTTGTTATGAATGGGAAGCTGCAGCCTTCAGCCCGCGGAGGGAACAGTGCGGGTCTGGGGGAATAGCAGGGGACCCGGCAGCAACCAGCAGACCTCCCCGCAGCGCTGGCAGCCTGCGCCCGGGGGCCGCTGCCGTTCAGGCCCGCCTCCACCCTCCCCTCCCTGCCGGGGCCCCCGGCTTCCTAGGGCGGCCCCAGCATCCGAGGCGCCCTTTGCCGTCCCGTCGCCGGGTCCAAGATTCCCAGGATCCGGAGTCCCGGCCGTGCGGCCAGCTAAGCAAGGCGGGAGGGAGGAAGCTGGCCGGCCTCCGAAGTCAGCCCCGAGTTACATGTGGGAAGCGGTGGCTGTGACGCAAGTTTCCAGGGGGCCCTGGGCTCGGCTCGAAGGGAGCACACCGGAGAGGCTCCGCTCCGTGCAGCTGCAATGGTGAAAAAGCAGAAGCCCCAAGCGCGAACCCCAGGCCGCCTTCCTTGCTGCCGCTGCACGCCCGACCCAGCCGCGCCCCCTCCTCCCTGCGGGCCGGCCGAGCGCGCGGACCCTGCTCTGGGCCAGTCGCTGCTGGACTCCGGGCTGCACGGGCTGGGCTCCCTGCGCGGTGGCTGGCCTTTTTTTTTTTTTTTTTGCAACGCTTGCCAACCTGTCAGCTGATGGACCTCATCACCCATAGTGGCGCATGTAGCTCGGCCGCAGCTCGCTCCATTCACGCCGCGCCCCGCAAGCCCGCCCGCGGCCCCCGGCCCCCTGCGCCCCGCGAGAGGCCTGCAGACCCCGGTTGCAGCCGGTCCCCGGGGGCCCGCGCCCCTCTCGCCCCGGCCTCGCGCCGCCCGGGGGGCGCTGCAAATAGTCCTTTGTTTACATGCAATTCCTTACTCCGCGGAAGGAGGCCGGGGGAGTGCTGAGTTTTCACCAGCTGTTTCCCGCCTTGAAACAGACATCTGATCAGCTGCAAACACACACACACACACACACACACACACACACACACACACACACACACATACACACGCCCGGGGAGGCAGGCCGGAGAGACCTCCCTCCCGCCCCTCCCGCCCGCCTCCCTCCCCTCGCCGCCGCCGCCGCCGCCAGCATCTGGGACCGGCCGATTCTGCACCTCCGTCCGGCGCTGCCCTTTGATTCGGATTTCCATCTTGCATTCTCCGGCTGATCGCGGGACCTGGCTCGTGCAGAGGAGGGGGGCCGATCGCTATGGAGTATTTCATGGTGCCCACTCAGAAGGTGCCCTCTTTGCAACATTTCAGGAAAACAGAGAAAGAAGTGATAGGAGGGCTCTGTAGGTGTGTACTCCTCCTCCCCCCACCCCCTTCCTACCACTGCAGCCCCCGGCCAGCCCGCCCGGGCGGGCGCGCGTGTGCGCACGCATGGCCCGCGCCGCCGACCCCGCTAGCCTTTCTTAGCTGCCGGGACGGCTGCAGCCCCACACGCCGGGTCCGCGCCGCCCCGGGACCCTCCTTCCTTGGAGCATGGGGGCCCCAAGCGGCCCCGGCCACTTTTGTCCGCTGCAGGCGGGCGAGTCGCGACGTTTGTAAATTGCAAACAGACCCACGTGGTTCTGCAGCAGTCCCGGCCATGCTTGGTGCTGGTGGCCTTCCCCCCCGCGCTTCCTCTTTCCCCCTCCTGCGGCGGCTTCCTTCCTCTCCTTCCTTCCTCGGGATCTGAGGTCGTCCCCATCCAAGGGGGTCTGGGGGCCCGGGGCGCGCGTGGGGGTGTAGCTAGGGCGGCTACAATGCAGCCATGCCGCGGCTCCCGGCGCGGGGTGGGGGCGGGGAGCCGGGCACTGTGCGTGTTTGCAGAGCGGGGCTGCAGCGGGGTCGGGGGCGTGCTCGCGTGTGGGTGTTGGGGGTGGGCGGACCCCGAGGGGCCCGCGCGGCCGGTAGGGGCGCCGCGGCCCGGGGCACGTTGGCTGCCGCTCGCTCGCCCGCCCGCGCCCGGGCGCTGTTTACTAGCGAGGCCTGGACGTGACTCTGCAGCCCTCTTGGAGTAGGCGGACCTCTGCGCGCGGCCTCGCGGGAGCTGTAGTTCTCCGTGTCCTGCTGGTGCAGCATTGTGGGATTTGTAGGCGCTCCTGGGCCACGCTTTCCCTGCACAAAGCTCGGCCCCCGCGGGCACGATGGGCAAGGCAGGCCAGGTGGGCAGGCCATTTGGGGAAGGGACACCTGAGGCCGCCCCTAGCCTCGCAGGGCAGCTTCCCGCCGCACGTGGGTTTCCTCTGCAAACTTTCCCATCCAACGCCCCTCCCCCCTGCCGTAAACCGAAAGCGTCGGGTCCCCCAGCCGGGTGGGTGGCCCGAGGTCCGCAGGCCTCCCCAGAAGCCACTTTGCAAGCTTTGGTCCTAGGTTGCTCTAAACCCAAAGGGTGATGGACTCAAGGACCACACACAGCCAAACCACCCCGCACACTTCTTAAAATGCACATGCCTGGAACTCTGATCGCTGGGGCCCGGACATCTGCATTTTGAACGACCCCCTGGGCGTGGTGTGGGGGAGGTGGGCGTTCTACGGCGTGCGCAAGTTTGGGACCTGTGGCCCCTTTCCTGCCGCGCTGCTCCAGGAGCGAAATGGCTCCCCAGGGCTGGAGCCACGTGCTCTGCCGCCCGAGGCAGTCTGGGCGGGGATTGAGGGAGGAGGAGCCCGCCGGTGTGGCACAGGCTGGTGGACGCTAGCGCCTGCAGAATCCGGCCTGGAGGGAAGGTTGCTGCACACGTGTAGACACTCCTGCCCAACCCTCTGCCCCGGGGGTCCCCACCTTAAGGCTACTCTGAAGTTCCCAGTCAATACCTAGACTTGGGCCAGTTGATGGGTTTGGCAGCTGGCAGGGATGCCCCGAGGGCTGGCCCTTGCACGAGGCCCACCTGGAGGGCCCAGTAATAATAAGTAAAAAAAATTCTTGAGCTCTTTTTATGTTCTGGGGACTCACTTTGCTAGAATTTTCTCACTGAGTTGTCATAATCTTTCTATGAGTCAAAAGTGTCTTTTGATTCCGCTTAAAGAGGCGGACACAGAGACTGGAGAAGGGACCACTACAGCAGGTGGTGGAACTGGAACTTGAACCCTTGTCCTGGGGTTGCTGCTGCTGCAGGGCTGGGCTGGGCAGCGCGGAGGTGCAGTTGAGCCGCTGTGCCTACTGGAGAAGACATTCTGGGCCTGATCCTGGGCAGGGTTGGGGGGCCCTCTGGCTGCCATGCCTGGGCCTTGGGTGAGTCCTCTCAGGGCCCCCTGAGATTCTGGCTTCAATTTATCCCTGCCCCAAGCGTTCCTTTGGAGCATACCAGCAGTCCCCCAGGGTAGCTGGATCTTGGTAGGCCAAGGACTTGAAGGTGTAGGGCCTTCGTCCAGGGTTGGACATGGCAACGTCCATTGCAAGACAGTTGTCAGCTGTGCATTAGGCATGGAGTTGGGGGTCCCTGGATTTGTTTACCTTCAGTAGGGGTTGCAGGGTGAGGTGGGAAGCCAGTCTGGGATCAAATGTGTTCATTAGGCAGGACCTTCTGGCCAGATGCATTTGCTTCTCAGGGTCATCTCAGGCTGGTGGGCTTTGCTCCATCCCTCAGTGACCAGCAGGGATCTCCCTGTCTTTCTGTCTCCCAGGCCTGCCAGAGGGGATTGTAGGGCACGGTGCTGCACACACAAGCTGCAGGTTTTGGACCTGTCGCCTAATGGTTCTCAGTCTCTGGGAAACAGAGCACCTGTGAGAAAATTAGCTATGGGTATGGCAAGTGCCTGGTAGCTGTAAAAATGACACTCAGTCTTTTTTTTTTTGAGACGGAGTCTCACTCTGTCACCCAGAATGGAGTGCAATCTTGGCTCACTGCAACCTCCGCCTCCTAGATTCAACCGACTTTCCTGCCTCAGCCTCCCAAGTAGCTGGGATTACAGGCATGTGTCAGCATGCCTGGCTAATTTTTTTATTTTTAGTAGAGATGGGGTTTCACCATAGTGGTTGGCCAGGCTGGTCTCGAACCCCTGACCTCAGGTGATCTGCCCACCTTGGCCTCCCAAAGTACTAGGATTACAGGCATGAGCAACTGCGCCCAGCCACTGAGTCTTAAAAGCAGGTATATGGGCAGGTATATGGTAGTCTCCATCCATATCTTGTGTTTTGTTTGTTTGTTTGTTTGTTTGTTTTGAGATGGACTCTCACTCTGTCGCACAGGCTGGAGTGCAGTGGCGCAATCTCGGCTCACTGCAACTTCTGCCTCCGGGGTTCAAGCAATTTTCCTGCCTCAGCCTCCTAAGTAACTGGGACTACAGGCCCGCTCCACCATGGCCGGCTAATTTTTGTATTTTTAGTACAGACGGGGTTTCACCATTTTGGCCAGGATGGTCTCGATCTCCTGATCTTATGATCTGCCCGCCTCGTCCTCCCAAAGTGCTGTGATTTCAGACGTGAGCCACCGTGCCCGGACTCTCCATCTGTATCTTTTTTTTTTTTTTTTTTTTTTTGAGGCAGAGTCTCGCTCTGTCGCCCAGGCTGGAGTGCAGTGGTGCAATCTCGGCTCACTGCAAGCTCGGCCTCCCGGGTTCACGCCATTCTCCTGCCTCAGCCTCCCGAGTAGCTGGGACTACAGGCGCCCACCACCACGCCCGGCTAATTTTTTGTATTTTAATTAGAGACAGGCTTTCACTGTGTTAGCCAGGATGGTCTCGATCTCCTGACCTCGTGATCTGCCCACCTCGGCCTCCCAAAGTGTTGGGATTACAGGCGTGAGCCACCGCGCCTGGCCTCTGTCTGTATCATAAAGCTCCTAGGCCTGGCTCGGTGGCTCAAGCCTGTAATCCCAGTGCTTTGGAAGGCCAAGGGGAAAAAATCATTTGAGCCCAGGAGTTCGAGACCAGCCTGGGCAACATAGCAAGACCCCACCTCTACAAAAAATAAAAAAATTAGCCCGGCATGGTGGCATGTGCCTGTAGTCTCAGCTCCTTGGGAGGCTGAGGCAGGAGGATGGCTTGAGCCTGGGAATTGGAGATTGCAGTGAGCTATGATCATAGCACTGCACTCTAGCCTGGGTAACAGAGACCCTGTCTCTTAAAAAAAACAGTAAGACTGGGTGCAGTGGCTCACTCTTGTAACCCTAGCACTTTGGGAGACCAAGGCGGGAGGATCACTTGAGCCCAGGAGTTCGAGACCAGCCTCAGCAACATGACGAAACCCTGTTTCTACTAAAAATACAAAAAACTAGCCGGGTGTGAATGGTGTGCACTTATACTCCCAGTTGCTTGGGAGGCTGAGGAAGGAGGACGACCTGGGCCCAAGAAGTTGAGGCTACAGTAAGCCGAGATCATGCCATTGCACTCCAGCTTGGGTGACGGGAGTGAGACCCTGCCTCTAAATAAATAAATAAAAATAAATTAAAAAAATAATAAAACTTAAAAAGCTCCCATAAGAAGGAGTTCAAGAAAATTGAAGGCTTTGGAGTGTTTATTGGGTCCCTGATTTATTTATGAAGCAACAACATTCTGCCGGGACTGAGGATACAGCCATGAACAGGATGTGACTCCTGTCCTCAGCAGCTCACAGCCTTGTGGTCTTAAAAGGTCTTGTAGACCCCCTAAGAGTTTCATGGGTTGTCCTGGACACCTGGGTGCAAACTAACTCTTGGGCCTCGACCTCCCGAGTAGCTGGGATTACAGGCACGTCCCACGACACCCGGCTAATTTTTGTATTTTTAGTAGAGAGGGGGTTTCACCATCTTGGCCTGGCTGGTCTGAAACTTCTGACCTCAGGTGATCTGCCCACCTTAGCCTCCCAAAGTGCTGGGATTACAGGCATGAGCCACCGTGCCTGGCCTTTCTTGATCTCTTTTAAACTTCACCATGACCCTGTGAAGTGAAGCAGTGTTTCCATATTTTACAGACGGAGGAAACCGAGGCTTGGTGTTGCACAGCTAGTAAGTGGCAAGGCTGGACTTTTTCACTTGAGCCCAGTGCAGGGTTCCCACTGATGGGCTGGAGGAGCTTTGGGGAAGGGAGGGAGGCAGGGATGTTTCTGATGGCAACAGCCTGGGCATGGTGTGTTCTGGGACCGAGGGGAAGGGCAGCAGACTGGCCAGGTCAGAGTACAGAGTATGGGTGAGTAGTGTAGAAGCAGCGGGGATGGAGCATGGATGAGAACCTCGGGCTGATTAGGTTAGAGAAGGATGAGTGCCTTAGTGCTTTTTTGGGTTTGGGAGAATCCCGTGTGGACTTTCCCACGTTGACTGTGTAGATGTTAAGTGACCCTGAGGTATGTGAGTGACTTCAGGGCAGTGTGAAATGAAAGTTCTCAGTGGCCGGTTTGAGGCTGGAGCTGGGCAGGCAGGTGTAGAGGGATTGGGGGTACTTGACTTTGGCCTGGGCAGGAGGGATAGGTACCTGGCAGGGTTCTAGACTTGAAGGGCATGCCCCATGCCTCCAAGTGTCTGGTTGGGACGCCAGCGTCAGTCTCAGCAGATTCTGTGGGTGCTGTGGTGGTAGGTGTGGCGGCTCTTGCCTTAGCATCCAAGGCTGGTGCCCAAATTTTGTTCCTTGGCCATTGGCTGCTCAGTGACCTTATTCCTAAATCTAGGGCAGCCCCTGTTTGGACCCAGGAGGCTGGCTTGCAAGAAGCAAGAGAGCCTTGGTGTGGCTGGGCATGGTGGCTCATGCCTATAATCCCAGCACTTTGGGAGGCCGAGGCGGATGGATCATTTGAGGTCAACAGTTCGAGACCAGCCTGACCAACATGGTGAAACCCCATCTCTACTAAAAATACAAAAATTAGCCGGGCGTGGTGGTGGGTCCCTGTAATCCCAGCTACTCGGGAGGCTGAGGCATGAGAATTGCTTGAACTCGGGAGGTAGAAATTGCAGTGAGCTGAGATTGTGCTACTGCACTCTAGCCTGGGCAACAGAGCGAGACTCCATCTCAACCCCCCCTCCGCCCCCCATAATTAGCCAGGCTTGGTGGATCACGCCTGTAATCCCAGTTATTTGGGAGGCTGAGGCATGAAAATCGCTTGAACCCGGGAGGTAGAGATTGCAGTGAGCCAAGATTGTGCCACTGCACTCCAGCCTGGGCAATAGAGCGAGACTCAGTCAAAAGAAAAAAGAGAACCTCGGTGTTGGTGGACTTGGGTCACCTTTGATTTTCACCTGGAGGAGTCTGAAGTGGCCAGAGAGAGGATAGTGGACCTTTACTGTGTGTGTAGGACGTTTACAGACCTTAACCGTAAATGCAAAACCCCAGAAAGAGCTATCAGAAACTTTCAGGCATTTGCAGAAAAATCCACTTTATTCAGTGCAGTATCACCTGGAAATTTCAATCAACCATCCTTCATCAACAGGAACCCCTGGTTGGTCAGCCATCAGAAGCCCTGGTTGGTCAGCATTCCACCAATAAGAATTCCTGGTTAGCGGCACTCCACCAATCACAACCCCTGGTTAGCTCCTATTCCACCAATCAGAAGCCTTGGTTAGAATGCATTCTATTAAAGGACTCTGTCGGCGGGTACTTCCAGGGCAATTTAGGTGAGTTATATTTGAGGGTCTTGGTGGCAGATTCAGGTCCCACGAGGAACTGTACCTTTTGGGGGGAAATTTGCTTTCTTGGATTTAAGAAAGTGCTTAACCTAAGTTAAGCACTAGGTTAGCCAGCAGCTGGTTTCTGAGCCAGGAGACTGGGCTGATGGCTTTGGAGAGGAAGGAGGCAGGATGGAGCATTGGAGAAGCTGGGCCGGCAGATTCTGATGCAGAGGAGGAGGCGACACAGGCCCCTGATCCCAGCCCCAGCTCCTCTTCCTTGTGAGAACTTCCGGCTGGGGTTTTCGGGACTGGGGTCTGGTGGTCTCCTTTGGTCTCCCAGTTAGTGGGCTGCCTTGCGGGGAAGGGACGGAAGAGGCTGAGGGTCAGCTCCCAAGAGCAGAGGAGTTGGTGGGACTTGGGCCGGGAGGTGCAGAAGGGTGCATCTGGCTGCACCCTGCCCTGCCCAGCTGCTGGGTGTGACCTTGGGCAAGTCACCTCACTTGTGGGCTTGTGTTCAGAGGGGCAGGGGTGATGGCTGAGCTTGCAGTCACACACCCGCTTCTGATAAGTGGCGGGCTGTGTGAACTAGCAGTCAGTAGAGGCGCTTCAGTGGGTTGGCATCTGCAGGTTGCTGTTGTGCCAGGTCTGGCTACTTGACCTTGGGATCATCACCTTCCTTCCCACGACCCTGCATTGCTTGCTCACTGTAATCTCGGCCACCCCACTGGGTTTTGTGAGAATCAGGCAGGGAAAAATGTCAACGAGGTCTGTGAATAATAAAAAGAGTTACACGATTACAGCGATTTCCGAATGCCTGGTCCTTTTTTTTTTTTTTTTTTTTTTTTTTTGAGACAAGGTCTCACTCTGTTGCCCAGGCTGGAGTACAGTGACATGATCACAGCTCACTGCAGCCTCAACCTCCTGGGCTTATTACATCCTCCCACCTTAGCCTCCTCAGTTGCTGGAACAATAGGGACACTCCACCATGCCTGGCTGATTAATTTTTTCTAGTGATGGGGTCTCACTATGTTGCCCAGGCTGGTCTTGAACTCTGGGGCTCAAGCGATCCTCCTACTTTGGCCTCCCAAAGTGCTAGGATTATAGGTGTGAGCCACTGTGCCCGGCCTAGTCTTCTCTTTTACAGGGATAACTGTCACCTGCCAGTTGGGGCATCTGGCTCTGTGGGCCGGTCAGAGCTCATTCTGCCCTATGGCCTGACACCTGCTCTGGGGTCAGGGTTCACGCCCAGCGCTTGCTGCAGCTGGACCCTACCCAAACCTCTGTGCCCCCCTCTTTACATGGGAGTCTTCAGGCCACCTGACTCAGGAACATTGTGACAATTCAGTGAGAAAATTCTCGCCAAAAACTTAAAAAAAAAAATGTATCCCTCTGTTGTGGACCCTCCAGGAGGGCCAGCTCTCAGGTGGCCCAAGGCTGGACTTGGTGCTCCCTTTTCACCCCCTAGTCAGCTCTGGCTTTTGGGCATTGCCAGGAGGGACCCAGGGGCTGGGTGGGCAGGGGTCTCTCCCCACATCTCTCCTGAGGGGGATGGTGATGCCTCAAGATTGCACTTACCTTGTGTTGTGGCTTCCTATGGACATCTCTTCCCACCTCTTACCTCCAAAGAGCCCCAGCTTTAAGCCACCCACTGCAGAGCAGTCCTGGTCCCCTTGGCCTGCTGGCCTCTCAGACATGGTATGGTCTGAGTTTGTGCCAGGCCTGGGAGCCTGGACTCCGCCCTAAGGCTGGGCCACACACAGCCGTGCAGCAGGCCTGCTCCAGTCCCCCTATCACCTCCACTTCAGGGCAGGGGAACCGGGAGAAGTGAGAGCACTGACATCCAGCTGACCGACCCTAAAACCATCCCCTCTCTGCCCTGCACCCTAAAGTCTCATGGAAAGTGGGGGGCCCGGGCCCCTTTTGCAGTGCGGACATTTCAAGACCCTGTAAGAGACTTGTACCCTGGGTGCAGGCCCTGGGCCTTTGGGTCCTGATGGAGGAGGGGGCTTGGCTTGATGAGGACGGAAGGAGGCTGATTTGCATCCAGACTTCCGGCGTTGGACACCTCTCTATTGGGAGAGGAAGCCGAGGCCGGGGAAGGGGCAGCGATGCGTCCAGGGTCCCACAGGGAGCCAAGGCTGGACAGATGGGCAGGCTGGGTGGGGCCAGGAAGGCCACGGCTGTTTCCAGCTGTTGCAGATGTGCTGCCTCCGGGGTCCGTGCAAACTCCTTTCCGCCTGCAGGCTGGCGAAGGGGCCAGGGCACACAGCAGGGGAGTTAGACTTGGCAGCCCCTTGACCCCAGACTGCCTTCATCAATGGAGCAGGAGCTGCCCAGAACCCTTTTCCTGTTCTCCCACATTCAGGGGCATGAGCCCCCTTGGCCCAGTCCTGGAACAGGGCACCCCGGGAGGGCCCCTCAGGAAGAGGCCGGGGCTGCGGCTTCGGGTGGGGCCGGCAGCCTCTGCTGAGAGCCCAGCATCTGGAAGCCATCAGGCCAGGGGCGGGGGGAGTTGCAGGGGAGGTCCAGGGAGGGGGACATGCCTCCTCCAGGCCACACACAAGCCCAACCCTCGGGAGCGTGGCCTTGGGCCCACAACCGCTGCCTCTGCACCCTGGCCCGCAGCCCCGCCCCCTGGCGCACACGCCCCGCCCTCGTCCGAAGCCACGCCCCCAGCCAGCAGCCACGCCCTCTTCCCCCAGGCTGCCTTCTCACCGCACTGGCCACTGCTCCTGCAAGGGTCAGCAGCGCTCCCCACAGCATGGTGGGAGCCTCGCTTCTCCGGCGCAGGGTGGGTCTATCTCTTGGAGTGGGTGGGCTGTGGGGAGCCGTGTCCCCAGGGGTTGTTGGCTTGGTGTCTTTTTGGGGAGTGAGTGGTACTTGTCTTCTGTGAAGTCTTAGCCTAGCGGGGCTGGGGCTTGTGGTGGGAGGCGTGGCCGTGAGGGTAGGAAGGGAGTGGGGACGTCTTCCTCAGTCCTGGGGTGGCAAAGCCTGAGACGCTGAAGAGGCGCTCCAGGTGCCTAGCAAATCACTCAGAAGTGTTCCAGGAGCGGGGACAGCGTCCCTGAATGTCGTCTGCATCCCGCGTGCATCAGAATCACACCACGCACGTTTCTGGGCCCCACCGGGCCTGCTAGTCAGACGCTGGGGCCAGCACCCGTCGTCTGCATAGTTTCTAAGCTCTTGGATGTTTTGATGCTCAGACACACTGGGAATTCTGTTCCGGAGGAGAGACTGCTCCCTGTGAGGAAAGCCAGGGAGGGGATGGGTTTTTGTTGTTGTTGTTGAGACAAGGTCTTGCTCTGTTGCCCAGACTGAAGTGCAGTGGCGTGATCATAGCTCACTGCAGCCTCCAACTCCTGGGCTCAAGCGATCCTCCCACTTCAGCCTCCTGAGTAGCTGGGACTACAGGCATGCACCACCACACCTGGCTAATTTTATTTTTTTGTAGAGACAGGGTCTCACTACGTTGCCTAGGCTGATCTCAAACTCTTAGGCTCAATGATCCTTGGCCTTGACCTCCCAAAGAACTGGGATTACTGTGCCTGGCCCGGGGTGGGTTCTGAGCGGACTATCTTACCCGCAGCCAGCTGATTCAGTCCGCCCCGGTGTCCCAGAGAGCACCCCTCCATCACTCTCTGGGGGTGGCCTGGCATCTTTTGCAGCAGGGGAGGGATGCAGTTTCCACTGGGGCCCTCTGGAGATGAATGATGAAGAGGGCGCCTTGGCCGAGCCTGTCCCTGTCCTCTCTGGCAGCCTTGCCAACATTCCACTAACCCCCGAGACTCAGCGGGACCAGGAGCGGCGGATTCGGCGGGAGATCGCCAACAGCAACGAGCGGAGACGCATGCAGAGCATCAACGCGGGATTCCAGTCCCTCAAGACCCTCATCCCCCACACAGACGGAGAGAAGCTCAGCAAGGTGGGTGAGAGCAGGGAGGGCTTCCTGGAGGAGCCGGCAGGTTCCCGCTGGGAGAGGAAAGTGAGCTCTGGTAAACACTGCCAGCCTGACTCTCGGCTTTTCCACGCCCTCAGGCAGCCATTCTCCAGCAGACAGCCGAGTACATCTTCTCCCTGGAGCAGGAGAAGACCAGGCTCTTGCAGCAGAACACACAGCTCAAGCGCTTCATCCAGGTGCGCCCTGTCCTTCATGGCTCCCTCTCCCTGGCATGGGCATGCCTTGGACCCAGCCATGGGCCTGGGACTCAGGTGTGGCTGCAGGCCCCTTCTTGCCCACTGACAAGTACTTCCAGGCACTTTTTTTCCTGCCCCGGCCTCAGTTTCCCCATCGGTCAAGTGCGGTGGAGTGGGCTCTGGAAGGAGCCAGGTGACTGTTATGTAAAGCAGCCCATTCTCCTGGCATTTGGCTGGTTTGTTGGACTTGCAGAAGGGGCTCCCTAATGAAGATTCACCTGTGTTGGGCAGCTTTGGGGGGCTGCGATGGAACCCCAATCTCCGTGGTGGTACCGAGGTGTCAGGCACACTGACCGACTCCTTGGGGTCCCCAGGAGCTGAGCGGCTCGTCCCCCAAGCGACGGCGGGCAGAGGACAAGGACGAAGGCATAGGCTCCCCGGACATCTGGGAGGACGAGAAGGCGGAGGACCTGCGGCGGGAGATGATTGAGCTGCGGCAGCAGCTGGACAAGGAGCGCTCGGTGCGCATGATGCTGGAGGAGCAGGTGAGGCAGCGCCCTCTGCTGGGCACGGCGCGCGGTGCAGAGGGCGTGGAGCCTGGGGTCGCGCCTCTTGCTCTGCGGCCCTCGGTGGAGCCCTATTTACAGGAGCACCTACTGCGGTGCCAGGCCTAGGAGTGGGGAGCAAGCCAGACACGTCTCTGCCCTTGGGGGCCACCGTCTGCGTTGGGGTGGGGGAGATTAGCCAAAGGATCTCAAAAATGTAACCATGCTGTGGGAGGCCGAGGCGGGTGGATCACCTGAGGTCAGCAGATCGATACCATCCTGGCTAACACGGTGAAACCCCGTCTCTACTAAAAATACAAAAAAAAAAAAAATTAGCCGGGCGTGGTGGTGGGTGCCTGTAGTCCCCGCTGTTTGGGAGGCTGAGGCAGGAGAATGGCGTGAACCTGGGAGGCAGAGCTTGCAGTGAGCCGAGATCGTGCCACTGCACTCCAGTCTGGGAGACAGAGCGAGACTCCATCTCAAAAAAAAAAAAATGTAACCGTGATGGGCTGGGTATGGTGGCTCACACCTATAATCCCAGCACTTTGCGGGGCTGAGGTGGGAGGATCGCTTGAGCCCAGGAGTTTGAGATCAGCCTGGGAAGCATAGTGAGACTCTGTCTCTACCAAAAAAGATACAAAAATTAGCCAGGTGTGGTGGGGTGTGCCTGTAGTCCCGGTTACTCAGGAGGCTGAGCTGGGAGGATTGCTTGAGCCCAGGAGGTGGAGGCTGCAGTGAGCCATGATTGTGCCACTACACTGCAGCCTGAGTGACAGAAGGAGACCATGGCTCAAAAAAACCAAAAAACAAAAACAAAAAACCATATTGAAGGCCAGGCTGGAGCTGTGGCATCAGGAGGGGTTTTTCAAGGGACGCCCCACGGCATCTCCATGGAAGTGGGAAGTTGAGTCTCATAGTTAACCAAAGGACAGAGAAAGGTGTTCCCGGCAGAGGGAATAGCATAGGCAAAGACTCGGGCAGGAGGGAGCATGGTCCAGTGGAGGCCGAGGTGGGAGGCGAGAGGAGCCGGGGGCTGAAGGGCTCTGGAAAGGCTTCTGGCCTCTGTTGAGAGGGGCCCGCCCTGTGCTAGGGTTTTCAGCAGGAGTGAATGAGCTGCTGTGAGACTGACAGGGCAGGGTGTGCTCCCGGCCTTGGCCCTGAGCCCAGGTTGTCCTGCCTCCAGGTGCGCTCGCTGGAGGCCCACATGTACCCGGAAAAGCTCAAGGTGATTGCGCAGCAGGTGCAGCTGCAGCAGCAGCAGGAACAGGTGAGGCTGCTGCACCAGGAGAAGCTGGAGCGGGAACAGCAGCAGCTGCGGACCCAGGTGAGCAGGAGGCGCCCGGGAGTGGGCTCTGGGGACCGGGAAGGGGACAGGTGATCTTGAATGGCGGAAGCCTCTCCCTAGGCCACGTCCTCTCTGCTTCTTAATATAAAGGGGCAGAGGCAGTTATACATTGGCCAGCTCTGCATGAAAGGGAGGTGGATGGGCCAAGAGAAGCCTTGAGAGAAAGGCTGAGGGCCTCTGTCTTGCAGCTTCTGCCCCCTCCGGCCCCCACCCACCACCCCACGGTGATCGTGCCAGCACCGCCTCCTCCTCCCTCCCACCACATCAATGTCGTCACCATGGGCCCCTCCTCGGTCATCAACTCTGTTTCCACATCCCGGCAAAATCTGGACACCATCGTGCAGGTACCTGAGCTTGAGAAAGGGGCAGCTTGTGGGGGTCATACTCCGGGAACAGGCTCTTTAGGGGAGACTGGAAAAGAGGGGCAGAAGCGGAGGAAGATGGTGCTTGTGTGGGAAGGGGTGGAGGGCTGGAAGCCTTGGGGGGCCCCGTCCCTGGATCTGCAAGTGGAGAATGTGAGGGCCAGAGATCGGGGCAGGGCCTACCACGCCAGTAGGAGGAGTTGGCCAGGAAGACTGTCCCTTCCCTCAATATGGGGTTTCCGGAGAGGGTCCTTTGCTCCCAGAGCCCCCTGGTTACAGAGTTCCTGCATCCAGCTCTTGGGTTGGTCCGGAACATTGTCTCAGCTCCATCTCCTAGGACCTGGATGGAGATACAGGTGGCAGGGCTGGTGATAGTTGGGCCTCCTACAGAGGAGGAAGCTTTGTGGGTCAAGCCTGAAGTTACAGTTGCATTCACCCTTGAACAGGGCCCCTTGAGGAGCCCAAGATCAGAAATCAGTAAATAATAAATAAATAACCAAAAAAGCCAAAACAGGAAAAAAAATCCATCAATCTCCTCGAATTTTAATTGCTCATAAACTTTGCAAATTGTGTAATACAATTAATAACAAACGCCTTTAATAAGTTAATAGGCAAGCTTTAAAATACATAAACATATGGCCGGGTGTGGTGGCTCACACCTGCAATCCCAGCACTTTGGGAGGCCAAAGTGGGTGGATCACTTGAGGTCAGGAGTTCGAGACCAGCCTGGCCAACATGGTGAAAACCCCATCTCTATTAAAAATACAAAAATTAGCCTGACGTGGTGGTGCACGCCTGTAATCCCAGCTATTCGGGAGGCTGAGGCAGGAGAATCGCTTGAACATGGGAGGTGGAAGTTGCAGTGAGCTGAGATTGCACCACTGAACTCCAGCCTGGGTGACACGGTGAGACTCTTTCTCAAAAAACAAACAAACAAAAACATATGAAAGGTCCATATTATTTCTTTTTTTTTCTTTTTTTTTGAGATAGAGTTTCGCTCTTATTGCCCAGGCTGGAGTGCAATGGTGCTATCTCAGCTCATCGCAACCTCCTCCTCCCAGGTTCAAGTGATTCTCCTGCCTCAGCCTCCCAAGTAGCTGGGATTATAGGCATGTGCCACCACGCCTGGCAAATTTTGTATTTTTAGTAGGCTTCTGGCCTCTGTTGAGGGGCTGGTCTCGAACTCCTGACGTCAGGTGATCCTCCCGTCTTGGCCTCCCAAAGTGTTGGGATTACAGGCGTGAGCCACTGCGCCTGGCTGATACATATAATATAATTTCTAAGCAGCACTGGGACTGTCATCTTCCCAGAATGGATTTTTCAACTTAACAGAGGGGTTTTGAAAGTTTGTTCCTGGGTCAGGCGTGGTGGCTTATGCCTGTAATCCCGGGACTTTTGGAGGTTGAGGCAGGAAGATTGCCTGAGGTCAGGAGTTCGAGATCAGCTTGGGCAACATAGCAAGAACCCCCTCGTCTCTACCAAAAATACAGAAGTTAGCTGGGGATGGTGGCGCACCCCTGTGGTTCCAGCTACTAGGGAGGGAGCAGTAGGAGGATCGCTGGAGCCCAGGAGTCTGACTGCAGTAAGCTATGATCATGCCACTGCACTCTAGCCTGGGTGATATAGCGAGAGCTTGTCTCCAAAAAAAAAGTAAAAGGAGTTTGTTTTTCCTGTACTCTAGCGGGCCTCCCCTGCTGCTTTGCCAGGCTTTTTTCTGGGCTATGTGTTTTGGGGGTGACAGTGGCTGGCTGAGAGCCCCCACTGTCTCCTGGCTGGCCATGTATCCCCGGCCGAGCCTTCTCAGTGGTTCGTCCCTGTCCAGGCAATCCAGCACATCGAGGGCACCCAGGAAAAGCAGGAGCTGGAGGAGGAGCAGCGGCGAGCTGTCATCGTGAAGCCTGTCCGCAGCTGCCCGGAGGCCCCCACCTCTGACACCGCCTCCGACTCCGAGGCCTCAGACAGTGACGCCATGGACCAGAGCCGGGAGGAGCCGTCGGGGGACGGGGAGCTTCCCTGACTACCCCCCCAGCCCTCCTCTCCCTTCTGGGGGCTGGAGGGAGCCGGGGCAGCCACAGGGAGAGACATGGGCGAATGAGTGAGAAATTTTTACAAAATTACGATGTCATTTGGGTCTCTTTTATGACCTCTTTTTCAATACTGTAAATCGACCTTTGAACGAAGCCACTCAACCCGAGGTCCCGGGGCTGGGGTGTCGCAGAGCGTGTGGGAGCATCGGCACCCCAGGGCGGGGCCTCGGCCCCGGGGGCTGGAGGAAGCTGACACGGAGATGCCTGGCCTCTCTCTGCCAAAAAGCATTTTTTCCTTTAAATATGTTTTTTAAGAACAGGGAAAATTAAACAAAACCCCAGGTTATTTCTTCCCTGCCCAGAGCCAGCCTGGGATTGTCAGCCTTCAATCCCCTTTCCTTCCTCTTTTTGGGTTTTCTTCTTTCTCCTTTAAGCACTTACATGGTTGGGGGTAAGACTAGGCTGGGGCATTCTGGGGGCCCGGAGGTCTCCGTTGCTTCTTGGTTGGGGTTTGCTGCTGCTGTGCCCCCCTCCCCCTTCCCCATCTCGGCACTAGAATTCGCCACTCTCCCACCCCCCAGCCCCCACCTCTGCCTCCAGGTCTCATCTTCCACCCCAAAAATGTCTGTCTCTCTCTTTTTGTTTTGTTTGTTGTTGGTTTTTTATTTCTTTTTGGTTTGCTTTCTGTTTTTGTTTTGTTTTTCTTTTTTTTCTTTCTTTTTTTTTTTTTTTTACAATTTTGAGGTCTTCGTGTTCAAGGAGAAGCTATTATATTTTGTTAAGAAAGTGGGGAGAAAAAAACCAAGAGGCCACCGTGCCTTTGTAAAGAAACAAAATAAAGTTTGTACTTTGTTTTTTAGATTCTGAGTCTCCTGGGTGTGGGCTGGCCTGAAGACCAGGGCAGGGCTACCCCATCTAGAGTAGGGGGGCTCCTTGGGCCCCCCAAAGCGGACTGGGTGTGTGTGAGCACAGTTACTCCCTCAGCTTGTGTGTGGTGTTGCGATGAAAAATTGGGGTCCTCAGTTTCCCTGGGATGACCCTGGGTATTCTGTAAAGATGGAAGATGGTGTTGAGGCTGGGGAGTGGCTCTTTGGTGGGCGGCAAGGAGAGAAGGACAACCAAGCCACCGATTCCGAAAACCTGGGAAAGGACACAGGTGTTCAGGGGCCCTGCTTGGTCCCTACGCTTTGGTTAATCCCTAGGTTTTGCCACTTCCTGGGCTTCTGTAACTTCTCTGAGCCTCATCCTCTCCTCCCCTAGGAGGGGAACCCCACCCCCTCCAACCGCACCCCCCCAGCACCCCCCTGCCCCCCCGTGGTGTGGTGTTTAAGTGCTAAGATCCTGGAATTGGTCTGCCAGAGGTCAGTTCCCCCTCTGACAAACCGCTTCCTCTGAGCCTCAATTTCTTCTTCTAAAAATTGGCGATAATAACGGCACAAGGACATTGCATCCTATTGGGGATTGGCATGGTCCTTTATTTCGAGACAGAGTCTCTGTCTCCCAGTCTGGAGTGCAGTGGCGTGATCTCGGCTCACTGCATCCTCTATCTCCTGGGTTCAAGCAATCTTCTTGCCTCAGCCTCTCAAGTAGCTGGGACTACGGGAGTGCACCACCATGCCCAGCTAATTTTTGTATTTTTAGTAGAGACAGGGTTTCACCATGTTGACCAGGCTGGTCTTGAACTCCTGACCTCAAGTGATCCGCCTACCTCGGCCTCCCAAAGTTCTGGGATTAAAGGGATGAGCCACCATGCCTGGCTATTTTTAAATTTTTATTATTATTTTTTGGTGTGAGATGGGGTCCTGCTCTGTCGCCCAGGCTGCAGTGCAGTGTTTTGATCACAGTTCACTGCATCCTTGACCTCCTGGTCTCAAGTGATCCTCCCACCTCAGCCTCCCTAGTAGCTAGGACTACAGGCCTGTACCACAAAGCCTGGCTAATTTTTTTTTTTTTTTTTTTTTTTGAGATGGAGTCTTGCTGTGTCACCCAGGCTGGAATGCAATGGCACGATCTTGGCTCACTGGAACCTCTGCCTCACAGGTTCAAGCGATTCTCCTGCCTCAACCTCCTGAGTAGCTGGGACTACAGGCACCCACCATCATGCCCAGCTAATTTTTGTATTGTTAGTAGAGATGGGGTTTCACCATGTTGGCCAGGCTGGTCTTGAACTCCTGACCTCAGGTGATCCACCCACCTTGGCCTCCCAAAGTCCTGGGATTACAGGTGTGAGCCACCGTGCCTGGCCTGGGCCCGGCTGACTTTTTTATATTTTATTGTAGAGGCAGGGTTTTGCCATGTTGCCCAGGCTAGGCCATGGTCCTTTAAATCCTTCACTCTTCCGTGACCAGAGATCGATTTACACCGTGGTCCCCTCCTATGCCTCATGCTCACAGTGCTGGGTGCTTGGGGACTGAGGCCAGAGCAGAAGGCAGAATCACAGCTCACCCCACGATGACAGTGGACACGAACTCTTCACAGAAAGGCAGGAGTCTGCAGGTTTTCTTGGAATTTTACAGTGAACAATTCAATGGCACTTCATACATTCACAGTGTTACACAGCCTACCTGGTTCCAAAACATGTCCGTCACTCCAAAATGACTCCATGAAGCAGTCACTCCTTCCCCCTCCTCCCAGTCTCCAGCAACCACCTGCTTTCTGGTTTTAATATCTTTTTTAAAAAATTAAAGTAGTTGGCTGGGCGTGGTGGCTCACACCTGTAATCCCAGCACTTTGGGAGGCCGAGGCGGGTGGATCACATGAGGTCAGGAGTTCAAGACCAGCCTGGCCAACATGGTGAAACCCCAACTCTACTAAAATACAAAAATTAGGCTGGGCACAGTAGTGGTTCACGCCTGTAATCCCAGCAGTTTGAGAGGCCGAGGTGGGCGGATCACTTGAGGTCAGGAGTTTGAGACCAGCCTGGCCAACATGGTGGAACCCCGTCTCTACTAAAAATACAAAAATTAGCCTGGCATGGTGGCGAATGCCAGTAACTGTGGTCCCAGCTACTGGTGAGGCTGAGGCAGGAGAATCACTTGCACCGGGGAGGTGGAGGTTGCAGTGAGCTGAGATTGTGCCACTGCACTCCAGCCTGGGTGACAGGGCGACACTCCATCTTAAAAAATAAATAAATAAATAAATAATTTTTAAAAATGAAAGTAGTTACATTTAGTAGAAGTCACACTTTCTGATTTTTGGTTTTGCGTGTTTCCTACACGCAAATGCATAGTTTCCTACCCACCACTATGATCAAGATATGATTTAAAGAAAAAATAAAACAGGCCGGGTACGGTGGCTCACGCCTGTAATTCCAGCACTTTGGGAGGCCAAGGTGGGCGGATCACCTGAAGTCGGGAGTTCGACAGCAGCCTGACCAACATGGAGAAACCTTGTCTCTACTAAAAATACAAAATTAACCGGGCGTGGTGGCGCATGCCTGTAATCCCAGCTACTCGGGAGGCTAAGACACGAGAATCGCTTGAACCCAGGCGGCGGAGGTTGCGGTGGGCCGAGATCGCGCCATTGCACTCCAGCCTGGGCAACAAGAGCGAAACTGTCTCAAAAATAAATAAATAGATAAATAATAAATAAAACCAAAGCAAAATAAAAAAGATATGAATTAGTTCCTTCATTTCCAATGCCCCCCATGCCTCTTGGTGGTCAACCCAGCCCCTAGGAGCCACTGATCTATGTTGCCATAGTCTTACCTGTGACATGTCATAGAAATGGGATAACCCTGCCTTTTGAGCCTGGCTTCTTTGCACTGCAGCCAATTTTCTCTTGCTGAGATTATCCAGCTAAATTTACATAGGATCTGGCCCGGCACAGCGACCCCTTTCGGCCAGGTGCGAAACGGCAGGCCCGACGGTCCCCACGCAGCTCCTAAGAGGATCAACAGAGGGCGCAGTGCGCCCGGAACGCCCAGCCCCTGCGAAAGCGGAGGCTCCTCTCTCGGTCCCTGCGGGACAGCTCAGTTCTCATAGGCCAGAGGCGTGGCTTGGGGGCGGGCCAGGGGAATCCCACCTCCCCTTGCATGCTCAAGCGCGCCGGGCGATGGTAGGCGGTCTCACCCGCAGGCGGTGGAAGTCAGGGGCGCGGCTGCGGCCCCGCCCCTTCCCGGACTCGCCCCGCCCGTCCCCTCGCCGCGCATGTTCCCAGACGCCTCAGGCCATGGCGCGCGCGCTCCCGCCAGCACGCACGTCTGGCCCCGCCCCCGCGCCTGGCGCCCGCGCGCTCTCTCGCACGATCTGCTCCCGGACTCCTTCAGCGCGCTGCCTGCCTGCCCAGGGCCTTCCCGGAGAGCAGGTGACGGCGGCCTCCGGGCATGGAGCTCGCGCTGACGAAAGGTTCTGGAAGCCGCCGTAAAAAGTAATCAAGAAACGGGTGACAGGACTTTTCGTAAGACATTTAATTTTTACCCAGAGTATCCGAAACATTGCCGTGTCAATCTCAGTGCGATGGGAGACTGCCGGCCCCAAGGAGCTGCTCGTCCTTCTGCCGAGTTCCGGCCCGGACCCGCGGAGGAGGAGACCGCCGCGCCGGAGCTCGGACCTGACGTTTTTGTGAAGCACAGGGGGCGTGGGAGGGACCGGATCAATGCGGCACTCAACAAAACCTGTTTTTAAAAGAGTCGTGCTGTGTCGCCCAGGCTGGAGTGCAGTGACGCGATCTCGGCTCACTGCAGCCTCCACCTTCCGGGCTCAAGCGAGCCTCCCGCCTCAGCCTCCTGAGTAGCTGGGATTACAGGCACACACCTCCAGCTCGGCTGTTTTATTTATTTATTTTTTTTTTGAGACGTAATTTAGCTCATGTTGACCAGGCTGGAGTGCAGTGGCGCGATCTGGGCTCACCGCAACCCCCGCCTCCCGGGTTCAAGCGATTTTCCGCCTCAGCCTCCTGAGTAGCTGGGGTTGCAGGCATGCGCCACCACGCCCGGCTAATTTTGTACTTATAGTAGAGACGGGGTTTCTCCATGTTGGTCAGGCTGGTCTCGAACTCCCGACCTCAGGTGCTCCGCCCGCCTTGGCCTCCCAAAGTGCTGGGATTACAGGCGTGAGCCACCTCTCCAGGGCCAAAAGCCTTTTATTGGAGTACTGGGTAACACATTCAGAAGAGGGTGCATAGCTTAGGCGCTCCGTGAATTTTCACAAACTGAACATACACCCAGGTAGCCAACACCCCCAGCAAGCCCCAGAATCCCCTCATGCTTGCTTTCTGCCACTATCAAGCAGTTTGCTTTCTTTCAGATTTTTAAGTTTTGAAATAATTATTGAAATGTACAGGGAGAAGTCTGGGTTGGTGGTTCTAACCTGTAGTCTCAGCTACTAGAGAGGCTGAAGGGGGAAGATGGCTTTAGCCCTGGATTTCTAGACTAGCCTGGACAACATAGCAAGACCTCATCTCTATTTGTTTTTGAGACAGAGCCTCGGTCTGTCACCCATGCTGGAGCGCAGTGGACCTCCGCCTCCCGGGTTCAAGTGATTCTTCTTTCTCAGCCTCCCGAGTTATTTGGGATTACAGGTGTGCGCCACCACGCCCAGCTAATTTTTTTGTATTTTTAGTAGAGACGGGTTTCACCATGTTGGCCAGGCTGGTCTTAAACTTCTGACTTAAGGTGATCTGCCCGTCTCGGCCTCCCAAAGTGCTGGGATTACGACGTCAGCCACTGCTCTTGGCCTATCTTTTTTTTTTTTTTTTTTTTTAAAAGAAAGAGATGTATAGGGAGATCACCCAGTATCCCTCAGTGTTAACATCTTGCATAGCTACAGTTAGCATAGAAGCCAGGTAATTGACATTGGTACTGTACATGGGACTTACTCAGATTTACACGTTTTTTAATGTTTTATGTGTATGTAGTTCTCTATTCTCTACCATTTTTATGAGAGTTCCAGTTGCCTTGCATTCCCACCAGCACTTAGTATTGTCAGATTTATCATTATTTAGGTATTCTGGTAGGTGTATGGTGGAATCTCACCATAGTTTTAATTTCTTCTCTTTTTTTAAAAAATAGGAACAAGGTCTCACCATGCTGCCCAAGCTGGTCTGAAAACTCTTGTCCTCAGGCAGTCCTCCCACCTCGGCCTCCCAAAGATCTGAGATTACAGGCATGAGCCACCACACCTGGCCTTGGTTTTAATTCCTGTCACAGTATATTAGTTTTCGCTGTTGTGTATTGATTGATTGAGACAGGGTCTCGCTCTGTTGCCCAGGCTGGAGTGCAGGGGCATGATCCCAGCTCACTGCAACCTCCACCTCTTGGATTCAAGTGATTCTCCCGTCTCAGCCTCCCGAGTAACAGGAACCACAGGTGTGTGCCAGCACGCCTGGCTAATTTTTTTTTTTTTTTTCTTGAGGTGGAGTTTCACTGTTGTTGCCCAGGTTGGAGTGCAGTGGCACAATCTCAGCTCACTGCAACCTCTGCCTCCTGGGTTCAAGTGATTCTCCTGCTTCAGCCTCACGAGTTGTTGGGATTACAGGCGCCCGCCACCACGCCCAGGTAATTTTTGTTTAGTAGAGACGGGGTTTCACCATGTTGGCCTGGCTGGTCTCGAACTCCTGACCTCAGGTGATCCACCCACCTCGGCCTCCCAAAGTTGTGGGATTGCAGGCGTGAGCCACTGCGCCTGGCCTAATTTTTCAATTTTTTGGTGGAGATAGGGTTTCACCATGTTGGCCAGGCTGGAGTTTTGCCTGTTCTAGAAGCTTGTATCAGTCATACAACACGTAAGTTCTTTTTGTCTAGCTTCTTTTGCTCAACACAATATCTCTGAGATTTATTTATGTTTTTATGTAAACATAAATGTTCATTTTTCTTGCTAAGTACTATTTCATTGTATGAATAGACCACAGTTTGTTTATCCATTCACCTAGTGGTGGACATTTTATTTATTTTTATTTATTTATTTATTTATTTATTTTTGAGACAGAGTCTTGCTCTGTCGCCCAGGCTGGAGTGCAATAGCTCAATCTCAGCTCACTGCAGCCTCTGCCTCCCAGGTTCAAGCCATTCTCCTGTCTCAGCCTCCCGAGTAGCTGGGATTACAGGCACACACCACGACACCCTGCTACTTTTTGTATTTTTAGTAGAGACAGGGTTTCACCATGTTGGTCAGGCTGGTCTTGAACTCCTGGCCTCGTGATCCATCCACCTCGGCCTCCCAAAGTGCTGGGATTACAGGCATGAGCCACCGCACCTGGCCATGGTGGACATTTATGTTGTTTCCAACTTAGGGCTATTATAACTAGATTTTAGTAGCTACCATCCCCCAAATGCATGGTACCAATTTTCTCTCCTACCAACAGCATGTAAGGTGACAGTTCAGGAGAAGTGTCCTAAGCATGTGTCATGGACCCTGTTTGGGGGGTGATTTCTTTGAGGCGGGGCCAGGCATTCTTGGTTCTCTGTGGCCTCCCCTGCCCTATTTTTTTTTTTTTAGATGAAGTTTCACTTTTGTCACCCAGGCTGGAGTGCAGTGGTGCTATCCCGGCTCACTGCAACCTCCGCCTCCTGGGTTCAAGCGATTCTCCTGCCTCAGCCTCCCGAGTAACTGGGATTACAGGCATGCACCACCGTGCTCAGCTAATTTTTGTATTGTTAGTACAGACAGGATTTTGCCATGTTGGCCAGGCTGGTCTCCAACCCCTGGCCTCAACTGATCCACCTGCCTTGGCCTCCCGAAGTGCTGGTATTATAGGCATAAGCCACCGCGCCTGGCTGGTCCCCTGCCCTATTTTAAGAGTCTCTATTAGGGATAAACTTCATGGAAAATGTATGTCTGTTCTAAGAATGTTCTCAAGTGTCATTACCTTGTGCTGTATCTGTTTCCTCTTTACGAGGATTCTCAGAAGAAATTCTTGCCGAGTCTCAATAGTTGAAATAATTTCACTCCTTCCAAGCATTTGGTTTGCTCTTATTTTAAGGACACTGAATTGGGCAGGTGGTCAAGTTACACACATGTGAGGGACTGAAATATATGGTGTCATTTTTTCCCGTTAGTCTTACGAATGGTTCCATACTGTGTGCCTTCCTGTTTTTCTTCCACTAGTACTTCCAGTTCGTGCTTTCTTGCTATATTTTATAGAGAAAGGCCATTTCTATGTCTTTCTGGTACTGGGTGGGTTATAATAAAAACGTGCCTTTGGTGCCATGATTTGGGGGTGTCTTTGGCCGTGCAGCAGAGCGATGCCCCAGCTCTGCTAGATGTTTGAAGGGCTATTGAGTGGAAGAGGGGTCCCTTCCTGTGACCTTGGCCCCCTTATCAGTTGACTAACTGGCCCCAGACCAGTATGTAAAGCACATGCAAATCCTCAAACAGCCTCTTGGAGCCAGCTGGCCATGCTGTCCTCAGCTTCAGATTTTTTTGTGTTTCTGGCTCCACGGTGTTCCCCCGCATCCTAGTCCATCCTCCTGTCCTTTCTTGAACCAGCTGTCTGTCTGTGCTTTCCTCGATGCTGTGTGGCCTTGTAGCATTTGTCATTTTCACTCTGTTGAGTTGGCCGGCTTGGCCTCCCTTGTCCTGCAGGTCCTGGGCAGGGATGGCGTTATATCATCCTCTGCCTTTGTCTCCTTTCTCCTCTTGCCCTGCTGAGTCGCAAGTTTATTCTGTTGGTTGACAAGAACCTGTGCTGACAGAGGAGGGGATAGGACTGGGGGCTGCGGCAGGACCAGCTCTAAATCTGGCAGCTGAAGAAAGGAATGAGTTCCCCAAAGCAGCTTCTCCCACCACACCCCCGATTGAGAAAACAAGGAGCTGGCCGGGCATGGTGGCTCGCGCCTGTAATCCCAGCACTTTGGGAGGCCAAGGCAGGTGCATCACCCAAGGGCAGGAGTTCAAGACCAGCGTGGCCAACATGGCGAAACTCCGTCTCTATTAAAAATACAAAAATTAGCTGGGCATGGTGGTGCCTGCCTGTAATCCCAGCTACTAGTGGGGCTGAGGCAGGAGGATCGCTTGAACCTGGGAGGTGGAGGTTGCAGTGAGCTGAGATCGTGCCACTGCACTCCAGCCTGGGCAACAGAGCAAGACTGCATCTCAAAACAACAACAACAAAGGCTGGTCGTGGTGGCTCACTCCTGTAATCCTAGTACTTTGGGAGGCCAAGGCGGGCGGATTGCCTGAGCTCAGGAGTTCGAGACCAGCCTGGGCTACACGGTGAAACCCGTCTCTACCAAAATACAAAAAATCTGTAGTCGCAGCTACTCAGGGGGCTGAGGCAGGAGAATTGCCTGAACCCTGGAGGTGGAGCTTGCAGTGAGCCGATATCGTGCCACTGCACTCCAGCTTGAGTGACAGAGCAAGACTCCGTCTCCAAAAAAATAAATAAATAAAAATAAATTAAAAAAAATTAGGAGCTAAGAATGACAGCTGCAAAGTTGCCTGAATTAGGGGGCCCAAGTCAAGTTTTCCCCAGGGTGCCGGCTATCTTGGTGGATGGCCTCAATAAATAGGCAGGTGATTTGTGAAGGTTGAAGGGGTTGCAGGTGCCACACACATCAGCGGTTAGTCTGTTGATACACATTTATTATCTCTCCTATTGTCTCCTGCCCTATGGGAGATGTAGACAGTGCTCTGAACGTTCTGGTTGCAAAGAGAATTGACAAACTGCTGTTCTCCAGCCTGACCAACATGATGAAACCCCATCTAAAAATACAAAACAATTAGCCGGACTGTAGTGGTGCACGCCTGTAATCGCAGCTACTCAGAAGGCTGAGGCAGGAGAATTGCTTGCATCCAGGAGGTGGAGGTTGCAGTGAGCTGAGATCACGCCATTGCACTCCAGCCTAGGCGACAGAGTGAGTCTCTGTATCTGCTGTTCTGTTGTAGGAGAAGGAGATGTCAGGTATAAGGGTTAGCAGGGGGTGGCTTGGTTGCGATCAGGAGAGAGGTAGTGCTCATTCTCCATGGGATCCTTGTGGTGCATGTCCCTGGCTTTTTTTTTTTTTTTGAGATGGAGTCTCACTCTGTCACCCAGGCTGGAGTGCAGAGGCACAATACTCGGCTTACTCGGCTCTGCCTCCTGGGTTCATGCATTTCTCCTGCCTCAGCCTCCTGAGTAGCTGGGATTACAGGTGTGCACCACCACGCCTGGTATTTTTAGTAGAGATGGGGTTTCTCCACGTTGGCCAGGCTGGTCTCAAACTCCTGACCTCAAGTGCCGCGGTTTGCCACAGTTACCACGGGACTAAACGAAGGGGTACGAACGTAGAAATGAAAACTTAAAACAAAAGAAACTGTTTTAAAGGAAGGGGCCAGGGGAAGAAGAAGAGGGCTCCCTGCTTCTAGTGAGCAAGGGCAGCCGCCTTGAACCTCTACCGCCCTTCATACTCATTCGGTAGAAAGAGCAGGGTGGAGGAGGTAACAATTGGTCAGCTGCTTGATTGATCACAGGTTCACCTTATCTCATTACAAGAAACACTTGTGCTGGGTCGTGACTGCCCTCAGCATTCCTTCTGGGTGGCAGACGCAGTTTGTCAGTTTGCCAACACCCTGCTTTCATGAAAACAGTTTGCTGTTTACTCATATAGCCTCCAGTGGTGCACTGAGTTGATCACGACCCTCACTCTTTCGGCCTGCAACACTCAAGTGATCCACCTGCCTCGGCTGCCCAAAGTGTTGGGATTACAGGCATGAGCCACCACGCCCGGCCTGCTCCTGGCTTTTGGCTGAAAGTTGAGACTTAGAAGTTGGGAGGAGACCTGGAGCACCGTGGCTAGTTCTAGGCCCTACACTCTTCAGAACAGCAGAGCTGTAGCTGTCTGGTAGTGAGCTCTCTGTTGCTGGGAGTATTCAGAGGCTGGATGGCTGGCTGTTAAGGGATTTCTGCTTGGGTGGGAATTTGGGTCCCTCTAAGACAGATAACCTATGATTTCTGAGATAAATGGGACAATACTTTCAATGAGGGTTACATGTTAACGCTGGGTCAGTCTTGAGTACAAAATGGATTCAGAGACCTGAGTTGTCATGTTCAATCTGATTTTCCTAGCCCTTTGAGGAACCGTTTGAGGTGTGGCACGATACAGCAAGTCAGCTGCCAAAGAGGGGCTTAGCCACAGGAAGTGCGTGCCCAGAACGGTAAAGGGGCTGTGGCCTTTCTTATCATCTCCACTCCCTGTCCCCCCCATCACCTGCTCTTCGTGCTTTGTGATAATTCAGTGAGCTCATACTCATGACCTGTGTCCTCCAGCATCTCCCGTGTCCCTCACAGCAGTTCTATGAGGCTGGCTGCCCTGTTTGACAACTGAGGCCCGCATCTTCCCCGGAATCACCGACGTGTGGCTCTGAGCCCTGTCCCAGGGATTTTCTCCATCAGAGAAGAGGAGCACTTTGAGCTTTGAGAGGAGCAGCCCTCTGCAAGTGAAGTGGAAAAAAAGGAAGCAGGCGAGGAGGCCCATCCAGACCCTCCCCCAAGACCCTTGCTGAAATGGCTGGGATGCGGCGTGCAGAAGCTCTCCTTTCCTTCACAGCCCCTGGCTTTCCAAGAGTCCCTGCCCACCCAGATGCCCGCTGGCAGATGCAGCCTCATCTCAAGGACACTGCTTGCTGGATAAATCCCTCACCACCCTAGAGACAGCCCACGGTCCTGAGACAAGGATGCGGGCCAGGCTTGTTGCACGTAAGCGCCTCCCGCAGAAACCAGTGAGGCCGGAGTTCCAGAGGAAATGATGTAGGGACAGAGGCAGAGGGCCTCCAGGAGGCACCAGCCCCAGAGTCTTCCCTAGAATCAGACTTTAAGCACAAGCAGGGAGGGAAAGCACTTGAGCAGTGCCCGTCCCTGCATACCTGGCCTCTGCTGGAACCCATGCAGGGACAGGACACTTCTTTATCAGCAATCCTGTTCCTCTCCTGGGCAGCTTCAACCTGAACATCCTCCTTCACCTTGAGCTAAAATGGGTTTCTTGTCACCCTTGCCCATCAAACCTGGCCTTGCCCTCAGGAACCACACAGGACAAGCCTAATACTTCCTTCTTGTGGCAACACTTTAGCAATTGAGACCTGGCTGTCAGGTCCTCCAAATAAACATTTGTGACTGTGATGTTGACTTGCCGCTTCTGGGGACCTCTTCTCATTTGATCGGAGAAAGTTTTTCAGGGTTAAACCTACTTCTTTCCCCCAAGAAACTCTTCTTGTCAGGCTCACGCCTATAATCCTGGCACTTTGGGAGGCCAAGGCAGGAGGATTGTTTGAGACCAGCCTGGGCAACGTAGGTAGACTATGTTGCTACAAAAAGAAAAAGAAAAAATGGCCAGGTGTAGTAGTCCCAGCTGCTTGGAGGCTGAGGTAGGAGGTTTGCTTGAGCCCAGGAGGTCGAGGCTGCAGTGAGCTATGATTGTGCCACTGCACTCTAGCCTGGGAGACAGAATGAGGCCCTGTCTCAAAAAAAAAAAAAAAAAAAAAAAGATGATGAAACTCCTCACGTATTTCTCCCCGGAGCATGTGCTCCCAGGCTCAAATCCACAGCAGCCTCGTTACACACACGTCATCCCCTGGCCCCGAGATATTGCACCGCCTTCCCCTTTCTAGCTCTGAACCCCCACATGAAGCAGCCAGACGTAGGAAAACCCAGATTCATAAAGCGCTGATATGGGTGGTCCTTTACCAAAGGATTTTCTGCTTTACAAAGTAATTCACCAAATGATTTCCCTAGAGTATGGGCAGAGATTTGCAAACTACAGCTTGGAACCAAGCTGCCTTTTTTTTATAATAAAGTTTTATCAGGATGCATCCACATCCATTCATCTCTGTGGTGCCAGCTGCTCTAGCTACACAGGCAGAGTGGAAGAGTTGCAGATGGCCAACAAAACCTAAACTGTTTACCGCCTGGCCCCTTATAGAAGCAGCTGGCTGACGCTGGCTCCAGGGCATCAGAAATGGGACCATTGGAAAGGAGTAGCCGGGCTACATGGTTTTTCTTCTGCCCCACGTCTTGTTCTCAAACATGCTTCCTCCCCAGTCATCTGAGGAATGTCAGTCTGAGACAGTCAGGAGCAGGTGTGCCTAGGGATGCATGGTTTCTGAAAATGGGGTGGGGTCTTTTAGGCTGAGGGCTCTGGCAGCTTCTGTCTGAAGGCTGAGCTGAGCTGAGCAGAGCTGGGCATGGTGGCTCACGCCTGTAGTCCCGGCTACTCAGGAGGCCAAGGTGGGAGAATCACTTGAGCCTGGGAAGTTCAGAGGAGCCTGGGCAACACAGTGAGACCTCATCTTTATTTTTTGAAATTTTTTGTTTTTATTATTTTTTTAATTTTTAGGAGCAGAGGGTTAATAGGCAAAAGAAAGAGAGAGAGGAAAACAGCTCTCTCCAGTGAGAGAGAGGGTACTTCTGAAAGGAAAACGCCACCGGCAGCAGATGCACTGGATTTTATAGTCAGGCTTGAGGAGGTGGTGTCTGATTTACATAGGGCTCACAGATTGGTTCAGTCAGGTATGATGTTTACATAGCGCTGGGGTGTGGGGAAGGCTGACCTCCCCACTCTAATCTTATTATGCAAATGAACTTTCCCCTTGGCCAGCACCATCTTGTCTGCTCCTTACTGTGCACGTGGCTGGCAGAGAAGGGAAGATGGAGCCGCCATTTTGAACATGATTGGCACAACTGCCTGCATCTATGTCTGCAGCTCGATTTTACACGCTGCTCTTTGTTAGAAAGGAAAATGATTTGGGGCTGCTTTTCAGTAAAAGGAAAACCTTACTGAGGACTTCTGTATCCTCACTATCTAAGTAATTTCCTCTTAACTCCTGTATCATTCCCCACTCTGGAGTGGTAACCCTAACTGCTCTTCGGGGTTGTTTGATGATGACTCTTTCTGGCTACTTCATACTTAAAAGGGGTGTTGTGTGGGGAACAGAAGCTAAGGGCTCCTCCTGGGGTCGAGCTAAGGGTCCTCGGAAAAAAGGCATGTCCGTGCATGGTTCTGTCTGCAGCACCATTTAGAGTTTGATTACTGTCAGCCATTCTGATGGGTTGTAACACTGGTTTGCCTCCACCAGATGTTGAGATAGTTTCCAGATTCCAGAGAAACCAGGCAGAGAGAAACAAACATGCTCCAAATTTTCTTCACAGGAGTATACCTTATTCAATTATTAAAGGCCATAAATAGTTCACAATAAGTTTTCTTGACTCGTTTTGATGAGTGTTGTACCTTGGGATCCCGGATGAGGTCCCCAACATGAAGCAGCTACATTGTTTGGGGTAAATACCTGGGGTTCATTGTCTCACGCCAAGAAAATTTAGGACACAGACACACATGAGGAGTTTAGGAGCAGAGGTTTAACAGGCAAAAGAAAGAGAAAGAAAAACAGCTCCTTAGTGAGAGAGAGGGGACTTCCAAGAGGAAAAGTCCCAAGACCTTGTCTTTGAAAAAGCAGTAGCTCATGCCTGTAATCGTAGTGCTTTGGGAGGTCGAGACAGGAAGATTGCTTGAGCCCAGGAGTTGGAGACCAGCCCGAGTGACATAGGAAGACCATGTTTGCAAAAAACAAAAAAATTAGCCAGATGTGGTGCACACCTGTATTCCCAGCCCCTCGGAGGTTGAGGTGAGAGGGTGGCTTGAGCCCAGGAGTTCAAGGCTGCAGTGAGCTATGATCGTGTCACTACTCCAGCCAGGGTGACAGAGACCCTGTCTCTTAAAAAAGATTAAAAAAAAAAAAAAAGTCAAGTGCCTACCAGATGCCTAATTCTTTTTTTTTTTTTTTTTTTTTTTGAGACAGAGTCTCGCTCTGTTGCCCAGGCTAGAGTCAGTGGTGCAATCTTGGCTCATGGCAACCTTCGCCTCCTGGGATCAAGTGATTCTCCTGCCTCAGCCTCCTGAGGAGCTGGGATTATAGGCACCCGCCACCACACCCAGTAATTTTTGTATTTTTAGTGGAGATGGGGTTTCACCATGTTGGCCAGGCTGGTCTCAATCTCCTGACCTCAGGTGATCCACCCGCCTCGGCCTCCCAAAGTGCTGGGATTACAGGTGTGAGCCACTGTGCCTGGCCCTGATTTAGTTCCTTTCCTCCAAGGCTGGCTTCTACCTCTTCCCCACACAGTGACACTGTACCCCGACCAGACAAGCAAGTGTCTGCTTTCCCTTGGCTTCTTACAACTGGCTCTCTGGGCCATCTACAAAAAATTTTAAAAAATTAGTACAGCATGGTGGCACTACTGTCCTAGCTACTTGGGAGGCTGAGTTGGGAGGATTGATTGAGCCTGGGAGGTCGAGTGCAGTGAGTGATGATTGTGCCACTGCAGTCCAGCCTGGGTGACAGAGCGAGATCCTCTATCAAAAACAAATAAACAAAAAAGCACTTTGCAGAGGTGACTGAATGTTCTGGAACCCCTGGGCCATTGGAAATGGATATCTGTTGCTCCATCCTCCAGTTTACACCGTAGCCTCAGCTTGTGTCTCAGTGTGCCCCTCTCCCTCTGGTCTGTGCTCTCTCTCTTCCAGAGGCTGGGAAGGTTGTTCCAGGGCTGCAGCCTTGGACCTCAGAGGTCACATGTTGCGGGTTTGCCGTAGCTGACCACTCTCTAGCATGTGGATCAGTGGCTGTTAAATAGGATTTCTTTTGCGTGGCCTTACAACTTCCTCCTTCCAGTGCAGGCGTGTCAAGGTCCTTAACCTGCCGAGACTTCAGGTCAAGTTATTGCAAGTTCTGGGAAGACTCAGCTTCCCAGCTCCACCGCCTGAGCCCAAGGGATGCTCCATTTTATGCCTGTCACCCACGCCCTGTGACCCATGTCATGTGATCCCAGGGCTGCAGGGGTTCGGGGGAAGAGAATCCAGCCACGGCCCTGCCTTCTGGGGCCTGGCAGCTGGGACAGCAGTGGCGCAGCCTGAGCCTCTGCACAGCCTTCTGGGGTCCGGGCTTCTTCCCCATCACACCCTCCTAGTTGCCCTGGTGACTGTGTGACCCCTCTCCCCCCTCCACCGCCTGCTGCCACGGCCGGCCGTATAAATAGAGGCGAGGAGCAGCTGGGCTCTCTTGGCAGTCACCATGAGGGCGCTGGTCCTGCTCGGCTGCCTCCTGGCCTCGCTCCTGTTCTCAGGACAAGCAGGTAGGGCCCCTCCCAGCATGACCCAGCCCAGACTGGTCCCCCACGCTTCCTCCAAGGTTTTCTGTCTACCATGGGTTGGGTAGGGGGTCGGGGCTGATGGCAAACCCTGGCTCTTGGCTGGTGTCTTCTTACCCTTCTCTTTTCCCCGGGCCTGGGGCCTCAGAGAAAGAGCTGGGTGCTGGAGAATAGCAGCACAGTTGCGGGGCCCTCAGGAAGGCCAGAGGAAGTGGGAACGGCAAACAGAGCTGAGCTGTGAGCCAGGGTCAGAGAGGAGTCTGGCCAGTAGATGTGGGAAAGAGGGCCCTCAAAGTCGAGACGGGGGAGCCTCTGAGACGGACAAAATAGCACAGTCTGGGAGCTGGAGGTCGTTGAGGTGACCCTCCCACCTGGTGGGATATAAGGCGGAGGCCCCACTCGGGTAAGAGAACTGGGTTTGCGTGGACAGAAGGGGATACAGTGGGCAAAGGTGGGGACCGTTTTGGGAGCAGTGAGATAGAATTGGAATTGGTTTGGGATAAGATCGGAAATAGAGTTGGCGGTTGGGCTGGAAACAGCATTGGATGCAATTCAGAAGAGGAACGGGGCCCGTTCTGGAGTAGAGCCTCTGCTCGGGGTGGGGGCTTCCATCAGAAAAGGGGCTTGGCTCTGTGTGCTGAGGCTTCCCTTTGACATCTCAGCACTTTGGGTAGCAGAGGTGGTGGCTTGGGTTGCAGCATGGGGGTTATCTATAGGCTATGGAGGAGATGCCAGATTGTTTTGCCACCTCTCTTGTTCCTAAGGTTCCTGAGGCCAGGTTCCCCGAGGGAATGCTTTTAGGGAGGTGCTCCGGGGATCCCCCTAGGATCCGGACTGCCCACCGAGTCTTTTCATGACTCGGCAGTCTTCCCCCAAGCTGGGCTCTGAGCCTAGGTCCGTACCTGGGACTGGAGAGGCCCAGAGTCCAGCCTCTCAGGTCTTTGAGGTTGAATAGGGGGTTGCAGGGGCACAGTCCCTGCAGGGAGAGCAGGCAGTGGGTGGGAACAAAAGCTATTTCTCGGGGACTCAAGATGTAAGGTGGGGGGCTCCAGCCACTGCATGTGCTGCTGGGCCCTGCCCTTGTCTGTCCTTGAGTTAATTTGGGCTCTGCAGGGCTGCAGCGGCTTGAGTGCTGAGTATTCCAGGCGGCTGTCAGGCGGCTAAGTATGGAAACAGCCGCGTAATTGGATCCGGAGCCCCAAGCCGCTGCCACCCTCTCCCTTCGTGGCCGCTCCTGTGCTGCCCCCCAGCCCCAGCTGCTGGGCTGCTACACACTGGGCCCCAGGAATTTTTGGCCTTTTAGGGACATCCTTTATCTTTCCTCCCACCGAGGGAACTGGTCATCTGGAATGTTCTGCAGGCCTCGCTGGGGGCTCTTGTCGTGGGGAAAGGACGCAGGCAGGTGCTTGTGCAAAGGTCCCTTCTCTCTGCTGTCTTTCCTTCCTGGGTCCCACAGCGTGCGTCTGCCCCTGGCCCAACCTCCGGCGTAAAGCTTCCCTCTGTCCCTGCTCCTGCTCAGCACTTGGGCTGTGGGTTTCATCCACTGTGGTGGATTTTATCAGGACTCTGCCCCACTGTGGACTGTATACCCCAGAATAGGCCTCCTCCTGCATCCACCGGCAGGTTCTAACCCACAAGGTGGCTTCCTCACGCCCCCATCATGACAGTCCTTCCTACTGGGTGATTTCCCCTTCAGAATTGTGCCACCCCGGTAAATACCACCCCACCCAAAGGTCACATCTTGGCTCCTGACCTCTTTCCCTCATCTCTCCGCTGTGTGCTAACTTCCCTCCCTATCATGCTTGCTCCTTGGCTGGGTGGCGGCAGATATTCTCGCTCACCACTCCCATCTGCTTCCTAGGCCAGGGACCCCACAGAGCTTCTCCTCCGGCTTCTCCTCCTTGTTGCTCGTGTGCAGCTCTGGCTGGGGTGGTGGGCTCTGCAGCCCTCCTTCTCGCCTCCCTGTGAGGAGACAAGCGCCCCTCTGTTACCAACCACCCGTCGCCCGTGCCCATGCCAGGACGGGGAAGGAGCAGCCAGGTGGGGCCTTACCCGGTTTCCACCTCCCGACCTGCTGCTGCACTCAGGCCTTTGTACCACCCACTGGGCCCTCCTCTTTGGGAGTCCTGGCTTGGGGCTGTTCCTCCTTAAAGCAGTGGGAAACGCCCCTAGCAATGATTTGATCGGTCTCCCCACCATCCAGGGAAGGGAAGGAAACCCAGAGAAACAGGAAAACTTTTCCGAGGTCAGACAGCGCGTCAGTGACAGGCACACCCGGGCCAGGGTCCTCTCCTTTCCTCAGCCCGTCTCTCTGTGACAGACCCTGCCTGCACTCCCAAGCCCCTCTCTCCCTGTACGGTGAGTGTGAAAGGAGGAGAAAGGGTGCAGTGGATAAGACCGTCCTGGGGGAGTTTCCCTAGTTTGCAGGGCGAAGAGCTATGCTTTTGGTTTCCCTGGAGAGCGAAGTCTGCTGAGAAAGCATTTCATTTCTTCGGGTTTAAGCCATTGGTGTTTACTGCTAAAGGCAGAATTTGGGACCTCTTTGCTTCCTGTTGTCCCTCTTGTTGCTTGATACGGAGATTGGGGATCTGGGGATTCCTGTCCATCTCATCCTTCCTCCACCTCCAGCCCTAGCTTCAGACTTGCCCATCTGCCCTGGCCCCACCCGGCCACCCCAATGGCAAGGGGCTGGTGCATGCTGGGGCTGCCCCTCTGTGAGTGCCCACAGCTCAGTGCCCGCCATGTGAGACAAGGGTGCAGTGACGGTCAGGAAGCTGTTTCCCCGCCCCTTTCTCTCCCACCCCTGGCTGGTTATTTCTGGAAAGAGGCCAGCACTCCAGTTTCCTCATCAGGGCAGCCTAGCTGTGGCAGGGCTGCTGAGAAAATGTAGCAAGCTCAGGGGTCTTGGGGAGAGAACAGACCCCAGAAGCCTTTTCCCCACAGCTGGTTCCCTGACTCCTCATTTGGTGCAGCCGGGCAAGCCTGTAGGGGACATCTGGTCCCACAGTGAGCCTGGAATGCACTAGACTGGGTCTTGCTAATGAACACATCCCTCAAGAAGGTAACACGGTGGTCGGACACAGTGGCTCACACCTGTAATCCCAGCGCTTTGGGAACCCAAGGTGGGAGGATCGCTTGAAGCTAAGAATTTGAGACCAGTCTGGACAACATAGTGAGACCCTGTCTCTAAAAAAAAAAAAAAATAGCTCGGTGTAGGGGTGCATGCCTGTGGTCCCAGCTACTTGAGAGGCCGAGGGGGGAGGATCACATGAACCTGGGTGGTCAGGCTGCAGTGAGTTGTGATTGCATCACTGACTCCAGCCTGGGTGACAGAGCGAGACCTTGTCTCAAGGAAAAAAAAAAAAAAAGTGGCACCGGGCATGGTGGCCTGTGGAACTGCTGTTTAGGAACTGCTGGTTTTTTCCTACATCCAGGTATTACAGTGAAGGTCAAACAGTGAGTTCATGGCAGGCCAGAGCTGGAATTCAGTCCTTTCCACTCCTTGGCCAGTGCTTTTACCCGCTTATCCCCCAGAGGGAGGTCCAGATGAGGCCGGTAGCATCTAGCTGGCCGTTTGATGCCTGCTTGGGTGTAGTGGGCTGGGGAGAGTCAGCCTATGGACTCAGGAGGGGGACAGCTGTTTCCGTTCTCTGACCTGGCCTGCAGGCTAAGGACAGAGCTAGGCCCTGTGCATCCTGGCTGGAATGAGGCAGGTGGCTGGGGGAGTGGGGAGCAGGGAGGGCCATGGCTGTGGGATGGAGCGCCTGGGCTTACTTAGCTCTCTCTCCTGGGCACATGCCCTGCTCCAAACCCAAATCCAGGCCTCATCGCAGCATAAGTCCTTACCTGTAAACATCGCTCGTATGTGCAACCCTGTCATTCAAACACCTCAACGTGTTCCATCATTCGTGAACCCATCCCTCGTTTGCTGCATCCCTGCTGTTTTTGAAGTATGGTACTAGGGGAATTGAGACAGGCATTTTGTCCTCAGTGCTTATAGTCCAGTAGGGGAGAGGAGGCGTCTTCTCCCTTGCACGTAGCTGAATCTAGTCAAATGGGACACACATCAGTGTCACTGGGGAGGCACAGGAAAAGCAAGGTGGGGCTGAAGGCAGGGAGGAGACCATCCTGAGCTGAGTGGATCGGATCAGAAAAGGTTTTACGGATGAGGGAATATTTGAGCTGGGCCTTGAAGAAAGCAGGATTCAGAACAGAAAGATGGCAGGAAGGGAATTCTGAGTTGAGGGAACAAGATGAGCAAACTCACGGTGCCAGAGCAACGGGGCTCTGGTGAGACCCAGGGAAGGGGAGCATTGTTCTGTCTTGCATGAAGGCGGGCAGATGGAAGTGGGGTGGCGGGACGTGTTCGGAAGGCAGGGGTGGGGCTGAAGTGTGAAGGGCCTTGTTAGGCTAAGCAGGGCTTTGCTCTGTGGGCAGCGGGTCACTACCAAGGGCTCAGGGAAGATCCGTCTGGCAGTTGTTTGTAGGAAGAGTAGGGAGGGGGAGACTGATTAGTCAGCCATGCCAGAGAGGTAGGTGAGGGAGTGTGGACCTGGGCGAGGGGTTGGGAGTGGAGAGAAGGGGTGGACCCAGCTGACAGCTGGTGTAGAATCCCTGGCCTTCCCAGCTTGGGAGCCAGGCCAGGGGAGGGGGCCCTTACAGGTTCCATTGAGGTCACTGGGAGAATGATCTTGCCAGAAAAATAGACTGGGAACATAAGAGAGAGGAACAGATTTTGAGTCCAGTTTGGGCTTGGATGAAGTGGCTCACACCTGTAATCCCAGCACTTTGGGAGGCGGAGGCAGAGGCAGGAGGATGGCCTGAGCCTAGGAGTTTGAGACCAGCCTGGACAACATAGAAAATAAAACAAAAAATAGAAAAAATGAACTGGGCATGATGGCGGGTACCTGTAGTCCCAGCTACTTGGGAGGTTGAGGCAGGAGGATCGCTTGAGCTTGGTAGGCTGAGGCTGCAGTGAGCTGTGATGGCACTATTGTACCCCAACCTCGGCAACTGAGTGAGACCTTGTCTCAAAAAAAAAAAAAAGTTCACGGCTGGGTGCAGTGGCTTACACCTGTAATTCCAGCACTTTGGGAGGCTGAGGGCAGATCACGAGGTCAGGAGTTCGAGACCAGCCTGACTAATAGGGTGAAACCCCATCTCTACTAAAAATACAAAAAATTAGCCGGGCGTAGTGGCATGCGCCTGTAATCCCAGCTACTCGGGAGGCTGAGGCAGGAGAATTGCTTGTACCCGGGAGGCAGAGGTTGCAGTGAGCTGAGATCATGCCACTGCACTCCAGTCTGGGCACCAGAGCAAGACTCTGTCTCAAAAAAAAAAAGTTCAGTTTGGGTCATTATGAAGATTGGTTACTCGTGGGGCATCTGGAAGGAGGTGGCAGGGGTTAGGCAGGACTGGAGCTTAGGAGGGAAGTCAGGTCAGGGCATTTAGGAGTGAGATTCATTTACGTAAAGATGAGAGGGAGGCTCTGAGGTCACCCATGGAGCTGTACCAGGGAGAGACAAAGATTCAAGGACCAGTCCTTGATCAACGCTAAGTTTGAGGAGTAGGAAGAGGAAGAAGATAAATGAATTTCAGAAAGATAGGAAGGGACCCAAGAAGAGACAGTGACCTGCAAGCCCAGGTCTTCTAGAAGAAGGGCGAGTGGCCAGCAGGATTAAATATCACAGAGATGCTGAGGGAGAGGAGCTGTTCCTTCTGACAACCAGGAGGTCACTGACCAATGAGGAGGGTTTGAGGGTATTTAGTGAGGATGAGGAGGCAACATCTTTAGACATAGAAACCTTTAAAAATTAAGTTTGGGATAAATAAAGGCCAGCAACAGTAACTTAAAAGCAGATGGGTTTACTGAGGTAGAGAAAATATTTTTCTTTACGTTTTCTTTTTATTTATTTTTTTAGACAGGGACTCACTCTGTTGCGCAGGCTGGAGTGCAGTGGTTGATCAAGGCTCACTGCAGTCTCCACCTCCTGGGCTCAAGCAATCCTCCCACCTCAGCCTCCCGAGTAGCCAGGACTACACTATGCCCGGCTAATTTTGCATTTTTAGTAGAGGCGGAGTTTCTCCATGTTGGTCAGGCTGGTTTCGATCTCCTGACCTCGAGATCCGCTCACCTCGGCCTCCCAAGTGCTGGGATTACAGGCGTGAGCCACCGTGCCCGGCCCAGGGCTAGCTTTTTTAAGTGGAAATTGGCGCGGTGGATATGTGGCCTGAGTTACTCAGATGATGACTGTAGTCCTCTCTCTTTTTTTAATTTTTATTTATTTTTTTGAGATAAGGTCTCACTTAGTCTCCCAGACTGGAGTGCAGTGGTGCAATCATAGCTCACTGCAGCCTCAACTTCCTGGGTTCAAGTGATCTTCCCATTTCAGCCTTCAGAGTAGCTGGGACTACAGGCATGTGTCACCACACCCAGCTAATTTTATTTTTTGTAGATACATGGTCTCACTATGTCACTATGTTGCTCAGGCTGGTCTCAAACTCCTGGGCTCAAGTGATTCTCCTGCCTTGGTCTCCCAAAGTGATGGGGCTACAAGTGTGAGCCACTGCACGCAGCTGACTTTGGTTTTCATTCTTCTTTGTGGACTGGGGATGGGAGTCCAGCCTCAGGTCCCCTTCATGATGTGTTCCTGGCTGTGAGGCCTGTGCCCTCTCGTGTCCCATTGGTGGGACTCACTTTGGCATGAGGACTCACTTTGGCTCAAGGTGGTGGGCTGGCTTCTGTTCTCTCCCGAGTTTGCTCTGGGAGTCCTGTCTTCTCAGGGACCTCGCCCCTGGCCTCACCTGTCTTCTTAGAGCTAAAAGTTGATCTTCAGAGTCTGCCTCCGCCCTATTTGGCTCCTTCATTCCCTCTTGGGTCTCCCTTCCCTACTCAGGCTGGGCCCCTGCTCCGACCCCTGTCCCTGCTACCAAGACACTGGTCATGGGGGGAGCTGCAGCTCATTGCAGTGGAGGCTGGTGACTCGCAGCACAGATGGGCACTTTGCTCAAGTCTGTCTGTGTTTCAGAGGATTCAGAAGATTTCAGCTCAAGGAAGATATCTCTAAGATGGAATTTCCCATTTGGCAGGCAAGGTCTCACCCAAAGTTCCTAAATCTCAACACGGAGGTGGTAAATAGTTCACCGGTTCTGAGCGCAGAGGGACTGAGCTACATAGCAGGGGTTTCTCTTCTGGGTCCTGAATGGGTGAAATAATGAATGAATGAATTGGAGCCATGGCGAGCACGGCTGCTAAGCATGATCTGCCCAGTGCTCGAGAGGTCCCAGTCCCCTGTGCTCATCCCTAGCTGGGTATCCTCAGTAGGACGTGACAGGGGTGGGTGCAGTTTAGCAAATGGGACGGATTTAACTGAGTTTCTAGAGACTGATTCATTTCCTCGATGGCGGCAGCCTGTGCTGTCATCCTTCTCTAATATCAGAGAAGTCCTGTTCCATCTATTTTCAGCCTCCCTCATCCCTCTGCAGCCCTGAAGGTGGTTTTACTCGGAGTCAAGGTCCCAGCTGCCCCCCTACCTTGGGGACATGCCTGTTGCCTGTGACTTCCTCATTGTCTGTCACAGAGGGACTCCCAGAGCAGCAATTGCTGAGCCACCCCATCTCAGGGAAGGTGGCAGAATCAGAATGAAAGCACCAAATTAAATCAGAATTAAAGCAATAATTTATTAAATTTAATTAATAGGCTAGGCACAGTGGCTCACACCTGTAATCCCGGCACTTTGGGAGGCTAAGGCGGCAGGATTGCTTGAGCCCAGGAGTTCCAGACCAGCCTGGGCAACACAGTGAGATCTTGTCTCTACAAAAAAACTTTAAAAATAGCTGGATGTAGTGGGTACACTGTGGTCTCAGCTACTCAGGGGGCTGAGGTGGAAGGATGGCTTGAGCCTAGGAGGTCGAAGTTGCAGTGAGCCAAGATTGTACCACTATACTCTAGCCTGGGCAACAGAGCGAGACCCCATATTTAAAAAAAAGAGAGAGAGAACACAGAATGAATGCAGGCCATGGCCAGCCCTGGCAGGAGAGGAGAGATTGGGTGCCAAATCCTGAAGAAATGAGAGATGCTCCCTAAAGGGAGTCCCCCTTTAGGCTGGAAAAGCAGGATGGACTCGGGTTAGGGATGAAGGCACAAAAGGATCAAATAGAAGCATGAGGGTATGGCACAATCTCAGACTCAGATGCCTCAGAGACTGCAGGGAGCAGAGAGAGTGGGGCATTTGATGAGAGCAGGGAGAGGTGTAAGGCAGCTGTGGGTCCCTCCCTGTGAGGCCCATCTCTCAGCCCCTTGTCAGCCCTGTGAGGTCCTGGCCAGCTGCACTGTGCAGGCGGGAATGAGTTGTGTCTCTGCCCTCAGGAGCTGACCTTCTATTTGGGGAGATGACACGCACTGAAAAAAAAATGTAACTAACACCCCCCCACCAGCAGTCTATGCTCACTCTGGTTGAAGTTCAGAAGATGGTTGGGAAGGTTGGCTGTGCAGAGGGACAGGGTTTCAGCCCAACGTGCAGGGAGGGGACAATTGCTGGACGGTCAGCTTGGGGAGGGTGGAAGCTGTGCCTTTGTTTAATTTGCCCGTATTTCATCACGAACAGTGTAGCATGACGCTTGGCTCATTCAAGGCAGTCAACAAGGTCTAATGAATGACAGATGATTTGTGCAGGCAGAGACACCTGAAGATGGTGACAAAAGCCAGGAGGTGAGGAAGCTCAGAGCACGGCACTGCCAGGGACAGGATGAGACTAGCTCTGGCTAGAGTGTGGGGCTCGTGTTCGGGGGAGATTAGGCCACCCTGATGAGTTGGGGCCAGTTGGGAAGAACCTTGAATGCTGAGCCAAGTGGCTCTTTCTCTCAGCCCTCTGAAGACTCTAGCCTGTTTTCTTCCAGATAGCCCCTCCCTATTCCCCGCTCTCTCAGATATTTTTGGATGCTTCTAGAGCAGGGACTGTACTCTGAGCTCAAACAGGTGCAGACAAAGTCTGGCCTGGAGTTCTGGGCTTGTAGGAAGTGGCTTGTGCTGGGAGCTCAGGGGAGAGTCCCGGGGTTTGGGAGCCCCCGCCTCCCCCCACCACTGGATTGCTGCCAAAACTGCAGCCCCCGGTCCTCCTTCAGGTAGTCATTTGGCTAGGACCTAGGCCAGCTCAGTTTTCTCCCATAGAATTTCCCCTAGGCTGGGCACGGTGGCTCTTGCCTGCAATCCCAGCACTTTGGGAGGTTGAAGCGGGTAGATCCCTTGACCGCAGGAGTTCAAGAGTACCTTGGGCAACATGGAGAAACCCCATCTCTACAAAAAAATACAACAATTAGCCAGGCATAATGGCCTATGCGTGTGGTCCCAGCTGCTTGGGAGGCTGGAGCAGGTGGATCTCTTGAGCCCGGGAGGTCATGGCTGCGGTGAACTGTAATTGTGCCAGTGCACTCCAGTCTGGGTGCCAGAGCAAGACTCTGTTGAAAAAAAAAAAAATTCGTCTAGATGGCAATAGGTAAAGGCTTGACCAAGCCATTCCTTTGGAAGCCATGCCACTGATGGGCCTCCAACTTACACAGCATTTAGGGCCTGATGTGACCACCTGTGTCCCTGTGTCCACCAGAGAGGCCTCTAGCCAATTTGTTGATTACTTAGTGTCAAGTAGTAGATGATTACTTATTTTTCTTGCACTTACCCAAGGAGATCAAGAGACCGGGAGTGCTCTCTAGGACTTGGGAAGAATCTGGAAAAGAACTGGAGAAGTGTCAAGTACTCACCCTGTCCTGGGGAGACCATCCTGGCCTCGGGCTCCCAAGACACCAGCCCACCTCCTTTCCTGCCTTTGTTTCCTTTCCGAATTGGTAGTTAAGCTGGTGAGCACTCCACCAAGTCCCTCCTTGCTTGGCGCTGTCTACACAGAGGCAGAGCGGCTGGCCTGGGGTGGGGCCCAGCGGGAGCACCGGAACCCGGGGGCAGAGCAAATGCTGGTTTTGTCACAAATCAGCCGCCAAGTCCCTGACTATCTCTGCGTTTGTTTCTTCACCCATAAAATGGGGATAATGATACTTGCTCTATTTCCAGCATGGGGCTGTTTCGTGACTATAATAAGAAAATGGCTATCGGATGCTTAAAATATTTTTTGATAATAGATACTTTCTAAGCTTAAAAGGACTATGACAAGAATGACAGGTTATCACTCTTGTGAGTATGCGGCAACTTGATATTTGCCTCCAGTTTCCTGAAATATCATGAAACTTGACCAACCAGGGGAATCCATCAACACGCCTCCCCTGCTCAGGACTGTTAATATCCTTGGGATTCTCTGTCCTCAAAGAGCTTACAGACTAGGAGGGGAGACAGCCCCTGCTCATGACATGAATAGAGAACCATATAAGGTAGACGTAATCAGCAGCTAAAAATAAGCAGCCTGAGAGTGCAGAGAAAGGGGGAGCGGTTGTCGGGGCATGCTTCCTGGAAGGGGGGCTCGAGCTGGGTTTCAGAGCATGTGGGCCCCAGGATGGTGACGACAGGGTCTGCGGCCATGGGGATGGTGAAAACGATTGGCTCAGTGTTAAATGGTGTCAGGAAGCTCTCACAGCGCCAGGCTTAGGTGTTGGTTCCTATTTGATCTTCCTGGGACCACGGTAACAACTTGCCACAAAGTCAGTAGCTTAAAGCCACAGCAATTGTTTTTTTTGAGACAGGGTCTCACTCTGTTGCCCAGGCTGGAGTGCAGTGGTGCAATCTCTGCTCACTGCAATCTCTGCCTCCCGGGCTCAAGTGATCCTCCCACCACAGCCTCCCAAGTAGCTGAGACTATAGGCATGCACCACCATGCTCAGCTAATTTTTGTATTTTTTGTAGAGACAGGGCTCTCGCCATGTTGCCTGGGCTGGTCTTGAGCTTCTGGGCTCAAGTGATCCTACCTTGGCCTCCCAAAGTGCTGGGATTACAGGTGTGAGCCACAGTGCCTGGCCAAAACCACAGAAATTTATTCTCTGACAATTCTGGAGCCCAAAAGTCTGAAATCAAGGTGTTGGCAGGGCCACATTCCCTTTGAAAGGTCTAAGGGGGATCCTTCCTTGCCTCTTCCAGCATCCAGTGGTTGCCAGCAATTCCTGGCATTCTTTGAGTGGTAGCTTCATCACTGCACTCTCTGCCTCTGTCATCATGTGGCCTTCTCCCTTGTCTGTGTGTCCCTGTGTCCTCTCCTCATCACCTAAGGACATTGAAGATGTTGGGTTTAGGGCCCACCTAATCCAGTATGATCTCATCTTAACTAATTACATTTGCAAAGACCCTGTTTCCATAGAAGGTCACATTCTTCCTGGGTGTGGTGGCTCACACCTGTAATCCCAGCACTTTGGGAGGCCAAGGGGGTGCGGATCACGAGGTCGGGAGTTCAAGACCAGCCTGGCCAACATGGTGAAACCCCGTCTCTACTAAAGATACAAAAAAAAAAAAATTAGCCAGTCATAGTGGTGCCCGCCTGTAATCCCAGCTACTTGGGGGGCTGAGGCAGGAGAATCGCTTGAACCCGGGAGGTGGAGGTTGCAGTGAGCCGAGATCGCACCACCATACTCCAGCCTGGGCGACAGGGCAAGACTCTGTCTCAAAAAAAAAAAAAAAAATCACATTCTGAGGTTCTAGGTGGATATGAATTTTAGAGATACACTAATTTTGGGGGGCTTTCTCCTAGGGGATGGTCTTCCACTGGGTGGAGGGGGTACCTGTTTCCTTGGTCCACTTTGTTCCACAGCTCATGGGTTGCCCCCCCTGGCTGATCTGGAGCTCTGCAGACACACCCGGGCAAGTGTGTTGAATGAACAGATGGAGGACTGGCTCAGGCAGAGAATCTCAGGAGGTAGCCCGGCCTAGTAGTGGTGGTAGGTAGGAGGGTGGCTGCCCGGGTGGGGAGAATTGACCAGAATTGCCCAGTTCCTAGGGGGTGTGTCTCTGACGCAGGGTGAGGTAGAGAGGGGAAAGGGATGGAGGTCTGGGTCCTGGCTGCCTGTGTGATGAAAAGAGTAAGGGAGCAAGAAGCTGGAAGCCCAGGACCAGCTTACTCTGTGACCTGAGGCCCAGCTCTTCTTCTGCACGAGGCCCCAGCACGCAGTCCCCTCAAAGTCTTGGCCTTGGGCACAGCAGCCAAGCAGGAGATGGTGCAGGATGTGGAAGCACCTCCTCATCTGCAGAAGCTCCTCAGAGGAAGAACTTCTGAGTGAACTTTATTTTAGATTCAGGGGGGACGTGTGCAGGTTTTTTACATGGATGTAGTGCATGATGCTGAGGTTTGGGCTTTTGTTGATCTTATCAGCCAGATAGTGAACATAGTACCCAATAGGTAGTTTGTCAACACTTGTCCTCTTTCTCACTCCCCCATCTAGTAGTCCACAGTGTCTATTGTTCCCCTCTTTATGTCCATGTGTCTCCAATGCTTAGCTCCCACTTATAAGTGAGAATATGCAGTCTCTGGTTTTTTGTTTCTGCCTTAATTCGCTTGGGATAATGACCTCCAGCTGCATCCATGTTTCTGCAAACAACATGTTTTTTGTTTTTTTTTGAGACGGTGTCTTGCTCTGTCGCCCAGGCTGGAGTGCAGTGGCGTGATCTTGGCTCACTGCAAGCTCCGCCTCCTGGGTTCATGTTCACGCCATTCTCCTGCCTCAGCCTCCCAAGTAGCTGGGACTACAGGTCCCCACCACCACGCTTGGCTAATTTTTTTGTATTTTCAGTAGAGATGGGGTTTCACTGTGTTAGCCAGGATGGTCTCGATCTCCTGTCCTTGTGATCCACCCGCCTCGGCTTCCCAAAGTGCTGGGATTACAGTTGCGAGCCACTGCGCCCAGCCATGATTTTTTTTAATGGCTGGTTGGTATTCCATGGTGTAGATGTACCACATCTTCTTGATTCAGGCCACCGTTGGTGGGCATCTGGGTTGATTCTGTGTCTTTGCTGTTGTGAGTAACGCTGCAGTGAACACATAAGTGTGTGTGTGGAACCTTCTTGAATGTTGCTGAGAAGTTCACTTTCTCATGACCTCTCCCTCTCTAGAAGGAGGGGTCCCCCACTAGAAGGCTGTGTCTTCTCGCTGTGGGTGGTAGGGGTCCCAAACCCAGAGTCTGGGGTGTTTGGGCAGCCCTTGAAGCTTGTGGCTGTGGCTCAGTCCAGTTCTGGAGGGGAACAAGAGTGAGGAGACTGGTCCCCACCTTTCCCCAGCCCCGGGGTCTTCAGGCCTTTTCTTTTTCACTTTTTCTTTCTTTTTTTCTTTTTTTTTTGAGACGGAGTCTTGCTCTGTCACCCAGGCTGGAGTGCAGTGGCATGATCTTGGCTCACTGCAAGCTCCGCCTCCTGGGTTCACTCCATTCTCCTGCCTCAACCTCCCGAGTAGCTGGGACTACAGGTGCCCGCCACCACGCCTGACTAATTTTTTGTATTTTTAGTAGAGACGGGGTTTCACCGTGTTAGCCAGGATGGTCTCGATCTCCTGACCTAGTGATCCGCCCGCCTCGGCCTCCCAAAGTGCTGGGATTGTAGGTGTGAGCCACTGCGTCCAGCCTTTTTGTTTGTTTGTTTCAAGGTGGAGTCTCGCTCTGTCGCCCGGGTTGGAGTGCAGTGGTGCAATCTCGGCTCACTGCAACCTCCACCTCCCGGGTTCAAGCAGTTCTCTGCCTCAGCCTCCCGAGTAGCTGGGATTACAGGCATGCGCCGCCATATCCAGCTAATTTTTGTATTTTTAGTAGAGAGGGGGTTTCACCATCTTGGCCAGGCTGATCTTGAACTCCTGACCTCGTGATCCACCTGCCTCAGTCTTCCAAAGTGCTGGGATTACAGGCGTGAGCCACTGCTCCCGGCCTTCAGGCCTTTTCAGAAGTGGCCACCAATGGTCAGGGAGGCCCGGTCCAGGAATCCCAGGCTGCCCTCCTTAGACCAGCATCCCAGGCTCTCCTTTGGCTGTGTCCCACTGTCCTAACCACAGCCACTGTCCCCACACACCTGGCTGGGCTCCTGCAGTGTCCCACCCCAAATGACTTCACTTCCTCATGGGCTCCTTCGCTCAGCCCTTTGGGTTCACATTCCTGCTCAGGAGCTGCCCTGAAGTTAGTTCCATCTTTCTGCCTGCTTGCCTTTCCCTCCAATAAGATCTTAAGGTCTTTAAGAGGAGGCCCTGCAACTCAGCAGTTCAGTTCATGTAGCTGTCACATGATGAAAGGTGTGGAAAGCAGCTCCTCTGGGGCCTTTTAATAATGAGAAGCGGGCCTGGACAGGTTAGGTGACATGGCCTGAGGACACAGCCTACTCTTAGGCAAGCACTTCCCTGGTTCTGAATCTGGGTCCTCTCCTGTCTCTTGGAACGCAAGTGGGGTTGACGGAAGGTCTTCCATTTTGCCACCACCACCATCGATCCATCCATTCATCCATCCTTCCATTCACCCATCTGTCCACCAATCCATCCATCCACCCATCCATCATCTACCCATCATCCATCTACTCATCTACCCACCCATTCATCCCATCCACTCATCTATCCATTCATCCACCCATCATCCATTCACTTATCCACGCACCCACACATCCATCCTTCCATCCATCAGTCTACCCATCCATCAATCTCTCCATTCATCTATCCATCCACCCATCCTTCCACCCAGCCATTCACCCATCTGTCTGTCCATCCACCCATCTATCCATGCATCCACCCATCCATCCGTCATCCATCCATTTATCTGTCCACCTACCCATCCATCCATCCACCCATCCCTTCATCCATCCATCCACCCACCCATCCACTCATCCACCCATCCACCCATCTATCTGTCCGTCTGTCCATTCATCTATCCACCCTTCCATTCATCCACCATCCATCCTTGCTTTCATCCATCCTTCCATTCATCAATCCACCCATTTATCCATCCATCCATCTGTTCATCCATCCATCATCCATCCATCCATCCATCCATTCATCCATCCATCCATCAGTCCATTCTTCCATCTATTCATCCATCCATCCACCCACTCATCCACCCACACACCTATTCATCCACCCGTCCATGCATCTACTCATCCATCCACCCATCCATTCATCCTTCCATCCATCCATTCATCCATTCATCCATCCTTCCATTCATCTTCTTCCTATCCATCCTTCCATTCATCCATCTACCCCTCCATCCATCCATCCATCCGTCCATTCTTCCATCCATCCATCCATTCAGCCATCCATCCACCCATTCATCTATCATTCATCCATCCACCCATTCTTCCATCCTTCCATCCATCTGTTCATCCATATTTCCTTCCATTCATCCTTCCATTCCTTCATCCACACATTCAACCATCCATCATCCTTCCATTCACCCTTCCTTCCTTCCATCCATCTACCCATTTATTTATCTATTCATGTATTTATCCATCCATCTGTCCATTCACCCATTCATCTGCCCATCCATCCATCTTTCCATCTATGTGTCCATCCATCTGTCCCTCCATTTATCCATCCATCCATCCTTCCACTCACCCACCCACCTACCCATTCATCCGTCTATCCTTCCTTCCATCCTTCCATTCATCCATCCACCCATCCATCCATTCATCCATCCATCCCATCCATCCATTCATCTGTTCATCCATCCATCCTTCCATTCATCCATCTACCCATCCATCCATTCGTCTGTTCATCCATCCATCCTTCCATTCATTCATCCATCCAGCTGTCCATTCGTTCATCCACCCATCCATCCAATGGCTGCCCTAGGTGCAGGGGCTACACAATCCCTGACAGACAGGAAACTGAGTAAGTTATGTAGATTATTAGAAGGTGGTAGATGCGATGGAGAAAAACCAGGGATGGAAGATGGGGAAGACTGACTGGGAGACAATATTCAATAATTCAGTAGGTGGCCAGGGAAGGCCTTATGGAGCTGGTGACATTGGAGCAGACTTAGAAGAGGAAGGAGTGAGTCAGACAGACGGTTGTCTGGGAAGCATGAACATTCTCAGCAAAAAGCAAAGCAAGCACAGAGGGCAGGAGGGGCCCTGAAGAGCAAATCCAGAGTGGCTGGACACAGTGGACGAGGGGGCACATGGGAGAGATGGGGTTACAGGTGAAGCAGGGCTAGAGGGTGTGGGCCTCCAGGTCACCGTAGGATGTTGGCCTCTTCTTTGCATGAGGTGGGAGCCACCGGAGGGAGTGTGTGGAGTGGGGGTCTCCTGTTGCTCTGCTGCTGTGTGGGAAACACACAGGGGATGGGGGACAGAAGCAGGCAGCTCGGGAAAGGGTGACATCAACAATCCAGGTGGGAGATGACAGTGGCTGGGCCAGGGAGCCGGTGGGGGCAGGGGTGTTAAGAAATGGTTGGATTGAGGGTATATTTTAAAGGTAAACAACTTAATTAAGGTTTTGGAGAAAGAAAAGAATCAGCCACTTTAGAGACAGGGTCTCACTCTGTCACCCCGGCTGGAGTGCACTGGTACAATCAGGGCTCACTGAAGCCTCAAACTCCCGGGCTCAGGCGATCCTCCCACCTCAGCCTCCTGAGTAGCTGGCACTATAGGTGCACACCACCACACCCAGCTCATTTTTTGTATTTTTGGTAGAGATGAGGTCTCCCTATGTTTCCCAGGCTGATCTTGAACTCCTGGCCTCAAGAGATCCTCTCACCTCAGCCTCACCGAGTGCTGGGATTACAGGGGTGAGCCACCACACCCGGCTCTTTATTATTTTTGAAAACAGGTTTATTGAGATATAATTCATATGTCATTTAATTTTCTCATTTAAAGCATACAATTCAGTAGTTTTTAGTATATTCACAGATATATGCAGCCATCAACACAGTCAATTTTAGAACATTTTTTATCACCTCAAAAAGAAGCTCTGGGCCCTTTAGCACACACTCCCCAGTTCTCCTCCACCATCCATTCCTCCCTGCTCCCCCAGCAACCACTAATCTGCTTTCTGTGTCTATGGATTTGCTTATTCTGGACTTTCGTATAAATGGAATCACACAAGATGTGGTCTCTTGTGTCCAGCTTCTTTCACTTACCACCGTGTCTTCCAGGTTCAGCCGTGTTGTAGCAGGTGGAAGCGCTCCACCCCTTTCCATGGCTGGGAAATATTGCATTGTGTGGATAGACCATGTTCTGTTTATCCATTGATCTACTGATGGACAGTCGGGCTGTTTCCACCTTTTGGCTATTGTGAATCACACTGCTCATAAACATCAGTGTACAGTTTTTTGTGTGGATATACATTCTGGGGACACTTTATCCTTTTTTTTTCTTTTTTTTTTTCTCGAGATAGGGTCTTGCTCTGTTGCCCAGGCGAGAGTGCAGTGAGTGCAGTGGCGCAATCTCCGCTCACTGCAAACTCCGTCTCCTGGGCTCAAGCCATCCTCCCGCCTCAGCCTCCTGAGTAGGTAGGACCACAGGTGTGAGCCATCACACTAATTTTTTTAATTTTTAAAAATTTTTATAGAGCTGAGGTTTCACCCTGTTGCCCAGGTTGGTCTCGAACTGCTGAGCTCAAGCAATCCTCCCGTCTCGGCCTCCCAAAGTGCTGGGATTACAGGCATGAACCACCGTGCCTGGCCTCACTTTATCTTATAATTAGAAATATCTTGTACGTTCTAGTACTCTCCAGCTTTCAGAATTCCTCCCACTGTGTGACAGTATATAGGCACTCCATCAATAGTAGTGGGGTGAAGGCACTGCAAGTCTGAGGGGTGGGCAGGGTTGGTGTTTTTCTCTTCTGTTTTATTACTAATGAAACATGCCCAGAAATGTTTAAATACTTGCTTGAGGTCCCACTGCTGATTAGGGGAGAACACTTGGGCTCCTAACACTGATCTTTCTACTCCTCTCTCTCTCCCTCCTCCTCTCCTCTCCCTCCTCCAGATGCCCGGGGTCCCAGGGCTGTTCCATCACTGTGCTCCCTGGGCAGCTCTGGCTACTAGAGTTCCATCCATGGTAGTTGCTGTGAGGGCCCCCGACCACCAGCTGCTCCTCTCTCTTCTTTCTCCTCCCAGGAATATTATCGGGCAGGGAGCAGGGCCAGCTATGCCCCCACCCATGATGGGCCTAGGGCTGATGGACATCAGCTTTTGTTGGCCGCCTGTGGCCCTGGAAGTGGATCGTAGCTAGGAAGGGGGTCCCAGGGGCAGGACTGGTGCAGCCTCACACAAGCAGGTTCCTCCACCCTTTGCAACCCGTAGGTCTCTGGGAAGATGGGCTTAGATTGGCTCCCATAATCAAGGTCCAAGGATGGTGGTTCTCGGATGTTAGTGTGTGTGAGAATCTTCTGGGAGCTTGTTTAAAAGGCAGATTCCTTGCCGGATGTGGTGGCTCATCTTTCTGTAATCTCAGCCCTATGGGAGGCCCAGGTGGGAGGATCACTTGAGCCCAGGAGTTTGACACCAGCCTGGATAACAGAGTAAGACCCTGTCTCTACAAAAAAAAAAAAAATTTAAAAACCTAGCCAGATATGATGGCATGCACCTGTAGTCCCACTACTCGGGAGGCTGAGGTGGGAGGATCGTTTGAGCCCTGGAGTTTGAGGCTGCAGTGAGCCATGATTGCACCACTGCACTCCAGCTGGAGTGACAGAGCAAGATTCTGTATCTTAAAATAAAAAAAAGGTGGATTCCTGAGGCCTCCTGCCCACTCCTTTGTTCTGGAGGCCTGAGAATAGGCCTAGGAATGGTACTTTTCTTTTTCTTTCTTTTTTTTCAATCATCGAGCCCCAAACGTTAGGAATTGCTTTTTTGCTTTTTTTTTTTTTTTTTTGAGACAGAGTTTTGCTCTTTTGCCCAGGCTGGAGTGCAGTGGCATGATCTCTGCTCACTGCAAACTCCACCTCCTAGGTTCATGCCATTCTCCTGCCTCAGCCTCCCGAGTAGCTGGGACTACAGGCGCCCGTCACCATGCCCGGCTAATTTTTTTGTATTTTTAGTAGAGATGGGGTTTTACCATGCTGGCCAGGCTAGTCTGGAACTCTTGACCTCAAGTGATCTTCCCGCCTCAGCCTCCCAAAGTGCTGGGATTACAGGCATGAGCCACCGCACTCAGCCTAATTTTTGTGTTTTTAGTAGAGACGGGGCTTCACCATGTTGGCCAGGCTGGTCTCAAACTCCTGACCTCAGGTGATCCATCTGCCTCAGCTTCCCAAAGTGCTGGGATTCTAGGCGTGAGCCACCGCATCTCGCCAGGAATTGTACTTTTAATCAAGCTCCTCTGTGGTCCTTTTGCAGATAGCCCTCGAGCCACACCTTGAGAAGTGCTGGCCAGGAGCAAGGCTCCTTACTGTCAGGTGCTCTCAATGCAGCCAGCAGGTTACTTATGGTGAGGGGATATCTGCAGCCTCCAGTGGGGACAAGTCACAGGCACCAGCCTCTAGCAGCTGCTCATCTATGGAGGGACACAGGTTAAAAGAAAAAAACAAAAAAGCCGGGTGCAGTGGCTCATGCCTGTAATCTAAGCACTTTGGGAGGCCGAGGCGGGTGGATCACCTGAGTCAGGAGTTCAAGACCAGCCTGGGCAACATGGCAAAACCCCGTATCTACCAAAAATACAAATATTAGCTGAGCATGGTGGTGCACACCTGTATTCCAAGCTACTCAGGAGGCTGAGGCAGGAGAATCACTTGAACCCAGGAGGTGGAGGTTGCAGTGAGCTGAGATCGTGCCACTGCACTCTATCCTGGGTTACAAGAGTGAGACCCTGTTTTTAAAAAAAGCCGTCACATAGGGTGATGTCACATAGGTGACAGGTGCTGCAGGGACACAGACCAGAGGAGGGGTCGGGGACGACTCCCAAGGGATGGGACTCAAAGCTGAGATCTGAAATGTGAGCTGGGATTAGCGAGGGGCCAGGCTGGGGGAAGGGAGTGGCAGTGGGTTAGGCAGGTGGTGGTGTGGGCTATTGGGGGACCTGTTATGGGTTGGATTGCATCCCCCAAAAGGATGTGTTGAAGTCCTAACCCCAGAACCTCAGAATGTGACCTTATTTGGAAGTAGGGTGGTTGCAGATGTAGTTAGTTAAGATGAGGTCATGCTGGAGTGGGGCTGGCCATAAATCCAATATGAAGGTGTCCTTATGGGAAGAGAAAAGACACAGACACACAGAGAAGGCCTTGTGTCAGTGGAGGCAGAGACTGGAGTGACGCAGCCACAAGCCAAGAGTTGCTGGCAAACACCAGAAGCTAGAGAGGCAACGAAGGAGTCTCTCCTGTGGGTTTCAGAGGAGGTGGCCCTCTTGGCACCTTGATTTGAGACGTCTGGCCTCTAGGACTGTGAGTGAACACATTTCCATTGTTTTACACCACTAAGTTTATAGTGCTTTGTCACAGCAGCCCCATAGAACAAATACAAAACCACATTCAGGCATCAGTGCAGGGATCTGGGCCTTTTTTGACCAGGGCTGAGTGGGACCCTTTGGCCAGGCCGGCCCACTAAGCTCCTCAGACATGGGCTGGAGGTGGCCCCATGTGGCTCTCAGTGTTGACCGGGGAGGGTCAGCCTGGGGACAGCGAGTGTGGAATGTACACTTGCTCTAGCCCTGCTGTGGCTTCAGCCTTCCTCTCTTCAGGGGAGTCCTTTGGGAACTAGGGAGTAGGCAGCCTGGCCTGCTGTGTGGCCATGAGGCTGCCAAGGGAAAAGAAAAGAACGGAATAGGCCAGGTGCAGTGGCTCACGTCTGTAATCCTAGCACTTTGGGAGGCTGAGGCAGGCAGATCACGAGGTCAGGAGATCGAGACCATCCTGGCTAACATGGTGAAACCCATCTCTACTAAAAATACAAAAAATTAGCTGGACATGGTGGCATGCACCTGTAGTCCCATCTACTCAGGAGGCTGAGGCAGGAGAATCACTTGAACCCAGGAGGCAGAGGTTGCAGTGACCTGAGATAGTGCCACTGCACTCCAGCCTGAGCGACAAAGTGAGACTCCGTATCGAAAAAAAAAAAATAATGGAATAGCCCATGGTCCCAGGCGATGAGGGCCTCATCTGGTTTCAGTATTTGTGGGGTTTTTTTTGAGACAGGATCTCGCTCTGTTGCCAGGCTGGAGCGCAGTGGCACAATCATAGCTCACTGCAGCCTAGAACTCCTGGGCTCAAGCGATCCACCTGCCTCAGTCTCCTGAGTAGCTGGGACTATAGGAGCATACCGCGAGGCCCAGCTAATTTTTTTTTAAGTATATTCGGGGTCCCACTATGTTGCCTAGGCTGGTCTTGAACTCCTGGGCTCAAGCGATCCCCCTGCCTCAGCCACCCAGAGTTATTTCAGTGTTTGACTAGATGAGACAGATGCAGAGAGCCCAGGCTCTCAGTGACACAAAGTTCACCAGAGAAAGCTGCTGTTGGGTTGAATGATGATTTCTCCCTGGGGTGGGATATCCAGAGAGGGAGCCAGGCAACTTGGAGGCCCGGCCTGAGGGGCGGGATGGAGCCTGCAGCTCACCCAGGAAAGTGCATCCCCATGTGTCTGGGGTTAAGGGGTCTGGGGATGTAAATCAGAGGCTCTAGCAAGGCTGCTCCCAGGGAAGACATGAGATGTGTGTGTGTTTTTTTTTTCTAGGACAGTGTCTCCTGTCACTGAGGCTGGAGTGCAATGGCGTGATCTCGGCTCACTGCAGCCTCCACCTCCCGGGTTCAAGCAATTCTCGTGCCTCAGCCTCCTGAGTAGCTGTGTGCCACCACACCCGGTTATTTGTGTGTGTGTGTGTGTGTGTGTGTGTGTGTTTTAGTAGAGACAGATTTTCGCTATGTTGGCCAGGCTGGTCTCAAACTCCTGGCCTCAAGTGATCTGGCCTCCCAGAGTACTGGGATTATAGGCATGAGCCTCCACACCTGGCCTAGACGTGAGATTTCTAGGATGGTTCCCCTTAGGGTGGCTGGGTGTTCTGGACACCTGTACTCTGGAGTGAAAATTCAGGGTAATGGTCAGATTTGCTCTGGAGGCATCCAGAGTTTGTACTGTTCACGGAGCGGCAAGGTGGGCTGGGAGGGTCTTCCCTTCTCTAATGACCCAGACGCTGGAATGCTCTTCTGGTCCCATCTTCTTTTGGCCTCTGCCACCTTGAACTCAGATAGCTAAGAGCTGATCTCACACAGCCCTCATGGAACCAACTGTCCTTTGTCTCTTGGTGGTGATGACAACCATTCCTGCATGCCTCTGCTGACGCCAGGAATACCACAGACTTAATGCTGAATGCAGGGAGCTAACCCTCACCCTGGGTCCTTCCTAAAATCTCCATACAGGCCAGGCGTGGTGGCTCACACCTGTAACCTCAGCACTTTGGGAGGCCAAGGCGGGAGGATCACTTGAGTGCAGGAGTTTGAGACCAGCCTGGGCAACATGGTGAAACCCCATCTCTACTAAAAATATAAAAAATATTACCTAGGCATGGTGGCATGCACCTGTAGTCCCAGCTACTCAACAGGCTGAGGCAGGAGAATCAGTGGCTTGAAACTGGGAGGTGGACGTTGCAGTGAGCCGATATCGCGCTACTGCACTCCAGCCTGGGTGATAGAGCGAGACTGTCTCAAAAAAAAAGCTGTGCTCAGGGCGCCAGCCTGACACTACTGTGGCTGCCCCGACACAGCCCTCTGAGACTCACCAAGGGGCTGTCCTTTGTAGGAACAATAGGGGGACAGATGAGCAATCCAGGGGCCCCAGCTCCCAGGGACAGGGCAGGATGTGAGCATCCAAAGCTTAGAAACGTCTGGGAGAAGGGGAAGTTGTATTTGTCTGGGCCCCCTATGGGAAGACTACGGCTGCGGGGTCAGGAGACCTTGTCTCTAGTTCTAGCTTTGTCCCAGTGCACTGGCGACTTCTGGCAAGCTCCTTTTTCCTCTCTGGGCATTGGTTTCCTCCTCTGTGAAAAGAAAGAGTTGGGCTAAAGAGTTGGGCTAGTTACTTTCTAAGTTTCTTTCTGATTCTAGAGCCTTGAATGCAAAAATAACCATAAGGATAAATAAGATGAGACCTGGGGCCATGAATGCCAGGACCTGGCGGTGGGGCCCATCTGTCATGGATTCGGTGACACCCTCTGGGAAAGAAGGTTGAAAAATCTGGCCTTTTGGTGTCTAGGCAGAAGTTTTTCCAGAGAGGTCTATGAGCTGGGGCACATGGGCAGGACATTTGTGTATTCTTGCTGCCCTAGCTCTGCCAGAGGCCTGGCCTTCCTCCTTAACTAACTCTGCGTAGACTTGGGAACCGCCGGCTTCTGTGGTCTTCCTGGCAGTTGTAGGAGAGATGGCTGAGGACACCTCCCCGGCTGAGCAGGTTGGGGGCTGTGCGCCCTGTTGTCTGGCACTCTGGGTGTGGCATTTCCTCTCACCTGCTCTGCTAATGGGGACAGAGCTGCTGGTGATGGAGGAGCAGGGCCCACGTGGTCCAGCGGGCCTGTGTGTGAGGCTCTTCAAAGCCATGGAGACATCAGCTGTGATTTCACTTGTGCGAGAGGAGCAAAGCGCCGCTGTATATTGGAGGCCAGAACTGCTCCTGCCCCATCTCTGTGGCTCAGCCCTGGCTGCGTTCTCCAGGCCCGAGTGGTTTCTGAAGGGCTGATTGTCTTACTCCCAGTGCTCACTTACCATGAGGATGAGGAAGCCACACAGCACTGCTAATGACCTCCCTCCGACCGTGTTGCTGTTTCAGAGAGCTTTGAAGGGCCCTTACCGGTCCTCTGCCTTCGGAAAGGGCTTCCCTCCCATTCTCAGAAAGACGTGGCCCTTAGAATGGGTCTGTTTAAACTTCCTGAGTGCGCGTTTGCGTTGGGGTGAAGTGCGGGGTCACCTCACTTCAGTGACTGGACAGAAGGGATGGGACGTGGTGGGGAAAGGGGAGGCCACATGTGGCCTCAGATGTTGCTGGTGAATCAGGGCTGACTGAGGCTGGAGTCAGGGACTGCAGGGGTTAACTTTGGGATCAGCAGAACGAGCTCCTGGCCCCTGGGAGTGTTGACAGCTCAGCCTGCTCCGTTCCCAGACCAGCCAGAACTTCACCAAGAGCGCAGGGCTCACCCCCAGGCACCCTGCAGCTCCTCGCCTGAGCTGCCTCTGGCTGGCAGCCAGGGAGGAGGAGTCCCTGGCAGAAGGATGGATGGCTCCGGGCCCCCTGACTGAGCCCCCAGACCCGGAGGGCTAAAGGAACAGCGTGAAGGGCCAGCTGGCTCGGCTCCTGTCCGAAGCTGGCTCTGCTGTGGCCCACTCAGCAAATTTGGGATTTGGCCTGGTGTCTTTGCTCTTCTAGGAAAGAATGATGCTCATAGCTGACATTTATTGAAATGCTTCTGAGCACCACCTGATGTTTAAAACGCTCTGATGGGGCTGGCAAAGCAGGTATTGTTATCTACATTTTATGGGCGAATAAAGTTGTGTGCAGAGGGAGTAAGGAGCAACCCAAGGTTACTTCGCTGGGTAGTAAGACAGCGGGGGGTGGGGGCGCCAGTGGTAAGACAGCAGGGGAGGGGCCAGTGGCTCACGCCTGTAATCCCAGCACTTTGAGACGCTAAGGCTGGAGGATCGCTTGAGCCCAGAAGTTTGAGACCAGCCTGGGCAACATAGTGAGACCCTGTCTTTACAAAAAATAAAACAATTAGCCAGGCATGGTGGCGCGTGCCTGTAGTCCCAGCTACTCTGGAGGCTGAAGTGTGACAAGTAGGAAGGCTGCAGTGAGCTTTCGTCACACTGCTGCACTCCAGTCCAGGTGACAGAGCAAGACCCTGTCTCTAAGGGACAGGGTCTGTAAAAAAAGAAAAAGAGTAAGGGGCAGAACCCAGCTTTCCTGACTTCCAGGTGCATTCAGAGAGACCAGCCACTATCTAGGAGGCTGGAGCCTCAGCCCCAGGAAGAAAGAAAAGGCATAGCCGTGGGCCTGGCTCAGGCTAGGGAAGGTGTCACACCCATTTCCCAAGCTCCCACGTTTCTCAAGAAGATTCCCTCCAGCTTCCCTGGATTGGGGATGGGGTGGGCCCAGATTCCTTGACCCCTTCACCTGCCAAGCTGGAGATGGCTCTGACTTTAACCCAGGATAGCTGTTAGACTGAGACCTGCGGGAGCCACGCTCCCTTGGCTTCCAGTAAGTCTTTTCCTGTCTGGGGCCCAAAAGTTAGACCAGCACCTCATCCCCACAGATCCCAGGGAGATTGGATTTCTTCGGACTGGGATGTGGGGGGAAGCCAGCCACCTGCCTTGGTCTGTCTCAGAACCCAGCCTGCATCCCTTTCCCCTTCCTTTCCCTTTCCTCCCCAGCTCGGCCCCTCTGAAGGGAGGCAGCAGGCCCAAGGCCTTCTGCAAGGATTTCTGTTCACTGCAGGCACGGCTGATCTCTGGAAAAACTGAGTGCTCTATAGAGTATCCCTGCTAGTGATTGACTCATACTGAGGGGTTAGGATATAATGTTTTGCTCTTTCTGAGGTATTTGTCTTTTTAAAGTGAATAGTGGCTGGGCATCGTGGCTCATGCCTATAATCCCAGCACTTTGGGAACTTGAGGCGGGTGGATCACTTGAGGTCCAGAGTTTGAGACCAGCCTGGCAAACGTGGTGAAACCCCATCTCTACAAAAAATACAAAAATTAGCCGAGTGTGGTTGCGTGCACTTGTGGTCCCGGCTACTCAGGAGGCTGAGGCAGGAGAATCGCTTGAATCTAGGAGGCAGAGGTTGCAGTGAGCTGAGATTGTACCACTGTACTCCAGCCTGAGTGACAGAGATGCTGTCTCAAAAAATAAATAAATACATAAAATAAAAATAAAATAAAATAAAAGTGAATAGTCATTTATACTGATGACTCCTCCAGGCATCAGTGACAAGCATGTATATATATGATGGTTGTGGGATTTCTGGTAATTTCTTTCTACCTCCCAAACCAAGAATTCCCAGGAATTGGAGGTGGGGTGAGGAGTGAAGTTATTCTGTCAATTCTCAGGACTCTATGGGTTAAAAACAATTGTGCTGAAGTCTTAATCCTTTTTTTTTTTGAGACAGGGTCTCCCTCTGTTGCCTAGGCTGGAGTATAGTGGTGTTATCAAAGCTTATTGCAACTTCAAACTCCTAGGCTCAAGAGGTCCGTCAACCACAGCCTCCCCAGTAGCTGGGACCACAGGCGCACGCTACCATGCCAAGCTAATTTTAAAATTTTTTGGAAAGATGGGCCAGTAGTAAGACAAAGCAAGTAGTAAGCAAGACAGAGGTCTTGCTTTGTTACCCAGGCTGGTTTCAAACTCCTGGGCTCTAGGGATCCTCTCACCTCGGCCTCCCAAAGTGCTGGGATTACAGGTGTGAGCCATGGGCTCTCAGAGCCACTGCGTCCAGCCTAAAACAGTTGTTATTGAAGAGTAGAAGAGGGTGGGCTAAGAAATCACTGTCCTAGGGTAGACTTAGACCCTCTTATTGGCTGGCCCACTGCTGGGAGAGCGTCCATAGAGAGCTGAGTTCTAGAAGCAGACTGCTGCCTACTACCTTAACTAGCCCCATGGCCTTGGGACAAGCACTTACCAGGGTTTTGGGGTTTTGTTCATGAGTGAAATCAAGCCAGTTGGTCTATCAGAAGATCTCTCTGGACCCCCAAATCCCAAGGTTCTTTCTGATTGCTACCTTTGTCATTGTACCCTGTCATACTTTTGTCATTGTATCTGATTCCCTGGATGAATCATTTTAAGGGCTAGAGTCCAGCCAGGGACAAGCTGTCCCAGTGGGATTAGCCTTGACTTTAGGAGCATGGCCAGGAAGCCAAAGAAGCCTTCCAAGAATGGCTGCCTCAGCCCCTGCACTCTGGTCGCCCATGTTGGGAGAAGAGGGAAAGGCTGAGAGAATGGCAGAAGAGGACCTCAGGGGTCCTGGGAGAATGCAGACAAGCCTTCCTCCAGCCAGAATTTCTCTTCTCGGGTCCTTATGGGCAACAGCCTTCTGCAAAGTTGTCCTAAGACTTCATCTAAGAAGTGGAAGAGGCCGGGTGCAGTGGCTCATGCCTGTAATCCCAGCACTTTGGGAGGCTGAGGCGGGTGGATCACCTGAGGTCAAGAGTTTGAGACCAGCCTGGCCAACATGGTGAAACCCTGTCTCTACTAAAAATACAAAAATTAGCCAGGAGTGGTGGCAGGCACCTGTAATCCCAGCTACTCGGGAGGCTGAGGCAGGAGAATCGCTTGAACCCAGGAGGCAGAGGTTGCAGTGAGCCAAGATCGCACCACTGTACTCCACCCTGGGCGACAGAATGAGACTTCGTCTAAAAAAAAAAAAAAAAGTGGAAGAGCAAGGGGTCCTGAGCAGTGAATGTTTACCCAGTAGGATAAAGTCAAGGAAAAACAGGACACCAGAAGAGGCTGCTGGCCCACGTTTGCCCGGTCCACGAGTGTTCAGAGACAAGATCTAGAACAAGGAAGGGGGCAGGCTGCCTGCTCTGCGGCATGAACTCTGTTTTCTGAATTGCTCCCTGCTGCACTTAATATACAGCCAATGAGAGCCAAAACGTGGGGCGGGGGGTGGATGGGGGCAAGACATGGGGCTCACATGTATGCCATGGCTGGTGCTCCTCACTCTCTGGGACAGATGAACCAGGCAGAGATTTGGAGAGTGATTCCTGCCCCCGCTGGGGATTCTGTTACTAATGACTGATTTGCATAACTGTGTATGAGTAATGGTCAGAGGTATTTTACTTACGCATGACTTTGGACTTGCTAGCTCTAGTTCAAATGGATGAGAAGTCATGTGGAAGAATAACCTTGGCAGGTACTTGTTATAAACATGTGCTAAGGAGACTTGGACGGGCTGGAATAGAATCTACATTTGATTGCACGAAGGCACTGAATACATTCAACACCCAGAGGTGGGCTGAAAACAGGTCCTGACCTCTATTCTCTCCATCTCTAGTTTCAACTTCAAGACAGAGCTTCCTGGCCCTTGGTACTGAGGATGGCTAGTGCAGAGGGTCCGAAATGCTGGTGTTCTGTAGAATCCCCTTGTGAAACACACAGGTACACGTTGACCCAGCCCCAGAAGCTGGGTATCTGGGCTTGAACAGCTCAGCAGGTCATGGTCGCTCCCAGGGAGCTTTGTTCTGTCTCTTGGCCTGAGTTCCAGCCCATCCCTGGAATGACTTGTGAGGCAAACGACTTGACTTCCGTGTGTTTGTTTCCTCATTTCAAGAGAGGTTAACAACCCTTGCTTTTTCTGCCTCAGAGGGCTGCTAGGAGCATCAGAGAAGAATAAGCACAGGAAACTACCTTGGAAAGATGGAGTCCTACGTGAGGGCAGGAGATGACCCAGCTGAGAGCCTGGCACGTGTGGACTGGCAAAGTGAAAATATGCTGTAAGCGTGGTTCACACCTGTAATCCCAGCACTTTGGGAGGCTGAGGTGGGAGGATCGCTTGAGGCCAGGAGTTTGAGACCAGCCTGGGCAACATAGCGAGACCTCATCTCTACAAAAATGAAAAAAATCAGCTGGATGTGGTGGCACACACATGGAGTTCCAGCTGTTTGGGGGAGCTGAGGTGGGAGGATCCCTTGAGCCCAGGAGGTGGAGGCTGCAGTGAGGTGTCATTGTGCCATTGAACCCCAACCTGGGCGACAGCAAGACCTGTCTCAAAAAAAAAAAAAAAAAAAAAAAAAAGAAAAAGAAAAAGAAAAAAAAAGATGCTGTAAGCAGGATGTCTTGGGACGTTGGAGAAAATAATGGATAGGAGGCTCAAGGCAGATACTAATATTTTGAAGGAAGAAGCGAGGAGAGTAAAGGAGCAGGGCTTGCCAATCTCCCTGCAGTCTTTCTCTGTGGACACTGGGGCAGACAAATTCAAGGAGAGCAGGAAGTACAAAGTGGGTGGCTGTCTCTGCTGTTTGATCTTTCCTCACCCCATGAGTCACTTCTATGGAACCCTAGCACTTCATGGGACATGGTTTGTGAACTCCATGGGGGCAAAAAGAACTCCAGACTAAGGTTCATATATTTGGACTCTGTCCCACCCCTGCCCCAATCTTGGGCAAGTCTCTGAAGGTATCTGGCCAGAGCGTCCTCCTTTACAGTTGGACTCACGAGGGCCCTTGGCAACTCCATAGTCCTCTGAGTCCATGTAGAAGTGCTTTGGAAAGAGACAGGGCTGAAGAAACAAAATCAGGGCATTTGGTTGGTGATGGAGAGAGGAGAGAGGGACTGAGCCTGGGCCTGCCCTGAGGCTGTGGGGCTGGTGGGACCTGCTGGAAAGCTGGCCCCCCGAGAAAGGCTGGTGGCAGAGGGGCTGGTGGGAGAAGCAGGATTGTTGTGTGTTGTGCTTGGACTGGGTGTGAGTGGGGTGGGGCCTTCCCATGGTCTCTGGGCAGAGTTGGGGCCTGCTATTCCTGTGCCCTGACGTCAGTCCCGGGCCTGGCCTGGCCGGAGTCGGGGGGGCCACCCTGGCAGCAGCACATACAGTGCGGTACTTCATGTCCCAGGATAGACCAAGACTCATCTTACTGGGGATTCACCTCTCCAGGGTGTCCTGGGTCCTCTGCGGCCTCCCTGCTCCAGGGCCAATAGGGTGCTTCGGCAAGAAGCAAGGGAGGTGGGAAAGACACCAGCCTTGATTTCCCAGGATTGAAGTGAGATGTCATGCGATGGAAGTGAGTGTAATCGGAGGCTCCCACACCTCTGTCTGCGCCTCCAAGAGGAGAACTGGGTCCAGTGGCACAGCTGCTTCCTGGGGAGTGAGCTCTGGGGCCCAATGGGACAGCTTGTTTCATTGAGAGACTTTCTGTTGGAGCAGTTATTTTTAGCCTGGGAGAAAGGTCACAGTGTAAGAAGCCATTATCCTCAGTCCTTTTTACTCCAAATTGTTTAGCAGAAGTTCAGGGGAAGCTCAGCCCTAAGTTGTGAAAACCAGGGAAGAGCTTGAATATAAATGTGCATACACATATGCACACACCTTGCTTCCTGCCCAGGGCGCAGGAGTGGAAACACACAGCAGTGTGAAGGTCATGGTCACGGTGAACCTCCAACATTTGGAACTTTCATCCCCCTTGGGACTGTGTGGCCCTCTCACCTTTACCAGGGAAAACGGCTTTTGAGACTGTCAGAAATGTTATAGGACATCAGACCTAGAGTTCATTCAACTCAGTATCATTATCACCACTATCATTCTCATCATCATTGTCATCATCACTCTCACCATCATCACCATCGTCGTCATCGTCGTCATCACCATCATCATCATCACCACCATTGCTGCCATCATCATCATCATCACGATCCTCATCATCAGCATAGTCACCACCATCATCATCACCATCATCATCATCATCACGATCCTCATCATCGGCACGGTCATCACCATCACCATCATCACCATCATCATCATCATCACGATCCTCATCATCGGCACGGTCATCACCATCATCATCACCATCATCATCATCATCACGACCCTCATCATCGGCACGGTCATCACCATCACCATCATCACCATCATCATCATCATCACGATCCTCATCATCGGCACGGTCATCACCATCATCATCACCATCATCATCATCACGATCCTCATCATTAGCATGGTCATCACCATCACCATCATCACCATCATCATCATCATCACGATCCTCATCATCGGCACGGTCATCACCATCATCATTGAAGGACAACAGGAGCCCATGGAAAGGGCTGGATTCCCAGAGGAGAAGCCTTAACTACTGCTGTTCCAAAGGCAAATGCCAGGCCCTAGGAGACCCCCCCCAACGTGGGAGCCCACAATGGGGATCCTTAGTGGGGTGGGCCTGCGAGTAGGGAGGGCCTGGGAGCTGAAGCCTGGGGGTCAAGATTATTTGATTTGGTAGTTGCAGTGGTTTGCAACTTTGTGTGTTACCTAAGAACTTTTTTTTTTTTTAATCATGATGCTGGTGCTATACCCTGGATTATTTAAATCAAAACTGCAGAGAAAGGGAAGCATGGGACCAAGAAGCAGGTGATTTCAATATGCAGCCAATGCTGAGAGTCGCTGGCTGAGGGGCAGTTTGTGAGGCAGTGTAGCCCAGCGCTTCTCAGACTGTAATGTGCACAGGAATCACCTGGCCATTTTGTTAAAATGCAGATTCTGATTCAATGGGTCCAGGCTGGGGCTTAAAAGTCTGCGTCTCTAACAGGCTCCCGGGGGATACTGTGGCTCTGAAGTCACATGGCCCAAGCCAGTTATTAGCTGTGTGACATTCAACAAGGGCCTCAATGTCTCTGGTTCCAGACTTCTCATCTGTAAAAATAGAGATATGAGGCTGGGTGTGGTGGCTCATGCCTGTAATCCCAGCACTTTGAGAGGCTGAGGTGGGTGGATCCCTTGAGATCAGGAGTTCAAGACCAGCCTAGCCAACATGGTGAAACCCTGTCTCTATTAAAAATACAAAAATTAACTTAGCATGCGCCTGTAATTCCAGCTACTCGGGAGGCTGAGGCAGAAGAATCGCTTGAACCCGGGAGGTGGAGATTACAGTGAACCGAGATCGCGTTCACTGCACTCCAGCCTGGGTGACAGAGTGAGACCTTGTCTCAAAAAAAAAAAAAAAAAAAAAGATATGAGTAATACTCATTTTACCAAAACAAGTAAGATTAAGAAAATTCAGTATGATGAAGATACTGTTTTATATATAAAGTGCTTAAGCATTGCCTGGCAGGCTGTATCTCAGATATGTACATACAGATGTATGTCATATACATTATACGTATCCTGCTGTTCAGAGGACATTCAGTCTCTTCTGATTAAACCAAATTCCCACCATAGATTTTTCTGCAGGGGTGGAAGGTGGAGAGATAGAGATGTAGGTGAAGGAGTCAGGACTTACAGGTATGTAGGTGGTGATGAAAGGAGATTAAACTGAGCAACAGTCAGCTCCCTGTCCTGTCCCCCACTAAGGGACCAGGAATTCGTTTTGGTACCCCAATCTGACCGCGGACCTCTTCCAGCACTTTCTGTGGGTCAGGCAGGGTGCCAGGCCCTGGGAACACAGAATTAAATTGGATTCCTGCAAATCAGGAGCCAGGACCAGTACGGAGCTTGAGCCTGAAGAGAAGGCACGTGCAGGCAGGAGCTGAGATTCCAGCAGGAAGGGGTCCCCTGTGCCCTGCTAAGCACAGCATGGCATGGAAGCCTGGACAGGGACTGGGCAGTTCTGGGTTCCGGTCACCCATTAACTACCTAGTGGTGATGTATCTAGGGCAGGGCAAAGATCTCTGGACTTTCACTTATTCAGCTCTGAAATCTCTCTGACAGTCGTAAAGAAGGTTAAATGGCCATGCATATGAAAGTGCTGGGGGAAAAGTTGTATATTTCAATCCACGGGGCTCCTCTATAATAAAAGGCACCAAGCTTCACATCTTTCTGAGTTCGACAACAGGCTAGCTGTCTATGGGAACTAATGAGAAAATATTTGCTCCTGATCCCTGGAGGCCACCCAGCTTTTGGGGAACAAGGGTGGGTACCCTGAGGGAGAAGGGGTACTCCAAGAAGTGGCTTTTCTTTGTGGGAGGGAGAGATGGGAGTAGCAAGTGGTGGCCTGAGAGAGGGGGGTTGTCTGCATCCAGCAGATAGGTGGGGTACTCTTCCTCGGAGAGGGGCCTTGAGAGTCAAGGAAGAACAGAGGCTGCCTCAGCTGCTCCAAGGCAGGACACCTGTGGTCCCCTCATCTCCATGAGCCTGCAATGTCCCCCATAAACAGACCCTAGCCTGGGGGCAGGGGGCAGAGGGGTGGGCCTAATGGGCCCCATTTTCTTTTTTCTTTTTTTTTTTGAGATGGAGTCTCACTCTGTCGCCCAGCCTGGAGTGCAGTGGCGCGATCTCGGCTCACTGCAACCTCCACCTCCCGGTTCAAGTCATTCTCCAGCCTCAGCCTCCTGAGTAGCCGGGATTACAGGTGTGTGTCACCACACCCAGCTAATTTTTCATATTTTTAGTAGAGATGGGGTTTCACCATGTTGGCCAGGCTGGTCTCAAACTCCCAACCTCAGGTGATCTGCCTATCTCGACCTCCCAAAGTGCTGGGATTACAGGCATGAGCCACCACACTTAGCCTTTTCTGACCCCATTTTCCAAACATATTAAACTTGATCCTTGACAGAGGTCTCTGGCACAGATGAGGCCCCTACTCTTCTCTCTTCCTGGGCCCTCTGCTCTCTGGGTTAAGCTGCAGTCCCTTACAAGGGGATCCCCTTGGAAGGGGTTGGCCAGAGCCTTTGGGAAGCCAGGCCCGGCCTGTTTTAGATATCTCCTCCTCAGGCCATGTACCCTCTAATCTAAGGTAGGGGGGCCAGCAAATGCCTGCCCTTACTGGGACAGGGTTAGATGTGTGACTTAATAAGGTTGAGAGCCACAAGTAATCCCTTAAGCACCGTGCTGTGTAACCTAAGATTATCCGGCCTGCAAACACCTGTTTTCACTCCTTCGCTGAGAGCAGTATTAAAAGCCTGCTGGTTAATGACAGTAGGAACTGCCATGAGGTGGGATGCACAAGCATTTGTCCCTTCTTGGAAGCATCTCCAAGGTTGAGCCCAGCTGCACACGCCCGTGAGCAAGGTTGAGGGACTGGAAGGGCTCGCCCAACTTTCCCTCCATATACAGTCATCAGGACCAAGCCCGGAAGCTTGAAGGTCAGGGCCAGGGTCGCGGTGCGGGGGCGGTTCTCGGGTTAGCACAGCTGCTCACTTCGTTAGTGATGGACAACGGGTCAGTCCTTTAACTCCCTGATCCACAGCTTCTACATCTTGGGAGGGAGGCAGAATAACACCTATTCTGCTCGCTACGCACGAGGTAGTCCTGAAGACCCAGGTTGGTGGGCGTAACACTGCACACCAGGCCAACACCACATCCCAGAAGACGGGAGCTAGGTTATTATAGACTCTTGAGAAACAGAGCCGGTGCCAACCCTGTGAAACTGACCAATCATGTTCTAATCATTTAGAACTGCAAGTCTCCGCGTCGGGTGGCACAGAAGATGTTGGCAATTTGTTGGAGAATCATTTCTCTGCTGGAGACGCAAGTCTAGAGGAGAAAGAAAGGGCGCTTTATGCAGACACAGCCCCTCAAGACAAGAAACTGCTCCTTCACTACCCAGATGGCAGGGAGGCCGAGAGCCCCAAGAAGACCCCCGCGTCTGCCGCCAGCGCGGGCCCCGATCCTGAAGCCAGCCTCTCCAATGCCTCAGCCACAGAGTCACCTCCACCTGGGGAAAGGGACGACAGGGACGCTGCGGGGCCTGGGGAGGAAAAGAATGGCCCACCAGTGGCAAGCGCCCTCCCTCCAGGAGGGGCCAAGGGGCCTGTGGAAGAGGAGTGGCCGGAGCCCAGTTCTGGAGAGGGACAAGGAGAGGAGGAGACTGGGTTTGGGCTCCCCACGGAGGGAACTGCCAGTGGAGAGGCAGGAGGACAGGCTGGGGGCCATGAACTCCCCGAGGAAGTCCAGGAGGTCCAAGGGGACAGCCTGGTGCAGGGAGCAGTAGCAGGGACAGCAGAGCCAAAGGCAGAGGGGGCCTCTCCTCACTCAGAGGGTGATGGGGTCGGCCCACTGAACGCAGAGGCCGAGGGCAGCCCTGGGCCTGGCGAGGAGCCTGCAGTGCCAGAGGGAGCCCCTGACGTCGCGGCTGTTGGGGGAGAGTCGGAGCCAGATATTGACACACAAGCCAGTGAGGGCACCGAGGACCAGGGGGAGCCCGGCCCAGCTGCAGAGGCCAGTGCAGAGCCTGGGGGCGCCCAAAGCGTTAAGGCAGGGGACACTGAGGAGAACCAGTCCCCAGAGATGACTGAGGAGGACGCAGATGAAGCCTCCTCTGAAGAGGAAAGTGGTGATGGAAGTGGAAGCGAGGAAGAAGGAGGAGTTCCCTCCGAAGAGGAGTCCGAAGAGGACAGCGGCGATGGGGCTAGCTCAGAAGAAGCAGAGGGCGCCTCCGAGGAGGCCACGGAGCCCCAGGAGGCTGGGGAGCCCCAGGAAGCCAGGGAGCCCCAGGAAGGCGGGGATCTGCAGGAAGCCGAGGAGTCCCAGGAAGGCGGGGATCCCCAGGAAGCCGAGGAGCCCCAGGAAGGTGGAGCGCCACAGGAAGGCGGGGAGCCCCAGGAAGGTGGGGATCCCCAGGAAGCCAGGGAGCCCCAGGAAGCCAGGGAACCCCAGGAAGGTGCAGAGCTTCCGGAAGCCACAGGAACCACAAGTCACAGGGACAGAGGGGCCCAGCCTGGCCCGGAGGAATTGAATACAGAGTCCATGGGCAGTGAGACCCTGGATATGAAGGCAGAGGAGCCCGAGGAGGGACATCAGGGGGAGGGAGAGTCCCATCATTGTTGCCCAGGGTAGGAATTAATTCCCTAACAGCAACCCCGTCCCTTGGGCAGCTGCATTCTCCCTGGAAGTCTTGTGTGTAGGGGACAGGCAGGGACAGAAGGTGGCAGAGGGTGGCAGGCCCTTTTCACAGTCCCGGCCCGGGGAGGTGGCTTCAGGCTGTGCATTGGCCACTGGCCTCCAGCTTGGAGGGGCCAGTGAGAGGGGTCAGAGGGGCCCTGGTACTTCCGAGTCAGGGGCCCCAGAACCTCCCCTTAGGGTCCCTGATGCGCCGTAGCCCATGCCAGTGCCTCAGCCTAAAGGAGCAGCGAGCTAATGGAATGATTGGTGCCCCGGGGCCAGCGGGTGGAGGGACGTGCAGGGAATGGATGGGGGTGGGTTGGGAACTTCCCTGGTGATTCCCTTAGTGGGCTAGGACTGGGGTCTCCCCTTGAAGACTAGGCTGTAGGAAGCATTGCAGAACCAGGACTGAGGGGTCAGGATCATGAGATGAGAACTCAGGCTGTGACCGCTGTTGACTCTCAAGTGCCCACCTAAAGCAGCCAAAGCTGCCCTCAAAGGGCTCGGGGCCAGGAGCAGAGGGGGAAGGGCCGGGCTAAGCTCTCGGGCAGTGTGAGAATTGCAGCCAATACGAGGGTCGGTCAGGCACCTTCATGGCTGCATCTGCTTAGTACATGGACTTAGACCAGGAGTGGGGCTTTCAGGGTAGAGGTCGAGGTCAAGTCTTCACTCTCCAAGATGGCTTCCCCACAGGCTTCGTTGAAGAATTAATTTACATACTTTTTTTTTTTTGAGACAAGGTCTCACTCTGTCACCCAGGCTGGGCTGCAGTCGTGCAGTCATAGCTCACTGCAGCTTCTAACTCCTGAGCTCAAGTGCTCAAGCGATCCTCCCACCTCAGCCTCCTGAGTAGCTGGGACTACAGGCATGCACTATCACGCTAGGCTGCCTGCCTAGAGCCCCTCACTGGCTCCCATTGCTCTTGGGATGAAACCCAAAGCCCTGTGGAAGGTCCTGCCCGGTCAGCCCTGAGGACCTCAGCAGCTCCCCAGCACCCAGGCCTCCCCAGCTGCAGCCAGACACCCCTTCTCCTGCTTCTTGCTAAATAAGGCTCGTCTGGGGCTTTTGCAGAACGCTTCTCTCCACTGGTCACCTAACTCACTCCCCCCAGCAGAGACCTGGGGAGGCCTTCTCTGACCGTGCTGCTGAGACCACTGGTGCAGGCACACTCCTGAGCCGCACTTAGCTTTCAGAATGTTTCCTTCTGTGGCCACCTCATCATCTGTAATGATTACATTTTATTAATTATTTTTATTGTTTTTGAGACAGGGTCTCCCTCTTTTGCCCAGGCTGGGGTTCAAGCCAAAAGGCATTCTCCTACCTAGCCCTAAAGCCTCCTGAGATGTTTGATGTTTTAATTTTTTAAGATAGGGTCTTGCTGTGTGACCTAGGCTGGAGTGCAGTGGGGTGGTCATGGCTCACTGCAGCCTTGACCTCCTGAGCTGAGAGAATCCTCCTGTCTCAGCTTCCTGAGCTGAGACTATGGGTGTGCACCACTCCTTGGAAAGTTTTTTTTTGGTAGAGATGGGGTCTTGCTATGTTGCCTAGGCTGGTCTCCAACTTTTGGGCTCCAGTGATCCTCCCATCTGGACCTCCTAAAGTGCTAGGATTACAGGTGTGAGCCACTGCACTCGGCCCTAGCGTTACTTTAAAGACTATCATCTCTGACTCCACTGGACTAAGAGCAGCTGCCTAAGGAGTTGTGCCTGTTTTGGGCACCACTGTATTCCCAGCATGATGCTCAGTGCCTGGCGTGGCGAAGGTGTTCAATGCATATTTGTTGAATATATGAAATAAATAGATAAGAAGGTTTCTGCAGGTTGAGCTGTGGACCAGCTCCCCGAATGCGAATACACTACACATGGAACTTCATAGAGTCTGGATGATCAAATTCCTTCCTAAAGGCAGAGCTCAGTCCAGTGTAACTTGGCAAGACCCTGTTGAGCCCCTGCTTGAGGCCCAGCCCTCGTCTGCTGTGCCGGGGCCCAGAGCTCAGCTGGCTGTTAGCTTTGCTCTCACTTGGCTGTCTGCTTCTCTCCACAGAAGAGACGGAGGATGCAAATGAAGAAGCCCCATTGAGGGACCGCTCCCACATCGAGAAGACCCTCATGCTGAATGAGGACAAGCCATCCGATGACTACTCTGGTAACCAGGGGAGGGAGATATGCCCAGGGCTGGGAGAGCCCGGCCACCAGGGCCCGGGCAGACTCCTGGAGGCTCCTGAGAGCCAGGGCGTGCCGGGGCTGTATCTTGGAGGCCGGGGCTGTATCTATCTTGGAGGCTGGAGGGGACGTTGGGGAAGAGGAGAGCCCTGAAGGTGGGAGGCTTCGTGGAGGAGGCTCTGTGAGCAAGGTCCAAGCCTTGGGGTTCCAGGTGGGCACAGAGGAGGAAGGGCCATCCAAGTAGACGGCCTGGTGTGGGCGAAGCCAGTGCAGCCCCATGCTGTGCTGATGCCATCTCCCTCGCTGTGATTTTTAGTTTATAAAGCCGTTTCATGTGTGCTGTTTCATTTTATCTTTGAAACCCAAGGATTGCAGCAGGGCTTGTCTCCTCTTAATCAATGAGCCACCTAACTGGAGCTCAGGCTAGCAGCGATTTGCTCCTGGCCCACGGCTAGAGGGTGGCGGATCGAGGGGTAGAGTCTCGCTAGCCTGACTCGTCACCCCATAGGCCTTCCCACTGTGGGCTCCCAGCAGGGAGCTAACTCTTAGAAAGAGGCCACCTGGGTTATCTGACCCCACCCCTCCGGGGAGTGTCTGGGAGTACACTGACAGGCCAACGCCAGGGCCAGGGTGCTGTTCTGCGCGCCTGCTGGGTGCTGGGCCTCTTTGCCTTCTAAGCCTCAGGGAGCACACACAGAGGTGGGCAACAGAGATGGAATTCTCATCCACCAAAGAAAGGGCTTGCAGTGAGGCAGCAGGCCGAGACAAGGTTTCAGACACACTACTGAGGTGAGGAAGGAGGAGAGAGGTTTTAAAAAAAAACAGCTCAGGCCGGGCACAGTGGCTTATGTCTGTAATTCCAGCACTTTGGGAGGCTGAGGTGGGTGGATCACTTGAGCCCAGGAGTTAGAGGCTGCAGTGAGCTATGATTGCACCACTGCACTCCAGCCTGGGTGACAGAGCAAGATCCTTTCTCTAAATAAATAAATAAATAATAAAATAAAATAACCAAACAGTTCAGGAAGCTTTGGGGGTGGGTAGGAGAATGCCTTTTCATTTGGAGGTTTCTGCGAGTTGAGATGTGGGCCAGCTCCCCATATGCAAATACATTGCACAGTCGCTGGGCTGCAAACAGCACTTGCTGCCCACCAGGCAGGGGTGGAGCTGCCCTGGGTGGTGAGGCCCCTCCACAATGGAGGAGCTGCCTGGATCGCACCTGCGTGATGCTCTTCCCCCGGCCCTCTCTGTCTCCAGCGGTGCTGCAGCGGCTTCGGAAGATCTACCACTCATCCATCAAGCCTCTGGAGCAGTCCTACAAGTACAATGAGCTCCGGCAGCATGAGATCACAGGTAGGGCTTGAGATAACAGGTAGGGCTTGAGATTACGGGTACGGCGCAGGCCTGTCGGCGGGGCCACACTGCTGACCGGCCTGGACTCTCCCGGTACCCACACAGGTTCAGGAGCTCATTCATGATGTGTGCAAGGACTTGTGGGTCTGGGTCTGGGCTCCCCCTGGGAGTTGGAAAGGACGACACCTCCATCACGGAACTACCCTTTCACCAGCACAGCGCGATGCTTTACCAGGGTGTTACAGATGCATTTTGGTTTTAAGCCTTTATGCTTCAGTCATGCACATTTGAGTTTTCAAAGGCGATGATGCCTATTTCAATCCCTCCTGTGCTCCAGAGGCCACAGGTGCCCCCTGTCTACTCATGGGTGGTGCCTGAGTCCTCTGATCACTCCGTTCCTTCCCCTCCTGCTATTGCCCTTCCACTCTGCTTCCCTTGGGCCTGGATTCTTTACAAAATTGATTTTCAAAATAATAAAAATAAGACACACTTGTTGCAAAAATTCAAATAGTGCAGAATGGTATACGTTGAAAAATAAAAATTATATTCTTGACCTCCAGCTTTTTTTTTTTTGAGATGGAGTCTCGCTCTGTCACTCATACTGGAGTGCAGTGGCGCAATCTCGGCTCACTGCAAGCTCTGCCTCCCAGGTTCACGCCATTCTTCTGCCTCAGCCTCCCGAATAGCTGGGACTACAGGCACCTGCCACCACGCCTGGCCAATTTTTTGTATTTTTAGTAGAGATGGGGTTTCACCATGTTAGCCAGGATGGTCTCTGTCTGCGGACCTCGTGATCTGCCCGCTTCGGCCTCCCAAAGTGCTGGGATTACAAGCGTGAGCCACCGCTCCCAGCCGACCTCCAACTTCTTTAATTCGACTCCCAGAGAAACACATCGTTATAGTGAAGCCTTCCAAGCATTTCCTCTTCATGTGTGAGCACATAGATGGATGTTGTTTTTTGTTTTTACAAACATGGGATCCTGTTAGGTGAGCTGTGTGTGTGGAAACCTCCCTCCTTCCCTCTGACAGCTGTGTGCTCCTCCCCTGCGTGACCACGCCATGCTCTGGAAAACCAGCACCCTCCTGGTGGCTCACGCCTGTAATCTCAGTACTTTGGGAGGCAGAGGTGGGAGGATGGCTTGAGCCCAGGAGTTTGAGACCAGCCTGGGAAACATAGTCAGACCCCATCTCTACAAAAAATACAAAAATTAGGGGCGGGCGTGGTGGCTCACACCTGTAATACCAGCACTTTAGGAGGCCAAGGCGGGCAGATCATGAGGTCAGGAGTTCGAGACCAGCCCAGCCAACATGGTGAAACCCCGTTTCTATTAAAAATACAAAAATTAGCCCTGCCTAGTGGCTGGCGGCTGTAATCCTAGCTACTCAGGAGGGTGAGGCAACAGAATTGCTTGAACCCGGGAGGCAGAGGTTGCAGTGAGCTGAGATTGTGCCACTGCACTCCAGCCTGGGTAACAGAGCAAGACTCCATCTCAAAACAAACAAACAAACAAACAAACAAACAAACAAAACACACACACAAAAATTGGGCCCAGCGTGATGGCTCATAGCACTTTTAAAAACAATCCGATGGCCGGGCACAGTGGCTCACACCTATAGTCCCAGCAGTTTGGGAGGCTGAGGCGAGCAGATCCCTTGAGGCCAGGAGTTTGAGACCAGCCTGGCCAACATGGCAGAACCCTGCCTCTACTAAAAATCCAAAAATTGGCTGGGTGTGGTGGTGGGTGCCTATAATCCCAGCTACTGGGGAAGCTGAGGTACGAGAATCACTTGAACTGGGGAGGCAGAGGTTGCAGTGAGCCGAGATTGTGCCACTGCACTCCAGCCTGGGTGACAGAGTGAGACTCCATCTCAAAAAAAGAAAAAAATAGCTGGACATGGTGGCATGCGCCTGTGGTCCCAGCTACTCGGGAGGCTGAGGCAGGAGGATCATTTGAGCCTGGGAGGCAGAGATTGCAGTAAACTGAGATTGCACCACTGCACTCCAGCCTGGGCGACAGAGTGAGACCCTGTCTCAAAAAAAAAAAAAAATTGGAACCCTGGAATTAAACATTTTGCTAGTTGTTGCCATATTGTCTCCCATGATACCAATTTGTACTCACAATAACAGTAGATGAGAGTCCTTGTTTCCCAACAGCAATGCAATTTAAAAATGTTACTCATCTTTAAAAAATTTAGCAGTGGTATCTTATTGTTTTTTGAATGAGATTAGAAATCTTTCCCTGTGTTAATTGGGCTGTTTCTATATGATCTCATTTGATGCTCTGGATGGCTGTAAGTGGCCAGGGTGTAATAGGGTTTGTATTCTTCCTGCTCTACAGAGGGGAGCCTGAGGCCCAGAGACGTGCTGGGTTACCCAGGATCACACAGCTGGAAGCAGGGAATACCCTGTTCCACAGCTACCTGTACTATTTTTTGTAGCCTAGCAGCCAATTATCGCCCCCCTTTGTAGTGGATGCACAGCTATTGGTATGAGCTTGCAGAGCCTCCCGAAGGGTTTTTCTTTCTCTCTTGGCCCTAAGACCCGGAGTCTTGGCCCTCCTAGGAAACTTGTGTGTACAGCAGCAGGGCCAGGAGCTCCAGAGTCCCCAGGGCATGGCGCTCTGCAGGGAGGTCCCGCTTCCTTGCCCCTGCACTCACCTTTTGGGCTTGGTTCTTAACTCCTAGTCTCTGGCCAGCTTCCTTGTAACCTCTCCCAGGCTCACCTCCCACCTCCTGTATAGGCCAGCGGTGCCCCCTGCTGTGAGGAGCCGAAACCACAGCACCAGGAAAGGGCCCTGTTTGTGGTTTGTCTCGGAGAACCGGAACATCTAGGGCTCTCCTTGGTGTCGCCTGGGCCGGTGTTAAGATACTGTGACATCTCTGTGGCTGTAACTGGGGATTCCTGCCACCCTCTCAGCCTCCTTATCCCTTCCTGGCCCCCAGCCAGGGCTTGACTTCCACAGAGATGTGAGTGTCTCCTGTGTATTCACAGACAGGGAGGGATGGGGCAGGGCCATGGTGTTGCTTTCAGGCAACGTACATGTGCCTGCCATGTATAAGACACCACCTGGTTAGGACTGAGCTTTAGCCTCGGAGAAGGAAGACCAGAGCATCCGAAGGCAAGATACAGAAGAGGAAGCATATGGCAACGCTCTCTGTAAAAAGATGGGGCCGGGTGTGGGGGCTCACGCCTGTAATCCCAGCACTTTGGGAAGCCGAGGCAGGTGGATCACTTGAGGTCAAGAGTTCGAGACCAGCCTGGGCAACATGGTAAAACCCCATCTCTACTAAAAATACAAAAATTAGCCAGGCGTGGTGGCACGCACCTGTAGTCCCAGCTGCTTGGGAGGCTGAGGCAGGAGAATGGCTTGAACCCAGGAGGCAGAGGCTGCAGTGAGCTGAGATTGTGCCACTGCACTCTAGCCTGGGGAACAGAGCAAGACTCTGTCTCAAAAAAAAAAAAAAAAAAAAAGGAAAAGAAAAGAAGATGGGGAGGGGCTGGGTGCCGGGCTCATGCCTGCAATAGAAGCACTTTGGGAGGCCAAGGTGGGTGGATCTCTTGAGCCCAGGAGTTGGAGACCAGCCTAGGCAACATGGCAAGACCCCATCTCTACTCTAAATACAAAAATGAGCTGGGCTTGGTGGTACATGCCTGTGGTCTCAGCTACTCAGGAGGCTGAGGTGGGAGGATCGCTTGAGCCTGGGAGGTTGAGGCTATATGAGCTATGATCACACCACTGCACTGTGGTTTGGGCGACAGAGTGAGACACTGTCTCAAAAAAAAAAAAAAAAAAAAAAAAAGATGGGGAATATGTTAGCTACAAATATTGCTTATATATGCATTAAAATGTCTAAAATAACATGTAAGAAGTCAGCAGTGGTTACCTATTCCAGGGGGTGTCAGGGCTGAGGCAGACTGGGATGGAGATGGGAGACTTTTCACTGTTTACCTTTTTATATTCCTGATCTTTGAACCAAGAAATTAAATAAATTAAAATCATGATAAATAAATGAAACAAAAGGGGAGTGCCTAGTGTTTTTAGGGTGGCCTGCTGGCCTCAGGGAGACGAGTCTGGAGAACTTCAGTGCTGAGTTATGCAGGACTGGCCCTCTGTGCTGTAGTCCAGAGAAGAGCTGGAAGAGCTGAGGCCTGAAAATCTGCAATAAGACTGACCACACCCCACGTTGAAAGCCTCTCCCCTTCCCTCCCTGTCCACTGGATTTGAAAGCACGAGAGCATTCTATTTTTCCTCTTAGGGACCCACCTGGAGTGGCCCTTGCAGGGTCATCTCCCCAACATGGCCTTCGGAAGGACATTGGATGCAGGACCCAAGAATTGCCAGTTCATTGTTTGGTTTTGGGCACTGGCAAATTTGTCATGGACTTTAGAGGCTAGTGTTTGAGAGTGGCCCTAGAAGAGGGTAAGTGCAATGGTTCATAGCTGTAATCCCAGCATTTTGGGGAGCCAAGTGAGAAGATTGCTTGAGCCCAGAAGTTTGAGACCAGCCTGAGCAACGTTGCAAGACCCCATCTCTACAAAAAAAAATTTTTAAATTTGCTGGGCATAGTGGTGCATGCCTGTAGTCCTAGCTACTACTTGGGAGGCTGAAGTGGGAGGATTGCTTGAGCCCAGTAATTGTAGTGGGGCACAATTGCACCACTGCATTTCAGCCTGGGCAACGGAGACCCTGATTCTAAACAAAAGAGGGCAGAAAGAGAGAGAGAGACACTGGCCTCAGAGTCCAGGATTAGGCTGTATTGGGAATTTGGGGAGCCCCAGGCTGGAGGAGAGGAGAGCTGCAGAGGCTGGAGACAGGAAGGGTCTGAGTCCAGACCACCCAAGATTATACAAGCTGCTCCACATCCATCCTCCATTCTCAACCCAGATTCTCTCCATGTGGAAGCTCCGTCCTCCTTTCTCTATGGGCTTTTCTCCTCCAGATTTAACCAGGAGACCTCACCCAGAGTGAGTTCGGAGTCAGGGTTTGTTGAATTCACTGAGATCCTTCTTGTGGTGGGGGCAGACGTGCCAAGGATCTGGGCAAGGCCCAAAAGTGACTTCTGTGTCTTTTTACTGGGTGATCACACTTACGTAGCAAGAGAAGCGCCACTGGGGGCTACACACGTCTGATTCATGGAGAATTCCACAACTCAGTTGGATGGACGGTGAGATGCTTTGGAGTACGGTGCCATACCCCTTGTGTGAACTTTTGTTAGTTTTATTCCATTTCTACTTCCTGTTGCCCACAGATGGAGAGATTACCTCCAAGCCCATGGTACTGTTCCTGGGACCGTGGAGTGTTGGTAAATCTACCATGATAAACTACCTCCTTGGGCTGGAAAATACTCGCTATCAGCTCTATACAGGTAATCAATATTCTTGTGTGATTGTTGGGATTTGAATGTTGTATGTAAAAGCACCATGAAAATTTAAATCACTGGCCGGACATTATGACTCATGCCTGTAATCCCAGCACATTGGGAGGCCAAGGCAGTGGATCACTTGAGGCCGTCAGTTTGAGACCAGCCTGGCCAACATGGCAAAAACCCATCTCTACTAAAAAAAAAATACAAAAATTAGCTAAGCATGGTGACACGTTCCTGTAATCCCAGCTACTCAGGAACTTGAGACATGAGAATTGCTTGAACCTAGAAGGCAGAGATTGTAGTGAGCTGAGATTGTGCCACTGCACTCCAGCCTGGGTGACAGAGCGAGACTCCGTCTCAAAAAAAAAAAAAAAAAAGGAAAGAAAAGTTATGCCACATGCACGTGTTAAAATACAAAATTTGAAAAAGGCTGTGCATGGTGGCTTTATGCCTGTAATCCCAGCACTTTGGGAGGCTGAGGCAGGAGGATGACCTGAGGTCAGGAGTTCGAGACCAGCCTGGCCAACATGGTGAAACCCCGTCTCTACTAAAAATACAAAAAATTAGCTGGGTGTGATGGCGGGTGCCTGTAGTCCCAGCTACTTGGGAGGCTGAGGCAGCGGAATTGCTTGAACCCAGGAGGCAGAGGTTGCAGTGAGCCAAAATCGCGCCACTGCACTCCAGCCTGGGCGACAGAGTGAGACTCTGTCTCACAAAAAAAAAAAAAAAAAAAAAAAAGAAAATTTGGAAAAAACAGAAAACAAAAAAAGACATCTGCACCAATGTCCATAGCAGCATTATTCACAATAGCCAAAACATGGAAACCAGTCAAATGTTCATCAATGGATGAAAGGATCAAGAAAATGTGGTCTGTTCATACATAAATTATTATTCAGCCTTAAAAAGGAATGAAATTCTGATATCTGCTACATGGATGAACCATGAAGACATTATGCTAAAAGAAAGAAGACAGACACAAGAGGACAAATACTGTCTGATTTCACTTATATGACAGTAGGCGGCTGGGCGCGGTGGCTCACGCCTGTAATCCCAGCACTTTGGGAGGCCGAGGTGGGTTGATCACAAGGTCAGGACTTCAAGACCAGCCTGGCCAAGATGGTGAAACCTTGTCTCTACTAAAAATACAAAAATTAGCTGGGCATGGTGCTGGGCACCTGTAATCCCAGCTACTTGGGAGGCTGAGGCAGGAGAATCGCTTGAACCCGGGGGCGGAGGTTGCAGTGAGCTGAGATCATGCCACTGCACTCCAGCCTGGGCGATAGAGTGAGACTCTGCTCCAAAAAGGAAAAAAAAAAAAAAAAAAAAAGAAGGCAAAATCAGAGAGAGAGACGCCAGAGTGCTTGTAACCAGGGACTGGGGGAAGAGGAAATGGGGAATGACTGTTTAATGGATACAGAGTTTTCAGTTGGGAAGATAAAAACATTCTGGACCTGGATGGTGGCGATGGTTGCACAACAGGGTGAATGTGCTTAATGCCACTGAACTGCATGCTTTAAAATGATTAAAATGGTAAATTTAGGCCAGGAGCAATGGCCCACACCTGTAATCCCAGCACTTCGGGAGGCCAAGGTGGGCAGATCATTAAGGTCAGAAGTTCGAGACCAGCCTGGCCAACACGGTGAAACTCTGTCTCTACTAAAAATACAAAAATTAGCCAGGCATGGTGGCGAGTGCCTGTAATCTCAGCTACTCGGGAGGCTGAGGTGGGAGAATCGCTTGAACCTGGGAGATGGAGGCTGCAGTGAGCTGAGATTGCACCACTGCTTTCCAGCCTGGGTGACAGAGCAAGACTCCATCTCAAAAAGAAAAAAAAGGTAAATTTTATGTTATGTATGTTTTACCACAATTAAAAGAAAGCCCCAATAGCTTGGCAAACATATCCAATTCTGTTGCAAAAGTCTCCCTGTGACACCAGGCATATACACATGCTTCTCAGTAGATCTGTTTCACAGAGATCATGTATTCCTTCACCTCTCACCCCGTGTGCCCAGGCGCTGAACCCACCACCTCTGAGTTCACGGTCCTCATGCATGGGCCTAAGCTGAAAACCATCGAGGGCATCGTCATGGCTGCTGACAGCGCCCGTTCCTTCTCACCCCTTGAGAAGTTTGGCCAGAATTTCCTAGAGAAGCTGATTGGCATTGAGGTTCCCCACAAACTTCTGGAGAGGGTCACTTTTGTGGATACACCAGGCATCATCGAGAACCGCAAGCAGCAAGAAAGAGGTAATTTAGCCCTCATTTCTGAACAGTGTAAGCTCTGTTTCAAAAAATTATTTTTGGCCAGGCATGATGGCTCATGCCTGTGATCCCAACTCTTTGGGAGACCAAGACAGGAGGATCCCTTGAGGCCGGAGGTTCAAGACCAGCCTGAGCAACATAGTGAAACCTCATCTCTACAAAAAAATTTAAACAATAGCCAGGCATGTTCGCATGTGCCTATGGTCCTAGCTACCCAGGAGGCTGAGGTGGGAAGATTGCTTGAGCTGAGGAAGTTGAGGCTGCAATGAGCCGTAATCGTGCCACTCTACTCCAGCCTGGGCAAGAGTGAGACCCTAACTTATATAAATAAATGAATAAATAAGGCTGGGCACAGTGGCTCACACCTGTAATCCCAGCACTCTGGGAGGCCAAGGCAGGTGGATCACTTAAGCCCAGGTGTTCTAGACCAGCTTGGACAACATGGCAAAACCCCGCCTCTACAAAAAATATAAAAATTAGGTTGGCATGGTGGCACATGACTGTAGTCCCAGCTACTCGGGAGGCTGAGTTGGGAGGATTGCTTGAGCCCAGGAGGTCAAGGCTGCAGTGAGCTGTGGTCATGCTACTGCACTCCAGCCTTAGTGACACAGCAAGACTCTGTCTCAGAAAAAAAAAAAGGAAGAAAAGAAAACTACTTTTGACAGTGGGTGGTAGGCAGGCAGGGAGAGGAAGTGTGCCCAGTGTTGCCTAAGACCAGGAGAGGCATTCTTAACTTCCACCCTTCTTGTCGTTACTGCGATGCCATCTGGGTTTTGGAGTGCCTGGTGCTCCTACCTCCCCAAGGACTGATTTGGTTTGGAGACGGCAATATTTTCCAAAGTGGGGGCCTAGTCCTCTCTGCAAGCAGCTCTGAGAGGTTCAAGCTGGGGCTCAGTTGTCTTTGGGAGGCCCTGTGTGTCCTGTGTAGCCAAGGGCCTGGACTAATTGGATCCCAGTACCAGTATGTTTGACTTCTGGCTAAATTGGGTTTGGTGCTCCTGGGCCTGCTGTAGGTTGAACCTGACCTTCAACTCCTCCTATTCCCGGTTTCTGCTTTTCCAGGGTTGCTTCCCCATAAGCCTTTAGCAGGCTTCTTCAAAGCCCTACTTGCCCTCAGGTAGCAGGGGAATGCTAATGTCTGACTTCACTTACATGAGAGTAGGCAAAATGAGAAAGACAGAAACCAGAGTGGTTTTAACCAGGGGCTGGGGGGAAGGGGAGATGGGCAGTTACTGTTAATGGGTACAGAATTTTCAATTTGGGAAGATGAATAAGTTCCAGAGAGGGATGGCCATGATGGTTGTGCAACAGTGTGAATGTATTTAATGAACAAGGCTGACAACCAGGCCACAAGACTAGAAGCCAGATCCACCAGGCATGTGGCTATGGAGTAGGCCACTGAGTCCTGCCATGAGGCAAGGCTGTCTGCAGTGAGTCCTGAACAGGGCAGTGCAGGAATGTGTGAGCAGACGGTGGATCTCAGTTTATGGTTACAACTCCAATTGTGGTTATAAATAGATCTTGTAGTAATGATATTAGCAGTAATATTAGAAGCAATTAATAATATTAGTAGTAATATTAGTAATAATATTATAGTATATTTAATTATATTATTATGGTATAATGACATTAGTAGTATTATTAGTAATGTTAATAATGTTAATAATTATAATAGTAAATTGTACCCCTACTACACGTTGGATAATTTTATACATTATTGTAAAAAAAAAAAGATTTCAATGTTTTTAAGACAGGTAGTCCTCATCTCCTCAGTTTTCTTATTTGCAAAGAAAACTAGGAAATAAGAAGCTAATGGAATTAAAATGTATTCTGCACCAGCTGTATGACTGGAATTTTAGGTGCTGTCCTATATTTACAGCAACATGGTAATCTTTATATCAGTTCAGATGTTGATATTGTTCTTCTTGTCATTTTGGAGCTAAAAAGGTAGAGCTTAGAGGCATTTAATATACAGCTCGCCAGGGGCAAAGCTCAAATTCTAGTCCAGGTCTCAATGCTAAGCCCACATTCCTTCCCCGTAAATAATGCATTCATTCTTTCATGTTCTTCTAATTCCTCATTTCTCTCCCTCAGCATCTTTGCCATTGCCCCAGATCCTTTTAGACAATAGGACAATCTCCATTTTGAACAGGTATTTAGCTTTCTTGGAAACTTGGATTTCACAGTAGATTAAAACAATGATCAGGTGGGGCATGGTGGCTCACGCCTATTACCCCAGCACTTTGGGAGGCTGAGGTGGGAGGATTCTTAAACCCGGGAGGTTGAGGCTGCAGTGAGCTATAATCATGCCACTGCACTCCAGCCTGGGTGACAGAGTGAGACCCTGTCTCAAAAAACAAACCAACAAGAAAAACAAGGATCAGGCTGTTCTTGGTTGAAGATTGGCAAGGGACAGGAGATATGCAATTGATTTTTTAATAGTCTGTAGAAACCCAGAAAATCCGTAGCGCTGTTCCTTCTTTCAACCCCCAGAATGGTTTAGTTCTGAAAGGAGGTGCGCGGGCTTTGAGGGAGGCCTACTCAGTTTGACTTCTCACTTCTGTCTCCCAAAGGCTACCCCTTCAACGACGTGTGCCAGTGGTTCATCGACAGAGCTGACCTCATCTTTGTCGTCTTTGACCCAACAAAGCTGGATGTGGGTCTAGAGCTGGAGATGCTCTTCCGCCAGTTGAAGGGGCGTGAATCCCAGATAAGGATCATCCTGAACAAGGCTGACAATCTGGCCACCCAAATGCTCATGCGGGTTTACGGGGCCCTCTTCTGGAGCTTGGCCCCTCTCATCAATGTCACAGAGCCCCCAAGGGTTTACGTCAGCTCCTTCTGGCCACAAGAGTATAAGCCGGACACCCATCAGGAACTGTTCCTCCAAGAAGAGATCTCCCTCCTAGAAGACCTGAATCAGGTGATCGAGAACAGACTGGAGAACAAGATTGCCTTCATCCGCCAGCACGCCATCCGGGTCCGCATCCACGCCCTCCTGGTTGACCGCTACCTGCAGACTTACAAGGACAAAATGACCTTCTTCAGTGATGGAGAACTGGTCTTTAAGGACATTGTGGAAGATCCCGATAAATTCTACATCTTCAAGACCATCCTGGCAAAGACCAATGTCAGCAAATTTGACCTTCCCAACCGCGAGGCCTATAAGGACTTCTTCGGCATCAATCCCATTTCCAGTTTCAAACTGCTCTCCCAGCAGTGCTCCTACATGGGAGGTTGCTTTCTGGAGAAGATTGAGCGGGCCATCACTCAGGAGCTTCCGGGCCTCCTGGGTAGCCTCGGGCTCGGGAAGAATCCAGGTGCTCTCAACTGTGACAAAACAGGGTGTAGCGAAACACCAAAAAATCGCTACAGGAAGCACTAGGTGGTGGAGCGGTCCTTGGGTTCCTGTTGGTGAATCAGCTTGTGTCCTAACTGTCTGAGAGGTCCTGGTTTATTAACCCTTTGAGCCACACTGGCAGGAATTATTACACAGTGGAGAGTTGGGAGTTCATTGAGGCCAGGGGTCGGGGCAGGTGTGTGGGTCTAGGGAGGAGAGTGGAAACTGTGAATTCCTGTGTGCTTGTCTTGTTGCTTCAATGAGGAGGCCTGATTGAGGCAAGTCAGCCTCCACCTGCTTTTCCTGGGTCCTGTCTTGGAAGGACAGAGAGCAGCTAAATTCTAGTGTATCTTAAATCAGTGAGGGTCAAATAAGCTAAAAGCAGCTGAAATTCCTTTGTTCCCTGTGAGCTGGGAAAACAGCGAAGGCCTGAGTCGTAGAGATTGTCAGGTCCATTTTGGCTTCTTTCCACACCCACAGTCTCGCGTTTGTTCCCCAGCCCTCGGCTGCCTCTTAACTTTGGGTTGACTTTCAACAGTGAATAGTCTCTTGGGTCTGAATATACCTGGGTTTGTTTTTGTGTTTTTGAGACGGAGTCTCGCTCTGTCGGCCAGGTTGGAGTGCAGTGGTGCAATCTCAGCTCACTGCAACCTCCCCCTCCTGGGTTCAAGCGATTCTCCTGCCTCAGCCTCCTGAGTAGCTGAGATTATAGGCCTACCACCATGCCCAGCCAATTTTTGTATTTTTAGTAGAAACGGGACTTCACCATGTTGCCCAGGCTGGCCTCGAACTCCTGACCTCAAGTGATCCACCCGCCTCGGCCTCCCAAAGTGCTGGGATTACAGGCATGAGCTGCCGCACCCGGCCTCCACCTGGGTTTTGAGCCAATCCCCCGGACTTGCTCCTGGTTTCCTCAAGGGGTGGGGCAGTGGTTTAGGACACTCGACAACTAAGAACAGGAGTTCCCAGGAAGGACAAGGATCTGCCTCCCCCACTGCCACTTCTCTGATGTGTTCCTCAAAGCTGGCTCGAGGGCTCGATCCCTTCATCGGACCCAGGAGGGGACTGGTTGGTGTATCCAGGTAATTTACTCTTGGAAGTGACTGTAGTGAAGGTCGTGGAAGGGCTCAGAGGGTTAATTGGTTTGCAGTGCGTCTTTGTCTATTGCATGTCTTGGAAAACTCAGATCCCAAAGGCGCTGGGTTTCAGAGAGGACAGTGGAGACCTTGCTCCTTTTCCTTAGGCCGCCAGTCTCTCAAATTTCAGAGGAGGCTGTTTCCACAACTCCCCTGTGGAAACACTTGGCAGCGGAGTTGCTCCTTTGCAGTTTCCACACCATGGCTTTTCCTTTCCTTTCTTCTCCATTCCCTGATGCATCAACACTTACTTGGAGCAATTTCCTAGGAGTCAGAACCAGCACCAGCCACTCGGTGTCGGTGGCCACCAAGGCTTAACATTGACCTTCCCGCCTGACCTTGATGCAGATGTCCACTGAACACACCGCAGGAAAGCCAGGGCCTTCAATACCAATAAGTGTGAATATGTGTGTATGTTGTCCAAGAGAGATTAGGGAGATCACATAGACTCTAGGGAGTAGAGAACTTGTAACAGTCTTGCAAGGCTAGCATGCACGGCTCCACAGCAGGTGGTGGGGAGCAGAGGGGCAGGACCTGCAGGGAAGAAGCAGCCTTTGGATGGTGAAATGTGCATGGTGCACAGTCTGTGCATGCCCAGGAGACCCAGCCCGGGCTGCCTCGAGGGGCTCCTTTGTACACAGCCAGCCGCTTCTCTTGGGAACAAGCTGTCCTGGGGGCCTTACCCACGAGGCAGGAGTCAGGATGCACCAGCTCAGCACCAGGAAGTCATCCTGGACCCAGGACAGTGGAAAGGCAGGCAGAGGGAGAGGCACTCTGAGGTCAGGCAGGGTAAGCCAGTTGGCAGTCAGGTTAGGTCTATGAGGAGAACCTCGAGTTAGGAATTCCCGGTTCTCAGAATTGTTATCACTCTGGTGCATGCTGTCACAGGGGCCGTTGCGTTTGGCTTTGTGGAGGGCCTGGACCCTTCCACAAGAACACCCGAGGTTCCAGGGCACTCAGGACAATGTTTCCAAGGAACGAGTCGACCAGGAAAGAACAGTGAGTTCTGCAAGGGGCATCCACGGAGCCTGTGATAGGGGCTGATGAGATGGAATCTGTCCTGGACTTTTCTTCTCATTAACCACCCTCCGCAAACCCCAGAACCCCTCGCCTCATCTCTGTACTGTCTGCCCTCTTGGGGGATGGGCCCTCCCACTTTCCCCTGCCTGCTCCTCCATGCTGTGAGCTGCTTTGGCAGATCTGTTTTTCTGTGTAGTCAGGGGAAAAACAAAAAAAGATGCACAACTGTGTGGGCATTGTCATAGCTGTTGGTGTCACCACTGCTTTGGGGGAAATGGCTGGGATGAGGCTAATACATTCATGCAATATTTATATTTTCAGGGGGCTGCGTTATCAGCATGCTCTCCCTGCCTTGGGCTTTTCTTTCCGTCATGTTTTCCTTTTCGTGTTCCTTCTCTGATTTCTCTTGTCTCTGCTGCTCACAGGCCTGCCCATCAGTCAGTACAGATACTCAGTGTCTGGTTTCTGGCCAGCTCCGTGGAGGGGGCTTTAAGCAGAATTCTGACTCTTTGGGGTGGGGGATTAGGAACTGGGGGAAACTTAATGATCCAGAGATTCCCCCAAGAGGAGTGTCTGGAAGGATCTGTGCCTGGACAGTGGCAGAACCTTTCCAGTGTTCTTTTGGTTCTGATTTCATCAGTCTCAATAAAGTTCCGATCTCTCTTTAACACCGCGTGCTTTCTCATGGTCTCCAGCTAGGTTACTCTCTTCATCCTCCTTTTATCTGGTAGAGTTAACTCATGTGTAAGTTCCTTGGGGAGAGACTGGAAATTAAGAAATTGCCCACCCTTGTGTTAGCTGGATGCCCCAGGACCTTTTTTGGGACTGAGGCTGAGTTGCTCTCTCAGCCGCCCAGGAAGGCGTGGTGTCCTCTGAAACTTAAAGAACTGCTCTCTCCTCAGCACCTCAATGCCTCATTCCCCTGGGCATCCACGCAGCTGCCTTAGATAACTGAGGGCTCCAGTGGAGGAGGGCACAAAGGTTTCCTGAATGGTAAGGCTGCCACCTCCCCTTGGCTTCACCAGAAAGTGTTCTCCTCCTCCACGAAGTGTGGACGTGAGCCTCCCGCTTGGACCTGTCTTTAGAGAAACCTGAACGCGTCCTTGACTCCCTGAGCCCTTTCTATCACATTTTCCTGTTTCTAGTATCCTCTTCAGAGCAGAGGTCGTTTAATTTTTATGTTTTACTTCTGGGGTCTTCGAAGGAGTTTCACATCTTGCTTGAGAACAGGTTTTTTGTTGTTTTCTTTTCTTTTTCTTTTTTTTTTTTTTTGAGACGGAGTCTCGCTCTGTCGCCCAGGCTGGAGTGCAGTGGCGCAATCTCGGCTCACTACAAGCTCCGCCCCCTAGGTTCACGCCACTCTCCTGCCTTAGCCTTTCGAGTAGCTGGGACTACAGGCGCCCGCCACCACGCCCGGCTAATTTTTTGTATTTTTAGTAGAGACGGGGTTTCACTGCGTTAGCCAGGATGGTCTCGATCTCCTGACCTCGTGATCTGCCCATCTTGGCCTCCCAAAGTGCTGGGATTACAGGCATGAGTCACTGCACCCGGCTGGTTTTCTGTTGTTTTCGATTTTTTTTTTTTTTTTTTTCTGAGATGGAGTCTCGCATTGTTGCCCAGGCTAGAGTGCAGTGGCGCCATCTCAGCTCACTGCAACCTCCGCCTCCCGGGTTCAAGCGATTCTCCTGCCTCAGCCTCCTGAGTAGCTGGGACTACAGGCACATAACACCATGCTTGGCTCATTTTTGTATTTTTGGTAGAGATAGGGTTTCACCATGTTGGCCAGGCTGATCTTGTACTCCTCACCTCAAGTGATCCGCCTGCCTCGGCCTCCCAAAGTGCTGGGATTACAGGCTTGAGCCACCACATCTACCCATTTTTTTTTTTTGAGACGGAGTCTCGCTCTGGCACCCAGGCTGGAGTGTAGTAGCGCGATCATAGTTCATTGCAGCCTTAACCTCCTGGGCTCAAGCAATCCTCCTGCTTCAGCCTTCTGAGTAGCTGGGACTACAAGCACATGCCACCATGTCTGACTAATTGAAAAAAACATTTTTTTTTTTTTGTAGGGATGAGGTTTCATTATGTTGCCCAGGCTGGTCTCAAACTCCTGGCCTTATTCCATCCTCCTGCCTCAGCCTCCCAAAGTGTTGGGATTAGAGATGTGAGCCATCTTGCAGGTAGACAGCGGGTTTTGAAAGGGAAAAAACTGGGCCCTGGGGAGAAAGGGAGAGTCTGCAGTCCTTGGTCTTTGAGCAACTGAGCAACATGACCCAACTAAGGCCACTCCTGTTCACCCACCCAACCCTGCGTCCCTCTTCCACCCTTTCCCGGGAGAAATCCAGAGCTCTTGCCTGGAAGAAGGAGGACTGTTTTAAAGATAAATGTTAAGTAATATGCCAGAATCTGCCTCAAAATTGTACTGTTTCACAAGCCTCACCATCTTCACATTGTCTGCCATTAAGATGATAGAGAAACAGAAACAGAAAACGGAGAAAGCACAATCCGGGACCAGGATAAACATAGATAAAGTGAGGGGCATGAATGGAGTATTTTTAAGGGTAAGTGGATGTATCATCTGAATCCATGGGGGTTACACATGGTTATATGCAAAAGGTGTGTGCAAATACATATGTAAAGTCCATGAGTGTGGGGAAACAGGTGGCCAGGTACTTAGCACAGTGCCTGACACACAGGAGCTCATCACCCGTGTGCCATCAGAGTGAATAAGTGGGTTTGGGGGAGTAAAGAAGGTGTCTGTGCGGTTTTTTGAGACAGGGTCTCACTCTGTCACCCAGGCTGCACCCAGGCTGGGTGACGTGATGCAACCACAGCTCACTGCAGCCTTGAATTACTGGCCTCTAACGATCCTCCTTCCTCAGCTCAGCTTCCCAAGTAGCTGGAACTATAGGTGCACATCACCACACCCAGCTAATTAAAAAAGGTTTTTTTTTTGGCTGGGTGCGGTGGCTCATGCCTGCAATCCTAGCACTTTGGGAGGCCGAGGTGGGCAGATCACTTGAGATCATGAGTTCAAGACCAGCCTGGTCAACATGGTGAAACCCAGTCTCTACTAAAAATACAGAAATTAGCCAGGCATTGCGGAGGGTGCCTGTCATCCCAGCTACTTGGGAGGCCGAGGTAGGAGAATTGCTTGAACCCAGGAGGCAGAGGTTGCAGTGAGCTGAGATGGCACCACTACACTCCAGGCTGAGTGTTTTTTTTTTTAGAGAGATGGGATCTTGTCATCTTGCCCCGGCTAGTCTCAAACCCCTGGGCTCAAGTGATCCTCTCACCTCAGATCATTTTTCTTTAGAAGAAAGTAAAGGCAATAAAAAAGCATTAGAAAAACAAACTGGCTGGGCTAGGTGGCTCACACCTGTAATCCTAACACTTTAGGAAGCCAAGGTGGGAAGGTCATTTGAGGACAGGAGTTCAAGACTGGCCTGGGAAACATAGTGAGACCTCCTCTCTACAACAACAACAACAAAATTAGCTGGGTGTGGTGGCATGTGCCTGTAGTCCCAGCTACTCAGGTGGCTGAGGTTGGAGGATCGCTTGAGCCCAGGAGGTAGAGGCTGCAGTGAGCCATGATCCCACCACTGCACTCCAGCCTGGGAAACAGAGCAAGAACCTGTCTCCGTTAAAAAACAAAACAAATAGAAACTGAGAGTAGTGTGATGTGACATGAGGTTGTCTGTAGAATGCTGACCAGCCTGGCCAACATGACGAAACCCCGTCTCTACCAAAAATACAAAAATTAGCTGGGCGTGGTGGTGCATGCCGGTGGTCCCAGCTACTTGTAGGCTGAAGCATGAGAATCGCTTAAGCCTGGGAGGTGGAGATTGCAGTGAGCTGAGATCGCGCCACTGCATTACAGCCTGGGCGACAGAGCGAAACTCTGTCTCAAAAAAAAATATATATATATTATATATCTCTATATATATCTATATATATTTTATATTTTTTATATATAAAATATATAAAAAATTTGCTGGGCGCAGTGGCTCACGCCTGTAATCCCAGCACTTTGGGAGGCCGAGGCGGGTGGATCATGAGGTCAGGAGATTGAGACCACCCTGGCTAACACGGTGAAACCCCGTCTCTACTAAATATATATAAAAAAAAAAATTAGCCGGGTGTGGTGGCGGGTGCCTGTAGTCCCAGCTGCTTGGGAGGCTGAGGCAGGAGAATGGCGTGAACCTGGGAGGCGGAGCTTGCAGTGAGCCGAGATGGCGCCACTGCACTCCAGCCTGGGTGACAGAGTGAGACTCCGTCTCAAAAAAAAAAAAAATTATATATATACATATATATACACACACACATATATATATATATAAAGTAATTTTCATTAGAAAATTTACTGAGGATTATTTCCTGAACAAAAAAATACTTTAAAAAAATCTTAACTCCATCTCCATTTCATATTTGATCTTTACCATGATCTTGTAAAGTAGATGGGGGCAGGGATATTTCTTATTCCTAAATCCAAATCTAATGTGGGGAAACTGCATCTACAGAGGTGCAGTTTTGCCTGAGTTCGGCCTGAGTTCACTCTGCTAATGCAAGACAAACCACACCAAAAGGCCAATTTCGTACCCATCCCAATATCCTTTCTACTCTATTCCATCACATTGATTTGCGGTAATCTAGAGCTGACAGCATATTGTGCACTGTATATTTTTCAGACCCACTAAAAGATGAGATTTTGTATTGTGAAGAGTGCAAAAAGATGTTATATTTCCATTTTTTCCAAACTTCTTAATTTTTTCCCACCACGATTCCAAAAAAATTTAGATATTCTGCATATTAAGGCATAGTCTCTCCCCTGGGGGATGTAGCCATCTAGTAAGGGATACAGCGCACAATTGCAAATCAGGATACAGGGGTCTGGCAAAGGACTGTCTTTCTCATTTGCAAATGTAATTATTTGCAAAGCCTGATCAATGCATATAAGTTGATAAATTATGTAATGGATTACTTCTGTTGAGAAGAATCAATTGACACAACCTCAGGGCTCTTCAGAGAATACTGAGACACACTGTGGGGCTATGGAGTTTGGTTGGGGAAGGAGTGGAGTTTTAGCTACACTTTGAGGGATGGGCAGGTTTGGTGGGTCACAGATTAGGGGGGTGGAGCACGGGAAGATCGAGGGCGCCCAGACGCAGACAAGGGAAGACCGCTGTGTGTGGCGGGGATAAGGGAATGGAAGAGCAGCCAAGGTGAGAGGAGGTGAATTAGGGAATACTGGGCCTTCAGGGGAAGCCCAGGGAGTCTAGGCCTGAGGCCACTGCAGGTTTCTGAGAAGGGAAGACCAGCGGGCAGCGGTGCTAGGGCGATATGGGGAGGCCGGAGCGTGGCATGCAGGAGCCAAGGGCCTGCCCCTGGGTCTGCTGCGTTGGGGGGAGCGTGGGGTCTCTGTCCTCCCCCGATGCTGCCCCACTCCAATCCGATGCCAGCGCCCCACAAGGCGGCCGCGAGCAGAAGCCCATCCACCCCATCGGCCTGGCCGCCCGGGGGACCCCGCCCGCCCTGGGCGGGCGCCAATGTGTCCCTTTTCTGGATCCTTTGGGAATCAATTAAGATCGCGGTGACAGGGCCCCCAGGTCGTAGGAGCACCCGGGCCACCACTCCCCGCGCGGCGTGGACGGGCTTCCAGCATCCGTGCGGGGACAGGGCTGGAGGCTTCGGTGATCGCGGCCGGGTACGACCACTCTTCCTTCGTCTGAGGGAAAAGGTCGCGGCTGGGGAGGGCCTCAGATTTCCCCGGCACGCCTCCTCTCCTTAGTGGGGAAACTGAGGCCCGGGGCAGGGCAGTTCTGGACCAGGGTCGTGACCGTGGGGAAAGTGGGCACCTGGCTGAATCTGACCCCGTCCTTCGCGCCCGAATCCTCACACGCTGTCCCCGAGGGGGCCACTACCCGACCCTGCGGACAGGGACCGATCTCGCGGCCGCTCAGCTGTGACAGTGCCGGCCGGCTCGCCCCGCGCATGCGCACTGCCTTCCCTTCGGGCTCGGCCCCGCCCCCTCCGGGCTGCGCGCCTCGGACCGAGTCCGGGACTGGGGTCAGCGCAGGCGCAGACGCAGACGCTTAGCGGCGGCGCTTCCAGAACGCTGCGCTCGGGAGAGCCTCGGGGCCGGAGTCGCGTGGGCGCTGGGGGCGGGGCGGGCGCCCACTGCCTGAGCCGGATGGCAGAGCCGTCTCTCCGCCAGCTCCCAGCGCTGGCTCGCGTCCCTGGGTTCCGAGCCCAGCGACGCGCAAGCTCCGTGGCCGCCAGCGCCGGCCCTGCCCCCTCGCTGCTGACCTCCGCCGCTTCACGCCGCGGACTCAGCTCCCGGGCTTTGCGGTCGCTGCCGGTGGGATGGGGAGGGCCGCGAACCTCTGTCCTCTCAGGCATTCACCGCGTGGCTGGGAGGGCGCCAGGAGGCCGAGGCCGGGGCTGCCATGCGCTCCCGGTGCCTCACCCCGCAGGTCGGTCCGCCTCGTGGGCTGTGGGGCAGACGACCGGGAAGCCCCGAGATCTCCAGATCCTCGATCGGGACCGAAAAGGCCCTGAACTTGTGCAGTGACTTGCCATTGAGTCCGGGAGGTTCTGGAGACCTGGGTGACGGAAGAACGCCCAAGGCCGACTGCTGCCCTCAGTTATCGGGGTGAGGTTTCCACCTGAGGCCGGCGCCCAGGGCAAACAGGAAATGCGAGTTTTAGGAGATTCTCCTACCGGAATGTCACCTCCCTTCCCCGCCAGAAACGAACCGCCCTCTCCGCCAGTAATTGAAAACCGAAGGGCAGCCCTTAGCGAATGAAAACTCCAGAAACCAGGAGGGTCAGGGAGGGTCATCATCTGAATAGAATGACTCTTGTGGCTCTTGGGGTTTCCTGAATCAGTCATTTTAGGAACTGAAAAGGCCTTACGAGGATCAAGTGGTCATTAGCTTCTCTTTCTTCCCTCCCTCCCTCCCTCCCTTCCTTCCTCCTTCCTTCCTTCCTTCCTTCCTTCCTTCCTTCCTTCCTTCCTACCTTCTTCCTCTCTTTTCTACTCTTTTTTCTTTTTGAGACTGCAACCTCGAACTCCCTGGGCTTGGGTGATCCTCCCGCCTCAGCCTCCCGAGTACTTGGAATTACAGGCGCGCGCCACCATGCCCGGCTAATTTAGGTTTTTACTTTTTTATCTTTTTTGAGACGGAGCCTCGCTCTGTCGCCCGGGCTGGAGTGCAGTAGCCTGATCTCAGCTCACTGCAATCTCAAAACTCCCAGGCTCGAGCGATCCTCCTGCCGCAGCCTTCCCAGTAGCTGGGACTACAGGTGTGCATCATTACACCTGGCTAATTTTTTATTTGAAAGAATTTTTGCTAACGCCGTGCGCGGTGGCTCAAGCCTGTAATCTCAGCGCTTTGAGACGCTGAGGCGGGCGGATCACAAAGTCAGGAGTTCCAGACCAGCCTGGGCAATATGGTGAAACCCTCTACTAAAAATACAAAAATTAGCCGGCGTGGTGGCGGGCGCCTGTAGTCCCAGCTACTCGGGAGGCTGAGGCAGGAGGATTGCTTGAAGCTGGGAGGCAGAGGTTGCAGTGAGCCGAGATCAAGCCACTGCACTCCAGCCTGCCTGACAAGGCCAGACTCTGTCTTAAACACAAAAACGAACAAAAAAAAGTTTACCGGGCGCTGTGGCTTACGCCTGTAATCCCAGTACTTAGGGAGGCGAAGGCAGGTGGATCACTTGAGATTGGGAGTTCGAGACCAGTCTGACCAACATGGTAAAACCCGTCTACTAAAAATACAAAATTAGCCGGGTGTGGAGGCACAGGCCTGTGATTCCAGCTACTCAGGAGGCTGAGGCAGGAGGATCGCTTGAACCCAGGAGGTGGAGGTTGCAGTGAGCCCAGATCGTGCTACTACACTCCAGCTTGGGCAACAAGAGTGAAACTCCGTCTCAAAAATAAAATAAAATAAATTGGGCTTCTCGCTCTGTCGCCAGGCTGGTCTCAAACGTCTTATCTCAAGCGATTCTCCCGCTGCAGCCTCTGTGCTGGGATTACAGGTAGGAGCAACCGCACCCTGCCTGGCCTCTCTTTGAAACCTGCCCAGTGACAGGGATCTCAATGCAGGGCATTGCATGTCTTCTGACAGGATGCTGGTTTAGGTCACTCCCTCTGCCCTGCAAGCCAGCTGTGTCCCCAGCATTTCCCAGGGCAGAGATAGATCACTCCCTGTGAGAGTGTTTTGGTGTCAGTGTGGAACGGCTTCCCTGTTTGGCCCCCTGGGTATACTGGAACCTGGGAAGGGACCTCTCCAGCTAACCCAGGGCTGGGCAGGGAGTTACTGAAAGGAAAAAGGAATTTATTTTTAATTTCCTGGGTTTTCTTGGCTGTTGCTTTGGAGTGGAGATCATTTAGACATCTGGTACCCTGATGGCCTGAGAAGAGAAGGAAAGTCCTTGGAAAGGAGTTAGGTGACTTCTGGGTAAGAATGAGCTGATACAATGGTGGAGAGTGGGGAGAGCTGCTTAGTGGCCAACCTGGCCATCATTGCCGTATTCACTAGGGAGCTTTTATTCTCATCTGTGTCCTCCTCCTGTAACTTAACACCTAGAAGTGGCAGGGAATTGGATCATGAAAGAGCCATATAGTCCAGCCTACTCATTTGTGTGTGTGTATGTGTGTCTATATATATGTCTATATATATATAGGTCTATATATATAGGTCTATATATATATAGGTCTATATTGGTCTATATATATAGGTCTATATTGGTCTATATATAGGTATATATATGTCTATATGCATATAGGTCTATATATATGTCTATATATATAGGTCTATATATGTCTATATATATAGGTCTTATATATGTCTATATATAGGTCTTATATATGTCTATATATAGGTCTTATATATGTCTATATATAGTCTGTATGTCTATATATAGGTCTATATATATAGTCTGTGTCTATATGTATAGGTCTATATATATAGTCTATGTATAGGCCTATATATATGTCTATATATATAGTCTATATATATAGGTCTATATATATGTCTATATATAGTCTATATAGGTCTATATATATGTCTATATATGTCTATATATATCTATATATGTCTATATATCTTTATATACACTATATATGTGTCTATATATCTATATAGATACTATATATGTCTATTATATATCTATATATATAGATATATATATTTTTTTTTAGAGACAGGGTCTCACGATGTTGTCCAGACTTAAACTCCTGGCCTCAAGCAATACCCCTGTCTCCGCCTCCCAAAGGGCTGGGATTACAAGCATGAGGCCCTGTGTCCGGACCCAACCCACTCATTTTAAAATTGAGGAAGTTTGAGGCCTGGAAATGGAAAAATGTGGCCCAGGGTCACGGAGGGAGCTGGTGGCAAAGATGAGACTTAAATTCAGGTCTCCCGATTCCCAGGCCTGCCCTTGTTCTCTACACTCTTTGTATTAGTCAGGATCCAGCAGAAAACAGATTAAATTGGGGACATTTAAAGTGGGGGCTTTGAGGCAGGATATAGGGAAACTGCTATGGAATGTGGAATATTCTGGGGCTGGTGACAGTGGGATCTTACCACCTCTGCACCTGGAGGCAGGTTGTGTGGAGGGCGATCTCACTAGAGCTGGGACTTTAAGTCAAGGAGCTCAAAAAGGGACTTGGAGGAATAAAAACCATAAACCCTGTCCCCACCTTCTCCCTCTGGTTTTGATTCCAGGCTCCACATGGACCAAACCCAGCTGGCAGTCAGAGGGCAAGAGCATCTCGATGCAGCGCATACAGGCCAATTCCAGGGTGCAGTGCAGCATGGAAAAGGAGAAATGTACCTGAAGAGGCAAATGAAAGATATACAGCGTCACAGGCAATCTTGCTTCTACTACCATAAAAATAGTTTACGTTTCTTAGACACTTAGTCTGTGTCAGGCATGTCCATTATCTCATTGCATCTTCCCATAAACCCGGTTTCCTCCATTGGACAGATAAAGAAACTGACTAGTGAAACAGCTTGAGGGACGGAGGTATGAACAGCTAAGCTGTCATTTTCCCGTCCAGAGTCTTATCTGGTGTATAGTAGTTCCCCTGTGAATGTTTGTGGAATGAATGAATGAATGAGGAGCAGACATAAATAGGGTTAGATAGTAAACCTCCCTGAGGAGCCTTAGCGGGGCCTCTTCTCCTTGGGACTCGGAGGGTCTCTGCAGAGATGAGCCCTGTGCCTTTTGCTGTGTCTCCTGTTGGCCTGTAATAGGCCAGCTTCTTCAGGTGAAAAGGGCAGGCATGAAAGTCTGAAAAAAGCCTTGGACTTGTGCTTGGCTTTCCTAGTGGAGGTTAGCTTTTGGAATTTAAAAAAGAGTATGGGCTGGGCACAGTGGCTCACACCTGTAATCCCGAGGTGGGCGGATCACTTAAGGTCGGGAGTTTGAGACCAGCCTGGCCAACATGGCAAAACCCCGTCTCTACTAAAAATACAAAAATTAGGGCATGGTAGCGGGCGCCTGTAATCCCAGCTACTTGGGAGGCTGAGGCAGGAGAATTGCTTGAGCCCGGGAGGCACAGGTTGCAGTGTGCCAAGATTGTGCCACTGCACTCCTGCCTGGACAACAGAGTGAGACTCTGTCTCAAAACAAACAAACAAACAAACAAACAAAAGTCTCTCTGAAGCCCTCTTTACCCACACCTTTATTCCTAATACCCCACAGTCTGGGCAGGGGCCCAGGGTGCTACCTCTCTCCCTGCTCAACTCCTCCCCACGGCTCCACCCACGAGCTCAGTTCTGCTGATTGCATCACTGGTGCTGCTGTTGGAACACAGCATTCAGGGATGAGCCAACAACCAGTTTGGTGGGTGAGTTTCACCAGCACCCTGCAAGTGGCCTGCTGTGGAGCAGAAACCTCTGCTGGAAAGCGCCGAGCCATTTCTTCCATGCCTTCCTCTTGCTTTACTGCCGTGTCCCCTTTTTACTGGCCTCTTCTTTCCTGGAGGGTCCCATGAAGTCTTTCAGTTGTTGTTCATAATCTAAGCCCCTCAAGCATGGAAAAGGAACCTGATATGTATTGATCACATGCTATGTGCCTGACATGCTGTGCCAGATGCTTCATATCTAGATTTCATTTAATTTCATAGCAATTTATTAGGTAAAAAAGTCAGAGAGCTCACAGCTGAGAAAACTAAGGCTGGTTAGGGAACATGTGGAATATTACACAGCTGTTAAGAGGAGAGCTGGCATTTGAACTCTGGTCTAATCCCAAAGTCCATTCTAACACCCTTCACACTCAGAATAAACCCTGTGCCTGGGCAACAGTGAGACCCCCATCTCTACAAAAAATTAAAAACAGATTAGCAGGGCGTGGCCGGGTGCAGTGGTTGAGGCTGCAGTGAGCCGTGATCAGGCCACTGCGCTCCAGCCTGGGCGACATAGCAAGACCCCGTCTTGAAAAAAAAAAAAGAAAGAATAAACCCTGCTGCTGCAGTATTTGGGTTTATCTTATACCTTTGCAAGTCAGAGCCTTTTCCTTGTGCCGTTACTTGTATCCCCGGGGCTCGAGTGTGTGGAAGGTGCTGTTTCAGCTCACCCTTGTGGGTTTCCACGTGGAGTGCCTAACATTTCATTCCATCCATCGTCTGTCATTCCATCCATCTATTCCTTTGCTGCTGATGGCTCCTCCATCTGGGAGGCCGTTTCACCGGTTTCTGAATGGCAACATCCAAGCCCAGTTCCAGTGCCACCTCCCCCATTGTGTCCCTTGGATCTCATTTGCCTCCAGATTCCCAAACTTACCTTTGTTACCCTTCCCTGAAGGATTTCTTACGTTACTCCTTGTGTTACAGTAATTTGGGCATGTGATTTATTTTCTTTGTTGTGGGGGACAGGGATTATTCTGCAATAGTACTTGAATCTTTCCAGGACCTTAAACTAGCAAGCCGCCAGTGAATGCACGCATCAGGGGAGCCCTTTATGGGGAAAAGGGTTTGTATAGTGAAGATATCTTCCTCTACTTTACATGTTAACTTTGCTTAAAAACAATATTCAGCTGTATGATAAATGTCCTGGTTGAGTCTAGCGTGATGGTAGGGCACTCCTAGGGAGAAATTCCTTGTGTTTTCCTTGAGAGTTTCAAATTTGTGTTTTTGGGTTTTTTTTTGTTTTGTTTTTTTTTTTTTGAGACAGGGTCTCACTCTGTCACCCAGGCTGGAGTGCAGTGGCATGATCTTGGCTCACTGCAACTTCCACCTCCCAGGCTCAAGCGATTCTCCTGCCTCAGCCTCCTGAGTAGCTGGGACTACAGGCACACGCCACCATGCCCAGCTACTTTTTGTATTTTTAGTGGAAACAGGGTTTCACCATGTTGGCCAGGCTGCTCTCGAACTCCTGACCTCAGGTAATCCACCCGTCTTGGCCTCCCAGACTGCTGGGATTGGAGGCATAAGCCACTGTGTCTGGCAAGAGAGCTTTGAATTTGGGGAAGTGAAGAGACACTAATGAGGGCAGGCAGTGGGGAACAGGCTGCTTAGGTAAAAGGCCCCCCAGACCCTACATATTCGACTCTCCAGATGGGGCCCAGCAGAGTGGTGAGCTGTGTCCCTAGACTTTTATCACATGCTGCAGCTTTTCTGAGGCCATCACTTGTGCTCCCAAGTCCCTTTATGTTTGTTCTGATAGACGAAGGCCATCACTCCTCCTGCTTTCACCACTGGGGATGAGGGAAACCTTGGCCATAGTGGCAGTCCTCCCTCCCTGGGACCCCAGTCAGTTCAGAGCACCTATTTCCCATAACACCCAACACAGACAGATGCTAGGGCCCTTCCGCAGAGAACGGGTGTGGGCTGGGATGACTCACCTGCTCTGTGGCCGCCTACAGTGCAGCTCAAAGCCCTTGGGAATCAAAACACTTCCCTAGGACAAGCACAGAGGCTCTCCTTAGAGACAGCAGTTTGGGTTCCTGCTTCTGCAAATGCCTGTCACCGTACTGATGTTTCAAAGTCCAGGTCAGTGAGGAGCCATCCAGCTGAATGGCCATGGAGAACAGGCAGAATCAGCAGCTTCAGAAAGCAGTGCCCTGATCTGGGTATCAGATGACCCAGGTCTCACCTGGGCTCTTCCAGGAGCTCACTGTGTGTTTATAAAGGAAGAGTATTCAATTTTTTTTTTTTTTGAGATGGAGTTTCGTTCTTGTTGCCCAGGCTGGAATGCAATTGCACGATCTTGGCTCACTGCAACATGCACCCTCCGGGTTCAAGCAATTGTCTTGCCTCAGCCACCTGAGTAGCTGGGATTACAGGTGCATGCCACCACGCCTAGCTAATTTTTATATTTTTAGTAGACGGGGTTTCACCATGTTGGCCAGGCTGGTCTCAAACTCCTGACCTCAGGTGATCCACCTGCCTCGACCTCCCAAAGTGCTGGGATTACAGGTGTGAGCTACCACGCCTAGTCTAAGAGCATTCATTCTTTAAGTAAACTTTTTTTTTTTTTTTTTTTTTTTTTGAGACAGAGTCTTGTTTTGTTACCCAGGCTAGAGTGAAGTGATGCCATCATGGGCTCAAGCGATCCTCCCACCTCAGCCTCTTCAAGAAGCTGGGACTACAGTCCCATTACACCTGGCTAATTAAAAAAAAAAAAAAATTTTTTTTTAGAGGTGGGGTCTCACCATCTTGCCCAGGCTGGTCTCCAACTCCTGGGCTCAAGCGATCCTCCTGCCTCGGCCAACCAAAGTGCTTGGATTACAGGAATGAGCCACCGCACAAGGCTTAAACTTTTTTTTTTTTGGACCGCTGACTTCTGCTGTGCTAACTAAGGACAGAAAGGGTTATGAGAAGTCAAAATCTGTCCCTCACCATGATGGTCTCTCAGTCTCTGCAAATGAATACAAGTCAGGGTAATGAATGCAATACTGCACTAAGGTGGTTTGAAGTATGGAAGAGAAACTAATATCCTAGGGGAAGTGAGTGAGTCAGGTTAGATTTAATTGAAAAGATGACATTTGAGCTAGCCCTTGAAACTGGAATTCCTTTGGCAGACTGGAGTAAGTCTGTTGCATCTTTGGGGAATATTGTCAGAGGAATGTAGAGAAGGGTGAGGGTGAAGAGAGACAAGATTTGAAGGTCCGTGTGGTCTCAGGAGTCAAGGGCCTTGGTAGAACATGTGAACTTCGGACCTTATCCTGAGGGCAGCAAGACATGATCAGCTCTGTGTTGTAGAAAGATCACTGTGGCTGCAACGTGGAGGATGAATTAAAAGGGTCAAAGAGGAAGAGAGAGACACCGGTTAGAAGAAGATTAGACTATTACAGGAAGGAAAGTTTGAGGACCTCCACTACGGTATTACAGAAGAGAGCTGGACTGGATAATACCTAAAATCAAAGTTTTATGCTCCTGAACCCACCAGTGCTTGGCGCTTTTCTTTTTTTTTTTTTTCTTTCTTTCTTTCTTTCTTTTTTTTTTTTTTTTGTGATGGGGTCTCGCGCTGTTGCCCAGGGCTGAGTGCAATGGCGCCATCTTGGCTCACTGCAACCTCTGGCCTCCTGGGTTCAAGCGGTTCTCCTGCCTCAGCCTCCCAGGTAGCTGGGATTACAGGCACACGCCACCATGCCCAGCTCATTTTTTTTGTATCTTTTTTTTTTTTGAGACAGAGTCTCCCTGTTAGCCAGGCTGGAGTGCAGCAGCGTGATCTCGGCTCACTGCAACCTCCGCCTCTCGGGTTCAAGCGATTCTCCTGCCTCAGCCTCCCGAGTAGTTGGGACTACAGGCATGTGCCAACATGCCTGGCTAATTTTTTGTATCTTTAGTAGAGACAGGGTTTCACCACGTTGGCTAGGCTGGTCTCAAACTCCTGACCTCGTGATCCACCCATCTCGGCCTCCCAAAGTGCTGGGAGTACAGGCATGAGCCACCAGGCCAGGCTGCTTTGGCGCTTTTTATACCTGCCTCCTCCCCACCCTACTCCTAGCTGATTGTCCTAATTGGTTGTTCATGACCCATCCTTGGGGGATGGTGACCTGTTTGGGTTTTGAACCAATCCGATTTCCCTGTTTATCTGTTCTGTTCATCCCTGAAGTCTTACTTCAGATGAGTCTCAGCTCACTGGAGACCAACTAGGAGGAAGCTGTTATCTGTCTCAGAGTCCTTCCCACCCCCACCTCCAGCCCCCTCTCTCCTCTGGCATTGGATTTGAGGTCTCCAGATTGGCACTGGCATCTATGCCATCCTTCCCGTTACTCTTTTTAGGAGGAAAGATGAGACACCATGTCTCAATGGGAGATATTGACAAGCAGGAAGTCGGAAAATGGATTAAAGACTGAGCTTGTGACCTTGGTCTAAGAGCAGAAGGTGAGATACAGGGCAGTGCCACATAGTCATCGAGCAAGTCTGAGCACCTTAAATTTAGACCATTTCTATGAAATGTAATCCAAAAACCAGAAGTATATCCCTTCTCCTAATTCCTTCACTGTTTCTATTCCTGGCCAGGGTTACACATCCTGCCTTTTCTTGCTCTACTTGCTTGTAAGACAGTCATCTTGTGATTCTTTTTTTTTTTTTTTTTTCTGAGACAGAGTCTCGCTCTGTCACCCAGGCTGGAATGCAATGGCATGATTTCGGCTCACTGCAACCTCCGCCTCTCGGGTTCAAGCGATTCTCCTGCCTCAGTCTCCAGAGTAGCTGGGATTACAGGCTCCCACCACCACGCCTGGCTAATTTTTGTATTTTTAGTAGGGACAGGGTTTCACCATGTTGGCCAGGCTAGTCTTGAACTCTTGACCTCAGGTGATCCACACCCCCCCCCCCACCCTCGGCCTCTCAAAGTGCAGGGATTACAGGCGTGAGCCACTGTGCCCTGTCCATCTTGTGATTCTTAGGCCTGTAGACTTTAGCTGTCAACAAATAGGTTGGGAGTGTCTGTGGTGTGCCTAGCCTGATAGTAGCTGTGACAGGATATATACGCCCCCTGGCTATGTTCTCAAGGAATAAGGAGACTGGTACTTTAGAGTAGTTGGGAAAGCAAAACACAAAAGCTAACTATAGAAGAGAAAATGAAAGTAGTTAAGAGGGCGGTTAGAATTTGGTGGTACACGGTGGGCACAGTGGCTCATGCCTGTAATCCTAGTACTTTCGGAGGCCAAGGTGGGTGGTTGGCTTGAGCTCAGGAGTCTGAGACCAACCTGGGCAGTACGGTGAAACCCTAGCTACAAAAAATACAAAAATTGGCTGGGCGCAGTGGCTCACGCCTGTAATCTCAGCAGTTTGGGAGGCTGAGGCAGGTGGATCACCTGAAGTCAAGAGGTCGAGACCAACCTGGCCAACATGGTGAAACCTTGTCTCTACTAAAAATACAAAAAAAAAAATTAGCTGGGCGTAATGGCATGCGCCTGTAGTCCCAGCTACTCAGGGAGGCTGAGGCAGGAGAATCACTTGAACCCAGGAGACTGAGGTTGCAGTGAACCAAGATCACGCCACTGCACTCCAGCCTGGGTGATAGAGGGAGACTCCATCTCAAAAAAAAAAAAAAAAAAATTAGCCGGGCATGGTGGCATATGCCTGTAGTCCCAGCTACCCGGGAGGTTGAGGCTACAGTGAGCCATGATCGCGCCACTGGCACTGCAGTCTGGGTGATGGAGCAAGACCCTGTTTCAAAAAAAAAAAAAAAAAAAAAAAAAAATTTGAGGCCGGGCGCGGTGGCTCATGCCTGTAATCTCAGCACTTTGGGAGGCCGAAGTGGACAGATCATGGGGTCAGGAGTTCAAGACCAGATAATGAAAACCCTGTCTCTACTAAAAATACAAAAATTAGCTGAGTATGGTGGCAAGTGCCTGTAGTCCTAGCTACTTGGGAAGCTGAGGCGGGAGAATTGCTTGAACCCGGGAGGCGGAGGTTGCATTGAGCCGAGACCACACCATTGCACTCCAGCCTGGGTGACAGAGTGAGACTCAGTTTCAGAAAAAAAAAAAGAAGAATTTGATGGTATAGGCTGTAGATACTGCAGAGCCCTAAAAAAGGGAGCAAGTGGCCAGTCGCAGTGGTTCATGCCTGTAATCCCAGCACTTTGGGAGGCCAAGGCAGGCAGATCACTTGAGGTCAGGAGTTTGAGACCAGCCTGGCCAACATGGTGAAACCCCATCCCTACTAAAAATACAAAAATTAGCCAGGTGTGGTGGTGCATACCTGTAATCTTAGCTACTCGGGAGGCTGAGGGAGGAGAATCTCTTGAACCCAGGAGGAGGAGATTGTAGTGAGCCGAGATTGTGCCACTGCACTCCAGCCTGGGCAACAGAGTGAGACTCTGTCTCAACAAAAGAGAAAAGAGAAAGGAGCAAGTGGTGTCTAGTTGTCTCTAGGTGTCTTGGGTTTCCTCAAGTTGGGGGTTGGATCCACCTAGATCTAGCCTGAGGGTCTGAGCTGGATCCCAGCTAGTGTTACTGTGAGGTTGAGGGCCAAGCAGCACTTTGTGTGGCCTTCCTGGGGAGACATCCCTGTTATCCAAATATTTATGCTCTTTTCTCAGCCTGCATCTTCCTACTCGTCAGGAGTCCCCATTCATCCTTCAAGGCCCAGCCCAAATGCCTCTTTTTTCATGAAGACACTTTCTTCTCATCAGTTAGGATTATTGCTGTCTTCTCTGTTCCTCTGCAGTCCTTTGTTTACAACTTTATTGTGACATTTATTTTATCTCATCATGTGTTTAAGAGTGTTTTCATCAGTTCCACGAGATTGTGAGCTTCTTGTTAGCAGGGACTATATCTGATTCATTTCTTAAACTCCTGATGACTAGCCTAGTGTGTTATTCTGCTCAGAAAATGGTTGCTAAATGAGTGAACAGATTCTATTCTCTCTGGTATTTGAGTTCTAAAGAATCAGTTCTAGGCCTGGCGCCATGGCTCATGCCTGTAATCTCAGTGATTTGGGAGGCTGAGGCAGGAGGTTCCCTTGAGGCCAGAAATTCGAGACCAGCCTGGGCAACAAATATAAACAATACAAAGAATAAAATAATAAAAATACAAGAAATAAAAATAAAAAATTAGCAGGGTGTTGGTCAGGCGTGGTGGCTCACGCCTGTAATCCCAGCACTTTGGGAAGCTGAGGCAGGTGGATCACGAGGTCAGGAGTTTGAGACCAGCCTGACCAACATGGTGAAACCCCATCTCTACTAAAAATACACAAATTAGCTGGGTGTGGTGGCACGTGCCTGTAATTCCAGCTACTCAGGAGGCTGAGGCAGGAGAATCGCTGGAACCCAGGAGGCGGAGATTGCAGTAAGCCAAGATCACACCACTGCACTCCAGCCTGGGCGACAGAGTGAGACTCTTGTCTCAAAAACAAAACAAAACAAAACAAACCTGGATGTGGTGGTACGTGCCTGTAGTTCTAGCTACTTAGGAGGCTGAGGTGGGAGGATCCCTTTACCCAGGAGGTTGAGGCTGCATTGAGCTATGATGGCCCCACTGCACTCCCGCTTGGGTGGGTGACAGTAAAGTAATCCTAAAACCAGAAGGGAGAAGGGCTGTTTGTAGGGCCAGTTTTTGGCAGGGGAGCACATAGTGATATTAAAAGTCATTTTAAGTAGGACTTGTGTGGACACACAAAAGAAGGGTGTCGATCTTCTTTTGGTTTTGACCCTTTAAGACTAAAGGAGCAGCAGTAGAGTATGAGTGGTGGGAAGGCCTCCCCTAGTGTATGGAAAGAGCATTGGAATCAGAATTGGGGACTAATTCTGATCCAATCTCTGGTGACATTATATTTGCTTTGTTAATCCTATGAGATTGTTCTGAGAACCAAGTGAGATAAGAAAGATGTGAGTTCTTTGAAAGCTCTCAGATCATCAGCTACTAAGGTCGGCTTGAGCTTGGCCAATCTCCATTTGAATTCCCATCTAGTCCCAAGACTAGATCCAAATGGTAAAAAGAGAAGAACACTGTGTGACTTGGGTAAATCGCTTCTAGTCTCTGAGCCTCAGTTTTCTTATTTGTAAAATGGAGATAATAATCTCTACGCCACCTAACTTGTTAGGCTACTTAGGAGGGTTAACTGAGAATTAATATGACACTGCCTTGTAAATTATAAGGGTCTGTGCAAATGCTATGGATTTATTTTTAATTAATTTATTTATTTTTAAGAAAGAGTCTTGTGCTGTTGCCCAGGCTGTAGTGCAGTGGCGTAATCTTGGCTCACTGCAACTTCCACCTCCCAGGTTCAAGAGATTCTTGTGCCTCAGCCTCTTGAGTAACTGGGATTACAGGCACCTGCCACCCCACCTGGCTAATTTTTGTATTTTTAGTAGAAACAGAGTTTCACCATGTTGCCCAGGCTGGTCTCAAAATCTCGGCCTGAAGTGATCCACCTGCCTTGGCCTCCCAAAGTGCTGGGATTACAGGCATGAGCCACTGTGCCTGGCCTAGATTTGTTTTTTAATCTGTGTTTGAGGGCTCTGGATGAAATTTGCCAAGGCTGTTGCACATCTAGACAGTGACATCATATACATGTTATTGAGGTCCAGGGTGGGGCACAGAAGACAGGCCCAGAGTCATGGGGGCAGGGAAGAACACAGAAGGGAACCCCACCCACTGTCTGCCTGGAGAAGACCTGATTCTGTTGTCACTCATTTGTCTGACTTGAGGAAATTTGGTCTCCTCGTTTCCAAACTGCCACAGACTGCAGTGACCTCTGTGATCAGGGGGTACTTTGATTAAAGCTCTACAGTAAGGGTCACTCTAGTTTTTTTCTCTGTCTCCAGGGTTGAGCTTGGTGCATGGACACAACAGATATTCAGGATAAGTTTGTTGTTGAACAAATACAAGTAATGCATTTGTGAGACCTCATTCTCACTTCCTTTGTTTTACAAAGTCAGTTGCACATCAGCCTAAAAACCCAGGACATAATTCACAGAAATGGAGCTTGAAAGCATGACTAGCCAGTATTAATCAAAGGCCAAGCGGCTGAGCGGGCGTGGTGGACAAGCCTGTAATCCCAGCACTTTGGAAGGTCGAGGCGGGTGGATTGCCTGAGCTCAGGAGTTCACGAGCAGCCTGGGCAACAAGGTGAAACCCCGTCCCTACTAAAATACAAAAAAGTAGCCGGACAAGGCGGCATGCACCTGTAGTCCCAGCTACTCGGGAGACTGAGACGGGAGAATTCCTTGAACCCGGGAGGCAGAGGTTGCAGTGAGCCAAGATCACGCCACTGTACTCCAGCCTGGGCGACAGAGTGAGACTCTGCCTCAAAAAAAAAAAGAAAAAGAAAATGAAAAAAAAAAAAGGCCAAGCTTCGGAAATGGCATGTTACCATCCAGGCGCTTTGTGAATCCTGGGAAGCCATGAAGCCAGAGTCTGAGGGGAAAGGCTCTCTGTCTGCCTGTGGCCAGGCAGTTTTTGAACCCCTTCATTGGTCCTGCTGGTCATAGGAGCTGAAAGAAAATGGCTGAATCAGCAAATATTTATTGTGTGCTTGCTCTGTGTTGAATGCTTTGGAGAAGAAGAAGAAGGTGAAGTCATAGAGGAGCAGGGAATTCCCGCCGACAGGCAGTGTTTGCCCAGGGCCAAGGGAGTGGGAGATACCCAGCAACAGAGGACGGTACCCACTGGGGCTAGGAAGGCTTTCTAGACGGGGAGGAGATGTGTGAAGAAGACAAAGTTAGTCATGGAGACTCCCCTCTGCCGCCGAAATGTCTTCTTTTGGTAACTGGCCCCAGTTAGGAGACTGTATTAGTTTTCTGTTGCTGCGTAACAAATGACCACACAATGTGGCAGCATAAACCAGCATCCATTTATCATCTCACAGTTCCATAGGTCAGAAGTCCAGGCAGGCTCTACCAGGCCCCCCGCTCAGGACCTGGAAAGGCTGAAATCAAGGTGTGAGGGGGCCAGGCACTCATCCAGAAGTTCCAGGAAAGAACCCACTTCCAAGCTCATGGAGGTGGGGGCGATTCCATCCTTTCAGCTGTAGGTTGAGGCCCCCGTTTCCCTGCTGGCTGTCTGCTGGGTGCTGCTCTCCACTCCTAGAGGCCACTCTCTGGTCCTTTCCTTGTGGCCCCTCCATTTCCAATCTAGCAACAGTGCATCAAATCCCCCTCCTATTTTAAGTACCTGACTTGCTCTTCTGTTACCACCTGGAGAAAACAGTCTGTTTTTTGAAAAGAAAATTTCGGCTGGGCATGGTAGCTCACGCCTGTAATCCCAGCACTTTGGGAGGCTGAGGTGGGTGGATCACCTGAGGTCAGGAGTTTGAGACCAGTCTTGTCAACATGGCGAAACCCCGTCTCTACTAAAAATACAAAAATTAGCCAGGCGTGGTGGTGTGCAACTGTAGTCCCACCTACTCGGGAGGCTGAGGCAGGAGAATTGCTTGAACCCGGGAGGTGACGGTTGCAGTGAGTCGAGATCTCACTACTACACTCCAGCCTGAGCGAGAGTGAGACTCCGTCTCAAAAAAAAAAAAAAAAAAAAAAGTGGAATCCAAGATGATCAGCAAGTCTAGAGGATGGGGAAGAAGATGGCAGGATCATTAATAGAAATATAGTCATGCATCGCTTAATGATGGGAATACGTATGTTCTAAGAAATGCATCCTTAGGTGATTTAATCATTGTACAAGCATCACAAAGTGTTCTTACACAAACCTAGATGGCACAGCCTACTACACACCGATGCTATATGGCAAGCAATACAAACCTGTACAGCAGGCTACGGTGCTGAGTACTGTAGGCAATTGTAATGTAATGGTATGTATTTGTGTATCTGAACACATCTAAACATAGAAAAGGTACGGTAAAGATACTGTATTATAAGCTTATAGAGCCACTGTTGCAGGCTGGGCGTGGTGGCTTATGCCTGTAATCCCAGCACTTTGGGAGGCTGGGATGGGCAGATTGCTTGAGTCCAGGAGTTTGAGACCAGCCTGGGCAACATAGTGAGACCCCTGTCTCTACAAAAATACACAAATTAGCTGGGCATGGTGATGCATGCCTATAGTCTTAGCTACTCGGGAGATCGAGGTGGGAGGATTGCTTGAGCCTTGGGAGGTCGAGGCTGCATTGAACTGAGAGTGTGCCACACTGCATTCCCACTCCAGCCTGGGTGACAGAGTGAGACCCTGTCTCAGGAAAAAAAAAACACCGTTGCATACGCAGTTCATCATTGACTAAAACATCAGTATGCAGTGCATGACTGTAAATCCCAGGGCTAATTCCGTGGTGACAGGAAGGGCACCAAGTTTCTGTGTGGATTTCAAATATTCTGTATCCTCAGGCTTTGTTAATCCATGTCTTTTGTCTTCAGAGAAGTCAGTTCCATCAGCAAGGAGCCGTCAGGGCCACCCAGCTTTATGCCTTGACTCCTGGTTACTGTTTTGAGGCCTAAGAACAGCTGAGACCCTGCACGTGTTAAAATCCAAATGGGGTGAGGGTGAGGGGGTCAGAATCACCACCAGCCAATGTCAGCATCTGGAGCTGAATACAGAGACCCCTCTTGGCCAAATGTTCCGGGCAGCATCCATGTGCAGGTCGGGTTGACTTTTTGGACGCTGCCTAGGAGCTCACGCAGACGGTCACACTGCAATGTCGGTGGGGCTGTGAGCAGTCATGGCACCTCCGCAGCTGTTCCTGGGCCTATCTGCTGCAAATTAGATCATTGGTCATTCATATTTTTCCTTCCCTATCTCTCTTTACCCATTCTGTTTCCAACAGGTGATGATAATAAAGGTGGTTTCATGGAAAATATGGGATCTCTGTAAAGACAAGACCCCGATCTGCGAGTGTGGCTTGCTAAGTTGGGTAATTTATCTGTTGACACGCTTCTCAGTCACTTTTTCACCTTGGTTTCTCCAGATGGCTGGGGCTTGATCACTCAGAGGAGGAGGGAACTTCTTTGTGGTTCTGTTCTTGCCCATCTCAACACAACAGTCGACATCAGACACATAATCAAGAGCTTCAGCAGGAGGGATGGCCAAGTTGGATGCTTTCCATCAGGGCCATTCCAGCTGTGATTCTCTGTGCTGTGGGAATCTGGTTGAGAGGGACATCAGAGAGATGACAGCGAGGAAGGAACCTTTTATACTAGGTGTTAAGGGATGGCTGGGACTGGATTAAGTAGACAGGAGAAGGGAAGATCTTCCAGGCTTGGTGAGAGCTGAGCAAAGCCATTTGGGTTTGAATCAGCATGGTTTATTTACGGAGTGTGAGGCGGCTGGCTTGGACCATGGGAGGTGTTGCTTCTTAATCTAAGAAAATGGGCCAGGCGCGGTGGCTCAGGCCTGTAATCCCAGCACTTTGGGAGGCCGAAGCGGGTAGATCAGTTGAGGTCAGGAGTTCCAGACCAGCCTGACCAACATGGTGAAACCCCATATCTACTAAGAATACAAAAATTAGCTGGGTGTGGTGGTGCATGCCTGCATTCCCAGCTACTTGGGAGGCTGAGGCAGGAGAATTGCTTGAACCCGGGAGGCAGAGGTTGTGGTGCACTGATATCACGCCACTGCGCTCCAGCCTTGGCAGCAGAGCGAGACTGTGTCTCAAAAAAAAATAATAATTTTAAAAAAAAGAAAAAAAAGAAAATGACTCCCTGCCCTCCACTCTTCCTTCTCCCTTATATTAAAGCTTAGGATTTCTGAACTTTTGCCCCTTCCTAGGGGTCCAGATGAATTGTAGGGAACCACCCTTTCTGGCTTGGCGTCAACCTCAAGGGCACATCTGTGGGATGCTGTTTTCCCTTTAAGTTTACTCCTTGCCTCCCAGTCAATGTCCTTTCCCTTGCCCTTACCTGTTTGCTTTAAAAAGCACTATTTTTTTTTGTTGTTGTTCAAGCGATTCTCCTGCCTCCTGAGTAGATGAGGATTACAGGCGTGTGCCACCACACCTGGCTAATTTTAATATTTTAGTAGAGACGGGGTTTCACCATGTTGGCCAGGCTGGTCTCGAACTCCTGACCTCAGGTGATCCGCTTGCCTTGCCCTCCCAAAGTGCTGGGATTACAAATGTGAGCCACTGGGCCCAGCCAATTAAAAAGCACTATTTTTAACCAAGGAGCTTTACTTGCTTTGTTTTCGTTTTTGTAGACAGATGCAGCATTAAAGATGAATGCATTTGAATGCCATCACTGTCATAGTTCAACATTTGACCTCTCTTTGGCAACCAAACTATATTTTATATATTTTGTTGTTGCACATTTTCTAGAGGAGCATAGGAGGATGGGGCTCATTTTTGGTCCTCATGGCTTGGAGAGCTTTCCTCTTCATGCTGGTGGGCCACACTTGTCTGGAGATTCTTTCCTCTTCTTTGAATCTGGACTACAATAGGACAAATTAACTTCAGTGGTCATACAAGTCATGAAGAAATGAATTTAATAGTGTATCAGTTAGGATTCTCTTATGACATGTACCCCAATGATCTGGAAGTAGTTTAAGCCAAAGAGAATAATTTATTTAAAAGATTCAGGGACATATGAGATCTAAGGCCGGGAATACAACTGTGTCTCAGGAAGGGACTTTAAGTAGGAAGAGGAAAGCCATCAAGAAGCCAGGCATCCCCTCAGTGTGCTTGCTGCGACGTGCACTCTGTGCAGAGTGGCTGTCCCTGCTTCCAGACCACCCAGAAGGCAAGAAAGGGCCAGCCTGAGACCCCCAGTTTGTAATCCCCTTCATTCAAGAGAACAGCCAAGGCCGGGTGTGGTGGCTCATGGCTCATCCAAGCACTTTGGGAGGCCGTGGTGGGAGGATCATTTGAGCCCAGGAATTTGAGACCAGCCTGGGCAACATAGTGAGACCCCACCTCTACAAAAAATACAAAAAATTTAGCTAAGCATGGTGGCACATGCCTGTAGTTCCAGCTACTCGAGAGGCTGAGGTGGGAGGATTGCTTGAGCCTGGGAAGTCAGAGGCTGCAGTGAGCAGTGATTGTGCCAATGCACTCCAGCCTGGGTGATGGAGCAAGACCATCTCAAAAAAAAAAAAAAAAAAAAAATAGATCAGGAGACCAGCGAAGACTCAGTGAGGATCTGTTTGTCTCATTTCCAAATGTGTCCTGGAGAACCAACGTTAGTACAGTCAACGGTGATCAGTTTGGAGTCGCAAAACACAAACTCCGGCTGTTGAAAGCTTGGCTTGTAGGAGGGGCCCACTTCCTCCAAAGGGACCTGCTTCAAATATCCCCCCTGCTAAACCAGAATCATTGCTGTTGGGATGACCTTTCTATCTCAGAAGGAACTAGACGACTCTGTAGAGATGGTGGCGGAGGCGGGATCTATGTCTGGAAGGGCCATGTAAAAAACATGGACCTGGCGTGTTTCTGGTCCTTATCACTTCTGAGTTGTCCGATTTTATAGAAGAGGCCTTAAAAGATGTAAGATTTGGCCAAGAACTCATCGTCTGCTTCTGCTCCAAAACCACATTCTACTAAAAAAAGGTCCTTACACTGAATTGTTTGAAGGTTTTTTGTTGTTGTTGTTGTAAAGGATGCAGACTTAAAAATTATTTTTGGAAGACAGTTTGCAAGCTATTAGTAGAGAATGCTAAGAAAAAGCTTTTTGGGGTGGATTTGTTTAAACAGGCCCCTAACTGATGAGAGAATGGCTGTTTTCATGTTCCTTGAGAACCGTCGTCTTTTAATAAGACAGCATCGATTCTGGAGTCAGAAGACTAGATTGGGTCTCAACTCTGACACCGGGTTTGTGGCTTTGGGCAAGTTCTTTAATATCTCTAACTCTCAGTTCTAATTCTGAGAAATGGGATAAGTATCATATTAAAATCTACTTCCTGGTGTCAGGAAGAGTAGATGAATTAATGCACATTTATGTACTTGGCATTCTTCTTTGCGCTTAAGCATTCAGAAAATAGTCTTACAAAAATGATTACGCCTGTTTGATATTAGTGAAGAGTTAATGAGAAAAGATCAAATTGTGCTTGAATGTTAATTTTTTTAAAGCATATTCTGTGAATAATATTTCTTTAAAAAGCATTTTGCTAATGTTGTCTATGTTTAGCTGTTTAATAAAAAGTTATATTTGTATTTTTAAAAGGAAAAAAAGTGGGCGTTTTATGTGTCATAAGAAAGGCACCCCTTGCCTACACCTTTTGATGTGGGTCATGAGATTTTTTGTTTTATTTTATTTTATTTTTGAAACAGAGTTTCGTTCTGTTGCCCAGGCTGGAGTGCAGTGGTGCAATCTCGGCTACCTGCAACCTCTGCCTCCCGGGTTCAGGCAATTCTCCTGCTTCAGCCTCCTGAGTAGCTAGGATTACAGGCATGAACCACCATGCCCAGCTAATTTTGTATTTTTAGTAGAGACGGGGTTTTGTCATATTGGCCAGGCTGGTCTCGAACTCCTGACCTCAGGTGATCCACCCACCTCAGCCTCCCAAAGTGCTGAGATTACAGGTGTGAGCCACCACACCCAGCCAGGTTTTTTGTTTTAAATTATAATAAAGTACACATGACATAAAACTTACTAACTCGGCTGGGTGTGGTGGTGCACGCCTGTAGGCCCAGCTACTCAGGAGGCTAAGGCAGAGGAATCGCTTGAACCTGGGAGGCAGAGGTTGCAGTGAGCCGAGATTGTGCCACTGTACTCCAGCCTGGGTGACAGAGTAAGACTCTGTCTCACAAAAACAAAAAAGAAAAACCAAAAAAACAAAAAAATTTACTAACTCAAGCATTTTAAAGTGTATAGCTAAATGGTAGTAACAACATTCACATTGATGTGTAACCATCACCAATCTGTCTTCAGAACTCTTTTCATCTTGTAAAACTGAAACTCTCTACCCATTAAACCATAACTCAGCCGCGTGCTGCACAGCTGGGAGGTTGAGGCAGGAGGATCCCTTGAGCTCAGGAGTTCAAGATCAGCTTGGGTAACATAGTGAGACCTCGTCTCTACAAAAAGTCTATAATTAGCCAAGTGTGGTGGCACATGCCTATAGTCTGAGCTACTTGGGAGGCTGAGGTGGGAGGATCGCTTGGACCCAGGAGGCTGAGGCTGCAATGAGATGTGATTGTACCACTTCACTCCAGCCTGGGTGATAAAGTGAGACCCTGTCTCAAAAATAAAATAAAATTAACAATAACTCCCCATCCTCCTCTTTGGCAATCACCATCCTACTTTCAGTCTCTAGGAATCTGACTCTTCTAGGTAACTAGAGTCATACAAATGGAATCATACAGCATTGTCTTATTTCATTTAAGATAATGTCCTCAAGGTTCATGCACGTTGTAGCATGTGTTGTGTTGCCCAGGCTGGCCTTGAACTCCTGGCCTTAAGCTATTCTCCTACCTCAGCCATCCCAGTAGCTGGGACTACAGGTGTGCACCACCATACCCAGCTAGAATTTCCTTGCTTTTTGTTTGTTTGTTTGTTTTGAGACGGAGTTTTGCTCTTAGTGTCCTGGCTGGAGTGCAATGGCGCAATCTCGGCTCACTGCAACCTCTGCCCCCTGGGTTCAAGCGATTCTTCTGCCTCAGCCTCCCGAATAGCTGGGACTACCGGCATGCGCCACCACGCCCGGCTAATTTTTGTATTTTTAGGAGAGACAGGGTTTCACCATGTTGATCAGGCTGGTCTCAAACTCCTGACCTCGGGTAATCCACCCGCCTCGGCCTCCCAAAGTGCTGGGATTACAGGCGTGAGCTACGGTGCCCAGCCTGTTTGTTTCTTTTTTGGTTATTTTTTGAGACAGGGTCTGGCTCTTTCGCCCAGGATGGAGTGCAGTGGTGTGATCTTGGCTCACTGGAACCTCTGTCCCTCAGGCTCAAGCCATCCTCCTACCTCAGCCTCTTGAGTAGCTGGGACTACAGGTGTGCACCACCGTGCCCAGTTAATTTTTGTATTTTTTCTAGAGACAAGGTCTCACTTTGTTGCCCAGGATGCTGGTCTTGAACTCCTAAGCTCAAGTGATCCGCCTGCCTTGGCCTCCCAAAGTGCTGGGATTGCAGGCATGAGCCCCCACGCCTGGCCACAGAATTTCTTTACTTTTTGGCCAGGCGTGGTGGCTCACGCCTGTAATCCCAGCAGTTTAGGAGGCTGAGGTGGGCGGATCACTTGAGTTCAGGAGTTTGAGACCAGCTTGGCCAACATGGTGAAACCCCGTCTCTACTAAAAGTATAAAAATTAGCCAGGCGTGGTGGCAGATGCCTGTGATCCAGCTACTCAGGAGGCCGAGGTGGGAGAATTCCTTGAACCTGGGAGGTAGAGGTTGCAGTGAGCCGAGATCGTGCCACTGCACTCTAGCCAGGGCGACAGAGCGAGACTCTGCCTCAAAAAAAAAAAAAAAAAAAAAATTCTTTACTTTTTAGTAGAGATGGGGTTTTACCATGTTGGCCAAAAAAATAAAAAATAAAAGAATTTTTTTTGTATGTATAGACCACATTTTGTTTATTCATTCATCTGTGGATGGACAGTTGGGTTGATGGACAGTTGGCTATTGAGAATAATGCTAGGGACAGGGTATACAGATACCTCCTAGAGGCCCTGCTTTCCATTCTTTTGGGTATATACCCGGAAGTGGAATCGCTGATAAATAGTTCCATTATTAGTTTTTCGAGGAACCACCATGCTTTTTTTCACAGCAGCTGCACTATTTTACATTTCCACCAACAATGTACAAGGGTTCCGATTTCTCCACATCCTGGCCAACACTCGTTATTTTCTGTTTTTTTTGACAGTAGCCACCCGGATGGATGCAAGATGGTATCTCATTGTAGTTTTCGATTTGCATTTCCCTAATGATCGGTGATGTTGAGCACATTTTCATGTTTTTGTTGGCTATTTATATATGGGTCATGAGTTCTTGATTAGTCAGTGCTATATGATGATGCTATACGTAGTTGTAGGAAATGTCCCTAACGGGGCAAAATGCTATGTTTTACATCTCTAGAGAGAGGAAGTAGATTGGTGGTTGCCTAGGGCTGGGGCAAAATGAGAGTGACTAGTAATGGGCAGGGCCTCTTTCTGGAAATAGTAAAATGTAGTGAATTAGATGGTGATGGTGATGGCTATACAATTCTAGGAACATACTAAAAACCATTGAATTGTACACTTTAAATGGGTGAATTTTATGTTCTGTAATGTCTCAATAAAACTGGTTTAATATGCTTTTTCTTGGAAAATAGACCTAAAACAGTAGCAGTGATGGTAGCAAAGGTTGCCACTTCATTGGCCAACTTTACCCAGTAGGAGGGGATGTTCCACATTTTTGGTGAATTTACAACCGAGAGGTACTCTCCTTGGGAAATCTGGAGGAGTGCCCCCTTGCAAGCTTATTTCCTGGCCCAGTGAGAAAGATCAGTGACTAATAAAGCTAGAGGAAAGATCACAAATGATTTAAGTTTAGAGTTGCTAGAAGCACATTTTAGTAGAGTTTGGGGTGGAGGGTGTCAAGGCCCCTTTCCAACAGTGATACCACCAGAGACCTCAGGTGTTACCGAAGAGAACATCGCCCCTTCACACCTCCTCTCTGTCCTTTTCAAAATGAGGAAATGGCTGGGTGCCATGGCTCATGCCTGTAATCCCAGCAGTTTGAGAGGCTGAGGCCAGTGGATCACCTGAGGTCAGGAGTTCAAGACCAGCCTGGCCAACGTGGAGAAACCCTGTCTCTACTAAAAATACAAAAATTAGGCCGGGCACAGTAGATCACACCTGTAATCCCAGCACTTTGGGAAGCCAAGGTGGGCAGATCACGAGGTCAAGAGATCAAGACCATCCTGGTCAACATGGTGAAACCCCATTTGTACTACAAATACAAAAATCAGCTGGGTGTGGTGGCACATGCCCGTAGTCCCAGCTACTCGGGAGGCTGAGGCATGAGAATCACTTGAAGCCAGGAGGCAGAGGTTGCAGTGAGCCAAGATCACGCCACTGAACTCCAGCCTGGGCAACAGAGTGAGAGTCCATCTCAAAACCAACAAACACCCCAAAAAACAAAATGAGGAAATGAATCCAGAGACAAGAAATAACTGGCCCTAGGTTCATGGCCAATTAGCAGCAGAGCCAGAGCTTCTAGCTCCCTTGCCTGGGCAGCTTCATTTAAGCTCCACGCGTCCAATCTAGCCCAGCCAACAGCCTCTGTCGCCAGAGCATCAGCTGCTGATGAGGAGCGGGGATGACGGATACCAACCGCAGCCCTCTCCAGAGGGCCTCCGTCCACGTGCACCGCAAATGTCTGACTTTCCCCACATGTGGCTCCGGCGGTTTTTGTTGGAGCAGCTTTCTCCCCTGTTTGTGCTCAGCTGCAACACCCTTCCTGCACCATCTGGAACGTGGCTAGGGCTCTCCATCACTTTGCCCACCCGCTCCGCCATGTTCTGCTGCGTGTCGGCCCACACCAACGCAGATCTCCTAAGTACAGAGAGTTCTGCTTTTATTGATTTCTGATTGCTCAGGGAGGAAACAATGCTGCTTGTCAAGCTTCAGAATCCTTGCACATAAGTAGTGACAGTTAAGAACAAGTTTGCAAAATCTTCCCCTTGGTCTGAACTACGGGCCTCCTCTGCCTACACACAGTCCTTGGCCCAGATCTGCATAGGGACAAGGTCAGTGGTTTAAAGGGGTTCGATCCCTGGGCTACAAGGTGGGCGATTCTGTCCCCTCGGCCTCTTAGACTGTTCCTCTGCCACAGCCCTGATCTTATTCTCTGAAGTCAGGAGTCCTAGAGAGCTCTACATAGTCTTGGAAAGTCTGGCCTGTAACTCAGTCCTTGTGCAAAGGGGAGATACTCCATCCCCTCTCCTCTCCAACTTCTTCTTCTCCTTCTCCTTCTCCTCCTCCTCCTCCTCCTCCTCCTTCTTCTTCTTCTTCTGTTTTTTTTGAGATGCTGTCTCGCTCTGTCGCCCTGGCTGGAGTGCAGTGGTGCTACCTCTGCCTCCCGGGTTCAAGCGATTCTCCTGCCTCAGCCTCCTGAGTAGCTGGGACTACAGGCCCATGCCATGACGCCTGGCTAATTTTTGTATTTTTAGTAGAGGTGGGGTTTAACCACCTTGGCCAGGCTGGTCTTGAACTCCGGACCTCAAGTGATCCACCCACCTCGGCCTCCCAGAGTGCTGGGATTACAGATGTGAGCCACTGCGCCTGGCCCAACTCCACCTTCTTTTTCTCTCCTTTTCTTTTTCTTTCTTTCTTTCTTTCCTCTTTCTTTCTTTCTTTTCTTTCACTTTCTTTCTTTCTCTTTCTTTCCTTTTCTTTCTTTTTCTTTCTCCTTCCTTCCTTCCTTCCTTCCTCTTTCTTCTCCTCCTTCTTCTCCTTCTCCTTCTTCTTTTTTTGAGACAGGGTATTTATTGCTCTGTCACCCAGGCTGGAGTGCAGTGGTGCAGTCATAGCTCACTGCAACATTGACCTCCTGGGCTCAAGTAATCCTCCAACCTCCGCCTCCTGAGTAGCTGGGACTACAGGCGTGCACTACAACGCCTGACTAATGTTTTGTTTATTTTTATGGAGATGGGGTCTCACTATGTTGCCCAGGCTGGCATCTTCTTTTCATCTCCAGATTTTCTCACCCTTGTGACCAAACATCATCCAGTTAGTATCCATGGGTAATGCTGTCTCAAAGATGTGGCTATTTTCTGCATGCCACTATGATAATACAGTTGGCTCGTTCATTTCATTTGGAATACAAACCATCTGACAATGTCTCAGACCAGAAACCAGCTGGAGAAATTAGGCTGTTCCCAGGGCGGGAATCTCTTTCTCTTTATTTTACTCATGAGGGTGGCAATGAAAGGGTTTTGTTGCCTCTTGGCGCAGGGTGTGACGGGAGCAATGCACACGGAGGTGTCCCCGGTAGTGGCACTGACATTCAAAGGGAGAGAAATTCCAGGCAAGTTGTCACCCAGGAGAAACAGGGGCAGAGGTGCTCAGCCCAGTGTTTTTTTTTTCCACCTGGAGCTTCTTTTCATGACGATGAACATAGATTCAGGTTATGTAGGAAAGATGTCCCCAGAGCCTTCCCTGTCTTTGCCATGAACCTCCCTGCATTGGCCCCTTTATTTGCCTTTTTTTTTTTCTTTGAGATGAAGTCTCACTTTGTCACCCAGGCTGGAGTGCAGTGGTGCGATCTAGGCTCACTGCAGTCTCCACCTCCTGGGTTTAAGCGATTCTCCTGCCTCAGGCTCCTGAGTAGCTGGGATTACAGGCGCACGCCACCATGCCCAGCTAATTTTTGTATTTTTAGTAGAGATGGGGTTTCACCATGTTGGCCAGGCTGGTCTCAAACTCCTGACCTCAGGTGATCCGCCCACTTCGGCCTCCCAAAGTGCTGGGATGACAGGCGTGAGCCACCGTGCCTGGGCTGGCCCTTTTATTTGACCAAGAAAGAGTCCAAGAAGCAGCTATGCAGCAATTGTCTCCACTTTGTAATCAGAAACAACTTATCCCAGCCTCTGACCTCTGTTCTGGTCATACCCAATTAGTCCATAGTTCCCCATATCTCCTCTAGCCTCCATTTGGTAAACATGGTTCCAAGGTCCAAGACCTTGTCTCTACAAAAAAATAAAAACTAAAAAAAAATTATCCAGGCACATGCGTCTGTAGTCCTAGCTACCCAGGAGGCTGAGGTGGGAGGATTGCTTGAGTCCAGAAGTTCAAGGTTGCTGTGAGCTATGATCATTGCACTGCACTCCAGCCTGGGCGACAGAGTGAGACTGTCTCAAAAAAAGAAAAAAATATATGGTTCCATCTGATTGGATTCCCTTTGCTCTCTCAGCTCTTTGCCTAGCTGAGTAAGACCTGTTGTACTGCAACACTCTGTCATCTGGGAAGCTGGATTCGTTGGCTCTTTTCTGTGCTGCATTTTCCTCTGCCTACCTTCTTCAAAGTTTTTATCTCTTAGCTGGGTGTGGTAGCGTGCACCTGTAGTCCCAGATACTCAGGAGGCTGAGACAGGAGAATTGCTTGAACCTGGGAGGCAGAGTTTGCAGTGAGCCGAGATCGTGCCACTGCACTACAGCCTTGGTGAAAGAGAGAGAATCTGTCTCAAAAAAAAAAAAAAGGCTTTTTTTAAAAAAAAGTTATTATACTTTAAGTTCTGGGATACATGTGCAGAACGTGCAGGTTTGTTACATAGGTATACATGTGCCATGGTGGTTTGCTGCACCCATCAACCTGTCATCTACATTAGGTATTTCTCCTAATGCTATCCCTCCCTTAGCCCCCCACCCCCCAACAGGCCCTGGTATGTGATGTTTCCCTCACTGTGTCTATGTGTTCTCATTGTTCAACTCCCATTTATGAGTGAGAACACGTGGTGTGCAGTTTTCTGTTCCTGTGTTAGTTTGCTGAGAATGATGGTTTCCAGCTTCATCTGTGTCCCTGCAAAGGACATGAACTCATCCTTTTTTATGGCTGCATAGTATTCCATGGTGTATATGTGCCACATTTTCTTTATCCAGTCTATCATTGATGGGCATTTGTGTTGGTTCCAAGTCTTTGCTATTGTAATTAGTGCTGCAATAAACATACGTGTGCATGTGTCTTTATAGTAGAATGATTTATAATCCTTTGGGTATATACCCAGTAATGGGATTGCTGGGTCAAATGGTATTTCTGGTTCTAGATCCTTGAGGATTCGCCACACCGTCTTCCACAATGGTTGAACTAATTTACACTCCCACCAACAATGTAAAAGCATTCCTATTTCTCCACATCCTCTCCAGCATCTGTTATTTCCTGACTTTTTAATGATCGTCATTCTAACTGGTGTGAGATGGTATCTCATTGTGGTTTCAATTTGCATTTCTCTAATGACCAGTGATGATGAGCTTTAAAAAAAAAAGCTTTTATCTCCTTGTATTGCAACTACCTGTTGACCTGTCTGTGTCCCCGACTAGATTCTGGGCTCTCTGAGGGCAGGGGTATTGATATGAACCATGGTCTTAGCTCCATTCCTGTCATTTGCTGGGTGAATGAATGAATGGAATGGCGAATGCACCCACATTTGCCAAACATGCATGTGCATTCCAGCCCTTTCTGATCTAATGAAATCTCCAGAAGGAAATGTATGTACCTGAGGTATGGAGATGTGTAGGGGAGATGTGTGAATTGAATTTCCACTGATTCTGCGGGGTACTAGTTTTCCACTGGCACTGTAACAAATTATACAAATGGAGTGGCTCAAAACAAAACATGAGGCCGGGCACAGTGGCCCACGCCTGTAATTCCAGCACTTTGGGAGGCCCAGGCAGGTGGATTATCTGAGGTCAGAAGTTCCAGACCAGGCTGGCCAACATGGTAAATCCCCATCTCTACTAAAAATGCAAAAATTTGCTGGGTGTGCTGGAGGGTGCTTGTAATCCCAGCTACTTGGAAGGCTGAGGCAGGAGAATCGCTTGAACCTGGGAGGCAGAGGTTGAAGTGAACTGAGATCATGCCACTGCACTCCAACCTGGGCAACAGAGTGAGACTCCATCTCAAACAACAACAACAACAATAACAAAAAACCACACACTCGTTTGTTGTCCTGCAGTTTTGAAGCTCAGAAGTCTGAAGTGAGTCTTATGGAGCTAAAATCAAGGTGTCTGCAGGTCTGTTCTCCTTCTGGAGGCTTCAGAGAGAATCAAGCTCCTTGCCTTTGCAGCTTGTAGAGTCTGCCTGCATTTCTTGGCTCATGGACCCTTCCTCACAGGGCTCCAGTCTCTTGCTAGTACTCACTCTGCTCTCTTGCCTCCCACTTGTAGGGGTCCTTGTGATTAAATTGGGCCCAGCTGAATAATGAAGGCTGATCTCTCAAGATCCTTAACTTGATCACATCTGTAAAGTCCCTTTGACCATATAAGGTGACATCTTCACAGGTTTTGGGGATTGGAAGTTGCACATCTCTGAGAAGGCCGTTGTCCAGTTTACCACATTCAGAAAGCTCCTGGCATGCCTTCTTATTTTATTTTATTTTTTTAGACAGAGTCTCGCTCTGTCACCCAGGCTGGAGTGCAGTGGCGTGATCTCAGCTCACTGCAACCTCCACCTCCTGGCTTCAAGTGATTCTCCTGCCTCATCCTCCTGAGTAGCTGGGATTACAGGTGCCTGCCACCACACCCAGCTAATAGTTTGTATTTTTTTTAGTAGAGATGGGATTTCACCATGTTGGCCAGGCTGGTCTCGAACTCCTGACCTTAGGTTATCTGCCCACCTTGGCCTCCCAAAGTGCTAAGTGTAATCCCAAAGTGTAATCCCAAAGTGCTGGGATTGCAGGCATGTGCTATGGTCCCTGGCCCTGCCATGCCTGCTTATCTGTACATGTCTAAAGTCTTCCCATCATTCAAGACCTCGACTGCCTCCTCCAGGAAGTCTTCCTTGAGTCCCTCCATCTGGATGCTCCTCAGCCTTGGTTCCTGCTGCTGCCCTCCACCGTGAGCAGGTCTGTGGTCAAACAGAGGCCCCTCTTTGGTCTGGGCACATTTCCACCTTTACTCTTTTACTCTGAGAGCCCTCTTTTTCCCTGGAAATTTCCCAGTTTGACCCCAGCCTGTCTTCTTCTACGAAACTCCTCTTGCCCACCTCAGTCTTGCACAGGTGTCTTAGATTGGCAGAGCTGTGACATTCTTTCTTCTTGTTCTTTTTTTTTTTTTTTTTTTTTTTTGAGATAGAGTCTCATTTTGCAGTCCAGGCTGGAGCGCAGTGGTGTGATCTTGGCTCACTGCAACCTCCACCTCCTGGGTTCAAGCAATTCTCCTGCGTCAGCCTCCTGTGTAGCTGGGATTACAGGCGCACGCCACCATGTCTGGCTAATTTTTGTATTTTTAGTAGAGATGGGGTTTCACCATGTTTTGGCCAGGCTGGTTTTGAATTCCTGACCTGAAGTGGTCCACCCACCTTGGTCTCCCGAAGTGCTGGGATTACAGGTGTGAGCCACAGCGCCCAGCGCATCCCTCCATTTGAATGACCACCTCCGTGCAGTCCAGTTCTTTATTTGCAGGTTAGCCTACGGCCATAGACAACAAGCGAGCATCGGGCCGTGAAGCATGAGGCTGCCTCTGTTGAATCATTGTGTGCCAAGCGTTGGCACAGGCCTGGGCACTTGGCACGGGTTGACAGAATGGTGTGAGGTGGTCTCTCTGCTGTTTGAATCTCCAGTGTTCACGATCCGCAGCCCTTGCCGGTGTGGTGCTCGGCATCTGGCGGCTCATTGATCAGTTCTTTTTTTTTTTTTTTTTTTGAGACGGAGTCTCGCTCTGTCGCCCAGGCTGGAGTGCAGTGACGGGATCTCGGCTCACTGCAAGCTCCGCCTCCTGCCAGGTTCACGCCATTCTCCTGCCTCAGCCTCAGCTGGGAATACAGGTGCCCGCCACCATGCCTGGCTAATTTTTTTTTTTTTTTTTTTGGAGAGTTGGGTTTCACTGTGTTAGCCAGGATGGTCTCGATCTCCTGACCTCATGATCCGTCTGCCTTGGCCTCCCAAAGTGCTGGGATTGCAGGCATGAGCCACCGCGCCCGGCCTGATCAGTTTTTGTTTTCGGCATTTGCCCTGCTGCCCTGCCCCACCTTCACACACAACAGGACTCAGGTCTCCAGCGCTGCACACAGGCGCTTGCAGCCACTAGATGTCTACTAGGTCGAGCTGCATGAAAATGCCACGATTTGGCTGTTTTTTGTTTTTTTTCCCCAAGACACAGTGTCGCCCTGTCACCTAGGCTGGAGTACAGTGGCACGATCTCGGCTCACTGCAACCTCCACCTCCCAGGTTCAAGTGATTCTCCTGCCTCAGCCTCCCAATAGCTGGGATTAGACACATGCCACCACACCCGGCTAATTTTTGTATTTTCAGTAGAGATGGGGTTTCAGTATGTTGGCTAGGCTGGTCTTGAACTCTTGAGGTGATCCACCTGCCTCAGCCTCCCAAAGTGCTGGGATTACAGGCACGAGCCACCACACCTGGCCTTTTTTTTTTTTTTTTGAGAGAGTCTAGCTCCACCCAGGCTGGAGTGCAATGGCATGATCTCGGCTCACTGCAACCTCCAGGTTTAAGCGATTCTTCTGCCTCAGCCTCCAAGTAGCTGGGATTACAGTGTTTGCCACCACGTCCTGCTAATTTTTGTATTTTTAGTAGAGACTGCGTTTCACCATGTTAGCCAGGCTGGTCTCAATCTGACTTCGTGATCTGCCCGCCTCAGCCTCCCAAAGTGCTGGGATTACAGGCGTGAGCCACCGAACCTGGCCGATTTGGCTGTTTTTATTTTTATTTTTATTTTTTAATTATTATTATACTTTAAGTTTTAGGGTACATGTGCACAATGTGCAGGTTAGTTACATATGTATACATGTGAATTTGGCTGTTTTTAACCTCCATAATGCTAAATGTCTTTGGACAAGGAGACAGAGTATTCATTGCTCAGGTGTCCTGACCAGGGGCCTTGGCCTCAGGCCTCCTTCCCAGTGCTGGAGGTCCTGTGCGCTGCTGCACTTCACATCCCTCACCACTCCCAGACACTGCCTCCATTCTGGCTGAACACAAATTGTTTTTGAAATGTTAAATCAGATGTCAATTTCCTGATTCACATTGAGAAATAGAACCGCCAGGCTAACCAGATATCATCTCTCTCTTGCAGCAGGAAAATCTACCCTGGAGGTCAACTTGACATGACAAAGTTGCTCTGTAAGCAACTCCCAGGGTACATGCTCAGACTCAGCGGCCTGTGCAGGGATGGGCCAGCCTGAGGCAGATGAGCTGCAGCCCCGCAGGGTCCCTTCTTCAGCAAGGAGGATAGGGTGACAGCTGGGTCGTCTCTGCAGGACCGAATGTGCCCTGCTGCAGATCATGAGAACTGATTGGTGAGCATGCCAGATAATCTCAGGGTTGTGGGGTGATCCTGGGCACAGCTTGGTCCCTACAGAGAGCAGTTTGCTGCAACCTACTGGGGATACCTGTGGTGTTTGACTTGGGTGATTTTCCACCCCTGAAATAACTCATGCTGGCCCTCCTTCCCTCCCTGTCTCTCCTCCTTTCTTCCTGTGTTCTGTCTTTATTCCTTTCCTTTGGGGGCTCTTTTTTTTTTTCTAATTGTAATTTACTTACAATAGAATGGATATTATATATTTTTAATTTTTATTTGTTTTTATTATTTTGTTTTATTTTATTTTTGAGACGGAGTCTCCCTCTGTAGCCCAGGCTGGAGTGCAGTGGACTTGGCTCACTGAAACCTCTGTCTCCCGGGTTCAAGTGATTCTCCTGCCTCAGTCTCCCGAGTAGCTGGGATTGCAGGCACCCACCACCATGCCCAGCTAATTTTTGTATTTTTAGTAGAGACTAAGTTTCACCATGTTGGCCAGGCTGGCCTTGAACTCCTGACCTCAGGTTATCTGCCGGCCTCGGCCTCCCAAAGTGCTGGGATTACAGGTGTGAGCCACTGTGCCCGGCCTTATTTTATTTTATTTTTTGAGATGACGTCTCACTCTGTTGCCCAGGCTGGAGTGCAGTGGCGTGATCTCAGCCCACTGCAACTTCTGCCTCCCAGATTCAAGTGCCACCATGTCATGCTTATTTTTGTATTTTTAGCAGAGAAGGGGTTTCTCCATGTTGGCCAGGGTGGTCTTGAACACCTGACCTCAGATGATCCACCTGCCTTGGCCTCCCACAATGTTGGGATTACAAGTGTGAACCACCTCGCCCAGCCGAGATTTGTATTTTTGTAGAGACATGGGGTTTCGCCATTTTGCCCAAGCTGGTCTTGAACTCCTGGGCTTAAGCGATCCTTCTGCCTCGGCCTCCCAATGTGCTGCGATTAAGGCATGAGCCACCGTGCCTGGCCAAAAGCTGTGATTTTTTTAGAAAATATTGAACATCATTGTCATCCCTGAAATTGCCTTCACAGTGTGTCCCAGTCAGTTCCCACGCCCCAAAGCCTGCCATTGTTCTGTTGTTTTTTTTTCCAACATTGATTCATTGTACCTGTTCCCAAACTTCGTATAGTTGGAAATATACATTAGGTACTCATTTATTCTGTCACCCAGGCTGGAGTATAGTGGCGTGTTCTTGGCTCACTGCAACCTCTGCCTCCCGGGTTCAAGCAACTCTTGTGCCTCAGCCTGCCTAGTAGCTGGGACTACAGGTGTGTGCCACCATGCCCAGCTAATTTTGTATTTTTTAGTAGAGATGGGGTTTCACCACGTTGGCCAAGGTGGTCTCTAACTCCTGACCTCAGGCAATCTGCCCATCTTGGCCTCCCAAAGTGCTGGGATTACAGGTGTGAGCCACTGTGCCCCGCCAAGCATTATGTCTTTGAGATTTGTCTGTGTCATTGTGACGTACCTTTTGCCTTTCCCACCACCCGAATATGTGACTTTACCACAGTTTATCCATTTTCTTATAGACAGACACCAGGGGCCACTTCCATTTTTTGACTATTACAGATAATTTTGCACAAGGCTTTTCATGGACATTTGAAATGGAATTGCTGGAAAAAAAAAACCGAATTGCTGGGTCATAAGATTTTACTTTCTAGTTTAGTAAAGAAACCAGGTTGGGCACAGTGGTTCACATGCCTCCTTTGGGAGGTTGAGGCAGGAGGATTACTTGAGCCCAGGAGTTCAAGACCAGCCTGGGCAACATAGTGGGATGCCATCTCTACAAAACACAAAAAGAAAGGCCGGGCGCGGTGGCTCATGCCTGTAATCCCAGCACTTTGGGAGGCCGAGACAGACTGATCACCTGAGGTCAGGAGTTCGAGACCAGCCTGGCCAACGTGGTGAAACCCCATCTCTACTAAAAATACAAAAATTAGCTGGGTGTGGTGGTGCATGCCTCTAGTTCCAGCTACTTGGGAGGCTGAGGCAGGAGAATAGCTTGAACCCAGGAGGTGGAGGTTGCTGTGAGCCAAGATCATGCCCCTGCACTGCAGCCTGGGCAACAGAGCGAGACTCGGTCTCAAAAAAAAAAAAAAAAAAAGGAAAAGAAAAGAAAAAGAAAAATTTAGCTGGGCCTGGTGGTGCATGCCTGTAGTCCCAGCTGCTTGGGAAGCTTAGGCAGGAGGATGGCTTGAGGCCAGGAGGTTGAGGCTGCAGTGAGCAGTGATTGTACCATCTCACTCCAGCCTGGGCAACAGAAAGAGACCCGGTCTCAAAAAAAAAAAAAAAAAAAAAAAAAAAAAAGGAAACCATTAGACAGTATTCCAAAGCAGTTTTTTTTTGTTTTGTTTTTGAGACGGAGTCTCGCTCTGTCGCCAGGCTGGAGTGCAGTGGCACCATCTTGGCTCACTGCAAGCTCCGCCTCCCGGGTTCAAGCAATTCTCCTGCCTCAGCCTCCCGAGTAGGTGGGACTACAGGCGCACACTGCCAAGCCTGGCTAATTTTTGGTTGCCAGGATGGTCTTATCTCCTGACCTCATGATCCGCCCGCCTTGGCCTCCCAGAGTGCTGGGATTACAGGCGTCAGCCACCGTGCTTGGCCCAAAGCGGTTTTGTTATTTTACACTCCCATCAACAACATACGACGGTTCTAGTTACTCCATATTTTTGCCAACATTTGGTGTTGTCAGTCTGCTTAATTGTAGCCATTCTGGTGACTGTACTCAAAATTTAAAATTTTGATGAATTTGTTTATTAATTTTTTATGGAATGCTTTTTGTGTTTTGCCTTAGAAATATTTGCCCATCTCAAAGTCATGAAGTTATTTTCCTATGTTTTAGATGCTTTATGAATTTAATTTTTTATTTAGGTCTTGGATCTATTTCAATTTAATTTTTTGGTGTGATGTAAGAAGTTGAGGGGCCGGGTGCGGTGGCTCACGCCTGTAATCCCAGCACTTTGGGAGGCCAAGGCGGGCAGATCACGAGGTCAGGAGATCGAGACCATCCTGGCCAACACGGTGAAACCCTGTCTCTACTAAAAAAAAAAAAATACAAAAAATTAGCCAGGCGTGGTGGCGGGTGCCTGTAGTCCCAGCTACTAGGGAGGCTTAGGCAGGAGAATGGCGTGAACCTGGGAGGTGGAGCTTGCAGTGAACCGAGATGGCACCACTGCACTCCAGCCTGGGCGACAGAGTGAGACTCTGTCTTAAAAAAAAAAAAAAAGGAGTTGAGGTTCATTTGTTTTCCTTACAAATAGGCAATTTGTTTTTCCTTACAAATAGACAATTATTCTAGCCCATTTGTTGAAAGGTTTTTCTTTCTCCATTGAATTACCTTGGTACATTTGTTGGGAATCAGTTGGCCATATTTATGTAGGTCTATTTTTGGACTCTGTTTTCTGCTCCATTGATTCTATTTTGTGTATCCTAACGCCACTACCAAATGGTCTTAGCTACTGCTGTTTATAGCAGTTCTTAAAATCAGCCAGTGTAAGTCCTCTGAATTTTTTCCTTATTAGGATTATTTTGGCTATTCTAGGTCCTTCTCATTTCCACTTACATTTTAGAATCTGCTTGCCAATTTCTAAAAAAAGCTTTCTGGTTTTTTTTAATTTTTTTTTTTTTTTTTTTTGAGAGAGGGTCTTTTTCTGTCACCCAGGCTGGAGTGCAGTGGCATGATCATAGTCACTGTAGCTTCACCCTCCTGGGCTCAAGCAGTCCTCCCACCTCAGTCTCCTGAGTAGCTGGGACTACAGACACATTCCACCATGACTGGCTAACACTTCTATTTTTTTGTAGAGATGAGGTTTTGTCATGTTGCCTAGGCTGGTCTCAAACTCCTGAGCTCAAGTGATCCTTCTGCTTTGGCCATGCCAGTCTGCATTCTGGAATTTTACTTGGGATTACATTGAGTCTATAGATTAATTTGAGACAATTGACATTTTAACAATATTGAATTTTCTAATCCATGAACATGGTACATTTCTTCATTTATTTAGATTTTCTGTAATTTCTTTCAATAATGTGTTACAGCTTTCAGTGGAAAAGATTTGCATATCTTTTGTTAAATTTATTCCCAAATAGCATTTTTTATTTTAATGAAGGAACCTGGAAGCCCCAGAAAGGTGAAGGTGAAATGGTTGATGGGCAATTATGGGGCTGATGTTTGGGGTTGGAGCTCGATTCAGCACCCAAAATGATCACCGTCAAGAAGCAGCTGGTCACATGGGGTGATTCTCACTTTGTCCTCTCCAACTGGTTATTGCAATCAAGCCAATTTGCTGTCTGGGGGACATGACAGCTAGTAAGGCTGTGTTCCATTGCAGTGAACACCTTGGTCCTCCCTTCTCGACCCTGGGTGTCCCACACAGATCAGCCACAGGCTGCCTGTGCTTACGGTCCCCTCCTGAGAGAAGCTGCAGTGTCTCCAGCTTCTGATGCACAGTGTGAGGCTTCCCCCTGAGCAACAGTGGCCAGTGGCCTTGGTGAGGCCCAGGCTTGGACAGCCCTGCCCTACGGGACTAGAAAATGTAGTACCAACCACGGATTTGGTAGGACAGGAGAAGCCAAGAAATGGATGAGAAGAGGCAGAGAAGGAAGCTGAGTGGCTTTAATGGCAGAGCACTGTGGAAGGGGCCCATGAATGGCAGTTGCCTGAGGGTCTACCAGACAGGCTGCTGTCGGAGCAGCCTTGGGTTTCCAGTGGACTTCCACTTCCGGTGCCTGGGGGGCCTCGCTCTCCTGGGACTCTTGCTTTCCCCAGAAGGCTTAGGTGTTTTGACTTTCCCAAGGCTCCTTTGAGGGCTGGCGCCGTGGCTAAGCTTCCTCTCTTCCTTATTCCACAAGCCTCCCCACCGTAATGCCTACCCACTGTGAGAACTGACTCGGAATCGCTGCCGCTGGTATCCAGGGGTGCCACCCTCACACAACTGTGACTGCCCTTGGAGCTCTTGTGCTCCCTCAGTTGGAAGCCTTTTGTTTTCTCTAGGTTACTAGGCTACGTCAATGTGTGGGTGCATACACAAAAATAATTGGGACACCATACTTTGTCTTTGCAGTTTTGTCTCACATAGGCAGAGGTCTTACTGATAATTTGGAGGGGCCAATCAGAGGCATCCTGGATAGCGGGGAGTCTGAAAGGCAGGCCAGGCCCGGCATGGCAGCTCACACCCGTCATCCCAGCACTTCAGGAGGCTGAGGTGGGAGGATCTTTGAGCCCAGGAGTTTGAGACGAGCCTGGGCAACATAGGGAGACCCCATCTCTATAACAATTTTAAGAATTAGCTGGGGCTGGGTGTGGTGGCTCATGCCTGTAATCCCAGCTGAGGGACTTTGGGAGGCTGAGGCAAATGGATAATCTGAGCTAAGGAGTTCGAGACCAGCCTGGCCAACAAAGTGAAACCCCATCTCTACTAAAAATACAAAAATTAGCCAAGTGTGGTGGCGCGTGCCTGTAACCCCAGCTACTCAGGAGGCTGAGGCAGGAGAATCACTTGAACCCAGGAGGCGGAGGTTGCAGTGAGCAGAGATTGCACCACTGCCCTCCAGCCTGGGTGACAGGAGCGAAACTCCACCCACACCCCCACCAAAAAAAAATTAGCTGGATGTGATGGTGCACACCAGTGGTCCCAGCTACTTAGGAGGCTGAGGCAGGAGAATATCTCCTTGAGCCCAGTAGGTTGAGACTGCAGTGAGCCACATTCATGCTACTGCACTTCAGCCTGGGTGACAGAGTGAGACCCTGATTCAAAAAAAAAAAAAAGAGAGAAAGGCTGCAAGGAAGACCTGGGAAAGCTGGGGTTCGCAGGAGAGGTGCTTGGGGAGCTTTCAATACTGCCTTGAAGTAGGAGAATATTTGCTCCCAATGCCATATTGGGAGGGGAGGAGCTTTCAAGGAGCTGTACAGCCACGGGACAGGCTTCCTGGGACTCTGATTTCTGTATCCCTGGAATAAACAAGCAGATGCTACAGAGACGCCTGCATTGGGCAGGGTCATGAGCTCTTCAAGATCCATTTGACACTGTTTCTAACACTTTACCATGAGTCAATTCATGATCTCTCAAGAAAAGCTCTTCAGGGGAGGAACCCCCCAGAATTAATTTTTTGTTTTTGGAGGCAGAGTCTGTCTCTGTCACCCAGACGGAAGTGAATGCAGTGGTGGGGTCATGGTTCACTGCAGCCTCGACACCCTAGGCTCGAGAGATCCTCCCTCTTCAGCCTCCCTGAGTAGCTGGGACTGCAGGCCTGTGGTCTGGTTAATTATTATTTATTTATTTTTGAGACAGAGTCTCTCTGTTCCCCAGGCTGGAGTGCAGTTGCTAGATCTTGGCTCACTGCAACCTCTGCCTCCTGGGTTCAAGCAATTCTCCTGCCTCAGCCTCCCGAGTAGCTGGGATTACAAGTGCCTGCCACCATGCCTGACTAATTTTTGTGTTTTTAGTAGAGGCAGGGTTTCACCATGTTGGACAGGCTGGTCTCGAACTCCTGAGCTCAAGTGATTCTCCCACCTCAGCCTCCCAAAGTGTTGGGATTACAGGTGTGAGTCACCATGCCTGGTCTAGTTAAGTTTTAAAAAATTTGTATAGAAACAGAGTCTTGCTATGTTGCCCAGGCTGATGTTGAACTCCTGGCCTCGATACTCATACTTTGGCCTGCCAAAGTTCTGGGATTATAGGTGTCAGCCACCATGCTGCTGAAAGACATTTTGTGTTTGTTTGTTGGTTTTTTATACGGAGTCTCATTCTGTCACCCAGGCTTGAGTGCAGTGGCGTGATCTCGGCTCACTGTAACCTCTGCCTCCCAGGTTCAAGAGATTCTCCTTTCTCAGTCTCCTGAGCAGCTGGGACCACAGGCACATGCCACCACGTCTGGCTAATTTTTTTTGAGATGGAGTCTCGCTCTGTCACCCAGGCTGGAGTGCAGTGGCGTGATCTCAGCTCACTGCAAGCTCTGCCTCCCAGGTTCATGCCATTCTCCTGCCTCAGCCTCCCAAGTAGCTGGGACTACAGGCGCCCGCCACCACGCCTGGCTAATTTTTTGTATTTTTAGTAGAGATGGGGTTTCACCGTGTTAGCCAGGATGGTCTGGATCTCCTGACCTCGTGATCTGCCCGCCTTGGGCTCCTAAAGTGCTAGGATTACAGGTGTGAGCCACCGCGCCTGGCCCGCGCCTGGCTGATTTTTGTGTGTACATATATATATATATATATATATATATATATATATATATATATATATATATATATATATATTTAGAGATGGGGCCTCACTATGTTGCCCAAACTGGTCTTGAACTCCTGGGCTCAAGCAATTCTCCTGCCTTGGCCTCCTGAAGTGCTGGAATTACAAGCATGAGCCACTGCACCCGGCCAATTTCACTTTTAAGGGGTCCCATGCTACTATATGAGAGGCAGCCAACATACCTGGCCTACCTGGCCTTCCTCTTCACCTTTGAAAATGGCTTTCCACACTAGCCTGTAGACTACAGACTATTTCTCCAGGTGAACCTATTAATTGCAGAAGACAGATTCCAGAAATCTCAACAACAACAAAAAAATTAAAAGTGAAATTGGTTGTCTGACACCTTGGAGCAGAGACTCTGTCATTTACCTCTTTTTAGTTGGACTGGAGAGTACAGGCCCTGCCTACAGCAGAAGCTCATCAATGTTTTTTGATGATCCAGTAAGCATCTTTTAAAAATGACAGGATTCTGAGACAGGCTATAAGATGAATGAACTTGAGGACACTGTGGTAAGTGAAATAAGCGAGGCACAAAAGGACAATATTGTATAATTCCACTTACAGGAGGGACCTAGAATAGTCCAACTCATGGAGACAGAAAATGGAATGTTTGTCAGGGAATGGGGAGGAGGGGTGAGGAGTTAGTGTTTAATGAGGACAAGGGCTCAGTTTAGGATGATGAAAAAATTTGAAGATAGATGGTGGTGATGGTTGCACAACAATGTGAATATACTTTTTCTTTTTTTTTTTTTTTGATATGGAGTCTCTCTCTGTCACCCAGGCTGGAGCGCAGTGGTGCGATCTCGGGTCACTGCGACCTCTGCCTCCCAGGTTCAAGTGATTCTCCTGCCTCAGCCTCCGGAGTAGCTGGGATTACAGGCGAGTGCCACCACACCTGGCTAATTTTTGTATTTTAGTAGAGATGGGGTTTCACCATGTTGGCCAGGCTGGTCTCTAACTCCTGGCCTCAAGAGATCCACCAGCTTCGGCCTACCAAAGTGCTGGATTACAGGCGTGAGCCACCACGCGCGGCCAACAATGTGAATATACTTAATGTCACTGAATTGCACATTTTAAAAATGGTTACAATGGTAAATTTTAGGTTACATATATTTTATCAAAATCGTGTGTTTGTAATCTAGTTGGTGACCTAAATTTTTGCAATTATGATATAATCAATGATTTTTCAAAGGTGATACTGTCCACCAGTGTTTGTGGGGTGCAAAAACATTGCTGAGTTTGTTCATTTATTCAACCAGCATGCCTTGGCTGCCTGCTCTGTCGGAGCCTCCTGAGCTAAACTTGAAGATATAAAGTCAATGATCCCACCACTTGGGAGGCCGTGGAGGAACACTTGAGGTCAGGAGTTTGAGACCAGCCTGGGCAACATAGCAAGATCCCGTCTGTAAAAAAAAAAAAATAGAATCACTCACATGCCTACTCTTTCAGAACTAGGTTCTGAGGGTGAGGATCAAGAGCCAGCCCATGAACCTCTGACTCGGTGAGTGAAGCTTCCGGCAGAACATCCGGCCTGGCATCCGAGGCGGCACTTATCTGAAGCCTCTTATATGAGGAGGATCTCAAAAGAAGCAGGGAGAGAGCCTTGGGAGAGGAACCTGGTGCCAGCCCTGGATACAGAGATGGAGTCGTGACGGTGTCGGGCCAGCCTGAGAAATAGCAGGAGACCTGACATGGCCTAGGGTGGGGCTCTAGGTGCTTGATGAAAGTGAGATGGAAGGAGTGCACCGTGGTGACTGCGGAGTCCTCAAAGCCACTGCGACCCTCACCTTTACCTCCTGTCAGCTGGTGAGCTTGGTAAGGTTGAAGAAAAAAATCTCTTGGGGCCGAGCACGGTGGCTTATGCCTGTAATCCCAACACTTTGGGAGGCCAAGGCAGGTGGATTGCTTGGGGCCAGGAGTTTGAGTCCAGCCTGGGCAACATAGCAAGACCCCATCTCTACAAAACAAAATAAAAAAAAAATAGCCAGGCATGGTGGCATATGCCTGTGGTCCCAGGTACTTGGGAAGCTGAGACAGGAGGATCTCTTGAGTCCAGTAGTTTGAGGCTGCAGTGAGCCGTGATCACACCACTGCACACCAGCCTGGGCAACAGAGCAAGACACTGTCCACCCACCAAAAAAATGAACAAACGAAACTCTGTAAATCTGTTTTTCTCATCAATAAAACAGATAATACTTCTCACATTGATAGGATTAAATCAGAAAATCTGTGTAAAGTGTCTAGCTGAGATACATCTTTTTTTTTTTTTCGAGACGGAGTCTCACTCTGTTGCCCAGGCTGGAGTGCGGTGGTGCAATCTTGGCTCACTGTAACCTCTGCCTCCTAGGTTCAAGCGATTGTCATGCCTCGGCCTCCCGAGTAATAGCTGAGCTATGTCTATATTTACATCTCTACCTACAGATGATATCTTGTCTATATCTGTATCTACACACACACAAGACAGGGCAGGGTGTGAGAACTCTGAAGGTCTGGAAACAAGCCTTGATTATTTCTAGGTTTCGCTTCTCTGTTTTGCAGCCAGGGCATTTGGCTCTGGGAAGTGGTGAGAGCATCCTGGGTGTGTCTGGCGAGCTGGGTGTCTCTAGCCCAGCATCTTTGTCAGCGTGTAGCTGGGGGTGTGGAACCAAGGGCAGAGGGGATGGGTGGGGCTTGGAGGTGGCAGCAAGCATGAGTGTTGACGTCGTGGAAGCCTAAGGCTGGTTCTTTCATGGGTTACCATATTGGGGCCCAGGTGAGAAGTCTAATCCTTTGGGTGTCACAGTTTGACTTGTTGCCACAGAAACCACACCATCTCAACATGATCCATCCAACTGCTTCCTGGAAAAGCAGTTTGGAAGGCAATTGGATCATTTTATTATTATTTCTTTTAAATAAATATATTTTTAAAAAACAGAGATGGGGTTTTGCCATGTTGTCCAGGCTGGTCTCGAACTCCTGGGCTCAAGCAATCTGCCTGCTTCAGCCTCCCAAGGTGCTGGGATTACAGGCGTGAGCCACCGCGCCTGGCCAATTGGATCATTTTCATCAATGAAAGATGGTGCATTCTCGCACCTGCTTGGGTATCATGTATGAACGACGTAAATGTGATAGAGCCCAAAGAAATGATTTGCTCAGGAACGGACCGTTGAGGGAGGAAAATGGAGACAACTCACGAACCTCTATTAGCCATTTTTGGATGGAAAAAAATTGCATCTTCATTTTTATGAATTCCAAATAGGGACATTTTTATGTCCTTCCATTATGAGTATGGCAACAGACCACAGTATTATTCATGGGGCCATAGCTTCATTGAAGTGGATAGCGCGGATACTTAATCAAAGAGGATTGACGCAGAAAATCGGTGAAAAGATCTAGGCTATTTTCTCTACTTTGGCTTCCGCAAGATATGGGGACACAAATCGCATTTGTTCCATTGCTTTATGAGCCAGGTTGACTTAACTACTGAGGGAAGACGCCTGGCGTGCTGCCCACGAGGCGGCAGGAGCAAACTCTTCAGGTTATCATTGGTGGAAATTTCCACAGATGCGTCTTCAGGCTGAGAGGTCAATTTATTGGGCTCATGTGGAAGGCTGGAAAGGCTTGATTAACTAGTCAGTCTCATTCACTTTTTCTTTCTTTTTTTTTTTTTTTTGGCTGTGGTGGAGTCTCACTCTGCCGCCCAGGCTGGAGTGCAGTGGTGAGATCTCAGCTCACTGCAACCTCCGACTCCCAGATTCAAGCGATTCTCCCACCTCAGCCTCCCAAGTAGCTGGGACTACAGGTGTGCGCCACAACTCCTGACTAATTTTTGTATTTTTTAGTAGAGATGGGGTTTTGCCATGTTGGCCAGGCTGGTCTCCAATTCCTGACCTCAGGTGATCCGCCCACCTCAGCCTCCCAAAGTGCTGGGATTACAGGCGTGAGCCCTGTGCCTGGCCTGTTATATTCATTTACTTTAAAGGAAAGTATTTGCCAAAGGACCTTTTCTCGTGAGGAATGTTTTGACTGATCACCTTCTTTGTATTAATGTTAATACTGTCATTTTCCTCACCTATGAGATGTCTGAGTATTCTCAAATTATTCAGCCTTCCCATGATTTTAACATCTTTCATCCAATCTTCAAATTTTACTTTCACTTCCACAATCTTGTCCAGCTCAGTAGGTAAAAGCCGCATGCCTGGGCATGTTCCCTAGCTGTGCTCTCAGCATAAATTAGATAGCGTGTCAGTTTGGAGTTCATACAGAGGCAAGTAACAGAAAGCCCTGTTTTAGAGGCTGATGATAATAAAGAATTCCTTTTTCCTGGGTAGGAAAAAGTTCACGGTAGGCACTTTGGTGCTGGTATCTGTATTGGTTCATTCTCACATTGCTATAAAGAAATGCCTGAGGCTGGGTAATTTATAAAGAAAAGAGATTGAATTTGTTCACAGTTCCATAGACTGTACAGGAAGCGTGGTGCTGCCATCTGCTCAGCTTCCAGGGAGGCCTTAGGAAACCTCCAATCATGGTGGAAGGTGAAGCGAAGCAGGCTTGTCCTACATGGTTGAAGCAGAAGCAGGAGAAAGAGAGAGGGGAGGTGCTGTCTCTCTTGTTCCTGCTCCACCGATCACTGTCACTATCATAACAACAGCACCAAAGCGAGATGGTGTTAAACTATGAGAAACCGCCCCATGATCTAATCACCTCCCACCAGACCCTACCTCCAGCACTGGGGATTACATTTCAACATGAGATTTGGGTGGGGACACAGATCCAAACCATATCAGTATTAATGACTATTGATGCCATCAAGAACCCAGGCTCTTCTCATTTTTCTGTTCCTCTGTCCTTAGCATAGACCTCATTCTCAAGCCTCTTGTCTCATGGTTGCAAGATGGCTGCTGTACCTCCACACCTCACACTGATGTTCCAGGCAGAAAGAAGAGGAAGGGTGAAGGAATGAAGGGCTTTCCCTTAGCAAGTCCTTACCATCTTATTCAGGAGGGGGAAATCCTCCCCAGAGTTTACCTCCCCAGAGAGGTAAACCAGGCTTTGCCTGAGGTATCTAGGTGGCAACTTTCAGAGCTGGGATTCAATCTCAGGTCCAGTGTCCTGTCTTCTGGACCCCACTGGCTGGGTGTGATCAACGGGCAATCAACTCATTGAGAGAGACAGACACACAGAAGCAAAAGGGACAGATGGACTTCATGTGCTTCAGTTTTGCACAAGCCTACCTTTTTATTTATTTATTTTTTTTGAGACAGGGTCTTACTCTGTTGCTCAGGCTGGAGTGCAGTGGTGCAATCATGGCTCGCTGCAGCCTCTAACTCCCCAGGCTCTGGTGATCCTCCCACCTCGGCCTCCCTAGCACCTGGAACTACAGGCACACGCCATCACGCTCAGCTAATTTTTGTATTTTTTGTAGAGATGGGGTTTCATCATGTTTCCCAGGCTGGTCTTGAACTCCTGGCCTCAAGCAATCCACCTCCCTCAGCCTCCCAAAGTGCTGGGATTACAGGCGTGAGCCACCACACCTGGCCTGATACAGCCTTTTGTGGTGTTTCTGTCATTGCCCTGGCGGGGATGGCAGGTGTATCTGGGACCACAGGGTGAGGAGCCAACACTTGGTCTTGGACTCAGCCTTGCACACAGACGTGGTCTGCATTGCCTTTTTCTACCAACTGATCTCACACCTTTTGTGTGTGTGTTTTCCAGCCTTGCTTCCTGACTAGCATTTGCTGCCAGAAGGGGAATTTTCTAGATTGAAAAGTCAGACTTTATCTCAGTTGTTATCTTCCTTTCCTTGAACACAGGTAGCACAGAGGAATGGATGTTTCTTGACAACCCAGTCTAGTCATATGGCAAAATAAACGAAAAAACAGCACCCATGTCCAAGTGAGTTTTCTGCTTGTCTTGATAGAATTAATTATGGTTGGAAGCCAGGCATGGTGGTGCATGCCTGTAGGCCTGGGCAAGATGGCAAGACCCCATCTCTACAAAAATAAAGAATAAAAAACATCAGCTGGGTGCAGCAGTGCATTTCTGTGGTCCCTGCTACTGGGGAGGCTGAGGTGGTAGGATCTGTTGAGTCCAGGAGCTTGAGGCGGCAGTGAGCCACAATGATTGCATCACTGCATTCCAGCCTGGGGGACAAAGCCGGAACCTATCTCTTAAATTTTTTTTTCTCGAGGTTCTGGAGGCTGGGAAGTCCAAGATTAAGTGCTGGCAGATTCAGTGTCTGGTGAGGGCTGCTTCCTGGTTCATAGAGGTGACTTCTTGCTGAGATCTCGGATGGTGGGCGGGGCTTGGCAGCTCTGGAGCCTCTTATAAGGGCACTAATCCTGTTCATAAGGGCGTCAACCTCATGACCTGATCACCTCCCAAAAATCCCACCTCCTAACACTATCACCTCTGAGGCTATAGATTTTGTTGGAGACAGAAACATTCAGACCATAGTGGTACTCAACAAAATATTTATTAATATGTATTAATTCTGGGAGTCAAGCAAACCTAATGAATTGATCACTGGGATTTTGACACCACGATCAGATAAACAATTTAAAAATATGTTGCATATTCTGCAGTTATTCCATGACTCAAAGTTACGTATTAAAATAAACTACTGTCAACTTTGGGAGGCCAAGGCGGGCGGATCACCTGAGGTCAGGAGTTTGAGACCAGCTTGGCCAACATGGTGAAACCCCATCTCTACTAAAAATACAAAATTAGCCGGGTGTGGTGGCGGGCGCCTGTAATCGTAGCTACTTGGGAGGCTGAGGCAGGAGAATCACTTGAAACTGGGAGACGGAGGTTGCAGCGAGCCAAGATCGCGCCATTGCACTCCAGCCTGGGCAACAAGAGTGAAACTCTGTCTCAAAAAAATAAAAAATAAAATGGAATAGATAAACCACTGTCAAAGTAGTGTTGAAAATTTGGGGATGAAGGCTGAATTTAAATCTGCTTTCATCAAGGAAACTTCATATGGTAATAATTTCTTTTCCACTTTCACTAGTGGTCTGAAATGTGGACAGCATTTGCTGCCGACAGAAGCAAACCGGCTGCCTGCCGGGTGCCCATCAGCTTTTGATTGACACAAAGGAAGGGGCTGCCTGTGGGAGAAATGACACGAATGACGTGGTGTGGCAGGCAGGGCACTGCTGGATGTGACTTGGGAGGAGGGCGTTTAGGCAGTCACAGCCACTTGCTGTCCTGTGGACAGTGGAAGCAACTGGGGAAGAATCCCCTTTCTGTTTGTCAACCAAGAGAGTCCGTATATTTTGCAAACTCCAAGTGTTGTCAAACTAGGTGCTGTTTAATAACAAGTTTAATAATAATCTGGTTTTTTTTGTTCCAACCTGCATCATCTTGAAGTGCCCTTTCTTTTTCTTTCTCTTTCTTTTTCTTTCTTTCTTCTTTCTTCTTTTTCTCTTCTTTCTCTTTTTCTTTCTTTTCTTTCTTCTCTCTTTCTTTCTTCCTTCTTTCTTTCTCTTTTTCTTTCTTTTCTTTCTTCTCTCTCTCTTTGATGAGGTCTTTGTGTGTTGCCCAGGCTGATCTCAAACTCCTAGGCTCAAGTGATCCTTCCACCTCAGCCTACCAAAGTGCTGGGATTATCGGCGTGAGCCACCTCACCAAGCCAAAAAAGAGCAGAGACTTAAAACAGATATCTATACATGCATGTTCATAGCAGTAATCTTTACAGTAGCCAAAAGGTAGAAACAAAGCAAATTTCCATCAACAAATGAGTGAATAAACAAAATGCGCTCTATCCATGCAATGGAATATTATTCAGTCTTAAATAGGAATGATATTATTGCGACCGGCAATTAGAAAGGGCAGGCAGAACTTCTGCTCCCTGCACAAAGCCGTTTAGTAAGGAAGAAAGAAGCCCCTGGAGCTGAATGACTCCAGGCCAGGCGCAGTGGCTCAAGCCTGTAATCCCGGCAATTTGGGAGGCTGCGGTGGGCAGATCACCTGAGGTCAGGAGTTTGAAACCAGCCCGGACAACATGGTGAAACCCTGTCTCTACTGAAAATACAAAAGTTAGGCTGGGCGCTGTGGCTCACGCCTGTAATCCCAGCACTTTAGGAGGCTGAGGTGAGAGGATCATGAGGTCAGGAGTTCGAGACCAGCCTGGCCAACATGGTTAAACCCCATCTCTACTAAAAATACAAAAATTAGCCAGGTGTGGTGGCGGGTGCCTATAATCCCAGCTACTCAGGAGGCTGAGGCAGTATAATCGCTTGAACCTGGGAGGCAGAGGTTACAGTGAGCTGAGATTGCACCACTGCACTCCAGCCTGGGCAGCAAGAGTGAAACTCCATCTCTAGCAACAATAACAAAAGAACTGAATGACTCCGCCTTGTCTCCAGGAACGAGGCGCTGGCCATTTGCCCATGTGACCTGGCAAGTGACGCCATTTAGCTGCCAGGCTCATTAACCAAGGGCAGCTCCTAGAACTTCCGGTGGGGATGATATCCATTGAGCACCAGGCTGTGAGCAGGGCTCCTGGATGAAGCCAGCTTGTACTGCCCACCTTCCAGAACCTTTTGTCTGCAGGGTGCTGCTTTCTCATGACAGCCATAACTTCGGGATCACCTGAGCCTCAAAAATGCACCAGGAATTCACTTTGCAGCACGGCACATTCCAGATCCCCATGTAGGGTGGCCACACCCAGATTCCAAAGGAGAACGTGGCCAGACCTGGCTCCTCCTTCAGACCTTCCCCCCTTCTCAGGTGTTTCTGCCTTGTGACTTTGAGCCATGGTGTGGCAGGAATGTGGTCTGCTTCTGCACTTGTGCTTGACATCATTTGTCCCCGTCAAGGGACAGGTTTCTTCATTTGAAGCAAATTTCTACAGCCATCCTGGTTTCGCTTTGGCAGCAGATACGGCTGGGGAGTGTGCATGGCTGGCTTTGTGCATGCCTCTTCCTCAAGGACAGCCCTACGCTCACTCTCTGCCTCTCCATCTTCCAAAGGCTTCCAGCTGGCTGCTGAGCCACCTTGCACCATGACTACAACCTGCAGTTCTGCTTCATTTCCTGATGTCTTCTCTTGCACCTTGTGCCCGGTGGCTTCACTGGCCTGTTTGATCCTCCATAGCACAGCCCACACTCTTGGGCTTTGCCTGGGACATTTGTCCTTGTGTCTTCTGGCCACTAATCTGACTGTATTAGAGTTCTATGGAGAAACAGAACTGATAGGATATGTGGACAGATAGAAGGATAGATAGCTAGATCTATATCTGTCTATCCATCCACACACCCATCCATCCATTCACCCACCCATCCAACCAACCGTCCATCCATCCATCCATCCACCCAACCACCAACCAACCATCCACCCAACCACCAACCAACCATCCATCCATCCATCCATCCATCCATCCATCCATCCATTCCTCCATCCATCCCTATCCTCTAGCTACCTACCTACCTAAAGGAATTGTCAGTTAGGTGCAGTGCTCATGCCTATAATCCCAGCAACTTGGGATGCTGAGATGGGAGAATCTCTTGAACTCAGAAGCTTGAGACCAGCCTGGACAACATAATGGGATCCCATCTCTACAAAAAATTTAAAAATTATCTGAGCATGGTGGCATGCACCTATAGTCCCAACTACTCTGCAGGCTGAGGCAGGAGGATTGCTTGAGCCTGGGAGGTCAAGGCTGCAGTGAGCTATGATCACACCACTGCACTCTGGCCTAGGTGACAGAGTGAGACCCTGTCTCTAAATAAATAAATAGTTTCATGGGATTGGGGGGCTGGCAAGTCTGAAATCTGTAGAGCAGCCCAGCAGGCTGGAGACTCAGGGAAGAGTTGATGCTGCAGTCCTGGTGTTTTGTTTTTTTTTTTTTTTTTTTTTTTGAGATGGAGACTCACTCTGTCACTCAGGCTGGAGTCCAGTGGCGTGATCTTGGCTCACTGCAACCTTTGCCTCCCAGGCTCAAGCAATTCTCCTGCCTCAGCCTCCCGAGTAGCTGGGCCTACAGGAGTGTGCCACCACGCCCGGCTAATGTTTCTATTTTTAATAGAGACGGGGTTTCAACATGTTGACTAGGCTGGTCTTGAGCTCCTGACCTCAGGTGATCCACGCACCTCAGCCTCCCAAAGTGCTGGGATTACAGGCATGAGCCACCACACCCAGCCAATGCTGCAGCCTTGAGCCTGGAGGCAGAATCTCTTATTTCTCTGGGAACCTCAGTCTTTTCTCTTAAGGCCTTCAACTGATTGGATAAAGCCCCCCTACATTGTGAAGGGTGATTTCCTTTACTGAAAGTCTACTGATATAAATATTAATTAATCACACCTAAAACAATACCTTCACAGCAGCATCTGGACTGGCGTTTGACCAAACAGCCAAATACCATAGCCTGGCCAAGCTGACACAGAAAACCACACCCTCCTTCAAGGCTTCCCTCCAGTGTGGCTGGTTGATAATAGCCCGCATTAGTTGAGTATTTACTACATACCAGGTATTGTGTGAAGTGCTTTTTTTGGCTTGTTTGATTTAATCCTCATAATAGCCCTATAATGTAGGTTCTATTTTGGTCTTCGGTTGACAGGGAAGAGAACTGAGGTCGAGAGAGGTTGAGTAACTATCCCAAGGTTGCACAGCAAGCTGAAGAGCCAAGGTCTGAAGCCAGGCAGTCCCACTGCAAAGCCCGCTGCTGTAGCTGCACACAGTCCTCTTCCAGAACCCGCAGGGCCTCCTTCCACTTCCCTAACCCCTGGCTGCCAGCTCTATCCTAACTTGCAGGTCTTGGAGGCACTTTCCCTTCATCCGCCTACGTCTTAGCCTCCTTCCCTATTTGTTGGGAGCAGATAATGGGTTTGTTGCATATAAATGAAGCCCAGGATTGCGTGTGGCCAGGCACATCTGACCTCTATCACTTTGGAAACCAGGGCACTCCTGAATGGCCACTGTCCCTGCCTGGGCACTGGTGAGGCCATACCTCCTGCAAGAGGCACTGTGACCCTCGGGCCCTTACAGCTCCAGCGGATACCAAACCAGGAGGAAGCCCAGCTCTGGTCTGACGGGTCACGCAAGGTTAGCCCCCAGCAGGGCGCCATGGCCTGGCCTCAGCAGTGGCAATTAACGCAATTTGCACCTTCTCGGGAGACTTAAGGAGCCCAGGAATGTGATGTTAGCACTGTCCTGGCAGTGCTGCCCTAGTTCTCTGGGTTTCGCTTGCTTTCCTCGACCTCCCCGAGCCTCATGAACCACGATTTCGGCCCTGCCTGGCCCTGTGTTCTACTCACTTGCTGCCCAGGGAACCAGCATGCTGGCCCTTGTCTCTGATTCTTGGACGGATGGGTTGCCCAGACCCGCCCAGGGCTGATTCTGCTTCCCGCTGCCTGCCCCAGGCCTGACCCTTCCTAGGGTTGTGGCAGAGGCAGCTACCACTGAGGACTGGGGATACTGTAGGCCTGAATCTGCCTCGTCCTTGAATTAGGTTGGACAGTATCCCCCCAAAAAGACATGTGCAATTCCTAAATCTAGTCCCTGTGAATATGACCTTATTTGGAAATGAGGTCTTTGTGGATATAATTAACCTAAGGATCTCGCGATGTGATTACCTGGGTGGGCCCTAAATCCAATGACAGGTGTCCTTTTAAGAGTGGCCAACATGGCAAAACTCCGTCTCTACCAAAAATACAAAAAATTAGCCAGATGTGGTGGTGCGTTCCTGTGGTCCCAGCTACTTGGGAGGCCGAGGTGAGGGATTGCTTGAGCCTGGGAGGCAGAGGTTACAGGGAGCTGAGATCGTGCCACTGCACTCCAGCCTAGGTGACAGAGCGAGACTCTGTCTCAAAAAAAAATAAAGAGTGGAACTGAACTGGAAGGAAGAGAAGTAATTGAATGCAGCTGAATTAGAAGGTGGCCTTCTAATTTAGGACACACCTGAGTTCAATGCTTCCTCTAGTATTTATTGGCTAAATTTGATTTCCTCAAAGCGTGGTGTGGATCAAAGGAAATAATAAGTGGAAAATGACTGTCACAGAGTAAGTGACCATAAATGGTGGTTATTATTCTAAGGGTCAAGCAGAGAGGAACACTGGGATAGAAACCTGGGGTTCGAGCCCCAGATTCTTCTATCATGGGATGGCTGTGACTTTCCAGGAGGCATTTACACTGGCTCTGAGTCTCGGAGCCCGCATCTGTCTGTCCGAGGGGGCCGGTTTGTCCTGTCCTCTTACTTGCAGGACTACTGTGAGACTCACAGGACTTTGGGTACAACCCTTTTTTTTTTTTTTTGAGACAGTCTCGCTTTGTCGCCCATGCTGAAGTGCAATGACGTAACCTCGGCTCACTCCAACCTCCGCCTCCTGAGTTCAAGCAATTCTCCTGCCTCAGCCTCCCAAGTAGCTGGGATTACAGGCGCGTGCCAGCACACCCAGCTAATTTTTTGTATTTTCAGTAGAGAGGGGGTTTTGCCATGTTGGCCAGGCTGGTTTTGAACTCCTGACCTCAGGTGATCCACCCACCTTGGCCTCCCAAAGTGCTGGGATTACAGGCATGAGCCACCGTGTCTGGGCTCTTTTTTTTTTTTTTTTTTTTTTTTTGAGACTGACTCTTACTCTGTTGCGCAGGCTGGAGTGCAGTGGCGCGATCTCGACTCACTGCAACCTCCGCCTCCCGGGTTCAAGCGATTCTCCTGCCCCAGCCTCCCAAGTAGCTGGGATTACAGGTGCCTGCCACCATGCCCAGCTAATTTTTGTATTTTTAGTAGAGACAGGGTTTCACCATGTTGGCCAGGCTGGTCTTGAACTCCTGATGTCAATGAACTCCTCGCCTCAGCCTCCCAAAGTGCTGGGATTACAGGCGTGAGCCACTGTGCCTGGCCCAAGAGTTTGGGTGCAACCCTCTTGCAAGCCATGTTTCAAAAGCCCAGGGTGTTTGTATGATGATTTACACGTAATATAACGTCCCAGCATGTTGCACCCTGGTATCTGTGAATGCACGTTTGTGCAACTCAAGAGGTGGGAAAAGGTGGTTTCAGGCTTTGGATTTTACCAGGATTTGAACTGTGCTTATTAAAGAAAGTTGGCTCTCAACCAGGGAGAACGAAACTGCAAACAAGCATTCCCTTTTCAGCATCGCACGATTTTGCAGCACTTCTTGCTTCGTGTGGCCTTCCCTCTCTCCAACTGTGGTCACCGATGGGCTTCTAGTAGCAGGTGTGGTGAGGGACAATGAAGTGCGGACAGCCTGCATTGAAGCCCCACGGCCCAGGAGCCAGGCTGCCCCAGTGCCGGCCCTTCCTGGACCCTGTGTGGGACAAGCCTGAACCTCTGAGCCCCGCTGGGACTACTTACCCGGGATTGTTCCCTCAGGTGGCATAAATGTGACTGGATCACCGCCTTCCAGATGTTAGAGCCTCAGGTGACACGCATCTAATTTTAAAGCCTTCCAGCTGTTAGAGCCTCAGGTGACACGCATCTAATTTTAAATTGCATGGTGGTAAATAACAGACGCAGGTCCTGACTGTGAGGGGAACACAGGCGAGAGATCAGCTCTTTCATCTTGGGGAAGTGAATGAAAGCCTCACTTGGCAGCTTTTCTTGGAGTCATTCCCGCGATGAATCCCATCTCAAGAACCTCATATTCCCATCCCTGAAGATTCACGGCTAGAGAGGTACATGCAAGAGGGGTAATTGTGCAGGGTGAGGGGTGTGGTGGGGAGAGCCAGAAAAATGACTGTGCAGTGGAAGTAGAAAAAGATATTTTTAATTTAAAGTAACAAATACCCTTTTTTTTTTTTTTTGAGATGGAGTCCCGCTCCGTCCCCCACGCTGGAATGCAGTGGTGCAATCTCGGCTCACTACAACCTCCGCCTCCCAGGTTCAAGTGATTCTCCTGCCTCAGCCTCCCTAGTAGCTGGGATTACAGGCGCACATCACCACGCCTGGCTACTTTTTGTATTTTTAGTAGAGACGGGGTTTCACCATGTTGGCCAGGCTGGTCTCAAACTCCAGACCTCGGGTGATCCACCCGCCTCGGCCTTCCAAAGTGCTGGGATTACAGGCGTGAGGCACCACAGTCAGCCACAAATACACTTAATTGATCTCAGATAAAAACTACTGAGGGAAGGTCAGTAATCGTTTTAGCCCCTAATCTATTAGAACTTTATCCTGAGTAGCCTTGAGGATGGGTTAGCTGATTCTTTCCATCAGTTCCCACCATCCACAGTGTTAGAAAAAACAAGGCATTGTCTCAGTTTAGGACAAAGGCATGGCTGGCAACCAATTCCAGTCTCTCGTATTCTGAATTTTTTCTTTAACTCTTCTACTTTGTTGACGTAAGCTTTAGCTTTCATGGGATCTTCCCTGGCAGCCCCTTTCAGCTAATTCCAGGGATCTCACTTGGCTTTGCCCTTGAAGTCCACCATCCTGGGCCGTTCTGTCTTTATGTTGCCTACAGTCGCTCGTTTGTAGTGGCCGTAGAGGAACCGCATCTCATCATCTGCTGGCTTGGTCTTAAAGTGCTTAATACCCTGCACATCTTTTTTTTTTTTTTTTTCTTCCCAGCTCAAGTGATTCTCCTGCCTCAGCCTCCCGAGCAGCTGTGATTACAGCTGCATGCCACCCATGCCCGGCTAATTTTTGTATTTTTAGTGGAGATGGGTTTTGCCATGTTGGACAGGCTGGTCTGGAACTCTTGACCTCACATAATCTGCCTGCCTTGGCCTCCCAAAATGCTGGGATTACAGGTGTGAGCCACCACACCCAGCCCTCCACAGCTTTCTGAAACTCAGCCTGAGACTGGCTTGCAAGGACTCCAGGGAGCCAGCGGAGGAGGCAAGGAGCAGGAAGCGATTACTAGGACTGCACTGGCAAGTGCCTTTAGGAGAGGCGCAGCCCCACGCTCTCCAACCCTGCTCAGGAAATAGAAATTTAAAAATAGTGTTTCTCAGGCCAGGTGCAGTGGCTCATGCTTGTAATCCCAGCACTTTGGGAGGCCGAGGATGGAAGACCACTTGTGTCCCAGGAGTTGGAGACCAGCCTGGGCAACATAGTGAGACTGCGCCTCTTCCAAAAAAAAAAAAAAAAAAATGCTGGGCATGGTGGTGTGCACCTGCAGTCCCAGCTACTCAGGAAGCTAAAGTGGGAGGATTACTCGAGCCTGGAGAAGTTGAGGTTGCAGTGAGCTGTGATCGTGCCACTGTACTCAGCCTGGGTGACAGAGTGAGACTCTGTCTCAAAAAAAGTAAATAAATAAATAAATAAATAAATAAATAAAAAGCTTTCCTTGCAGGGGCAGAATTTGGAATGACTTTCATCCTGACCTTTCAGCCTGGCCCTACCTACCGACCCCTTTGCCTGCTTGTCTAGCCCTGCACCTCTGGCTTGGCCACTTATCTGCCCGGGCCACACCACGTGCTGTTTCTCACAATGCACCCTGCTCCCTGGCCCACAGTGCCTTTCTTTCTGGAACTCTTTCCTCTTAGCCCCATGGCTGCCTGGCAGGGTCCTACCACCTCTTTCAAGACACCGTTCTCACCCTTCCTGTATCAAAGATGCTTTTCCAAATCTGCTCTGTCCACATGAACCTCCTGTCTTTCTGCACTCTCCCGGGTGCCTTTCTAATAACACTCACCATGCCTGCTCCGTTCTGAGCTGCGGGAAGTCTGTGCGCTCTAGGAAGGCAGGTGGTGGTTGTTTTCCACTTGCATGTTCTTAGGCTTATGATTTTATTTTCATTATTATTATTTAGAGACAGAGTTTTGCTCTGTTGCCCAGGCTGGAGTGCAGTGGTGCAATCATAGCTCACAGCAGCCTCCAATTCCTGGGCTTACTTGATCCTCCTGCCTCAGCCTCCTGAGTAGGTGGGGCTATAGGCAGAAACCACCAGACCTAACTAAGTTTTTTTTGTTTTGTTTTGTTTTGTTGTTTTTTAATTTTTTAGTCCGGGCACAGTGGCTCATGCCTGTAATCCCAGCACTTTGAGAGGCTCAGGTGGGCAGACCACTTGAGGTCAGGAGCTCGAGACTAGCCTGGCCAACATGGTGAAATCCCATCTCTACTAAAAATACAAAAAATTTAGCCAGGCGTGGTAGCACACGCCTGTAATCCTAGCTACTTGGGAGGCTGAGGTTGGAAGGATGGCTTGAACCCAGGAGGCAGAGGTTGCAGTGAGCAGATACTGCACCACTGCACTCCAGCATGGGTGACAGAGTGAGACTCCATGTCAAAAAAAACAAAAAAAAAATTTAGCCGGGCATGGTGGCACACACCTGTAATCTCAGCTACTTGGGAGGTGGAGGTTGTAGTGAGCCAAGATGGTGCCACTGCACTCCAGCCTGGGAGACAGAGTGAGACTTTATCTCAAAAAGAAGAAAAAATTTTTTTTTGTAGAGATGGAGTCTTGTGTTGTTGCCCAGGCTGGTCTTCAACTGGCTTCAAGCAATCCTCCTGCCTCACATCCCAAAGCACTGGGATTATAGGCATGGGCCACCATGCCCAGCCTATTATTACTAATTGTGGTAAAATACACATACCAGAAAGTTTACCACCTGGATTAGCTTGTTAGGGCTGCTATATCTAAGTATTGGTGATGAGGTGGCTTGAACAACAGAAATGTATGTTGTCACAGTTCTGTTGTCACTGACAGCACAGTGTGGACGGGGTTGGTTTCTTCTGAGGCCTCTCTCCTTGGCTCATAGATGGCTGTCTTTTCTGTGTCTCCTCACCATCTTCCTTCTGTGCCTCTGTATGTCCTAATTTCCTCCTCTTTTTTTTTTTTTTTTTTCGTTGAGACGGAGCCTCACTCTGTTGCCAGGCTGGAGGGCAGTGGCTTGATCTCGGCTCACTGCAACCTCTACCTCCTGGGTGCAAGTGACTTTCCTGCCTCAGCCTCCCCAGTAGCTGAGACCACAGCTACTGGCATTCACCACCACACCTGGCTAATTTTTGTATTTTTAGTAGAGATGGGGTTTCACCATGTTGGCCAGGCTGGTCTTGAACTCCTGACCTTGTGATCTGCCTGCCTCTGCCTCCCAAAGTGCTGGGATTACAGGCGTAAGCCACTGCACCTGGTCCCTAATTTCCTCCTCTTAGAAGAATACCAGTCATATGGGTGGTATTCTTAAACACCTGACCTCGTGATTAAGACCACGAGGTCAGGTGTTTAAGACCAGCCTGGCCAACATGGTGAAGCCCCATTTCTACTAAAAACACAAAAATTAGCCAGGCATGGTGGCATGCGCCTGTAATCCCAGCTACTCGGGAGGCTGAGGCAGGAGAATCTCTTGAACCTGGGAGGCGGAGGCTGGTGACAGAGTGAGACTCCATCTCAAAAAAAAAAAAAAAAAAAAAAAAAAGAATACCAGTCATACTGAATTAGGGCCCATCCTAATGACCTCATTTTAACTGAATCACCTCTTCAAAGACCCTATCTGCAAATGCAGTCATATTCTGAGGTACCGGGGTTGGGGACTTCGTCATCTGGATTTTGGAAGGACACAATTCTGCTCTTAACATCACCATAACCATTAAAACATTTTTTCTGGGACAGGGTCTCTCTCTGTCACCCAAGTTGGGGTGCAGAGGTGTGATGACAGCTCACTGCAGCCTCAAACTCCCAGGCTCAAATGATCCTCCTGCCTTAGCCTCCTGAGGCACCAGGACCACAGATGCATGCCACCACATCTGGCTAATTAAAAAAAAAATGTTTAGCCAGGCGTGGTGGCTCACACCTGTAATCCTAGCACTTTGGGAGGCTGAGGCGGGTGGATCACTTGAGGTCAAGAGTTCAAGACCAGCCTGGCCAACATGGTGAAACCCTGTCTCTACTAAAAATACAAAAATTAGCGGGAAATTGTTTGAACCCGGGAGGTGGAGGTTGCACTGAGCCGAGATTGTGCCACTGCAATCCAGCCTGGGCAACAGAGTGAGACTCCCCCATCTCTCCAAAAAAAAAAAAAAAATTATCATTTTTTTGAGATGGTGGTCTCACCATGTTGCCCAGGCTGGTCTTGAACTCCTGGCCTCAAACGATACTCCCCGCTTTGGCTTCCCAAAGTGTTGAGATTACAGGCGTGAGCCACTGCATCTGGTCTATAACCCCCTTTTTTTTTTTTTGAGAAACAGTCTCGCTCTGTCGCCCAGGCTGGAGTGCAGTGGCACGATCGCGGCTCACTGCAAACTCTGCCTTCCGGGTTCACGCCATTCTCCTGCCTCAGCCTCCCGAGTAGCTGGGACTACAGGCACCCGCCACAACGCCCGGCTAATTTTTTTGTATTTTTAGTAGAGACGGGGTTTCACCGTGTTAGCCAGGATGGTCTCCATCTCCTGACCTCGTGATCCGTCCGCCTCGGCCTCCCAAAGTGCTGGGATTACAGGCGTGAGCCACCGCGCCCTGCCAGGTCTATAAACATTTTTAAGTGTACAGTTCAGTGGCATTAAGTATATTCACATTGTTGTGTAGTGATTACCACCATCTGTCTCCAGAACTGTTATCATCTTACAAACCTGAAACTCTTTATCAGTTAAATAACTCCCCATTAGCCCCGTCCTGGCCCCTGGCAACCAGCAGTTTCTTTTCTGTCTTTATGAATTTGACTACTCTAAGTGCCTCGTATAGGAGGAATCATATAGTGTCTGTCTTTTTGGGTCTGGCTTCTTTCACTCAGCATAATGTCCTCCATGTTCATCCATGTTATAGCGTGTCAGAATTCCATTCCTTTTTAAGACTAAACAATATTATACATAGGAAAGCAGGTTAGTTTTACATTTATCTTTAGTATTCAGCAATTTACCACATTGCTTTGACATAGTAAGTACAATCAGGATTTGTTTCATTAAATGGGGTTAATCTACTTGAAGGGCTGGGGCGGAGAATGGGGTCTAGGAAGAATTCTGTGGTACTCAGCTGTCATTCCTAGAACTCAGACTTTCTTTTTTCGACATCAATACAAAGCTATTTTGATAGTCTCTAAAGTACTGTAGACATAGCCTAAAAGTAGAGTTCCAGTTTTTATCAGGGAATTAAGGCCCAAAAAGCATTAGGTTGGCCGGGCGTTGTGGCTCATGCCTGTAATCCCAGCACTCTGGGGGGCCGATGCGGGCAGATCACTTGAGGTCAGGAGTTTGAGAGAGATGAAACCCCATCTCTACTAAAAATACAAAAATTAGCCAGACGTGGTGGCGCACACCTGTAATCCCAGCTACTCGGGAGGCTGAGGTAGGAGAATCACTTGAACCTGGGAGGCAGAGGTTGCAGCAAGCCGAGATCACACCACTGCACTCCAGCCTGGGTGACAGAGTAGGACTCCGTCTCAGAAAAAAAAGCATTAGGTTGACTAGAAAAAGGTTATAGACCTTGCAAGCCCTAGTCAACTCTTTTTGGCCTGAATAGCTCTTTGGAGTAAGAATAGATTGTCTCAACACAGTGGGAACCCAGAGACCCACACCTCTCCTTCCACGGCTCCCATGAACTGAGCCAGAGCGAGCTACAGTGAAGCAGCCAGTGCCTGGGCGTGGTGGTATGATGCAGGGGGATTGATTTTTCCCGTCAAGGCCCCAAATCCCCTAGGCCTTTGGAGATTTAGAACGAGGCTTGGATTTGGGGCTACTGTGAGATACTCTCGGTTTCATTTCCAGCTGTGATGGCCTTCAGGTTCCCTCCAAATGAGACGATGTGTGCCCTAGGTTACGAAGGGCAAAGGGGTCAAATGGTGCCCTTGCAGAAAGTTGGTAGTAACTCCTACCTGCCTTACGGATTCGTTTCTGTACTTACATTTGAGCATGGATGTGTCAGATATTCTGGGAAAGCACTGCACATGCAATAATGAAGCCACACTAATGAAGACCTGGCCCTGGAGAAGCTGGGAAGCCATCCAGCTTCCACCTCCTGCCCCTGCTCACCTCCTCCCTGGAACCCACTACATGCTGGGAAGAGAGAACGCTTCTCTCAGACAGACCAGAGTGTTGAAGTAAGGTCCATTAACCACACGCTCCTCGGGGCTCAATTCACAGCATAGACGCCCAGTGATTTATTCCAGCAGTGTGTGTGTCTCTCAGCAACACTATAAATTGCCAAAGAAGAGCCATGCCTCACCACCCCAAGATGGGGAGGGACCCAGAGAGAATACAGAATGCGGATCCACTGTCTCCTCCTCCTGGATAGCTGCTCATGGCTGTGTCTGAGAGTACGTGGGTGCTGTTCCAAATGAAAACATGATTCCTAGAAAACCGTAAGCTTATGGCTACCGAGAGCAATAAGACTTTTATTAGTTATTGATTTTATTTGTATTCTTTGAGACAAGGTCTCGCTCTGTCACCCAGGCTGGAGTGCAGTGATGCAATCACAGCTCACTGTAGCCTCTACCTCCCGGGCTCAAGCGATCCTCCTACCTCAGCCTCCTGAGCAGCTGAGACTGCAGGCATATGCCACCATGACCAGGTGATTTTTAAATTTTTTGTAGAGACAGGATCTCATCATGTTGCCCAGGCTGGTCTGGAATTCCTGGGATCAAGCAATCCTCCTGCCTCGGCCTCCCAAAGTGTTGGGATTACAGGCATGAGCCACCATGCCTGGCTTCTCCTGGAGTTTTTCTGTTTGAAAAAAAATTATTATCTATTGGCATTGCGATCATATTTGTCTGGCTCACAAACTTATTTTATGTGTTTTTGAGATGGGGTCTCCCTTTGTCACCAAGGCTGGAGTGCAGAGGTGTGATCTCGGCTCACTGCAGCCTTCGCCTCCTAGGTTCAAGTAATTATCCTGCCTCAGCCTCCTGAGTAGCTGGGATTACAGGTGTGCACCACCACGCCCCCCTAATTTTTGTATTTTTAGTTATTTTTAGGAGACATGGGGGTTTCATCATGTTGGCCAGGTTGGTCTTGAACTAACGACCTCAGGCGATCTGCCCTCCTCGGCCTCCCAAAGTGCTGAGATTACAGGCATGAGCCACCGCCCACAGCCGGCAAACTTATTTTTGAGTAATGTTAATGGTATTTTGGTACTACCCCGTGGCTAAAATAAACACGCATCTTCCTAACAAGCCTGCAAGTTTCTCCCATGCTGGCTACAGAAGCATGCTTCCGAGGAAGTTCAGGTTCATCATGGTAGATCCAGCCCCATCTGCAAGTGACTGCCATAGGACTTCAGGGTAAGGGTTGGCAGCACGCCAATAGGATTGAAACTATCCCTACGGATGGTTTGCTGAGCGAAGGTTTTGATACTGAAGGCTGAGACTTCCAGCCTTCTGCCCCTCTCAGCTGAGTGGCAGCAAGCCTGAAGGGTCTTCTCTGGAAAACCTGACTAATTAATCCAAGGAAAAATACCAGCAGATGGTGACACGGGGGTGGGATCCCCGACAAAATGACCTGGCCTGATTATTCTAAACAACACGTGATTACGAGAATCACCCTGGGAGATTTACATGCCTGTCTGCGCCCCTTCCCCATCCCCAGATGGTTGCATCTAGGTGTCATCCTCATTCTCCACACTCTGTTTGAAACCTGCTTTTTCTTGCCGGAGCTTCTCCCTGTAGCTCTCTGTAGTTCTGAAGTTGCGCTGCGCTGTGTCTTGGTGTGGGTCTGTTTCCAGTCATCGTGTTGGCCACTTGCTGGTCCTTTTCAATCACATTCTTCATTTAGGAAAACGTTTCTTGAATGGTTGCTCAGCAGTTTCTCCCTTCTGTGTTCTCTCTTCTTTCTGAAACCCTTTATTATTTGGATGCTGGGTTTCTTGGGCTGTTCTTCTCATTTTCTTGTAGAGACAAGAAAATTCCATTACTCCCTTTTTTTTTTTTTTTGAGCCAGAGTCTTGCTCTGTTGCCCAGGCTGGAGTGCAGTAGTGCAATCTCAGTTCATTGCAATCTCCGCCTCCCGGGCTCAAGTGATTCTCCTGCCTCAGCCTCCCTAGTAGCTGAGATTACGGGTGCCGACCACCACGCCTGGCTAATTTTTATCTTTTTAGTAGAGATGGGGTTTCTCCATGTTGGCCAGGCTGCTCTCAGACTCTTGACTTGAGATGATCCACCCGCCTCGGCCTCCCAAAGTGCTGGGATTACAGGCGTGAGCCACTGTGCCTGGCCCCATCTCTCTTATTTCGCTTTCTCATGGTTCTAGAGGCCAGAAGTGTGAAATCAAAGTGTCCGTGGAGCCACGCTTCTTTTGAAGGTTCTAGGGCAGGATCCTGCCTTGCCTCTGTCAGCCTCTGGAGTCTCCCAGGACCGCTTGGGGTTCCGTGGCTGGTGGCTGCATCACTCTTATCTCTGCCTCTGTCTTTATATGTCTTCTGTCTTGTCTTATCTGTCTTCTCCTCCCCTGCATGTCTCTGTGTCTTTTCCTCTTCTTTTTCTTTTTTTAACTTTAATTTTTTTTTTTTTTTTTGAGACGGAGTCTCACTCTGTTCCCCAGGCTGGAGTGCAGTGGCGGGATCTCAGCTCACTGCAATCACCACTTCCCGGGTTCACACCATTCTCCTGCCTCAGCCTCTTAAGTAGCTGGGACTACAGGCGCCTGCCACCATGCTCTGCTAATTTTTTTGTATTTTTAGTAGAGATGGGTTTCACCGTGTTAGCCAGGATGGTCTCGATCTCCTGACCTCGTGATCCAGCCGCCCTGGCCTCCTAAAGTGCCGGGATTACAGGCGTGAGCCACCGCGCTGGCCTTAACTTTAATTTTTTATTTTGAGACAGGGTGCCCAGGCTGGAATACAGTGGCGGAATCACAACTCACTGCAGCCTTGAACTCCTGGGGTTAAGCGATCTTCCCACCTGGACCTTCTCAGTAGCTAGGACCACAGGTGCGTGCCACCACACCTAGCTAATTTTTAAAAAACATTTTTGGGCTGGGTGCAGTGGCTCATACCTGTAATTCCAGCACTCTGGGAGGCCAAGGCAGGTGGATTGCTTTAATCCAGGAGTTTGAGACCAGCCTAGGTGACATGGCAAAACGCCATCTCTCTAAAAATACAAAAATTAGCCAGGCATGGTGGTGCCTGCCTGTGGTCCCAGCTGCTCAGGAGGCTGAGGTGGAGGGATCACTTGAGCCTGGGAGGAGGACGTTGCCGTGAGCCAAGATCACGCCACTGCGCTCCAGCCTGGGCAACAGAGCAAGGCCTCATCTCAAATTAAAAAAAAAAAAAAGCGCAGGGCTCACTCTGTTGTCTGGGTTGGTCTCCAACTCTTGGGCTCAAGTGATCCTCCTGTCTTGGCCTCCCAAAGCCTTGGGGTTATAGGCATGAGCCACTGTGCCCGGTTCCTCTTCTTAAAATGATGCCAGTCATCAGATTTAGGCCATCGTGGTCCAGTACAACTGTTTCTTAACTAATTATGTGTGCAAAAGCCCATTTCCAAATAAGGCCACATTCTGAGGATCCTGGTGGACCTGAATTTTGAGGGGACTCCGTTCAACCCACTTCACAGCTCCTGCAGAGTTTTTCCTACACCCAATCCTGGGCTCCTCACCATTATTCCACACAGATGGGATGGAAGCTCCAGCAGGAGCTGTGCCAGGTGACAAAGCTGAGTGACAGACACCATGCTTTACTTCGAATCTCCCATCTGCTCTTTCAACCAAGCTCATCTTGTTGGGGCCACCAATCGGCACCTCCTTGCCTTAAAATGTGATTGCCAGCTGGGTGCTCACACCTGTAATCCCAGCACTTTGGGAGGCGGAGACAGGTGGATCACTTGAAGTCAGGAGTTTGAGACCAGCCTGGCCAACATGGTGAAACCTTGTCTCTACTAAAAATACAAAAATTAGCTGGGTGTGTGGGCGCATGCCTATATTCCCAGCTACTTGGAGACTGAGGCAGGAGAATTTCTTGAAACCTTTTTTTTTTTTTTTTTTTGAGGTGGAGTCTCTGTCGCCCAGGCTGGAGTGCAGTGGCGAGATCTCGGCTCATTGCAAGCTCCGCCTCCTGGTTGAACCCATTAAAAAAAAATAAAAATATATTAATATAACTCCCATATGCAGTCATTCAATGAATTTGTATTGGCCTCTAAACTGGGCATGGCTGGATGTAGAATCTATGGATGTGGCTAGATGGAATACACCTGGTTATGGAGGCACCTGCAGGTATTTTGGTGATCTTCTCCAAAGGATCTTTTGCTTTGCTGAGACGCCTGATCTTCCTGTCAATGTGAAGGTAGCTGCTGGAGGCTTGTGAACAGCAGTCAATGGTAGAGAAAAAATGTGGGTAAAGGCCAAGCGTGTGGCTCACATCTATAATCCCAGCACTTTGGGAGGCCGAGGCAGGAGGATCACTTGAGGTCAGGAGTTCAAGACCAGCCTGGCCAACATGGTGAAACCCTGCCTCTACTAAAAATACAAAAATTAGCTGGGTGTGGTGGCATATGCTCATAGTCTCAGCTACTTGGGAGGCTGAGGCAGGACAATTGCCTGAACCTGGGAAATGGAAGTTGCAGTGAGCTGAGATCATGCTACTACACTCTAGCCTGGGTGACAGAGTGAGACTCCATCTCAAAAAAAAAAAAAAAAAAAAAAAAAAAAAAGCAGGTACGTTCCTACAAACTCACCCTCATCAGTTGAAAGAGAAAAAGACTCAAAGCTTGTAACTGCAGTTTTGGACGCATGATCAGGCCATAGCAGGGAATCCCATCTTCCAGCAGATGGTTCTCCAAGATTGTGGTCCACCTGACAAATGAAATCACGTAGGCACTGCCGAGTCCTCAGGGGCCGGTGTGATGAGAATGGCTACAACTCAATCATTATGCAACTTATCTCAAAGCCTGTCATGGTTGCCACCCAGTCTGACCTCTGATATCCTGGAGCCAAGGTCCTCACCCATCATGTGAATTTGCATGTGAGGGAGGGTGAGGAGGAGACACTGAGGCAGGCAAGGCATTCTGCAAGCTTTTGCAGAGTTTTCATGGACACATTCTGATTCCCACTGTGTCCAGGTGGGAGTTCTGTACACATCACAGATGGAAAAAAGAAACTCTCTGTGGATTTGGCAGCACCCTGGATTGGATGTTTGAAGAAAGCTATTGCATCTGCCCCGTATCTTCTGTGAATCGGGTACCTTTATGCTTCTGGGAGGTCAAGAAGAACCCAGAACCCTCCAGTGACTTCCCTTTGGGTCTTGGCATTATGAGAAGATGGTTAACCTCCTTTATAGAACTCTCCTTCACATCCAATCCTTCAGAAAGCCTAATTGATCCCATCTTCTTAACCCAACCCCTCCCCTGGACATCGTTCCTAAGCCCCTTAAAGAAACAGATGGCGGCTGGGCACGGTGGCTCACGCCTGTAATCCCAGCACTTTTGGGAGGCCAAGGCATGTGAATCATGAGGTCAGGAGTTCGAGACCAGCCTGGCCAATATGGTGAAACCCTGTCTCTACTAAAAATACAAAAATCAGCTGGGCATGGTGGTAATCCCAGCTCCACTGGAGGCTGAGGTAGGAGAATTGCTTGAACCCCGGGAGGCAAAGGTTGCAGTGATCCGAGATCGCACCATTGCACTCTAGTCTGGGTGACAAAGCGAGACTCCGTCTCAAAAAAAAAAAAAAAGAAAAGAAAAGAAAAGATATGGATGGCATATCCTTGTACCTCCAGGGCCTGACACACAGTGCTGGCACCACAGCCCCAGTCCCCCGGGGTTGATGGCATGATTCACTCCCTGACCTGGAGACTGGGGAGGCTTGTCAGCTTATAGGTTTCCACAGCAGGCAATGTGGCCGAATTGCTTCCAGAGAAGTAGGGAGGTGAGTATGACCATTACTTGTGTCTAAAAATCCGACGTGACTAACTTACAAACACATAAGTTACCACAAATGATTTAGGGAGGAGGAAAGAAGTGCAGACAGGCAAGCTTTCAGATCGTTTCAGGAAACCAGGAAGCAGGGAGCACAGCGTTGCAGCCAGCAAGGGAAGACGGAAGCTGTGAGTCCTGGCTCTGAGGGCCTCCCATCCAGTTGGGCTGATGGATGAGACAGGTACAGTCTGTGCTGGGCCATCGTGAGGCTTGCAGAGGGTAGTGCCAGGGTCACACAAGGCGTCATGGCCTCAGAATTCTGAGACCTGGTTTTCCATCTGAACTCATCACCCTTAGTGGGAGACCTAGGGTGCGTTTCTCTTCAATCCTGGGTTTCACCTCTCTAAACAAGGGACAATAGTATCTACCTCAGAGGGTTGTGGCAATGACCAAATGTGTCACAGGTGAAAATGTCCAGTAGTTTCTGGCATTTATGACGTGTTCGGTCAATGTTAGTTCACTATTGTTATCCCATTTACTAAGCGAATGCATGTGACACACCATGCGTTTCTGAACCTCGTATGTGAGAGTGCCTGGCATAGAATTGATGTTCATTAAAGGTTTATTTTTTAAATTTTTAGATAAACTTATTTTGAAATAGTTTTAGACTTGAAGAGTTGCAGAAATACTAGCGAGTTTCCCTGTATCCTACATCCAGCTTCCCCTAATTTTTTTTCCCCCAAGATGGAGTCCTGCTCTGTTGCCCAGGCTGGAGTGCAGTGGCATGATCTCGGTTCACTGCAAACTCCGTCTCCTGGATTCAAGTGATTCTTGTGCCTCAGCCTCCTGAGTAGCTGGGATTACAGGCGCACACCACCATGCCCAACTAATTTCTGTATTTTTAGTAGAGACGGGGGTTTCACCATGCTGGCCAGGCTGGTCTTGAACTCCTAACCTCAGGTGGTCTGTCTGCCTCAGCCTCCCAAAGTGCTGGGATTACAGGTGTGAGCCACTGCACAGGGCCCAGCTTCCCCTAAAAATGTTAACGTCTTACCTAACCATAGTAAGAGGATCAGAACCAGGAAATTGCAGATCTTATGTGAATTTTGCCCGCTCTCCTGCTACTGTCCTTTCCTGTTCCATGTTCCCAACCAGCATCCCATGTTCCATTTAGTTGTTGTATCTATCCCCTTAGGGACGATTCCTAGATTGTGACAGTTTCTCAGTCTTTGTCTTTCAAGACCCAAAGTGTCCAAGGACACTTTTGATGGGTACTGGTTAATCACTTTGTAGAACAGGTCTCAATCTGGGTTTGTCTGGTGTTTTCTTGCGATTGGATTGAGATTACACACTTCTGCAGGAATACCACCACAATATGTTGCTTTTAGTTTTTTCCTCCTTTATTGTGGTAAAATACACTCAACATAACATTTACCATTTAAACCACTTTATTTTATTTTATTATTATTTTTTGAGATGGAGTTTCACTCTTGTTGCCCAGGCTGGAGTGTAATGGTGCGAACTCAGCTCACCACAACCTCCGCCTCCCGGGTTCAAGCAATTCTCCTGCCTCGGCCTCTCGAGTAGCTGGGATTACAGGCATGTGCCACCACGTCCGGCTAATTTTTGTATTTTTAGTAGAGATGGGGTTTCTCCGTGTTGGTCAGGCTGGTCTCGAACTCCCGACCTCAGGTGATCCGCCCACCTCGGCCTCCCAAAGTGCTGGGATTACAGGCGTGAGCCACCGCTCCCGGCCTAAACCACTTTAAAGTGTATGATTCAAGGGCAGTATGTAGATTCATCCTGTTGGATCATTTCTAGACTTTTTCATCATCCTAAAACGAAACCCCAAGCTGCTTATCTTCCTCCCCTAGCACCTGGCAACCTCCAATCTGTGTCGCCTCTACGGATTTGCCAATTCGAGACATTTCATCTGGATGGAATCATACGCTATGTGGCCTTTTTTGTTTGGCTTCTTTCACTAGCATAACGTTTCCCGGGTTCCTCCACACTGCAGCATGCATCGGTGCTCCATTCCTTTTTGTAGCCGAATAATATTCCATTGCATGGACAGATCACATTTTACTTTTATTTTCTAATTCAACAGTGAGACCTGGTGTGGGCCCCGGCGCTGGGCCTGGGAGGCGAGGGAGGGGATGGAAGAGAGCCCCGTGACTGGCAGGAGGCACTGTGGAGTGTGGGGAGAAGGGGTCGGGATCTGCATGCTAGAGAGAATAGGATTTTATTTACACGTGGCAATGTTTATGGAGGCCAATGCACAACTGCCATTATGGGACGCGGACTCCTTTGAAAGTCTCATTTGTGTAAAAGGAAAAGCAGTAGTTCATGAGGAGGGGGAGAAGGGCTCAAGGACAGCAAGGTAAACTACCCCTGGGGCGGGGGAACGTGGTCGTCGGTGGGCCCAGCTTTGGAGGCTAGGCCCGTGAAGGTCGCCCCGTGAGCAGGTCCAGGGCAGGCCGAGTGCCCCGGGGCCCGCATTCATTGCTTACAGAGCAAGGGGAGCCTCCCGGGAGGGAAATCCAACGGTTGGAAACTTCGATTTATCCCAAAGGCGTGCCGAGTGGGAAGGCAACATTTTGATTTCCCAAACGTTGCGGCCAGCGGCTTCTTCCACGGCAGGCGCCTTCAGGTCTCTCCGCAGGGTCGGGACCCCGGGCGGCGCGCGGCCTCTGGGACGCCGAGGGAGGGCGGGCCCACAGCGCCCGGAGCGCGGACAGCGGCCACAGCCCGCCGCCTAGAAGCGGCGCCGCCCGGGGCGGGGGGCGGAGCCGAGCGCGCGCCCCGCCCCGCCCCGCCCCGCCCCGCAGCCCCAGCCCAGCGCGCGCACCAAGGCGGGGCGGCGCGCGGCCCGTGCGCGTGTCCGGGGCCAGGAGGCGGTGGCGGCGAGCGCGGGCCGCGCGTGCGCGCTGCGGCTGGGCGAGGGGCGGCGCGGGCGCGCGTCTGTCAGTGACAGCGGGCGGGGCAGGGGCCGGAGATGGTGGCGGCGGCAGCTCTTCCGACATGAGGCAGCGGCCGCGGGGGACACGGCGGCGGGCGCGGCGGCGGCCGCATCTCTAGCTCGGGGAGGCGGCCCCCGGCGTGGGCGCGGGCGGGCGGGCGTCCCGGCCGGCGTCGCGGGAGCCCGGCTCTGCGGCAGCGTCTGCACCGCCGCCCGGCGAGGGGCCCGCGTCCGTGGTTCCACGCGCTCGGTCCCGGGACAGCTGCGGCCGCGGCGGGAGCGGCGGCGCACTCGGGGGGAAGCAGGCCCCACTAGACGGGCCGCGCCGACGGGCTCCGCGCACTCGCAGCCCGGGGCGCCCCCACCCCCAGCGCCCGCCGCCGCGGGCAGGGCCGGCCCGGAGCGCGGGGGGCGGCCGGGGAGCGCGAGCCGGGGGCGCCCGCCGAAGCTCGCTGCTCCGGGTCGGGGTCCGGGCCCGGGGCCGGCCGCGCGCCGCCTTTGACGCATCGGAGCGCGGCTCCTGCAGGATGGAGGGCTCCGCGCCGCCAGCGGAGTTGTTTGTGCGCAGGCGGCTCGCGGGGCTGGGAGCGCTCAAGGTCTGAACTTCCCTCCGGAGCCGCAGCTGGAGGAGGCGAGCGCGCGAGGAGGAGAAGCCGCGCGGCGCGGAGGCCACCCTCGGGGCGAGAGGCGCGGAAGGCGAGCGAGCAAAGCGGTCCCGGAGCCACGGCGGCCACGCGGCGGGGACCCCCGGGCGTTCTAGGTCCGTCCCGAGCGGTTCTCGTGCGCCTCGAAGGTGGGGGCGGTGGGGGCGGTGGGAGCACCGCTGAGCCGGGAACCACAGGAACAGATGGTGCCTGTCCAGGTCGCGTGCTGGAGCCGCCCCTTAGGACAGGAGCAGGTCCCGGGCCTCTAGGCGTGCATGCCTAGGTGGGAGCGCCGCTAACTCTCCCCGTTTTGCTGGCAGGTACTGGTGACCCCGGCCGGGGCAGGCCCCGGGACTCGACAACATGGCTTCCCCACCCCACCAGCAGCTGCTGCATCACCACAGCACCGAGGTGAGCTGCGACTCCAGCGGGGACAGCAACAGCGTGCGCGTCAAGATCAACCCCAAGCAGCTGTCCTCCAACAGCCACCCCAAGCACTGCAAATACAGCATCTCCTCTAGCTGCAGCAGCTCTGGGGACTCCGGGGGCGTCCCCCGGCGAGTGGGCGGCGGAGGCCGGCTGCGCAGGCAGAAGAAGCTGCCCCAGCTGTTCGAGAGGGCCTCCAGCCGCTGGTGGGACCCCAAGTTCGACTCGGTGAACCTGGAGGAGGCCTGCCTGGAGCGCTGCTTCCCGCAGACCCAGCGCCGGTTCCGGTATGCGCTCTTCTACATCGGCTTCGCCTGCCTTCTGTGGAGCATCTATTTTGCGGTCCACATGAGATCCAGACTGATCGTCATGGTCGCCCCCGCGCTGTGCTTCCTCCTGGTGTGTGTGGGCTTCTTTCTGTTTACCTTCACCAAGCTGTACGCCCGGCATTACGCGTGGACCTCGCTGGCTCTCACCCTGCTGGTGTTCGCCCTGACCCTGGCTGCGCAGTTCCAGGTCTTGACGCCTGTCTCAGGACGCGGCGACAGCTCCAACCTTACGGCCACAGCCCGGCCCACAGATACTTGCTTATCTCAAGTGGGGAGCTTCTCCATGTGCATCGAAGTGCTCTTTTTGCTCTATACCGTCATGCACTTACCTTTGTACCTGAGTTTGTGTCTGGGGGTGGCCTACTCTGTCCTTTTCGAGACCTTTGGCTACCATTTCCGGGATGAAGCCTGCTTCCCCTCGCCCGGAGCCGGGGCCCTGCACTGGGAGCTGCTGAGCAGGGGGCTGCTCCACGGCTGCATCCACGCCATCGGGGTCCACCTGTTCGTCATGTCCCAGGTGAGGTCCAGGAGCACCTTCCTCAAGGTGGGGCAATCCATTATGCACGGGAAGGACCTGGAAGTGGAAAAAGCCCTCAAAGAGAGGATGATTCATTCCGTGATGCCAAGAATCATAGCCGATGACTTAATGAAGCAGGGAGATGAGGAGAGTGAGAATTCTGTCAAGAGGCATGCCACCTCGAGCCCCAAGAACAGGAAGAAAAAGTCTTCCATCCAAAAAGCTCCTATAGCCTTCCGCCCTTTTAAGATGCAGCAGATCGAAGAAGTCAGTATTTTATTTGCAGATATCGTGGGCTTCACCAAGATGAGTGCCAACAAGTCTGCCCACGCCCTGGTGGGTCTCCTGAACGATCTGTTCGGTCGCTTCGACCGCCTGTGTGAGGAGACCAAGTGTGAGAAAATCAGCACCCTGGGAGACTGTTACTACTGCGTGGCGGGCTGTCCCGAGCCCCGGGCCGACCATGCCTACTGCTGCATCGAGATGGGCCTGGGCATGATCAAGGCCATCGAGCAGTTCTGCCAGGAGAAGAAGGAGATGGTGAACATGAGAGTCGGGGTGCACACGGGCACCGTCCTTTGCGGCATCCTGGGCATGAGGAGGTTTAAATTTGACGTGTGGTCCAACGATGTGAACCTGGCCAATCTCATGGAGCAGCTGGGAGTGGCCGGCAAAGTTCACATTTCTGAGGCCACCGCAAAATACTTAGATGACCGGTACGAAATGGAAGATGGGAAAGTTATTGAACGGCTGGGCCAGAGCGTGGTTGCTGACCAGTTGAAAGGTATGTGCACTGCTTTACCTCGGCATCCCCCCTCCCTGATCCTGATTGTATTAAATTAAAAAAAAAAGCTTCCAGCCTCAGTGTCTGCAGACAGCTCAGGTATCTCAGAATGCCTTACCATGGGGGGATCTCAGGGTCAGTGTGACTTTTCTTTCAGCGGGTCAAATATCACAGATCTGTTCACACTGCAGAAAGGGACGCTGTGCAGAGATGACCTAGACGCGACCTTTAGAAGGAAGGAGAACTTTGAACGTGCATAACCACTGGTTGGCTGAAATGTGGGGGCACGTCCGGTGAATGTAAGGGTATGGAGCCCTTCAGCATTCAGCACTGTTTAGCACTTAAGGAAATTGCCTTTGCATTCATTTGGTCACCCTGAAGTCCCATCCAAATGTTTCTCTCTGCCCTTTTTGCGAAAACGTGGAGAATAAAATCTTTCTCCTCTCTAGGCCTCACTTTGCTTATCCTCAAAATAGGGATAGGAAGTCGGCGCAGTCCTGCAGGTCTCTGGAGAATTAGACGGAGTTACTTACCTCTGAGTACACACTGTCTTTTATCTAGGTCTTTTTTTTTTTTTAAAAAAAGTTTGCATTTTCAGCTTTCAGCCATCATTTGTTTAAGGATATTTTATTATCATAGTATTTGCCTTAAGTGAAGAGCTTCATATTGAGCTTCTCCAGCCACCAGGTGATTTGGAAGGGAGAAACGTACCTGCCGGAGAGCTGGTATTCCCCTCCCTCATCCTCTCAGGTTTGGATCTGGTGCCTGGTCCCTGGTTTGAAGCTCCTTACTGCTATTCTTGATGTTTTTACTGGGCTGCTTGTTTTTTCTAATATAGGACAAAAGTCTTTGAGATCTGGAAAATGATATTAAAATAAGTAGGACGAAAAAGAAAGATTTTAAGTAATCTGCTACATTTCTTCCCCCACTTCCTCCTTTTTAAACAGTCCTTATGTTTTACTAAAATCTTCAGGATTGAGGGGAACATCTGTTGTGGAAGTATGTAGAGAAAATAACACTGATTTTTTTTAAAAGCCTGCTTTTGTGAAGCTGTATTGTATTTTGTGGTCCCCACACACTGCATACTTAAACAGTTAAAAGCCTCAGGAAAGGGAATCCTCGGAAGAAGTAATTAATAGTTCCAATCAGAGATGGCAGAAGTAATAGTTTCAATCAGAGACGGCAGAAGTAATAGTGTCAGTCAGAGACGTCCAGTGGTTGAGGTAGGGCCTGCATAGGTCGTTGGTGTGAGATCATCCTATGTGTCCAGTTGGCATTCTCTTTCTCTGGCTTGTGATCTGAGCTCCTGTATCTTTTATGTATTTGTTCTCTGGCAAGGGAACATCATCTTTCTTCTGATTTTTCTTTATTTTACTAACTTTGCTGTTGAAGATTTTATGGATGTAGACGAAAACTATTTTCACCCGAGAATTCCCCTAACCTAGAGCACTTTAAGGACTATGTTAACAAGGTCAGAAACTACACTTTCTGTTCACTTGAAAGATGCTGCCGTGATGAGTGTCTTTCCGTTTAGGGCGGTGGCACTCGCTCTTGAGTCTGAAGGTGTCAGTGGACGGGGCTGTGGGTGTAACCCCCTGCTTGCCACCTTGGCATTTTTAGGGCCCAGGTGTTGTGAGCTCTGTCCTTGGAGACTGTGGGACGGTGGAGCTGGGCGGCAGTACGTTAAATTAAATATGTTGGCCCAGAGGACAATGAGAACGTTTTGTAAGCTGTACTTTGTATGCTGTATTACTCGAATTTCAAAAATGAAGAGGGTGTAATTATTAAATATGTTTGGAAATTGCCAAGTCATTGAATACCTATTTTGTGAATTTATGAGTAGTTTTATTTTTAAGTTTGTAGATCAGGGGTCTCAGACACAGAGCCAAAAAAAAAAAATGCTAGAGTGAGTTTGTGTTTTTTTTTTTTTAAACCTCAAATAGTGTAAATTTGGTAAATTAACTTTTCTTGACATTTGTGTACATTGTATATTTATAAAAGTTTTAGTACTGTAGGGAGTAGGGAAGATAGAAGGCTTAGCTTAGCTGCTGATTTTTTAAAAGTGATATTCTTTCCTTTAGCTCTTTCTCTGAGACCACGATTTTGTTTTCTTGAGCTCATTTTACAAACCTTTGTGGATAGGACTCCAGGAATAGAGTATGTCTACACAACTTCCTGGCCCTTTTGGAAACTGTCCTTACAAAGCTAAATTGAGATGACAGCACAGTTTGTAGAAGACCCTTTCACACACATAGTTAAGCTTATCTACATGTAAGATCGATTTTAGCCTCTGCCTTTGGGCTGGTGGCAGATGTTTTCTCTATACAATATTGGGTATTACGGGAGGCTGAGGCAGGAGAATTGTTTGAACCCGGGAAGAGAAGGTTGTAGTGAGCCGAGGCTGCGCCACTGCACACCAGCCTGGGCGACAGAGCAACTCTGTCTTAAAAAACAACAACAACAAAAACAAAAAAAACCCCAATACTGGGTGTATTAGCCTTTCCCTCTTACCCCCTTTTCTGATCCCAGGGTTAAAAAGCAGCCAGTAGCGGCCCTGCAGGAATGGGCATCCATAGAATGAGAAGGGGCTTCTAGAACTAGCCTGGGAGCACAGAAGGAAGCTCCTCTCATTCAAATTTATCCGAACAGGCTTTGCAGAAGGGTAGTTTCATGATTTCTGCACATTCCTTCACTCTGAAATCTGTGTCGTGCCCCTGGCACTGACTGTGCACCTGGCACTGTGGATGTGGAGCAGGATCCGTGATCGTGGAGCAGGATCCGTGATCGTGAGGTAGGAGGTGGGACTCGACTCCAGAGGCGGGGTTCAGATGCCAGACCGAATTGAGGACTAGCTGATACAGGGATGGGGCAGAAGCAGCGTTCTGCAAGGCACGCCCACCAGTGTGCCTTGTTAGTTTACTGTCGCCATGGCCACACCCGGAGTTACTGCCTCTTTCCATGGCCGTGACCTGACAACCCAAAAGCCACCACCCTTTTCCTAGAAGTGTCTGCCTAAGCCTACCTTTACTCTACAGGAAATTAAAAGTAGGTATAAGGTAAGGCTGGGCGCAGTGGCTCATGCCTGTAATCCCAGCACTTTGGGAGGCCAAGGCGGGTGGATCACCTGTGGTCATGAGTTGGAGACCAGTGTGGCCAATATAGTGAAACCCCGTCTCTACTAAAAATACAAAAATTAGCCTGGTGTGGTGGTGTGCGCCTGTAATCCCAGGTGCTCGGGAGGCTGAGGCAGAAGAATCGCTTGAACCCAGGAGGTGGAGGTTGCAGTGAGCTGTGATCATGTCCACTGCACTCCAGCCTGGGCGACAGCCTAGGCGAGACTGCGTCTCAAAAAAAAAAAAAAAAAAAAAAAAAAGTAGGTATAAGTATGATTGCAAAACTGCCCTGAGCTGCTACTTTCCGCCTTTGGGAAAGCCCAGCTCTGCAGGAGCAGTCATGGAGCCGTATAACACTGCCTGCCTCTTCAATAAAGGTGTTTTCTTTCCTGCCACCGGCTCACCCTTGAATTATTTCCTGGGCAAAGCCAAGAACCCTCTTGGGCTCGGCCCCACTTTGGGGCGCGTCTGACCTGCGTTAATAGTTCCCAACCTCCGTGAGCTCACAGTTAAAAATGTTGTGGAGTATGTTCGGGAGTGGGGAGCGCTTTAGAGGGGGCTCCTGCTGGAGCTGGGTCCTGAGATCAGGCTGTGGCTCTCCAGGTGGACAGAAGAGCACCAGGGCAGAGCGGAGAGGTGGGTATGGCTGGGCCCTGTGCTTCTCTGTGGGGGCGGACGATTGTTAGTTGTTCATCAGGACAAGGAAGGCCATGGGTAGCGTGGGAAGGAGTTTGCATTTGACCCCATAGGTGTCAGGGAACCACTCAACAGGGGGCTTAGGTGATCTGACTTGCAGTTTTAGAAAGTTCACTCTTTCAGAGCTAGTGAGTGTGGGTTGGAAAGAGATTAATGAGGTGTCGAGTAAATCCCAGGTAGGGGTGATGGTGGCCCAATCCAAAGTTACAGTAGCAGTGATGGAGGTGATGGGATCTGAGTGGCATTAGGAAGAGCAGCTTGATGGGACTGCAAGCCAGATTTAAACAAACGACTGGCAGGAGGGGAAGGGCTTGACCATGTGAATGGGAAATGGCATTTTAAGTTTCTGGAAGTGACTTGGCGACAATGTGGAGTCAGGAATGGGTGAGGGGCCTTTGAAGTTGCTATGGTATGAATGGAGAATGCAGGATGGACTTGCAGAGTACAGAGGCCCGGAACCCCTGGCTTGCTTACTCATTCAGCAAATCATTTACTCCGTGCCAGGCACGGTTCTGGGTTCTGGCAATACAGCCGTAAACAAAACAGACAACAATTCCTGCTCTTGTAATAGGGGACAAGAATTTTTAAGTCAATAATATAGGAGGATCGCTGGAGCCCACGAGGTCGAGGTTGCAGAGAGCCGTGATTGCACCACTGCATTCCAGCCTGGGCGACAGAGTGAGACCCTGTCTCTAAGAAACAAAAACCAGGCCTTCAAATAGGGGAGATCTAATAGAGGGGACAACAGGGGAGTCAAACCATAAATAAGTAAAATAGAAAAAGTGTTTTGTGAACAAACATAAAGCAGGAAGGGGATACAGCAGATGGGGTGTACGAGTGTGAGAAATCTTATCTAGGGTGGCCAGTCACTGGGAGAAGGTTGCAGGAATTTTTAGCATACTGCTAGGATTTTGGAAATAATCTAAAAAGTGAGGGGCCAGGCATGGTGGCTCATGCCTGTAATCTCAACACTTTGGGAGGCCGAGGTAGGCGGATCACCTGAGGTCAGGAGTTTGAGACCAGCCTGGCCAACGTGGTGAAACCCCATATTTACTAAAAATACAAAAATTAACCAGGTGTGGTGGCAGGTACCTGTAATCCCAGCTACTCGGGATGCTGAGGCAGGAGAATTGCTTGAACCTGGGAGACGGAGGTTGCAGTGAGCCAAGATTGCACCATTGCACTCCAGCCTGGGCGACAAGAATGAGACCCTGTCTCAAAAAAAAAAAAAAAAGTGTGAGGGACAGTTATTAAAGATATGGAGAAATGGGCCGGGCGTGGTGGCTCATGCCTGTAATCCCAGCACTTTGGGAGACCGAGGTGGGCAGATCAGGAGGTCAGGAGTTTGAGACCAGCCTGACCAACATGGTGAAACCCTGTCTCTACTGAAAATGCAAAAATTGGCTGGGTGTGGTCGCAGGCGCCTTTAGTCCCAGCCACTTGGGAAGCTGAGGCAGGAGAATCGTTCGAACCCAGGAGGTGGAGTTTGCAGTGAGCCGAGATCGTGCCATTGCACTCCAGCCTGGGCGATAGGGCGAGACTTTGTCGCCAAAAAAAAAAAAAAAAAAAAAAAAAAAAAATGAAGAAACGGTCTGATTAAGGTGAGGGACCTTCCACAGCATTTGGGATGAAACCGCTAGGCCTGAGGGAACCGTGGCTGTTGTATTCTGCCTTGGGCCACAAGCAAAAAATGGTGAGACGTGTTATCTCGAGCTGTTGGCTTTTCCTGTCATAGATACAGGGTCACAAAGACAGAAAATGAAACTGTTAGAAAATATCTACAGGCATCTTCTTTTCCCGTGTAAATATTAGGAAGACAGAATGAAGATGCTCCTCCGCTCTCATCCACACCCATGGTCATATCTCTGAAGAGGGGAATACCAGGGAGTGATCACATTGTCAGATGCAGAAATTAAAAAAGCTTTTTTCCCCAGCCAAACTTTATGCTTGTGGAGCAACTTGGGGAGGAGACCCGCTGGTATGCATTTGGGCAGATTGTCACCTGTTGGCCACCTCTGTGATCGAGACCTTTGCCTTAGAGGAGTTCCTATGTAGACCCTGTCTGGTGGGCCGACAGACCGACAGTGGACGGAGGCATTCTGTATGCGTTAGCCTCTGCAAACAAACACCTGTCTCATGCCGGAAATCTGGGCGCCCCATTAACCCTGAGCACGGGCCTGCCAGCTGACAGAACCCTAGCCAGGTGTTGGTTTGGGGTTCAGTTGCATGCTCAGGTGTTCCCCTTCCTTCCCCCGTTAGCTTGTCCCCACCTAAGCCTGCAACCCTTGCCACTGGGATGCTAACCCGTTAGCAGAGCTCAGTCTCCTTGCTTGGAAATTCTGTGTTGACCTGCACTGCATTCTTTTTTTTTTTTTTTTTTTTTTTTTTTTGAGACAGAGTCTGGCTGTGTCACCCAGGCTGGAATGCCATGGCGTGATCTCAGCTTACTGCAACCTCTGCCTCCCAGGTTCAAGCGGTTCTCCTGCCTCAGCCTCCCAAATAGCTGGGATTACAGGTGTGCGCCACCACGCCCGGCTAATTTTTGTATTTTTAGTAGAGATGGGGTTTCACCATGTAGGCCAGGCCGGTCTTGAACTCCTGACCTCAGGTGATCCACCAGCCTCAGCCTCCCAAAGGGCTGGGATTACAGGCGTGAGCCACCACGCCCAGCCTTGACCTGCATTCTTGAGCAGGATCTGTTATGCACGTGGAAATACAGCCTCTCAGATAGCAAATGGCAGAGATGAGATGAGGCACACAGTTCCCCTCCACAGCTGGGGTGGGAGACAGAAAACAGCAGTAGAGTCGACACTCAAGCTGCCCCCAGTGACCATTTGTTCAGGCTCTTTGAGACCTGGCTTACAGTGACAAGGACACAGCTGTTAATTCTGAAGACAAGCTTTCGAGTAGAAGTAACCTCTGGTAAAGCAAGAGAAGGTTAAGGTTTGCTGAATTGCCAATGGGATGAAGAAGGAAGGGAGGGCTGTCTTTTCAGGTAGAATGCCTAAGGAAGGGAAACATGGAGAAGGAACAATTAGAGCAAGTCAAGAAGTTTCAAGATTTTTGTCTTCTGGCCAGCTTGGTGAGATAGTAATTATGTTTCTGCATATTGGTCAGCGTTGCCTATGTACTTTGCTGTGGAATAGTAATCTTGGAAAAAAACCAACCAACCAACCCACATTAATCTGTCCATGTCTGGGCACAGAGTGTGCAGAAGCCTGCGTGGGCCGTAAGTCTCGTCTTTGTCTTGGTTGGTGATTTTAGTATTGGTGTTTTTGCTGGAATTCCAAAACTGTAAGAGTGTAATCATTCACCATTAGAATTCTGCAGGTCCCCTCCTGACTCTGGACTAGCTGAGCTTAGGGGCCTGTCATCCATCTGGCCCTGGGCATATCATTTGTACTTTGCCTGTGACACACCTCAAGACCTTTTCCAACAGGAACTAGCATCCCTGGAGGGAATTTTGTGAAGAGATGAGAGTTTTTGAAACAGGAAGGGAACTGGCAAGGGAAGTGGCCAGGCACCGGTGCTGCCGCGGAACAGAAGGGAAGGGACTGGGCTGCATCAGAGGGTGGATGTGGGGCCGCCATCCGTGGTGTGGGCCAAGGGTAGGGTGGTCCTCCCCTGGGAAGACTGCAGACAGCAGTGATATTCTTGTAGTCTTGTGGATGTACCCAGTGAACCACACCAGCCAAGCCAACCCGTGGCTAAATTTTAGTCAACTTCAGCGAAGAAGACTGCCCCTTGTAAAACTTGTCTGCTCTTGGAAATCAGGTTTTTTGTCTCATTTTCCCCAGCCTTTGCTAGCATTGCACTTGTAAAAAATTCCTGGCATCCTTTCTGCGGAGTTAAGTGGGAAGGCTCAATGTTCTGGGATAGGTGGGAACATCAAACCCGCTAGAGGCTGCTGGTGGCAGTGGAGGCAGAATGAGTTGTAGCAGTAGTGGTGGCAGTAGTGTGACCTAGAGGGCAGAAGCTGGGAAACAGGGTGAAATGCTGGGCCCCGACAGTCAGGGATAGCTGCACCTAGCTTATATGCCTTCCTCTAATCCAGTAGAAATTGTTGTTTCTGTAGGTTTTTTTTCTTTTCTTTTTGAGACAGGGTCTTCCTCTGTTGCCCAGGCTGGAGTACAGTGTGCAGTCACAGTTCACTGCAGCCTCGACCTCCTGCACTCAGATGATCCTTCCATGTCAGCCTCTTCAGTAGCTAGGACACAGGCGCATGCCACCACATCCAACTAATTTTTTTTTTTTTTTTTTTTTGAGACGGAGTCTCACTCTTGCCCAGGCTGGAGAGCAGTGGTGTGATCTTAACTTACTGCAACCTCTGCCTCCTGGGTGCAAGGAATTCTCGTGTCTCAGTCTCCCGTGTGGCTGGGATTACAGATGCATGCCACCATGCCCGGCCAATTTTTTTTTTTTTGTATTTTTAGTAGAAATGGTGTTTGACCATGTTGGCCAGGCTGGTGTCAAAATCTTGGCCTCAAGTGATCTGCCCGCCTCAGCCTCTCAAAGTGCTGGGATTATAGGTGTGAGCCACCATGCCCGGCCTAATTTTAAAAATTATTTGTAGAGATGACGTCTCCCTATGTTTCCCAGGCTTATGTGCATTATTTATATAGGTTGTCTATTGATATTTACAGTATTAGAAATTGAAACAAACTGAGAAGCTTAAAAATCTTTTCTAAATTTATTTCAAAATAGTAATTCATTTCACCCATTGCATGTTAATGTAAGTAACATTTTTATAAAAGTAACTATATTTTGTAAAATGAAAAAATTTGATGAGAAGGGTGGCACTGCCATACATTTTTGCAAATCTCTTTAATGTCTGGATTAATAAACGGTTGAAGTTTTTTGTTTTTTTTTTGGTGGATTTTTTTCCCTCTTGTTGCCCACATTGGAGTGCAGTGGCACGATCTCGGCTTACTGCAACCTCTGCCTCCTGGGTTCAAGCGATTCTCCTGCCTCAGCCTCTCGAGTAGCTGGGATTACAGGCACGCACCACCACACCCGGCTAATTTTTTGTATTTTTAGTAGAAACAGGGTTTCAGCATGTTAGCCACTGCGCCCGACCCACGGCTGAGGTTTTTTGAGTGATAAAATGTACACAACAGAAATCTACCGTGTTAAAACACTTTTAAGTGTGTTCGCTGAATTTTCTTAACCGCTTTGGCATTCAATTTGTTGCAATATGTTGAAAAATGTGTAGAAAATCTGGCTTTAGTTGGAAGAGCATTTTCATAGCCTTTTTATGTGATTCTGGATATTTTTCTTTGATTCTGTAGAAACATTCAACAAGTGAGTAGTAGTTTCTTTTTCTTTTTCTGAGATGGGGTCCTACTCTGTCACCCAGGCTGGAGTGCAGTGGTGCTACCATAGCTCACTCCAGCCTTGACCTCCTGGGCTCAAGTGATCCTTCTGCCTTGGCCTACCAAGTAGCTGGGACTACAGGCATGCACCACCACACCCCGCTGATTTTTTATTTTGAGTGGTAGTTTCTTAAATGTTAGTTGCAATATGGAATCTGAAATTTTATTATCTTTTTTTGTACACTATTATATTAAATGCTGTTGGGTTTTTACCCAGGTGTGATTTTATAACGTCATGCACTAGTCATTTGGAAAATATTGGTCTCTTGAATGATGCAGCTCTTCCACATGTTGACGTCAGTAAAGTCTAATAGTCTGAAGATGTTGAGTTCATCACAGTGGCTGATGTAAGTTTTCCAAAACTCTACTTGAAAACTGGAATTTTTTATCATTGGCGGCAAATACTGTCAGTTATTTTCCTTGAAGCGACAGACTCATTCATATTCCCAGGAATGGTCTGCCCGTACTCAAGCCTGAACGACCGTGGTTTGTCTGTAGGTCACGTGTAAATAATGTGCTACCAAAAAGGTGGCCAGTTCAGCTTGCAATCCAAACAGCTGCACAGCTGCTTTTCTCCAGGACCGCTGTGCTTTGATGGGCAGCAGCGTCGTCGTAGGCGTGCTTCTCATTTCATCACTCAGACTATTCAGAAGACACCTACTCAAGCTTGCGATTTAACCAATCATTCATGTTGACAGCTTCATCTGGGACATTCTTTTTTTTCTTTTTTCTGTTTTTGTGACAGAGTCTCGCTCTGTCGCCCGGGCTGGAGTGCAGTGGTGTGATCTTGGCTCACTGCAACCTCCGCCTCCTGGGTTCAAGTGATTCTCCTGCCTCAGCCTCCCAAGTAGCTGGGATTTACAGATGTGTGCCACCACGCCCGGCTAATTTTTGTCTTTATGGTAGAGACGGGGTTTCGCCATATTGGCCAGGCTGGTCTTGAACTCCTGACCTCAGGTGATCTCCCTACCTCGGCCTCACAAAATGCTGGGATTACAGGCGTGAGCCACTATGCCCGGCCCATCAGGGACATTCTTAAGTGAAGCTGTCTGCCTTTCCTTTCGTAAGTGTGGGGTAGTGAAGGACAAGCTGAGGGCTAGTGCAGTTTGGTTTCCCTGCATCGGGACCTGCTCAGGCACTAGCAGTTTCACCCATGGCTTCTTCTGCACTGTCACTGCAAGTGTCAACACTGAAGAAGGCAAATGCTGTCTTAGTGTCATTGTGCAAATAGTTTAGACTCCACAGATGCCTTGCAAAGGCCTCAAGGACCTCTAGGGATCTGCGGATCACACTTTGAGTACTGCTTCGCTAGCTGGGCTGCAAGATGGGAAGACTGAGGGTTTTGTATGTGCCACCCAAACACGCATTCTCATGTGTGTGAAACAACGCCAATTGGAGTTGTCACACCCATTACATATTGCCTGTGGAAATAGCAAGTGACCTTAGTTCATACATTGACCTTTTCTTACAAAATCCTTAAAAATCTTTTGTGATTCTGGTAAATCTTTGTTGCTCATGTTCAAAGTGTGTGATAAAGACCATCAACTTCGAGCTGGCCATGGCTCGTGCCTGTAATACCAGCGCTTTGGGAGGCCGAGGTGGGTGGATCACCTGAGGTCAAGAGTTGGAGACCAGCCTGGCCAACACGGTGAAGCTCCGTCTCTCCTAAAAATACTATAATTAGCCAGGCGTGGTGGTGGGCACCTGTAATCCCAGCTACTCAGGAGGTTGAGGCAGGAGAATCACTTGAACCTGGGAGGCGGAGGCTGCAGTGAGCCGAGATGGCACCACTGCATTCCAGCCTGGGCGACAGAGCGAGACTCTGCCTCAAAAAACAAACACATGGCTGGGCGCAGTGAGTCACGCCTGTAATCCCAGTACTTTGGGAGGCCGAGGCGGGCGGATCACCTGAGGTCGGGAGTTCGAGACCAGCCTGACCAACATGGAGAAACCCCGTCTCTACTAAAAACACAAAATTAGCCAGGCATGGTGGCACATGCCTGTGGTCCCAGCTACTCGGGCGGCTGAGGTAGGAGAATTGCTTGAATCCAGGAGGCGGAGGTTGCGGTGAGCTGAGATCATGCCACTGCTCTCTAGCCTGGGCAACAAGAGCGAAACTCCATCTCAAAAACAAACAAACAAACAAAGAAACAACCATCAACTTTGTTTCTGTAAATTTTTTTTGGAAGGGCTCACCCTTGAATGGTTGGGTGCTTGGATTTTGATTTCTGATACATTCGGGCTTAATTCTCGGTTGTATGGTTTCCTAACTGTGGGACTTTGGGCAAGCTACCTAGGGGCGCTGCAATTTATAGGAATGATGGTGTCTCTGTCAGAGGGTCGTTGGGAGAATCAACTGGGATAATGCAAGAAAAGCACTTATTTGCATAGTGACTCGATGGTGGACAGCCATTCCATCAATAACTAACGCTCCCCGCTGGCTGAGTCACATTTCGTATTGCACTAAAGGGTGTTTCTTTCTTCCTGCGCTCAATCTGGCGCACATCTTGTGTCGTTCAGTACCGAAACCTAGAACACACTAGGGACTGTGATTGTGTCAGTTTCTCGTAATAAAAAGGGCAAGTGTCCAAAATACAAAATACTGATAGCTCGCCCTGGTTAAACTCTAGCTGCCGAACTTGGCAGCCTCTTTACTGAAAACCCTCGGGGGTTCAGCAGGCTCGTTCCTAGGCTGCTTCAGTTCCCCAGAGCCTGGAGGTTCTTAAGATGATGGGCCCCTCGATGGTTGAGGAATTATAAGCAGATCTTCAGCTGTGCAACTCCAGCTATTGGCCGTGGTTTGAACTAGAGTGGTTTTTTTCAACTGTACTGTATCCTACTGTAAACTCATTTGTTTATTCATTAAATATTGAATGGGTTCCTACCATTGGCAAGGCGAGGACTAGGTTCTGGAGATAGAGGGGTGGCCCCTGCCCTCTTGGGGCATGACGCCTAGAAAGGGAAGTAGACAGTGATCAAATAATCTGTACAGGCCAGGTGCAGTGGTCATGTCTATAATCCCAGCACTTTGGAAGGCCAAGGTAGGAGGATCGCTTGAGTCCAGGAGCTCGAGACCAGTCTGGGCAACATAGTGAGACCCTGTCTCTAAAAATAATAAATAATTAGCCGTGCATGGTGGCATGTGCCTGTATTCCAAGCTACTTGGCAGACTGAGATGGGAGGATCGTTTGAGCCCAGGTGGTCGAGGCTGCAGTGAGCTGTGATTGCACCACTGTACTCAGCCTGGGTGACAGAGCAAGACTCTGTCTCAAAAAAAAAAAAAAAAATCACCTGAACAAATATTGTACTAGACTTCCTGACTGTATTACAGATAGGGTTGAGATGATCTCTATTTTATAGATGAGAAGACTGAAGCACAGAGAGGTTAGGTAACTTGTGATGATCACACAGCCAGAAAGGGATACTAAATGGTGGAGCCAGTATTTAAACCCAAAGGCTGTATTAGAAAACACTAGTACCCATCTCACAGAATTGCTGCGAGGATTAAATGAGAAAATACAAGTTCTTAGAAAAGTTCTTGGCACATAATACCTGTCAGTAGAGAAGAGCTAGTGTTACTGAAAGTTGGAATAATTTTCTTAGCAGTGGCAGCAACAGCCAAAACAACGATACCTGTCTTTAGCTCTCTGCATTTACCCTGCTGTCATGTACCCTGCCCTCACGTATCCTGCTGTCTCAGCCACTGTGAAATCCTAGGATCCTGGGAGCCGTGTGTGTTTAGATGCTTTTATTTGCTTGGTTCTTTCCCTTTCTATACCATTTACAGACTGAGTTTGTTTTTTTCTTTTCTTTTTTTTTTTTTTTGAGACAAGAGTCTCACTCCTTTGCCCAGGTTGGAGTGCAGTGGCATAATCTCGGCTCACTGTAGCTTCCACCTGTATCAGACCATTCTAACACTGCTATAAAGTTGCTACCTGAGGCCAGGTGCATGGCTCACGCCTGTAATCCCAGCACTTTCGGAGGCTGAGGCGGGCGGATCACTTGAGCTCAGGAGTTCGAGACCAGCCTGTCCGACATGGCAAAACCCCGTGTCTACTAAAAATACAAAAAATTAGCCAGGCGTGGTGGCATACGCCTCTAATTTCAGCTACTTGGGAGGCTGAGGCAGGAGAATCGCTGGAACCTAGAAGGTGGAGGTTGCAGTGAGCCCAGATCGCGCCACTGTACTCCAGCCTGGGCAACAGAGTGAGACCCCATCTCAGAAACAAACAAACAAAAAAGATGCTACCTGAGACTGAGTAATTTATAAAGAAAGCAGGTTTAATTGGCACAGTTCTGCATGGCTGGGGAGGCGTCAGGAAACTTACAATCATGGCAGAAGATGAAGGAGAAACAAGGCGCATCTTAAATGGTGTCAGGAGAGAGAGAGAGTGAGAGAGAGAGCATGCGAAGGGGGAACTGCCACTTTTAAACCATCAGGTCTCGTGAGAACTCCCTCACTCTCACGAGAACAGCATGGGGGAAACCACCCCCATGATCTAGTCCCCTCCCACCAGGTCCCTCCCTCGACACATGGGGATTACAATTCAAGATGAGATTTGGGTGGGGACACAGAGCTAAACTATATCAACCTCCCAGGGTCAAGTGCTCCTCGTACCTCAGCCTCCCTGTGACTGCACATGTGCACCACCACGCCCAGCTGATTTTTTCAAATTTTTGAGAGAGACAGGGTCTTGCCATGTTGCCTAGGCTGGTCTCAAACTCCTGGGCTCAAGCCATCCTCCTGCCTTGGCCTCCCGAAGTGTTGGGATTACAGGCGTGAGCCAAGGCACCCAGCTGAGATGGTTTCTTAACGTCCTCCAAAGGTGATTTTTTTCAAGAATCAATATAAACTCTTGGATTTTAGCTTATTTGATGTATTTCATTCCATTACAGATACATGATTTTTGATGCTCAGATTGTCCCATTTGGGGCCCATGGGAGCCCCTTTAAGTTGGCTGCTGAGTCCTCTTCATGCAACCCCAGTGGTCTTTGATAACTTTCATACCCTTTTAGTAACCTTTTTAAAGAGTTGAGAAATTATAGGTATTAAAATCTCATTAATTCTGTTTGTCTGATATGTTTATTCAGAGAGACTGAGCTAAAGTTTACCCTCATCTTTTTTGAAAAGAAAATGAATAGTATATGCATGTTTCTATGAGGAAATAATGCCACCCAAGAAACGGTTTGTGCATCTTCGAGTTCCTTGGAAGCTTTAATTTGCATTCCTACAATTGAGAGCAATGTAGAATTTCTTTCTGTATCTTCCCACTAATGCCTGTTGAGGGGCAGGTGTCTGTGAATGTAGGTAAATCGTGATAAAAAAACAATAAAAAGGCCGGGCGTGGTGGTTCACGTCTGTAATCCCAGCACTTTGGGAAGCTGAGGCGGGTGGATCACTTGAGGTCAGGAGTTTGAGACCAGCCTGGCCAACATGGGGAAACCCTGTCTGTACTGGAAATACAAAAATTAGCCGGGTGTCGTGGCGCACACCTGTAATCCCAGCTACTCGGGAAACTGAGGCAGGAGAATTGTTTCAACCTGGGAGGCAGAGGTTGCAGTGAGCTGAGATCACACCACTGCACTCCAGCCTGGGTGACACGGTGAGAACTCTGTCTCCAAAAACAAAACAAAGCAAAACAAAACAAAACCAAAACAATAAAAAAAAATCCCAAACCAAAATGTAGATGACCTGTTTGCAGACTGAGGAGTCCTGCAGCAAACTCCATCCCCCAGGACAGCTGCGGAATGTTCTAGAAGGCCCAACTCTAGGAAATCCCTTAGTAGGAGCCTTGCTCTCAACAGTGCCTCCTGGAACGATGGGCCGGCCACTCTCTTTTCCATCTTGCATCATATGTATTTGACTTATTTTGTTTATAATCTGTTTCCACGCCACTGGAATGTATCTTAAGAGCAGGAATTTTCCATGTTTTACTTCCTGCTGTGTTCCTAGTGCTGGGAATATAGCCAGGCATATAATACATGCCTGATAATATTGGCTGAATGAATGAATGAATAAATGAATGAATATTACAGGCCAGACACAGTGGCTCATGCCTGTAATCCCAGCACTTTGGAAGGCCGAGGCGGGCGGATCACCTGAGGTCGGGAGTTTGAGACCAACCTGGCCAACATGGTGAAACCCCATCTCTACTAAAAATACAAAAATTAGCCGGGCTTGGTGGCGTGCACCTGTAGTCCCAGCTACTCGGGAAATTGAGACAGGAGAATCACTTGAACCCGGGAGGCAGAGGTTGCTGAGATTGCACCACTACATTCCAGCCTGGGTGACAGAGTGAGATTCTGTCTCAAAAAAAAAAACCAAAAACAAAAACAAAACAAAACAAAAAATCCCAAACCAAAACGTAGATGACATGTTTGCAGACTGAGGAGTCCTCCCCCAGCCCAGCAAACCCCATCCCTCAGGACCGCTGTGGAACATTCCAGAAGGCCCAACTCCAGGAATTCCCTTAGTAGGAGCCTTGCTTTCAACAGTGCCTCCTGGAGCTATGGGCCAGCCACTCTCTTTTCCAGCTTGCATCATATGTATTTGACTTAATTTTGTTTATAATCTGTTTCCACGCCACTGGAATGCATCTTAAGAGCAGGAATTTTCCATGTTTTACTTCCTGCTGTGTTCCTAGCGCTGGGAATATAGCCAGGCATATAATATATGTGTGATAATATTTGCTGATAAATGAATGAATAAATAAGTAAATATAAGCCTGGTATGGTGGCTCATGCCTGTAATCCCAGCACTTTGGGAGGCCAAGGCAGGCAGATCAGCTGAGGTCAGGAGTTCAAGAACAGCCTGGCCAACGTGGAGAAATGCCATCTCTATTAAAAATACAAAAATCAGCTGGGCATGGTGGTGGGCACCTGTAATCCCAGCTACTCGGGAAGCTGAGGCAGGAGAATCTCTTGAACCCAGGAGATGGAGGTTGCTGAGATTGCGCCCCTGCACTCCAGCCTGGATGACAGAGCAAGACTCTGTCTTAAAAAAAAAAAAAAAAAATATATATATATATATATATATATATGTACATATGTATTTATACATATATATAGTGTGTGTGTGTGTATATATATATATATATATATATATATATATATATGTAACTCCACATGTGAGTACCCTGTTATGTGTGAAACCACACCCCAAACATCTACACAGAACAAGCCTCCAGGTAGAGGAAAGGCAGTAACCGCTTTGCTGGAATGACTGAGTGGTTCATTAAATAGAGGCTCCGGAGGGTCTTGATAGGCTCTAGCAAAGGTGGTGGCCGAGAGGGCTGACCAGCGCATGGTGCCTGGGAATGTGAATGGGCCCAGGGGCGCCAGAGTGTGGACAGCTTGGGACTGTGGGCTCCGAGGTGCTGCGCTGAGGGCGTGGGGCGCAGGGCAGAAACACAGAGGACTGAGTGCTTAGGGGAGGCCCAGGAAATGTGGGGTTGAACGGCCTAGTTCTGGCAATTGTTTTTAAGCTTTGTAAGATGGAGATTTCAAGAAGTATATTTATCTTAATAATATTGTAGCTCCTGGTAATTCTTATTTGATTACCATTTATACACATGGAAAACCAGCATGCCTGTTTCTGGCAAAGCTCCAGGGTAGTCTTTGTGCATAATTTCCAGGATTTTTATGTAATGCTATTAAAATCTGTTCTTTTTTTTTTCCCCCTTCCAAAGCGGGGAAAAAGCAGCTTTTGAATCATTTATTTTCGTGTTTGAGTTGTTTGGGAAATATTAACTACATTTTCTAACACTCTAGCCTGGAGAAAGGAAGAAACCCCACATGCGTGTGATTTATTTCCTTGTGTATGGATATTAAATGCAATATACCATTAAGGCTATGACACTTTAAGTGAAAGTGTTTATTGCATGTTGATTCAGTTAGTTCGTACCCTATTGTGTTACTATTTAAAGTGTGGATTGCATCGCATTCTGGAACTTCATAAATGAGTTCTTTTTCCCATAAGGAAAGGCCACTGCTTCTGATGTTCATTAATGTGATTTTTGTGTGTGTGAATGAGCTGCCTAAAAACTGGGTGTGGTGAGGGTGGTTTCTGAAAGGGAAGCACTTTTATAGCATGATCTTATTTGAAAATTTAATTTGTTTTTGTAAATTAGCTTTTGGTCTTAATACATTTCCTCCACTAACAAGCACTTTTGGGCAAATAATTTAATCTCTCTGGTTCTGCTTTTTTCATATTGGTAAAATATAAAGTTTGAGATAGATATGCTTAAAATCTCCACCATTGTCTAAGTATAGCTGAGATTCTCACGTGATTGGGACATAGTGCTCATTCTTAATTTGAAAAGTGTTTTTTTCTTTGTCCTCTTGTTTCAACTACGAACTCTCATTTAGACACATTTAGCATAGGGAAGCTCCGATTTATAGAGCCACTAAATTGCAGGGCGTGTGTGAGATTTGTAACTTCATAAAAGATTCTTTACTTCCTTTAAATATAAATACGTAAGATTGAGTTCTAGAAGTATAATTTACACATGGTTTCCTGAGGATCACGTTTCCTGAATAAAGCAGGGTATCGTTAGAGGAACCCCATTTGATTTTTTTTTTTTTTTTTTTTTTGAGATAGAGTCTTGCTCTGTCACCCAGGGTAGAGTGCAGTGGCGTGATCTCAGCTCACTGCAAACTCCGCCTCCTGGGTTCAAGTGAGTCTTGTGCCTCAGCCTCTCGAGTAGCTGGGACTATAGTCATGCAACATCATGCCCGTCTAATTTTTGTGTATTTTGTAGAGATGGGGTTTCATCATGTTGCCCAGGCTGGTCTTGAACTCCTGAGCTCAAGCAATCCAGCTGCCTTGGCCTCCTAAAGTGCTGTGATTACAGGCGTGACCCATGGTGCCTGGTCTGGGAATCCTGTTTGATTTTGAAAGTCTGAGAAACACTTTTGAAATGGCTTGGAGAAAATGTGAAGTGAATAATTATTATTTTTTTAATGTGCTTCAGTTCCCATGTGAACATTATTTTAGAGAGAGATTGGAAGGTTAGTTGCCAGTAAAATGAATTTCACTGTGTTGGCAAGTTTTTCACTCGTAGGACTGAGTGAATCCTGGACTGACAGTGTTCTTACCGATGATTCTGTTGAGGAAGGACTTGCTTGCTCTTGTTGCTCTTGACGGTGAGCTTCTGGATCTACTGGCCCTATATTGAGTGTGCAAGGGGACGTGTTAGTCCTCTAGTTGTCCCCCACATTAATGCATCTGGAAAGTGTCTACCTTAGATGTTGTAATTAGAAATTAGAGGGCTGGGCGCGGTGGCTCACGCCTGTAATCGCAGCACTTTGGGAGGCTGAGGCATGTGGATCACCTGAGATCAGGAGTTCGAGATCAGCCTGGCCAACGTCCGAAACCCTGTCTCTACTAAAAATACAAAAATTAGCCGGGCATGGTGGTGCGCACCTGTAATCCCAGTTACTCAGAGGCTGAGACAGGAGAATCGCTTGAACCTGGTAAGTAGAGGTTGCAGTGAGCTGAGATTGCGCCATTGCACTCCAGCCTAGGTGACAGAGACTGTCTCAAAAAAAAAAAAAAAAAAATTAAATGTCATCAACATTGAAAGGAAACTCTTGGATTTTGTCAAAGATTTATAAAAAGTTTTGAATGATTTTATTTTTTTCATTCAGAAGCATAATTTCCCTCTTAAAATCCCTGATGTGGATCATTTGGTTCCCTGTCATTTCCATTTTCTTTGTTCAGAGTGTCTCTTCTGGATCTCCTGAGTTTCTGTGTGTGTTTTCTTCCTTTTTGCTCAAATGATGAGCACACATGAAAGCTTTTCCTCCTTTGCCTGGGTGAGGCGGTGTTCCAGGTGTGATCTGCAGTGCCTGATTATTATATTGTATTAATCTCCTCAATTTTATTTTCTGGCTTGTCTGCATTTTTCCTTTTCTTTCTTCTCCCTTTTTTTTTTCTTATTAGAGATGGGGGTCTTGCTGTGTTGCGGGGCCTCGAGCGATCGTCCCACTTTGGCCTCCCAAAGTGCTAGGATTACGGGCGTGAGCCACAGCGCCTGGCCTCCTTTTCTTTATAGTAATTTGAATGTGGTGATTTTAATCCTCCATGGTTTTCTTATCCTTCCTCAACAAACAGCAAAGAGGCTGCTGGAAAGCCACATGACATTTGCTGTGATTTGCACGGCTGATGGGAAAACACTACTTGGTTCTGAAGGACAGGGTTGTCATTGGATACCTTTGCCCTCTGACCCGAGTGAGAATCTCACCTGGACAAAGACCCGAGTTGTGAAATCACACAGAGAAAGTGTGATTCCGAACCTGCTGCTGTCCTGTGCTTCCTGAGGACAAGTGAGTGACTGACTCCGTGTGCCAGGAACTGCAGGAGGTTAAAAACTTTCAGAACTACCATGCAAATAAGAAATTTCAAAGGACTTTTCTCTAACACACATTTCATAGTGAACGTCTCAGCTGGATTAACATAATTAACGCTGTGTTCTTTCTGGCTCCTGAAAGAAATTGTGATTAGGAACACTTTCAGGGCTGATGAGTCTAAGGTATCAACTTTGTCCCTTCTGCCACTTGAAGTTCAAATGGAAATGTTTGCTTTCATAGCTCCAGTCATGATGTTACTGTATTTAGTAGCTATTAAGTTTCCAATTCCATAGACTCCTGGGAGAAGTTCCAGTTCGCACTAAGGCTTCTGTTGCATTTAGCACCACTGCCTATGGTGTGTGGAGCTTTCCTGAACAAGTAATAGCAGCAAGGTTCTTAGCTTAGTAATAATTTTAAGCTATTCTTTGATTTTTTAAACAATTAATTAATTAATTATTTTGAGACAGCGTCTGGCTCTGTCGCCCAGGCTGGAGTGCAGTGACGTGATCTCAGCTCATTGCAGCCTCCGCCTCCTGGGCTCAAGTGATATTCTCCAGCTTCAGCCTCCTGAGTAGCTGGGACTGCAGGCGCATGCCAACACGACTGACTAATTTTTGTATTTTTTGTAGAGACAAAAATACTTTTTTTATGTAGAGACAAAAAAAAAGTTGAATGATAAAATCTTTTATTACTTAATAATATACTTTGATTGAGATTTAGCCATTTCATTTTCACTAGTGTCCAGACGTTTTCCTGAAAGGCGTGATTCCATGAGATTTAATACTGAATTATAATTTGATGTAAATGTTTTATATAATCAGTTGTTTGTTTTTAAACAGTAGCCTCTTTTCTAGGCCTGCTCTAGGTTGATTAAATATTAAGTTTTCTGATCAGCCAGATCCTTAATAGAGAGCTTCGGGGACAGCAAATGGTTGAATATGAAACCAACCTCATTTGCCATGTTGTTAGATATAAATGTCAGTGATAGCACTTTCTGGATGGTTGAGTTTTCTGAAGAGCAGAGGATTTTCTCTTTTAATCAATCAGATAATTTTCTGTTTTAACCAATTCAAACATTTGATTTTATGTTTCTGAAATAGATAAAGCACTTTCATAAAAATGGACTGTGCCAAATAAGAGGTAATTTTCTTGATGACTCAGTTATTTTTGCCTCTTGTTATTTGGCTTTTACTAATATAGCAATTTCTCTATAAAAATAGGAATCTTTGCTTTTTTAAAAAAACTGAGATCATTCTGTTTTTCCAGTTCTTACATTTTAAAAAATAATTTTTTTGGCTTCTTTTGCTATCCATGTATGTAGCTGTTGGTGTGCTTTCCTGTATCACATTTGCTCCTGGTTTTTACTTCGTTACATTAAAAAACCAAACCAACAAGTAATTAAGCTCGTTCAGCCTGCAGATATCGTTTGATGGAAAGGGCTAAGGAGTCAGCCTTTGTGCAGGTTTTTAGTTGTCAGCTATAGTCTGAGTAAGTGAGGTTGCTAGGTACAGGCGTTCAGGATGTGTAAGATGTTATTACAGTTATTTTTAGTGTATTATTAAGGGGGAGGAGGAGAAAGAGAAATTTGAATCAAATTTGTGTCTTATTAAATAGGACACGTTTTCCATAAGACCAAAAGGGCATTTCTTTTGCTTATGTACTAGAAATAGAAAATGGAAATTAGATATTAGATTGTATAATCGAAAGTCAATTAGAATTAATGAACAATTCTATAACTAGTTATACTGTAAGCTAAAATGTGAATGTTAAATTAGGGAAGTATTGATTTTTATGAAAATTTACCAGAATTTCAGGAAAGGACTTTGCTTACTTTCCCAAGAAACGTCTGGTAGGAGTCACTGTAGAAATTTGGTGTGTTCTGTACAACACTGCCCAGGAGGAACTGGCCACATTTCTTCCTACTTGGTTCTTTTGTTTGTTTGTTTTTTGAGACAGGGTCTTGCTCTGTTGCCTAGACCGGAGTGCAGTGGCACGATCTCAGCTCACTGCAACCTCCGTTTCCTGGATTCAGGCAATTCTCGTGCCTCAGCCTCCCAAGTACCGGTGATTACAGGCACCCGCCACCACACCTGTCTAATTTTTTGTATTTTTAGTAGAGACAGGGTTTCACCATGTTGGCCAGGCTGGCCTTGTACTCCTGGCTTCAGATGATCTGCCCGCCTCGGCCTCCCGGAGTGCTGGGATTACAGGCGTGAGCCACAGTACCCAGCCTGCTTTATTTTTAATTGAAGCTAAATTCACATAACTTAATGATTTTTAAGGTGAACAGTTCAGTGGCATATCGCACATTCACAGTGTTGTGCAACCATCCCCTGGGTCTAATTCCGAAGCGTTTTCATCACCCCTAGAAGGAAACCCTACACCCACTAAGCAGCCACTTCCCAGCTCCCAAGCCCTAGCACCTGGCAGCCGCTGTGCTGCACTTTGCATCTGCAGGATTTACCGAGTCTGGGCGTTTCTTATACTTGGAATCGTAGGATACGTGGCTTTGTGTGTCTGGATTCTCTCGCTCAGCATGTTTCCAAGGTTCATTCATGTTGTGGCATGGAGTAGTACCTCCTTTTTGTTATGGGTGCATAAAATTCCATTGTATGGATAAACCACATTTTGTTTTTCCATTCTTCCATTGATGGACATTAGGGTTGTTTCTGCCTCTTGGCTATTGTGGATGGTGCTGCTGGGAACACTCGTGTACACGTTTTTGTTTGAGTATCTGTTTTCTCAGTTCTTTGGGGCACATACCTGGGCATGGAGTTGCTGGGTCACGCGGTAACTCTGTTTAACTTTTTGACAAACCTCTGCCACTTTTAAAATGAGGAACTTGGGCTGGGTGCAGTGGCTCACGCCTGTAATCCCAACACTTTGGGAGGCTGAGGCAGGAGGATCACTTGAGGTCAGGAGTTCGAGACCAGCCTGGCCAACAGGGTGAAACCCCGTGTCTACTAAAAATAGAAAAATCAGCTGCGCATCATGGCGCGTGCTTATAATCCCAGCTACTCGGGAGGCTGAGGCAGGAGAATCGCTTGAACCTGGAAGGCAGAGGTTGCAGTGAGCCGAGGTCATGCCACTGCGCTCCAGCCTGGGTGACAGAGTGAGACTCTGTCTCAAAAAATAATAAAATAAAATAAAATAATAAAATAGGAACTTATATGAAGACCCTGTAAAAAGTTACCTGTGGCAGTCCGATGTTTTGGAAAACATCTGAAAGCTTAGGTCAATTTGGTCATAGATGTGGCTGGCCATTATGTTTCTTGATTGAAATAATTACTTTGTTCACTACCATTCGGAATAGTTTTGTGATTAGGATAAAAATTATAATGTAGATATAAGAGCCTAGAGACTCTTTTTATATGAATGCATAAGTTTTGGCTGTTCCCTTCAAATTGGCATGAGGCTTGGCAACACTGGAATTGTGTGTTAGATAAACAGTTGGTATCTAGGGCAAGCTTGAAAAAAAAGTAGTATTTAAACATTGACCAAAAAAAAAAAATCTCAACAACTCTAGGAACTTCCTTGTTCAAATGAATCCACACCGTCTAAATACAGCGTGATAAAATTAGGCTTCCCTCTGGTTTCCGTGGGGTCGAGTGAGCCCTGAGCGTCTCGTGCCCAGCCAGGACTCTGCCTGCTGGCTGGCTTCGGAGCACAGGGAGGTGGGACGGTTTCCACGGCCAGCAGTGTTCCCACAGCACTTCCTTAATATAGAACGTTTTTAAAAGCAGCGTTGGCCACAGAAAAAGCTCAACTCCCAAACACTGTCATCAGTTCATAGTTCATTTTTATTTTGTTTTCATGTTGTTAAAACAAGAAATAGCATGTAAACATGTCTGCATTACCGAACATCAGTAGTGTTTAGGATAGAAGAGGAACACATTGAGTTTCTAAGTAGAAAAAAAATCTGTTCATCCTTAAAGGCAAAGGAAGGGGCAAGGTCCCTCCTTGAACAACTGGGTGAGGTTGGACGCCTCCAGCTGTATTTGCTAAGTTGGGCTTGGAAGTATCCATAGGGCGTGGGGGGCCTGCTCCAGGGCTGACCTCAGCTGGAGTCCCCTCCAAGTCAGGGGTATCGCTCGGCACACATTTGTATGAGTTCACCTGAAAAGTGCCCTTGTTGGGGGAGCTTGGAATGGCCTGTAGGGCAGCTGGGTCACAGTGGCTGCCGGGGATGCCTGCCAAGCTGTTAAGCAGCCCTCGGGCCCACGGAGTCCCAGCAAGTGTGGTTTACTGTTTGTTAGGATGTAATTCAAGCCTGTGGGTAGGTAAAACTACCCAGGATTAAGGGGGGTTGGCTTTTCCAGGGAACAAAAGGATCCCACCAGGGAGAGGACTGTTCTGGGAAGTGCCCTGGTCCCCTGTGGCCAGGCTTGATTTGCTCTCTCTTTGGAAGCCACCTTGGCACGCAGGCACTGGTGGAAAATTTTGGAGTACCTGCTGGAGGTTGAAGATGTGAGCACGAAGAAACCATGGTCTTGTCTCGGGAGCCTCCCAGACTTTCCCCTTTACGGCTGGTGAGAACGTGAAATGGTTCACTTGCTGCAGAAGACAGTCTGGCAGGTCCCCAAAAGGTTAAGCACGGAGCTACCGTAGGGCCCAGCCATGCCACTCCTGGGTTTGTGCCTAAGAGGTGAAAAACACACATCCACACAAAAACTTATAGGAATGTTCATAGCAACATTATCCACAATTGCCAAAAAGTGGAAACAGCCCAAATGCCTGTCTGCTGATGAACACATAAACAAAACAAGTAACACATCAACAAAACGTAGCACCTCTGTAGGATAGCATACGATTCAGCCTTAAAAAGGAATGGAGTTCTGATACATGTGACAACGTGGACGAATACTGAAAACATGCCCAGTGAAAAAAGCCAGACCACAAAGGCCACGTTTCGATCGCTTGAGCCCAGGAGTTCGAGACCAGCCTGGGCAACATGTCAAAATCCTGTCAACTCAAAAATTAGCCAGGCATGGTGGCATGCACCTGTGGTCCCAGCCCCTCGGGAGGCTGAGGCGGGAGGATCACCTGAGCCCAGGAGGTGGAGGTTGCAGTGAGCTGAGATTGCCTGGGTGACAGAGCAATCTCTGTCTCAAAACAAAACAAAACAAAAACCCAAATGCCACGTTTTATATGATTCCATTTCTAGGAACTCTAGAACTACAGGCAAATCCATACACACAAAGTAGATTAGTGATGGCCAGGGCTGGGGAAACTGAAGGGAAATGGGAGGTGACCGCCGATGGGTATGGATGGGGTTTCCTTTCGGGGTGATGAAAATGTTCTCGAATGGGCTATGGTGATGGTTGCACAACTCTGTGTGCGAAACCTCCCTGAATTATAAACTATAAACGAGAGAATTACACAGTATATGAATTCTCTCTATATAAAGCTGTTATGAAAAGCGAACCTACCAGACCAACATTAACAATTAGAGTATATTGTAGTACAAGACAGTTGTAGATTGGCAAGATAAGATTGGACATAGAGATTTTGTAGATTGTGGAGCGGAGAGGGATGAGGTGGACGGTGCTGTTACAGCCTCTTAGGAGGGACAGAGATCCTGAGGTGATCACCGAGCTTCAGGATCTTGTTCATAATTTTGAGATTAAGAATCTTGGTTTGGAATCCCATGCCTGTCATCCCAGCACTTCGGGAGGCCAAGGTGGGCAGATCGCTTGAGCTCAGGAGTTCAAGACCAGCCTGGTTCACATGGTGAAATCCTGTCGCTGCAAAATGCAAAAACTAGATGGGAATGGTGGCACGTGCCTGTAGTCCCAACTACTCTGGAGGCTGAGGTGGGAGGGTCGCTTGAGCCTGGGAAGTTGAGGCTACAGTGAGCTGAGATCATGCTGCTGCACTCCAGCCTGGGCAGCACAGCAAGACCCTATCTAAAACAAAGACAAAAACAAACCAGAATCTTCATTTCCATCAGTCTTCAGAACTGTGTGAGTTTAGGAGTTGTGATTCATGCTGACCATGAGACCGATGTATAAAGCAGGTGCCAGTGTATTAAGTTACTTTGGGGAATATGATGTACTTTTCCAGTGGCTGGAATATTAATATCTACTTCCCAAGGCAGTTCCTCCATGAGATCAAGGTATCTGTGAGGCCTCATTAATAGTAACAAGTTAGCCGGGCATGGTGGCACATACCTGTAGTCTCAGCTACTGGGGAGGTTGAGGCAGGAGCATTGCTTGAGCTCACACTGCTGCACACCAGCCTGGGTGACAGAGTGAGACTCTGTCGCAAAAAAACAAAAAAAAAGAAGAAGAAAGGAAGAAAGAAACGAAAGAAAGGGAGAAAGAGAGGGAGAGAGCGAGAGAGACAGAAACAAAGAGAAACAAAGAAAAGAGAAAGAAGGAAGGAAGGAAGAGAGAGAGAGAAAGAAAGAAAATAAATAGTAACAGGATTGCTTCAGGACTGTAGTATCCGAGCAAATAGTAACAGGATTGCTTCAGGACTGTAGTATCCGAGCAAATAGTAACAGGATTGCTTCAGGACTGTAGTATCTGAGCAAAGGATCTGATTTGATCCAGCACATCCCACGAGGGACTGAGTGTTTATGCCCACAGACTCAGTGCCCTCCCTGAACTGTGCAGAGTAAACTCTGCCAAACTCTTAGCTGTTGTTGTTCTTCTTTTTTTTTTTTTTTTTTTTATCTTTTTGAGATGGAATCTCGCTCTGTTGCCCAGGCTGGAGTGCAGCAATGTGATCATAGCTCACTACAGCATCCACCTCTTGGGTTCAAACAATTCTCATGTCTCGGCCTCCCAAGAAGCTGGGATTACAGGCATGTGCCACCACATGTGGCTAATTTTTTGTATTTTTAATAGAGACAGGGTTTTGCTGTGTTGGCCAGGCTGGTCTCGAACTCCTGGTCTCAACCAGTCTGCCTGCCTCAGCCTCCCAAAGTGCTGGGATGACAGACGTGAGCCACCGTGCCCGGCCTTCCTTGTTCTTAAAGAAGGAGATGTTACAGAACAAACGAATCTCCATACAAAACAAAACCTCACCATAAAAGAGGAAACTCCCTGCTTCATGAGGGGTGCAGGTAAATGTAGAAACGCTCACCAAGAAAGCCAGAGTGGATTTCACATTAATAGAATGCAGGTAAAAGACATAACTTGTTGGGATGTAGGGCGCAGTATCAGAATGGAATAGGGTTCAGGTGAGCTCCTAGGATGGCAGGATTTGAAGAAGGAGCAGCACCTTGATTAGGGGAGAATGAAGAAGCTTTGGAGGGCTGGGCGTGGTGGCTCACGCCTGTAATTCCAGCACTCTGGGAGGCCTAGGTGGGCGGATCACCTGAGGTCAGGGGTTTGAGATCAGCTTGGGAAACATGGTGAAACCCCATCTCTACTAAAAATACAAAAATTAGCCGGGCGTGGTGGCGCATGCCTGTAATTCCAGCTACTAGAGAGGCTGAGGCAGGAGGATCGTTTGAACCCAGGAGGCAGAGGTTGCAGTGAGCCAAGATCATGCCATTGCACTTCAGCCTGGGTGACAGAGTAAGACCCTGTCTTAAAAAAATTAATAAAAATAAAAAACACAGTCCAATTTTTTTGAGCTAATTATGGAAGTATTAATGGATAAAATCTACATTTTGTACTGGTGCTGAGAGTGAGCTGTCCCCTAAGTAGATTATGTTTCATGATTCTGTGTCAACTTTCTCTGGGCTGATGGGCCCTCTTTGGACACTGACGTCTCCTCACGTCCATGATCCCTCCTGGGTCCGTGCCAGCTGCGCGTGTCATCAGAGCGGAGCGTGCGCTTGTCCTTCATCACAGGCCTGGGTGATGTGTGGCTGACATGCGTCACATGGGATAGGCTCTCCGATCTCAGGGCTCGGGCTGCCACCCCTGCCACGTAGTACATGGCATGTGGCTGATTCTCCACTTGCTTGCAATGGACCCTCTGTGGAAGGCACCGGAGAGGCGGTTTCCCTGTCTCTTCTCCTCCTGTGTTGCCCTCCTCCCCCTCGATAGATGTGACCTCCCTTCCAGCTTTGTGCCAGTGTCTGGCAGCACTTGATTTTTTTTCTCCTTGTCCTTCATCTGTTTTCATTGCGTCGCCACCTTCCCCACCCCCAAGCAGCATCCTTCTGCCCCTTGGTGCTCTCCGCGCGGCCGTCTGCCTACCTGTGAGTACGCTGACCAGGGCTGGTTGACTGCCTACACATTAGCGGAGTCTTTCTCATTTTTTAGGGCACAGTAGATACTCAGCGAGTGTTGTTTTTTTTTTAATAATTATGCAATAAATGAATGGATGTCCGCACACCACCCTGAACACCAGCACCCACTGGTCATCCCTGGACACGCATGGGTGGAAGGACCACACTGGTTGTCCCTGGAAGAGTAGCTCACTCTCGAGCCTGCACCGATGTCATCTGAGTCAAAACACAGACGTCTGGGCCCCACCCTAGAGAGTCTGGCTCAGCGGGTCCAGGGTGGGGCAAGAATGTGCATTCCTGCAAGTTCCCAGGTGATACTGAGGCGGCTGCTGGGGGGATACCATTTCAAGAAGCACTGCTTGGAGGCAACGCAGACCTCTCCCTCTTCGACGAGGTCCTGTTCACTTCCATGTAACCAGTCAGGGTTGGAATCCCACATGGAGTTCCCCTCCTTTGGTGACCCTCTGCTGCAGCTCTTGGGAGCCTCCCCTTTAGATGAGTTCCTCCCTGCTCTGACCAGGAGTTGCTTTTTCTATACCACCTCAGCTGATGGTGTTCACACACACATTCATTTAACACACATTTACGGAGGGCTCCTGGGGGCTGGGTGCACACACTTGGTGCGGCTCTCTTTTGGAACCTGGTGCCTTCTCTCTCTCCTTCATTTTTGAGGCAGAGTCTTGCTCTGTCGCCCAGGCTGGAGTGCAGTGGTGCGATCTCGGCTCATGGCAATCTCTGCGTCCCAGGCTTAAGTGATTCTTCCACCTCAGCTTCCCAAGTAGCTGGGATTATAGGTATGCGCCACCATGCCCCGCTAATTTTTGTATTTTTAGTAGAGACAGGGTTTGGCCATGTTGGCCAGGCTGGTCTCGAACTCCTGACCTCAAGCGATCTGCCCACCTTGACCTCCCAAAGTGCTGGGATTACAGGCGTGAGCCACTGCGTCCAGCTTCCAGTGTCCTCCCTTTCAGCCTCTGGGTGTTGCCAGCCAGTGCCACCACTCAGCACTGTTTATACCTAAGGCACCAATGGGTAAATGGAGAGACAGGCGTCTGAAGACTTTTAAAAATGTGTACTTTATTTGGCTGTAGCTAAACCAGTTAGAAGGCCGGGAGTTGAAGTTGATATGAGTATCATAAATGCGCAAGTTAAGTAGTTACTTAAGAAGTCACAGGAATATGGGTCGTTCCTTGTTGGGTTTCTGATAACTAGCAGGCGGCTCAGTTTGGCTATGTTAATAACAGAAACACAGAGATTGCCACTGATTCTATCACATTTCCTGTTTGTTTGTTTTTGTTTTTGTTTTTGAGACAGTCTCACTCTGTCATCCAGGCTGGAGTGCAGTGGTGCAATCATGGCTCACTGAAGCCTCGACCACCCAGGCTCAAGTGATCCTTCCACCTCAGCCTCCTGAGTAGCTGGAGCTAGAGGTGTGCACCACCTAATTTTTAAACTTTCTGAATTTTTTGTAGAGATGGGGTCTCACTGTGTTGTCCAGTCTGGTTTCAATCTCCTGGCCTCAAGCAATACCCCCACCTTGGCCTCCCAGAGTGTTGAGATTACAGGTGTGAGCCACCGTGCCCAGCCAACATTTCATTTTTTAAAAAATGCTTTATTGAGGCTGGGCCCGGTGGCTCAGGCCTGTAAACCCAGCACTTTGGGAGGCTGAGGCAGGCAGATCACTTGAGGTCAGGAGTTCGAGACCAGCCTGGCCAACATGGTAAAACCCTGTCTCTACTAAAAATATAAAAATTAGCTGGGCGTGGTGGTGGGTGCCTGTAATCCCAGCTACTTGGGAGGCTGAGGCAGGAGAATCACTTGAACCCAGGAGGCGGAGGTTGCTGTGAGCCGAGATTGTGCCACTGCATTCCAGCCTGGGTGACAGGGTGAGACCCTGTGTCAAAAACAAAAACAAAACAAAACAAACAAAAGAAAGCTTTATTGAGATGTAATTCACCTGTCACCCAGCCTGGGTGACAGGGTGAGACCCTGTGTCAAAAAGAAAAACACAAAACAAACAAAAGAAAGCTTTATTGAGATGTAATTCACATGTCACACAATTCAGCAGTTTAAGTGTACAGTTCCTATACTTTGACATCCATCACTACAGACAATTTGGGGACGTTTTCTTCACTCGACAGAGAAGCCCGGCACACCCGAGCTGCCACCCCCAGTGCTCCCAGCCCCTGGCAGCCCCTAAGCTGCTTTCTGTCTCTTTGCATTTGCCTGTTCTGGACATTTCATAAAAATGGAATCACATCATATGTGGCCCTTCATGACTGGCTTCTCTCACTGAGCCTAATGTTTTCTGGGTTCACCCATGGTGTAGCATGTATTAGTGCTTTCTTCCTTTTCATGGCTGAATAATATTCCATTGCGTTTTGTTTATCTTTGTTGATTATCCATTCCTCAGTTGATGGATATTTGGGTTGTTTCACTTTTTGACTATGATGAATAGTGTTTCTATGAATGTTGGCAGACACGTTTTCCTGTGGACATATGTTTTCATTTCTCTTGGGTATGTACCTAGGAGTGGAATTGCTGGGTCATATGGTAACTCTGTTTAACTTTTTGAGGAATGTCTGGAGTTTGTTTTAAAGTGGCTATGCCATTTTCTCTTCCCACCAGAGTGTGTGCGGGCCCTGATTTCCCCACGTCTCCATAAACACTTGCTGCTGTTCGTCTTTTTTATTATAGCCACACTAGTGGAAAGACACTTTTGTATCCCACACAAACAGAAAACTTATGTATAGGTGATTTTTCTAAAAAAAAGACTTTATGTTTTGATAAAATAAGCATGTTATATTGGTTAAGATGGTTTTTGTTGTGAGTTAACGAAAACCTAACTAAAATTACCTAAAACAAACAAACAAAAAAACGCATTTACTATCTCATGTAACAAGAAGTATGGCAGTTCCAGGGTTGATTAATTCAGAGGTGTGATGACATTTCCAGGACCCCAGGTGCTTTTCATCTTTGCTCTCTGCTGTCTTTGCCACGTGGGAGATGTCTTCCCTTGTGGCACAAAGTGGCTGCAGCCATTCCGAATGACACAGTGATATCTAGTAAAGAAGAGGGGCTTTTCCAATCCTGCATGTCTTATTTTACTGGCATGGAAACTAAGCAGACATCTCTCAGCTCCCTTTGGCCAAGGCGGGGCCATGTGCCACATCCTCCTTAGTTACTGGAAAGGGGAGGGAAGCCCCATTGGGGTGAACTTACCCTGCTCCAGCTACTTACTGCGGGTGGGCTGTGTGTGCGCATGCATGGTGTGTGTGCGTGTGCGTCCATGCGTGGGTGTGCATGTGTGTGCGTGCATGCGTGGGTGTGCATATATGTGTGCATGCATGCATGGGTGTGCATGGGTGTGCATATATGTGTGCGTGCATGCGTGGGTGTGCCTGCATGTGTGTGTGCGTGCTTGCATGGGTGTGCCTGTGTGCATGCATGCATGTGTGTGTGTGCGTGTGTGCATCTCCTTCCTAAGCAGGTAGAAGGGAGATACCCCAAGCAGAATCAGGCTTCTGCTGGTAAGGAAGGTAGGTGTGTGGGAACGGGGAGGACATGAAGAAAGAAAATGATTCTTAGGGATGCAATGCATTAGTGGCTGTGACTTTAGTTAAAACATAGAATTTTGTTTGTTTTTTTTCTTTTGAGACAGGGTCCTGTTCTGTTGCCCTGGCTGGTGTGCAGTGGCAATAGTGGCTCACTGTAGCCTTGATCTCCTGGGCTCTAGCCATCCTCCTGCCTCAGCCTCTTGAGTATCTGGGAATACAGTCGTGTACCACCATGCCTGGCTAATTTTCAATTTTTTTTTTGTAGAGACAGGGTCTCGCTATGTTGCCGAGGCTGGTCTTTAACTCCTGGTGTCAAGTGACACTCTTGCCTCAGTCTCCCAAAGTGCTGGGATTACAGGTGTGAGCCACTGCCCAACCTTCATGCAGCATTTTAAAAAATGAAAATGTAGCTGCTTGTTCTAGGAGAAACTTGTGAAATTGGATCATTTAACCAACTCTGCCTGTGCGTGACTTGCCTTCAGTTCTCCAGCTTGGCCTCAATCCCTTTTTCTTGCTGCTTGGAACCCACATCACCACCAGTGACCTCACAAGGCAGTGCCCCTCCGCACCCCTCCCTTCTCCAAGACTCCCCCGCCGCCCCCTTTCTTGCTCTTACCCACACGCCACTGCAGACACAGCGCCCTCCTCCCCTGCTGCCCCCCTCTTGCTCTTACCCACACGCCCCTGCAGACACAGCACCCTCCCCCCACCCACCGTTACACCCTCTCTTGCTTTTACCCACACGCCCCTGCAGACACAGCGCCCTCCTCCCCTCCTGCACCCTGGGGGCTCCCCGCATGTGCTGTGATGTTGAACATGTGGGTGTCAGGATGAAAGGAAGAAATCTAGATTTGATGTGGTGGGAGGTAAAAGCACTCTCGAAGGCTTTCGAGCTGGGCTATGACTGTCAGGATGAATGTGGTTTTAATATGTGGAAGAGATTTATTTCTTTAATAGTCACCTGTTAAGAGTCTTAGATATCACTGATGTGTCTTGTTAAGAAACCTTATAACAAACGTATTTCTTAAACTTACATCTGGAGCTCTGCAAAGCATTAGCTGTTCTGCAGGAATGACAGAGGGTCTCCTGTGCGGCCAGCTCCTCTGGAGTCAGGGAGCCATGGAGCCACTGCTGGTTCTGAGGATGGTGACAGCAGGAGGTGGAGATGGCTTCATGATCTGCTGTGAGCAACGTGCAACCTTCTCCCTGCTGTTAAGTGACTAGAATTCCCAGGTGCCGCCTGCTGATTAGTTCCAGTTTGTGTTCCACGAGAGCAGATGTGTGTGAGGTGCAGGGAATGCCCCGCTGCGGGAGATGGTTTTCTCCTGCCACCGTCCCTCCCCAGGCCACACCATCCACACACATGAGCACGCTCGTCTTCCTTTCTCATAAAGCACAGACCTAGAAATATTTCTCGGTTTAAAAATAGTGTTTTCCCTACCTCGAGTCAAGGTTCAGTTCTCATCTCTCTAATTTTAGTTCCTTGTTTTTATGAACTTTGAAATGTTTTCCTTAACCAGAAAACAGAAAAAAGCAATCCCAGAGACAAGGGAAATTTCTTGCTCCATTTCCCTGTAGTAAAGGCATTTCTATGTGAGATTTTCTTTTTATCCTGAGCAGGTTATCAGAAACCAAAATTTTGAATTAGGAGTTTAAAGAAGAGGCAAGGGGGAAAAAGTGCTCTCTACGGGACCTTGGTTGCCATGTGGAATGTTTTTGGAGCATAAAATTGATATTTTTACAAAAAAAAAAAAACGAAAAAAATGTTTCTGGTAGAGGCCTGGAGAACGCCGTCATGATTCTGAAGGTGTATATATTTTTTATTGTTTCTGTCAAACTAATTTTATATAAGACATTAATGGAAAGGTCAAAACACATAATTCTCTGAAGCCTATTAGAAAAATTTCTTCCGTTGGGCTGGGAACGGTGGGTCATGCCTGAAATCCCAGCACTTTGGGAGGTTGAGGCGGGAGGATCACTCTTGAGGCCAAGAGTTTGAGACTAGCCTGGCCAACGTGGCAAAACCCCATTTCTATCAAAAAATGTATATATATATACAAAAATTAATCGGGTGTGGTGGCGCACGCCTGTAGTCTCAGCTACTCGGGAGGCTAAGGCAGGAGAATCACTTGAGCCTGGGAGATGGAGGTTGCAGTGAACCAAGAGCATGCCACTGCACTAGAGCCTGGGCAACAGAGCAAGACTGTCTCAAAAAAAAAGTAAAGAAAAGAAAAATTACCTCTGTTAACTTCTTTAAATTCTTAGGTACAGGTGGTAATTTTTTTCTTTGTTAAAATTGATGTTGGTCATTTTGTGTTTGAGTTTTCTGTTGCTATTTCATGGGGATTTTCCTGTGCATCTACATAATATAGTATTTCTTTGAATTAATATGCCATAGTTTAATCATTTCCTGTTTGAGCTTTTTAGATTGCTTGAAGGTTTTTCTTTCCTTTGTAAATACTGCAGCTTTAAGGAATGTGTGACTTTTGAAGCTCTCTGTTTTGGCAGATGGCAAAGGGGGTGACCATCTTATTTTTATTAATTTTTTATTATAAAAGTAAAACATGTTTTTGGTGTTTTAGAAAAGACAGATAAGCAAAAAGAAGATTAAAAAAACATTTACCAACTAGAGATAGCCATTTTGAATGTTTCAACATGAGGTTTTTAGACTTTTTCAGTGCATATACGATATATATCAAATATTTATTCAAAATCAAATATATATCAATGCATATAAATATATATAGATATAATGGTGTCATATGAAACACCATTAACACCATTAAACACCATTAACACCATTAAACACCATTAACACCATTAAACACCATTCATGGATCATGAATACCTTTCCACTTAAATCTGTATGTACATCTTTGTTTATTTTATTTTATTTTATTTTTTTGAGACAGAGTCTTGCTCTGTCATCCAGGCTGAAGTGCAGGGGCATGATCTCGGCTCACTGCAACCTCTGCCTCCCGGGTTCAAGAGATTCTCCTGCCTCAGACTCCCCAGTAGCTGGGACTACAGGCGTCCGCCACCACACCCAGCTAATTTTTGTATTTTTAGTAGAGACGGGGTTTCAACATGTTGGCCAGGATGGTCTCCAACTCCTGACCTCAGGTGATCCACCCACCTTGGCCTCCCAAAGTGCTGGGATTACATGCGTGAGCCACCATGCCTGGCCAAGTCTGTACATACATCTGTATCATCATTTTAAATGACTTAGATTTTATTCTGGGGATGTACTATAATTTATTCAGGAAATATCTCTTGTTGGAAATGTAGATTGTTTCCAGCTTTGAATCATTGTATATCACAATATGAAACTGTTAATAATCCAGCCATCCCTCACATCAGGATGCATTGTATAATTTAATGGTATGTCATAGTTTAATTGGCAGCACTTTGCATTATATTTTAATAGAACAAAAAGTAATGAAACATCATCATTGGCATCTTAGACTCGATGAAATATAATATTGTCAATTATAACAGTGTGATGAATATCCTTATTTGCCGTTGTCTTTGCCCACGATAATTAGTAGTGGGGCCAAATCTCTTTTTCATATGTGTGTTGCCCTTTTGTATTTCTTCATGAGTTGCTTGTGAATTGGTTGTCTTTTCCTTACTGATTTGTGAAAGTTCTTTATTTATGTAAGTATCTTAAATCTTTGTCTTCCATATATGTTGTAAAATGCCTCCCATTTTCTAATTTGTCTTTCAATCGTGATATTTCTTGATATGTGGAAATTTAAAATCTTTATGTTGGTCTTATCTATCAATCATTGTTTATGGTTTCTACCTTTAGTATCATGGTTAGAAAAGCCTTCCCCACCTGAGGACTATGTAAAATATTAACCTATATTTTCTTCTAATACTTTTATGTTTTTGTTTTCTTTTTTTTTTTTCTTTTTTTGAGACAGGGTCTCACTCTAGGCAGGCTGGAGTGCAGTGGCGTGATCTCACTGCAGCTTTGACCTCCTAGGCTTAGGTGATCTTCCCACCTCAGCCTCCCAAGTAGCTGGGACTACAGGTGTACACCACCACACCTGGCTAATTTTTAAGTATTTTGTAGAGATGGAGGTCTCATTATATTGCCCAGTCTGGTCTCAAACTTCTGAGTTCAAGCAATCCTCCCACCTTGGCCTCCCAAAGTGTTGGGATAACAAGCATGAACCATTGTGCCTGGACTGGATATACCACCATTTTAAAAAATCAGTTTATCAGTTGATGAATATTTGAGTTGCTTGCAGTTCTTGGCTATTATGAATAGAGTTGCTGTGAACATTCACAAGTCTTCCGTGGATGTATATTTTTATTTGTTTCGGTTAAATGCATAGGAGTGGAGTGACTGGGTTGTATGATGAGTGTGTTTAACTTTATAAGAAACTATGAAGCTGAACATGTTATTTTTCTTTGTAACTGGACACTTAATTGAATGCTTATTGTGTCTGAATTTTTTTTTTTTTTCTGAAGCAGAGTCTCACTTTATTGCCCAGGCTGGAGTGCAGTGGCACCATCTTGGCTCACTACCACCTCTGCCTCCTGGGTTCAAGCAATTCTGCCGAAGACTCCCAAGTACTAGGATTACAGGTGTGCACCACCACGCCTGGCTAATTTCTTTTGTATTTTTAGTAGAGATGGCGTTTTGCCATGCTGGCCAGGCTGGTCTCAAACTCCTGACCTCAAGTAATCCACCCACCTCAGCCTTCCAAAGTGTTGGGATTACAGGTGTGAGTCACCGCGCCTGGCCTGTGTCTGATTTTTAAAAATCAGATAGCCTTAGATTTTTCTTGGCAGAAAATCATATAAATTTAAAATCCCCTCCTTTTCAGTTTTTATATCTCATTTTAAAAAATTGGACTGAAAGGTAAAGGCCAAAAATATGCCTATTCTCTGCTTAGGAGTTACAGTAACTTTTGATGTGTGTGTGTGCATATACCTGTGTGCGTGTGTGTGGGTGTTTTCCCGCTGTAAGAAAAGAAGGCATGATGTAATGTGCAGGAAATAATCATAATAAAGAGAATGCTGGCGTACTTCTTGAGTGCTCATTGTTGCTAAATTGGTCATTTACTCCTAAAGGACGTTGGGGAAGGGTGTGTTTGATCTCTCTACAGCCAGAAAGACCACCTGAAAACCCTCCTGGGCCTCGTGAATCTGCTCATCTCTCCAGATGTCACAGGAAGTGTCCTCGGGGGGGGACAAGGCTGTGCTGTTCCATGCAGGCATGGTCTCAGGCTGTTCCCAATTGTGAGTGAGTTTTGAACAAAACTGTAACTTCCCTGTATAGGGCTTACAGTTGGCCTCATCTTACACCCTGTAGTCCAGTGAGTCCGCATGCTAGCTGTGGAAAGCGTGTACAGAAAGGAGGCTGATTCTTTTTTTTTTTTTTTGAGACGAAGTCTCAACCTTGTCCCCCAGGCTGGAATGCAATGGCGTGATCTCGGCTCACTGCAACGTCCACCTCTGAGGTTCAAGCGATTCTCCTTCTTCAGCCCCCTGAGTAGCTGGGATTACAGGTGCCTGCCACCATGCCCGGCTAATTTTTGTATTTTTAGTAGAGACGGGGTTTCACCATGTTGGCCAAGCTGGTCTCGGACTCCTCACCTCAGGTGATCCTCCTCCCTTGGCCTCCCAAAGTGCTGGGATTACAGGCGTGAGCCACCGCCCCCAGCCAGGAGGCTGATTCTTAATTATTGATGCACTGCAGCCTGGGCAACAGAGCAAGACCTTGTCTAAAAAAAAAATTATTGATGCCATTTGGTTCTCTTTGAAACTAATTAATGGCTCCTTAATTTGTCAGTGCGTCTATCTTCTAGCGATCACAGATGCTGTTTGGGTGCTCTTGTCAGTTTTTGGTAACCATTTCTGGTATTTTCTTTTCAAATCCCCAGCCTCACTTTGTGCTGGTTATCACAAGATCCACTTAGACCTTAGAGGTGAGAGCTTGGGAATATTTCATCTGCAAGAAAAATCATTCGTCTGTCTTTGTGTGGGACGAGTTAGGTTATGTAAGCTGATGGAACACGAAACAGAAAACTGGAGCCTTTTTCTTTGGGCACACAAAAATGCAAAAATCTAAATCTCTTATTTTGTTGAATTTTTAAGTGGAAGGAGTTGTAGATTTGCCACCATCAGTCCTGGAGCTGACTTGAATTTTTCTTTTAGGCTCTTGTTAGCTTTTCTAACAGAGATGTCACAGATTAGCAACTAGGCATAAACCTGAGAAATTGGGCACTAATTTTGTTTTGCATTTTTGTTTTGTAAGACGGGGGTCTTGCTGTGTTGCACAGGCTGCAGTACAGTGGCTGTTCACAGGTGTGATGGTAGCGCACTGCAGCCTCGAACTCGTGGGCTCAAGTGATCCTCCCACCTCAGCCTCCCAAGTAGCTGGGACCACAGGCATGTGCTACGCCACCCAGCTGTTATTTTGCATTTGCTCTGTCATCACGTTGTGCTTTTGTGCCTGCCTTTTCTCCTCATTAACTAGATATCTGTCACTTAAAGAAATAACAGCGATGCATTTCAGGATAATAGAACCCCTATGAACTCTTCCAGACTTAAAATTTATCTGTTTCTCCAAAAAACACTGCCTGCATTTTTCCCAAATAAGCCAGATACTCTCAGCCAGGTATCTGTGCAGGTTGGACCCCTGCCCACCTTACAAGATCCAGTAGCATCTCCGTTGGAAAGCTTTTCCTGAGCCCTCCCGCCTGGCCCCCCCGCTGCCCCAGCCGCCATTCCTTGCCAGGTCTCTTTTTACCTCCTTTTGCGTTAATGGGTCTTTGGAGTTGTGTCTCCCCTTCACTGAGCTCTCCAGGACACATTTTGCAACATTTTTGTGTCCCTGGTGTATGGTGTTTAGCAGACGCTCAGTATTTACATGTTGACAGATTGCACACATGGGACCGGGTACATTTCTTGCCAGTACATCCAGTTTTCCCTTACCTCTTCTGCTGTAAATTAATGTTCCTCTGGGGTTTAAAAAATTAATTTAGTGGTTAATTTAGTAAGAGATTAAAATTAGGCACTGGCCAGGCACGGTGGCTCATGCCTGTAATCCCAGCACTTTGGGAGGCTGATGTGGACAGATCACCAGAGGTCAGGAGTTCGAGACTAGCCTGGCCAACATGGCAAAACCCCATCTCTACTAAAAATACAAAAATTATCTGGGCGTGGTGGCACATGCCTGTAATCCCAGCTACTTGGGAGGCTGGGACAGGAGAATTGCTTGAACCCGGGAGGCGGAGGTTGCAGTGAGCCAAGATGGTGCCACTGCACTCCATATATATATAGTAACAGGTCTCACCTTGTCACCCAGGCTGGAGTGGAGTGGCATGATCACAGCTCACTGTAGCCTCAGCTTCCTGGGCTGAAGTGATCCTCCTACCTCAGCTTCCTGAGTAGCTGGGACTACAGGCATGCACCACCATAGCTGGCTAATTTTTCTATTTTTTTGTGGAGACGGGGTCTCACCATGTTGCCCAGGCTGGCCTTGAACTCCTGGGCTCAAGCGATCCTCCTGCCTCAGCCTCTCAAAAGTATTGGGATTACAGGTGTGAGCCACTATACCCGGCCATAAAGTAGTACTTAAAAGTGTAACAACTTTCAATAAATCTTTGTGAGATTCAGAACAACCTTTTGAATTGTCTATGTAAAGAAATACCGAACTGCTTTTTTTTCCCCTCGATCACTTTTTAACCTTCCACTTTGTAGACAATTTGCTAGTGTGTTTTCTATTTTTTTTTTTTTTTGCCACTGGGTATTGCCCTGTCATCCAGACTGGGGTACAATGGCATGATCGTAGCTCACTGAAGCCTCGACCTCCTGGGCTCAAGCGACCCACCCGCCTCTGTCGCCCAAGTAGCTGGGAATATAGGCGTACACCACCATGCCCGGCTAATTGTTTTTTTAATTTAAATTTTGTTTTTTTTTTTTTGCGGAGGCAGATCCTCACTATGTTGCCCAGCGTGGTCTTGAACTCCTGGCCTCAAGTGCTCCTCCCACCTCTACCTCCCAAAGTGCTGGGATTACAGGCATGAGCCACTGTGCCCAGCCAGATTTTTGTCATGATTCTATTTTTATCTCTTCTATCGATTTATTTCTTATATATTTTTTCTCACTTATTTTAAGTCATTGCCCGAAATTTACAAAGTACATTTTTTATCAGTCTGCCTCCAAATATTATACCATTTATTATATAAGAACCTCGTAAGAATTCTTCATAACTGTAAGTTACTACAAGGTTCTATGAGAACCTTGTAAATGTTTATGATGCTAATAGTGTCATAATAATGTATTTTATATATATTATAAACCTCATAACATGTTATTTTTACAGAAAATTACCTTTTAGAGCAATGCTGTTTGATGAAACTTCCTGCAATGATGGAAATGTTTTATATCTAGACTATACAATATGGTAGCTACTATCCATGTGTGACCATTGAGTACCTGAAAACAACTGAATTTTAAATAAACTAGTTTAATTTAAGTAATTTAAATTTAAGCGGCTGCCATATAGACAGTGTAGTTTTAGAACAATGGAAGATTTTCAAAATACTTTTGAAAATTATTTTGAAAATCTTTCTTCTTTTTAGGCCACTTCAGGAACTCTTCGTTTCTTTGTGTAGATCTATAGGTTTCTGTCTCATCTCCCGACTGAAAAACTTCCTTTAACATTTTTTATGCTACAGGTCTTCTGGGAATAAATGATCTCAGCCTTTGTCTGTCTGAAAAAGTTTTTATTTCCCTCCCATTAGAAAATGTTTTTAGGCCGGGCACAATGGCTCATGCCTGTTATTCCCAGCACTTTGGGAAGCCGAGGTAGGTGGATCACCTGCAGTCAGGAGTTCAAGACCAGCCTGGCCAACATGGCAAAACCCTGTCTCTACTAAAAATACAAAAATTAGCTGGATATGGTGGTGAGAGCCTGTCATCCCAGCTACTTGGGAGGCTGAGGCAGGAGAGTCATTTGAACCCAGGAGGTGGAGGTTGCAGTGAGCTGAGATCGCGCCATTGCATTCCAGTCTGGGCAACTGAGTGAGACTTTTGTCTCAAAAAAAAAAAAAAGTTTTTAAAGAGGGCTGGGTGCGGTGACTCATGCTTGTAATTCCAGCACTTTGGGAGGCTGAGGAGAGTTGATCACTTGAGGCCAGGAGTTGGAGACCTGCCTGGCTGACAAGGCGAAACCCCGTCTCTACCAAAAATTAGCTGGGCATGGTGGCGCATGCCTGTAGTTCCAGCTACTTGGGAGGCCGAGGCAGGAGAATTACTTGAACCCAGGAGGCGGAGGTTGCAGAGAGCTGAGATCACGTCACTGCATTCCAGCCTGGGCAATAGAGTGAGACTCTTTCTGAAAAAAAAGAAAATGTTTAAAGAAAAATTTCATACCAAGGAGATCCAAGAGACACTCATTTTTAAGAGTCGGTTTTTTCTTTTTTTTGGTTTTGTTTGTTTCTTTTTTTTTTTTTTTTCTTTTAGGATATGAAGGTTTGTGTTGAAAAATTTTTTTTGCAACTTATTCTTTTAGTACTTTAAAGATATCACACCACTGCCTTCTGGCTTTTGTTGTTTTGGTGAGAAGTCTGCTATAATTCTTTTCTTTGTTCCTCTGAATGTAATATGTTTCCCAATTCCCACTGTCACCCCGGCAGCTTTTAAGATTTTCTCTTTATTTTTAGTTTTCGACAATTTGGACATGATGTTGTTTTGGTATTTCTCTTTTTTGGAGTCCTCTAAACTTCTTGGATCTGTGCTTTGATGTCTTTTATTATGTTTAAAAAATTATTGGCCATTATCTCTTCAAATATTTCCTTCTATCCTTTCTTTCTTCTTCAAGCATTTTCTTTTTTCTTAGAAACATTTAATAGGGGCTTATGCACAGAAGCTATGTCTGTTCTCAAGCTTCTGTTCATTAGTCTGTGAACTGGGGCTGCAGCGAGAAGAGACAGTGGATCCCTGCACCATTATCCCCTGGTCCCAGGGCTTGTATACCGTAGGGAAGGGGTGATTCAGAGGGATGTGTAGGTCAGTGTGAGTACAATAACATCAAAGTTGTTTGACCTAAGGTCAGGCTTTATGGTAAGTTCTTGGTCTTACACGAGGAACAGCGCATAAGCTGGAAATCTCAGAGGGTTTCCTGGAACTGGGGTTAATCAGAAGCCACATGGCGGAGTAGCATCCACGATGGAGCTACTTCAGCCTCCACAGTCCACTCTTGTAATCCAGCTCTTGTAATCTCACATGCCCTCTTCTTCCTTCATGGTCCCTGAGCCTTTAAGGAGGGTGCTTGATACTGTATAGCTTTAGCAGCAGTGCCTTGGTCATGGAAAACAGATCGGGCCCAGTGGGATTCCAAACAAGGGAGATTCACAGGCTTTTAAATCGTCTTCAGTCTTCAGAATGCAGTGGCTTTGGTTCTGTCAGAATAGGCAAAACAATGTGAGATATATAACATCGATCACTCGGATAGTAGAATTCTGTGCACACAGAGATTGCAATAGAAAGAGAATCGCCTGTAATCCCAGCTACTCAGGAGGCTGAGGCGCGAGAATCGCTTGAACCCGGGAGGTGGAGGTTGCAGGGAGCCGAGACCGCACCACCGCACTCCCGCCTGGATGACAGTGAGACTCTGTCTCAAAAACCAAACAAAAAAACCCAGAATTCGTGGGCCAGAACAACAATGAAAAAAGAACGTATTCTGTTAAGAAGCCAACTAAAATGCATCATGATGAAAATTAAAACTCGGTTCTTCTTTAGAGACTTGTTGCAGCCAGGAAATGGTTCAGGATTAGCCCAAATTGTAGGCAGATAATAAAAACTCACAAACAATGGTTAAGGCTAGAATCTAAATTTTTCTTTCTCCAGTTTCCCCATTTCTACCAGGGATAAATTATATATATAATAGTAAGACCAATTTATTTGCAAAACAAATTTTAGTTGCTTTATACTTGGCCTGAAGATTTGCATCAAATGTAGCAAGAATTGTGATCCACCATACGGACCCTTTTTAAGTTGGCTTTGCAGGAACCTTTATAAGGAATTTTGGATTTGACTTTTTAAAAGCCTCAATGCCAGATATTGATCTGTTTTCAACTTTTTTGATTTTTTTTTTTTTTTTTTTTTTTTTTTTTTTTGGAGACTGAGTTTCGCTTTTGTTGCCCAGGCTGGAGTGCAAGTAGCACCATCTCTGCTCACTGCAACCTCCGCTTCCCGGGTTCAATTGATTCTCCCGCCTCAGCCTCCCGAGTAGCTAGGATTACAGACATGGATCACCATGGCTGGCTGATTTTTGTATTTTTAGGAGAGATGGGATATTACCATATTGGCCAGGCTGGCCTCGAACTCCTGGCCTCAAGTGATCTGCCCACCTGGGCCTCCCAAAGTGCCGGGATTACAGGTGTGAGCCACCACGCCTGGCTACTACTTGGTTACTTTGTAACCCCGCCTCTTTGATGGGTCAAGAAAAGTTGTGGTTATATTATTTATCTTGGTTTTTATTATTATTATTATTTTATTTTTTGAGACGGAGACTCTCTCTGTTGCCAAGACTGGAGTGCAGTGGTCTGATCATGGCTCACTGAAGCCTTGACCTTCTGGGCTCAAAGTAATCCTCCCATCTCAGACTCCTGAGTAGCTAGGACTACATGCATGCATCATCACACCCAGCTCATTTTTATGTATTTTTGTGTGTAGATGGGGTCTTATGTTACTCAGGCTGGTCTGGAACTCCTGGGGTCAAGTAGTCCTCCTGCCTCGGCCTCCCAAAGTGATAGGATTACAGGTGTGAGCCACTGCACTTCGCTTTTTTCTTTTTAAAGAGAAAGGATCTCTCTATGTTGCCCAGGCTGGACTTGAACTCCTGGACTCAAGCGATCCTCCTGCCTTGGTCTTCGAAAGCACTGGGATTACAGGTGTGAGCCACCAGGCCCAGCCAGTTTTAATTTCTGTTAGGTGGAATGACATTCCAGGTTTCTAAAAATAACTTCTACTTGGTTATTTTTCAAAAGTTTTGTTGAGTTCAGTAATTATATAAGGTTTATAACATAATATTATTTGAAACTTTCATCCACATCCTATTCTTTACTGGTAGAGAAAAGCCACATATAAGAAATACATGTGTGTTTGTCTTTTATAAATATATGTTACCCAGTTTTCCAGTTACTAGCTGCAAGTTTTTTTTCCAGGTCATAATTTGGAGAAAAATATATGCGTGAAAATTATAACGATAAAGCTTATTTTCTATACAACAAACAGTGAGTGATATGGAAATGTATGTCCTTACTAGTAATTTTAAAAGTACAAAAGAGAATGCCTTAAAAGTACACACACACACACACACACACACATACACACACATACATATTTTTTTGAGACAGAGTCTCACTCTGTTGCCGAGGCTGGAGTGCAGTAGCGCAATCTTAACTCACTGCAACCTTTGCCTCCCGGGTTCAAGCAATTCTTGTGCCTCACCCTCCTGAGTGGCTGGGATTACAGGCATGTGCCACCACGCCTGGCTAATTTTTTTGTACTTTTAGTAGAGACAGGGTTTCACCATCTTGGGCAGACTGGTCTCAAACTCCTGCCCTCAAGTGATCCACCTGCCTCAGCCTCCCAAAGTGCTGGGATTACAAGTGTGAGCCACCATGCCTGGCCGCATTATATACTTTTTAAGGCAGAGAAAATTTTCTAAAACTTGATGGGTGGCCTGTTGTTGCTGGTTCACTTCTTCTAAAGAACAGAAGTAAGAACTGTAACACTGTCCGAATCCTGGGAGAGTCGCCTTAGAAGATGGTCCTGTAGATACAAGAGAATAATTTACTCAATGATACGAATATAATTGAGAATAGCAAAAATTGAACAGCAGCCAAATTGGTGATGAGTGAGGTAACTCTGGTAAGTCACCCTGATAGAATATATTCCATTTATTCATTGTTCATAGAATATATTCTATTTATTCGTTGTTCTTCCAACCTTTGTTGAAGCCCCACTCTGTCAGACTCGGCACCAAGTGTCTGAGATGCCTTCGCTCATTACATCTTCACGGCTCCCCCGAGAAGTAGATGTTACTTTCATTATCTGCATTTTACAACCAAGGAACCGGGATATTAAATTACTTCTCTAGGTCATGCAGCTAGTGTGCGGTGGGCTAAATGTACAATCCCCCTAATAATAATAATAATAATAATAATAATAACTTACAACAACAGCATATTGAAATAAGAAAAAAAATTTGAAAAATCTCTTTGATTCGTAAAGATGAAAAAATTGATTCTAGTTGTTGGTGGTGAGAGGAAAGGGAACGCAGGCCCTCTGAAACACTGTTGGTGGGACTACGAATTGCAGAAACCTTTTTGAGGACATTTTGCATATCTTCAGAATTTCACATGTCATGCCATTTGACCAAGTCCTTTCACTTTTAGGGATTTACCCTATGGCAATATTTGCACAAGTACAAAAATGTATGTATGAGAATCTTGGTTACTGTCTTTCTTGTAATAGCAGAAAGTGGGAAATCACTTGAACATCTATTAGGTGGAAATTATGGTCTGTCCTTATGGTGGAATAGTTGTAACCATTTGTAAGAATGAGATAGATCTGCGTGTACCCATATGTGCAAAAGAGCCACCGTGAATTGTTTTTTTTTTTTTTTGAGATGGAGTCTCGCTTTGTCACTCATGCTGGAGTGCAGTGGCTCGATCTTGGCTCACTGCAAGCTCCGCCTCCTGGGTTCACACCATTCTCCTGCCTCAGCCTCCTGAGTAGCTGGGACTACAGGCGCCCGCCACCATGCCCAGCTAATTTTTTTTTGTATTTTTAGTAGAGACGGGGTTTCACCGTGTTAGCCAGGATGGTCTCGATCTCCTGACCTCATGATCCGCTCATCTAGGCCTCCCAAAGTGCCGGGATTACAGGTGTGAGCCACCGTGCCCGGCCATGAACTGTGAATTGAAAAAAGCAAGCAACTGTACCATATGTAAAACATGATCTCATTTTCCATAAAATAGCGTGTTTAATAATGTGGGTCTAGAGAGATAATAATACATGCATTGAAGGATATATACAAATTTATATATAGCGCGTGTTCTTTACAGTGGGATTAGAGGAACTTGTACTAATATTTTTTTTGCTTTGTTTTTTTTTTGCAACAGATATGATTTTATTATTAGAAAAACCAGATTTAAAAAAAGCCATTATATGAGTTTTCCTAGTTGGCAAAAATTCATTATATGAGTTATCCTAGTTGGCAAAAAAGGCACTTAAGTGAGGAAAGGAGATGCAAAATCATCCTTGACTGTAAAGGGGTGCAGGTGGGATATGAGCTTGTCTGGGTATGAGAATATCATGTTCTATGCATTTTTTATTTCCTAAACTGCTTAAATTATAAATCATTAATGGTAATTATTAAAAGACTTTGTTTTCCCTACAATTAGAAAAACTTATTTGAAGACCTCAAATCCCAAAAGTGAAAGAGGAAAAAAAAAATTATTGCCACGGTTTTTCCCTTAACCCATTTAATTAAAGAATTAATTAAATTCTATGTTGCAGTTTTTCACCAAAAGTGCAACATAGAGTTAGTTCAGTCACCACAAAAAGATTCAGAGATTGGATTTTGCTGACTTAGTGAAGCTACTAAGATACAAATTCACAAAGTAAATGTTTGCACACATTAGCTACAGTGGCAAAGTGTTTGGGAGGTTGCAGTCCACCTCCCGGTGAGGGAGATCCATCCTTTTGGTCAGCAAATGCCCTGAATTGACCCTCTCCCGAGGGTCAGCTGCAGGCTGTGCTGATCTCGGAACTTCTCTGGGGGTCCAGTTCTGTTTAGGACAGACCATAAAATACATCTCTCTGGGGTGGGTAGAGCTACCCCAGTACTTACCCTGGAAATGGACTCAGCTGTCCCTGGAGGGTGACTCAGTTGAGGCAGAATTGTCTTAATTTGGTAACTCTCCTAATTTGAAGCAGAAGTCCTGGGTTTGACCCAGACCCATCTTGGTCTGGAGTGGAGTTGTGGTGTGTCTAATGCTGCCAGATCATGTTCACTGTTAGAAGCCTGGGGAAGGGAAGGAACTTGCTCAGCCAACTCAGAAGCAGGCATAGCGCAAGAGGGAGGATTTTAAGAATTAGTATTTTACTATCCTTGTGAGCTGGTGTTATTGACAAACATTATTTCAATCTGTTTAACGATTTTAAGAATTAGTATTTTACTACCCTTGTGAGCTGGTGTTGTTTCTAAATATTATTTCAATCTGTTTAACAATTCCATTTTTTAAAAACCCTGCACTTTGGGCAGGAGTTCGTATTTCTAATTTAGGATGAATTTTTTCTCATCTCCCCCCATTCTGTGATTCTAATTTTTTTTAAGTTATTTCAGTTCTTAAAACTCTTTCATAGAGCTGGGCATCAGCCGCAATTTTCTCTAAATCTGTCTCAGATGAGCACTTGCAGTCTAATTGTATAAAAGATCAGGAAATTTAGTATTGAAGTTGCACTTGCTTTGATGTAATGATGAATGTTTCCTTCATCTGAAGAGCATTTGAAATTTATGGAAAAGTAAATCTTTTTGAATTATATGTAAATGAAAACGTTGGGATGAACCAGGTTATGTTTAACTGGGCAGTTTTGAAATTCTAATAGCTCCTACAAGCGGGAATCTTTTAAAGCTAATTTTGTGATATGAATTGTTTATTATTCTAAAGAATAATATTCACTTTTTTTTCATGGATCTCATGTAAATGTTACTGGACAATATGACCCATCTCTTTAAAAAGTGAAATTGTTAGTGGGAAGCTGTGGCTCACACTTATAATTCCAGCACTTTGGGAGGCTGAGGCGGGAGGATCACCTGAGCCCAGGCATTTGAGACCAGCCTGGGCAACAGCGAGACCTCATTTCTACAAATAATAAAAACATTAGCTGGGTGTGGTGACATGCATCTTTGGTCCAAGCTACTCTGGAGGCTGAGGTAGGAGGATTGTTTGAACCTGAGAGGTGGAGCCTGCAGTGAGCCCTGATCGTGCCCCTGCACTCCAGCCTGGGCAACAGAGTGAGACCTCCATCTCTAAATAAATAGGTAAAGGTAAAATCACTGCTCAGTCACTAGAGAGAGGAGAGAGAAAAGTAAATATACTCAAGGAGTGGGAAAAGCTTTGAAGTGGCATATCAAAATGAGAAAAATAAGTGTTTTTTAGAGAGAAAAGATTTGTGGAGAATTATATATTAGAACTATTTAAGACTTCTTAAAACTTCACGATTATATGGTTTTGTAAGGTTTTTGGGGATTTTCATAATGAGATGTAGATGGAACGTCCCCATTGCCCATCATAGACTATTCAGGCAAGTTCATACCCATTCCTAGAATGGAGAACCGTCTCCTCTGCGGTGAAGAAGCGCCCCTGTTCCTTAAGAGGCAGCAGCAGGAGGTGGAAAACAACATCCCGCTTGCTAAAGTCATGGGCCTTAGTCCAGGCGCGGAGGCTCACGCCTGTAATCCCAGCACTTTGGGAGGCCAAGGCGGGCAGATCACCTGAGGTCAGGAGTTCGAGACCAGCCTGGCCAACATGGTGAGACCCAGTCTCTACTAAAAATACAAAACTGAGCCGGGTGTGGCAGTGGGCGCCTGTAATCCCAGGACTTTGGGAGGCCGAGGCGGGCAGATCACCTGAGGTCAGGAGTTCGAGATCAGCCTGGCCAACATGGCGAAACCCCGCCTCTACTAAAAATACAAAAATTAGCCAGGTGTGGTGGCTCATGCCTGTAATCCCAGCTGTTCGGGAGGCTGAGGCAGAATTGCTTAAATCCGGGAGGTGGAGGTTGCAGTGAGCCAAAATAGCGCCATTGCCCTGCAGCCTGGGTGACAGAGTGAGACTCCGTCTCAATAAATAAATAAATACATAAAAATAAAGCCATGGGCCTCGATGGGAGGCTGTACATTGACGTGCGACATTCGACTTCTGCCATTATTTCAGATTTCGCACCTGCCCTTCTGGCAACATGGTGTTGCTGTGAGGATCTTGAGAGGAGATGAATGATGCTTTCCAAGTAGTAAGTATTATTCCATTAGGGAAAATAGGAATAAAATTGGAAAGCATCAAGTATTTGAAAGGAAACGAAAACAGGGCTTACTTTCCCTTTCGGCCAGCGTTAGAAGGGTGCAGTTTGGAATTGAAAGTGAAAGGAGCATGCACGTGTTCGGGGCAGGTTGCGGGGAGAGTGAAGATCATTTTAAAGACCCTGGTGCTTTGATCTTAGAGCACCACTCATTTGTACTCAGTTCAGATCTAAGTGAATTACTGTGCAAACGACATGACGAGAGAGGGGCATTTTCCAATAGTAGCTTCTGGTCTGGCACATGAGCCAGTTAGAGATTGACACACGCAGTCATGTAGCTGCTATAAATTGAAGCCTGGTGATGGACGTACTACAGGCATGGCTGCAGCGAATGCCTATGACCTTTCACTTCTCCTCCCTCTGTCACTCTGTGTATTCGCTCTCTCCATTTTCCTCCCTCACCTATTCACCAGCCATGAATCAGGAGTGGACTGGGCAAGGATCAGCCTGTAGGGAAATGATGTGGGCCGAGGGTAAAGAGTGAGGAATAATTAAGGCAGCCCTTGAATTAGTTGTACATTTTTTTCTTTTGTGTAGTCTTCTTTTTTTTTTGTAAGCAAACAAAAACCACGTTGCTGGCCAAATGTAGTGGCTCATGCCTGTGATCCCAGCACTTTGGGAGGTCCAGGTGGGAGGATTGCTTGAGTCCAGGAGTTTGAGACCAGCCTGGGCAACATGGTGAGACCCTGTCTCTATAAACAAATAAATTAAAAAAATTAGCTGGGCATAGTGGTACCCACCTGGAGTCCCAGCTAATGGGGAGACTGAGGTGGGAGGATTGCTTGAGCCCAGGAAACTGAGGCTGCAGTGAGCTCTGATTGTGCCATTGTACTCCAGCCCGAGTGACAGAGTGAGACCCTGTCTCTCAAAAACAAAAAACAACACTTTATTATGGATGATTTCAAACATAAACAAAAGTGAAGAGAGTAGTATAATCAACTCTCAGGTACACGTTACCCAGCTTCAGTTACCCACTCATAACCTTTCTTGTTAATTTCTACAAAAAGCTTGCTGGGTCTTGTTGAATCTGTTGATCAATTTGGGAAGAAATGCCATCTTAACAATACTGAGTCCTTCAATCCAAGAACCTGGTATCTCCTTACATTTATTTAGATATTATTTAATGTATCAACAAAGTTTTGTAATTTTAACTTACTAATTTTGATGCTATTACAAATGGAATTATTTCTTAATTTTGTTTTTGGATTGTTCATTGCTGGTATACACAAAACAGTTGATTTCCTGATATTGATTTTGTATCTTATGAACATGTTAAACTTGCTTATTAGTTCTAGTAGTTTTTTGTAGACTCCTGAAGATTTTCTATATATAGAGCTAGTGAATATGAAGAGTTTTACTTGTTTTCCAATCTGTGTCTTTTAAATTTCTTTTTCCTGCCTTATTGTTCTGGATAGCACCTCCAGTACAATGTTGAGTAGAAATGGTGAGAGTAGACATCCTTGTTTTGTTTCTGAACAAAGAACCAACTTTTGGTTTCATCAGTTTTCTCTATTACTTTCCCTAATTCATTGATTTCTGGTCTAGTATTTATTATTGCCTTCCTTCTGCTTTTTTTGGGATTTAGTTTACTCTCCTTTTTATAGTTTCTTAAGGTGGAAACTCAGGTTTGTGTTTTTTTTTTTTGAGACATGATCTCGCCCCGTGGCCCAGGCTGGAGTGCAGTGGTGCGATACTGGCTCACTGCAGCTTCCACCTTCCAGGCTCAAGAGATTCTCTCACCTCAGCCCCCCAAGGAGCTGAGGCTACAGGTGTGTACCATTGGGCCAGCTAATTTTTATTTTTATTTTTTGTAGACACAGGGTCTCACTATATTACCAAGGCTCTTCTTCAACTCCTGGGCTTGAGCGATCGTCCCAGCTTGGCCTTCCAAAGTGTTGAGATTACAGGTGTGAGCCACTGTTCCCTGCTGATGCTCAGTTTATTAACTTGAGACTTTTCTTTTTTTTTTCCTGATACAGGCTTTTAACATTATAAATTTCTCCCTAAGTACTTCTCATAGCTGCATCCTAAATTTTGATCTGCTGTGTTTTTCTTTTCATCCAGTTTGAAGTATTTTTAAACTTCCCTTGTGATTTCTTCTTTGACCTTTGAATCCTTTAGATATGTTTTCTAATTTCTAAGTAGTTGGGGAGTCCACAAATTTATTTCTGTTCTTGATTTTTAAAAATTTCATTTTGGTAGAGAACATGCTTTATATGATTTTAATTCTTTTAAATTTATTGATACTTGTTTTATGACCTAGCCCATGATTCATTCTAGACAATGCGATATGTACACTTGAAAAGAATATATATTCTATTTGTTGTTGCTTGACATGGTCTACAGATGTTAGTTACGTCAGGTTGGTTGACAATGCTGTTCAAAGTCTGTATATCCTTGCTGATTTTCTGTTTAACTATTATGTCAATTATTGAGAGTGGGATATTGAAGTCTCCAAACATTATTGTGAATTGCCTATTTCTCCCTTTGGTTCAGTCAGTGTTTGCTTTATTGTATTTTGTGCTCTGCTATTAAGTGCTTATGTATTTATGTTTTTATATATTCCTCATGAGTTGACCCTTTTATTGTTACAAAATTTCTTTTTCTCTTATAACTTTTTTGTCTTAAAGTTTATTCAGTCTGTGGGATTTTTTTGTGTTTTTGTTTGTTTGTTTTGAGACAGGGTATCACTCTGTCACCCAGGCTGGAGTGCAGTGGCACAATCATAGCTCACTATAACCTTGAATTCCTGTACTCAAGCAATCCACCTGCCACAGCCTCCCATACTTACTTTGATATTATTATAGCCACTGCAACTTTCTTATGGTTTTGTTTGCATAGTACATTTTTCTCCATCTGCATCTCTTGCAGACAGCACATGGTTAGAACTTCTAAAAAATTTAATCTGACAGTCTTCACCTTTTATTGGAGTGTTTAATCCATTTACATTTAATGCAATTATTGATATGCTTGGATTACATCTAACATTTTGCTATGTTTTCTCTGTCTCACATCTTTTTGTTCTGTTTCTCCTTACTGTTTTCTTTTGTGTTAAATAGATATTTTCTAGTGTTCTGTTTTCATCTGTTTGGTGAGGTTTTTAATATTTTTTGGTTATATTTTTAGTGGTTACTCTAAGGATTGCAATATGCATCTCATCACAGTCTACTTTTTAAAGATCTATATATAGCTTTTAAAAAGTAGAGATGGGGTTTTGCCATGTTGCCCAGGCTGGTTTCAAACTCCTGGATTCAAGTGATCCTTCCATCTCAGCCTCCCAAAGTGCTGGGATTACAGGCATGAGCCACTGTGCCTAGAGCTCACAGTCTACTGTAGATTAATGCTAATTCATTTTCAATAAAATATAGAAACTTTGTTCCATTAAATGTCTATGTCTATCTACCTCCTCTGTGGTATTATGTCATGTATATGATATCTTTGTATGTCATAAGCCCAGTAGTAAAAGTCTGTAGTTATTGTTATATGTACTTGTCTTTTAAATCAGTTAAGTGTAAAAAAGAGACTATTTATAAATCTGCTGTATATTTGCCTATGTAATTAGTATTACTAGCATTCTTTATTTCTTCATGTGGATTCAGGATATAATCTGGTGTTTTTTTCTTTCATCTTGAAGGGCTTCCTTTAGTATTTCTTGTAAGTAGGGTCTGCCAGTAACAAATTTTCTGTCTTTGTTTATCTAGGAATATCTTTATTTCTACTTGTTAGTTTTGGGGTATGGTTTTGATGGATATGGAATTCTTGATTGGAAGTTTTTCTTTCAGTGCTTTGAATATGTCATTTTACTGTTTTCTGGTCTCTGTTAATTTCTAACGTGAAGTCAGCTGTTAATCTTATGGTAGTGCTCCTTTTCATGAAGAACCATTTTGTCTTCATGCAGTCAAGATTTTCTCTTTGTTTTTGGCTTCCAGCAGTTTGGCTATGATGTGTCATGGTGGCTCACTTTATTGAGTTGGAGTTTTTTGAGCTTACTTTGAGTTTGTTGGATGTGAACATTAATTTTTTAAAATCAAATGTGAGAAGTTTATGCCATTAGTTTTTCAAAAAATTTTTTCTGCTTCCTTTTGCTTCGTTTTCTTTTGAAACTTCCTTTATATATATGTTGGCATGCTTGATGGTATCCCTGTGTTTCTGAGGTTCTTTTTATTTTTCTTTATGCTTTTTTATTTCTTCTTCAGATTGGATAATTTTAAGTTCACTGATTCTTTCTTCTCCCATGTCAACTCTGTTGTTGAGCCCCTCTAGTGAACTTTTCATTACAGTTATTATACTTTTGAACTCTAGAATTTCTGTTTGGTTTCTTTTTATAATTTCTGTCTCTTTATTAGTATTCTCTATTTGATGAGTCATTGTTACATACTTTCCTTTAGTTCTTTAAACATGAATTCCTTCAGTTCCATTCTTACAGTAGTTTCTTATAACTTTGAAATCTTTGTTAAGTCCAATATCTGGGCCCCCTTAGAGTTTCCAGTTATGACTCTTGCCTGAGTATAATTCACAATACTTTATGTTTCTTTGCATGTCTTATATTTTATTTTTTTAAGCTCTGTATTTTAGTTAATACGTTGTAGCAACTCTGGATTATGATCACCTTTGGCAAAATGCAGGTTTGTTGTTTATTTCTTTTTGTTTGTGACTTGCCTGGATTAATTCTGTGAAGTCTGTCTCTGTAGCAGCTGCTGATGATCCTGCTCATTTTTTTTTTCTTATTTTTAAAATGTGTTTAAGCCTGGCTTTGCAGGGGTTAACCCAGGTCAGCATAGCTTAGTGGTCAGGCAATGATTATTCAGAGGTGTGCTGAAACACCTTGAGCTACTAATGCTTTTCACAGTTTGCGGTGGATATGTGTGTACGTTTAGGGACATGTTCAGAATTCAGGCATATATTATACGAGCCTGTCTTGGTTTTTCCTTTTTGCCAGGCCTTTTCTGGCCTCCTTTGTGCGTGGGGTAGGCCTCACTTTAGCCAAGGATGAGTGGATAACCAGGGCCCTCTTCAGTCTTTCCTGCCTGTGTGCAGCCTTCCAGAGCACGAAGAATGTGTGGGACTTCAGGGACTTTACCACTGCCCGTGATAGCTCCCTTATTCTCTGTATCTTCCGGCTAGGTTTTTGGCTGGTCTCCTGATCTGTTGGTTGCCACAACCGGCATTGCAGGCTCAGGGTGGCTGAGATGTTGACCTTCTGTACATTTCCTGTTGTTTACAGGAAATCACCGTGGTTTATGTCAGTGCCTTTGGGCATGTGCTCTCCTCCAAATCAAGTCAACCCCTCCAGCAGTGGAGCCACCAATTTTCACAGCTCGTCCCACCCTGGTAGATGTAGCAGCATGGGTGAGCTGAGGGGAAGGAGGGGAGCCCCTCAAGCCAAAGCATCACAGAACACCACCGCTCTAACTCAAGATTTGGTCATTTTTCTTCTTCATTTTATTTTTTAATTCTTGAGATGAGGCCTTCCTCTGTCACTCAAGCTGGCGTGCAGTGGCACAATCATAGTTCACTGTAACCTCAAGCTCCCAGGCTCAAGAGATTTTCCCACCTCAGCCTCCTGAGTGGCTGAGACTACAGGTGTGCATCACCACGCCAGGCTGACTTTTTTGTTTTTCGTTGAGACGGGGTCTTGATATGTTGCCCAGGCTGGTCTCTGACTCCCAGCCTCAAGCAATCCTCCTGCCTCGGCCTCCCAAAGTGCTACAATTGCAGGTGGGAGCCACCATGCCCAGCTGCGTAGTTTTTCTTGAATAAACATTTTTCAATTTTTTGTATGTCTTTGGTTGATTTCCAACCCTGTGGTGGTTGTTTTTGACCGACTTGTCTAGTTTTGTTGTTACTTTTTGAGGAGAGGTTTTGCCAAGCTTCTCACTTCATTATTCCAGAAGTTCTTCCCCTCTCCCCAGGTCATCTTTTTGGTTTTTTCTTCTAACTTTCTTTCTTTCTTTTTTTTTCTTTTTTTTTTTTTTTCGATGGATTCTCGCTGTGTCGCCCAGGCTGGAGTGCAGTGGCATGATCTCGGCTCACTGCAGCCTCTGCCTTCCAGGTTCTAGCACTTCTCCTGCCTCAGCCTCCCAGGTTGCTGGGATTACAGGCACCCGCCACCAGCTAATTTTTGTATTTTTTAGTAGAGATGGAGTTTCATCATGTTGGCCAGGCTGGTCTCGAACTCCTGACCTCAGGTGATCTGCCCACCTCGGCCTCCCAGAGTGCTGGGATTAAAGGCGTGAGCCATCGTGCACGGCCGGTTTTTCTTCCAACTTTCTAAGTACTATAAGCTTGTTGTAAAATTTGGCAATATAGAAATGTATAAAATGGAAATGAAAATCTTTACTAATCCCATCCCTTAAAGATAGCCACTGTTAATAAGTTAGTGACTTGCTTTCCAAGCTTTAATCATCTTTCTTTAATCATCATATTTTTGATTATATCCTCTTACCAAAGTTCCTTTACCCCTCACCACAAAGGTTTCTAATTCAGAGACTTCCTTTAGCTCCCTTGATTCAAGGAGATAAAGTTAATTAGCAATCAGGAGATGAGGAGCCCTTTCCTGGCAAGGACAGAATTCTAAGACGGAGGGATTTTTAGCTCCTCGGTGGACTCAGTTCCGCTGCACCTTTTGCAGCATCTTGCCTGCTGGGTCTCCTCTCTGCAGTTTTCTTGTTCCCTGGCCTTTTATCCTCCTGATCACACATACCTTCCCAGGTTCTCCAGGAAAGTAGTGGATCAGTCACTTCCCCCTGCAACGTCATTGTAGGCATGATTACATCTTGGAGTGTTCTCTCAACAAGAGTCAGTGTAGCATGGGGTTCCGGGCCTGAGCTCTGGTGTCACATTGCTTGGAGTTCAAATTTCAATTCTTCTTCTTTTTTTTTTTTTTTTCTTGGAGACAAGAGTTTCTCTGTTTCCCAGGCTGGAGTGCAGTGGGGCGATCTTGGCTCACTGCAACCTCTGCCTCCCAGGTTCAAGTGATTCTCCTGCCTCAGCCTCCTGAGTAGCTGGTACTACAGGTGCACGCCACCATGCCTGGCTAATTTTTGTATTTTTAGTAGAGACGGGGGTTTTACCGTGTTGGCCAGGGTGGTTTTGAACCCCTGACCTCAAGTGATCTTGCCACCTTGGCCTCCCAAAGTGTTGGGATTACAGGCATGAGCCACTGCGCCCAGCCTCAACTCTCTTTTTTTTTTTTTTTAGACAGAGTCTCACTCTGTCACTCAGGCTGGAGTGCAGTGGCATGATCTCGGCTCACTGCAACCTCCACCTCCTGGGTTCAAGCGATTCTTCTGCCTCGACCTCCCAAGTAGCTGGGATTACAGGTGCCCACCACCACGCCTGGCTAATTTTTGTATTTTTAGTAGAGATGGGGTTTCACTATGTTGGCCAGGCTGGTCTCGAACTCTTGACCTGAAGCGATCTGCCCACCTTGGCCTCCCAAAGTGCTGGGATTACTCAACTCTCCTTCTTAGAGTCCTTTGTGACCTTGGGTTCCCTGGGCCTTGGTTTTCTCATCTCTGAAGTGGGGCTGGGAGCAACTCTTGCAGCACTGGGTTGGAACGTGCTGGCCACAGTGCTCACACATCGAGAACACGCCGTAAATGCTCCCCGGGCCTCCGCTTCCTGGTGTCGTCATCCTTATTCAGAATGAACAAGAAATCACTCCTTCAGAGTAATGTTTCAGACAGAGGAGAGAGCTTTGTGGGGGCCCTCTGGCGTGCTCACAGAAGCTTTGGTATTCGTCAACCACTGTAGGAGCCAAGCATTTCCTACAGAATGCAGGGAGCAGGGCTGGCGGGGAGATAGTGCGTGAAAAGAGAGGCTGGTGTTGGGAAAGAAACAGAGACAGAACGGTGGCCGGCGGACAAACGACAATAAGCCAGGATGATGGTGTCACTGCAGCCGGGTGCGGAGTTTCTTTCTGGGGTGATGAAAGTGTTCTAGGTTGATGGTGGTGATGGTTGCACAGCCCTGTGTGAATATGCTAGACACCACTGAATTGTACCCTGGAAACAGATGAATTGTACGGTATGTGAATTATATCTCAATAAAGCTGTTATTAAAAAAAAGATGGACAGTCCCAGCTACTCAGGAAGCTGAGGCAGGAGTATTGCTTGAGGCCAGGGGTTGGAGGCTGCAGTGAGCCGAGATTGCACCACGGCACTCCAGCCTAGGCAACAGAACCAGACGCTTCTCTTTAAACAAAAACCTAAACAATTGTAGATTTTTTTAAAATGAGGCTTTTTGTTTTTTTTATGCCAAAACCCTTCATAGACATGAAATAACAGAAGAGTAAGATTGGCGGGGGGGGGGGGGGCGGTTTCATCAGTACAGGTTACCTGAAAGAACTGAGTTGTTGGTCTGACCTCTGCTAGGACTCGCCATGTGTCATGGCAGGCCTGGCACCTGAAGGAGAGCTTTAGCAATTTGCACTCACATCATCCTGGACCTCAGCCTGGGTGATGGTCACTGTCTTGAGACAGCTTCAGAACAGGCAACCTGGGTGTGGCCGCCTTGTCAACCAGAGATAATAAAAACACAGGTAAACCTCTGCACCTCCATCGTCATGCCGAATTATAACAACAGCACATATTTGTTGAAGTCTTACTATGCACTAGGCACAGTGCTGAGTGCCCATGATGCAGAGGGGAATTTGAGAGTGTCAGTCATTTCTGCCCCTTCGGATCACGCACTGCTTTCCAGTGTTCCCAGGAGACCAGTTTTGAGGTTAGAATTCTGCTTCTTACAGTGAGGACTGATTCTGACTCCTAGGAGGACGAAAGCCCCTTTTAAATTTACTTTGGCTGGGTGTGGTGGCTCACGGCTGTAATCCCAGCACTCTGGGAGGCCGAGGTGGGTGGATCACTTGAGGTCAGCATTTTCAGACCAGCCTGGCCAACATGGTGAAACACCATCTCTACTAAAAATACAAAAATTACCTAAGTGTGGTGGTGCACGCCTATCGTCCCAGCTACTTGGGAGGCTGAGGCAGGAGAATCCCTGGAGCCCGGGAGCGGAGGTTACAGTGAGCTGAGATTGCATCACTGCACTCCAGCCTGGATGACAGAGTGAGACTCGTCTCAAAAACAAAACAAAACACAACAAAACATTACTTTGAAGCCACAGCATTTTGCACAGGTAGGAAAACTGCTGGGCCTGGAGATCTTCTATAAATATGTTGAGAGCTGATGTTGAAGAGATTATTGAAGAATCCTGATGTCACAGAATTTTCTATAGACAACCTCCTTGCGGGGAGGGCGCAGCTTTCGGGTTCTGTATCGCACAACACCGGCTGGGAGCTCCCTGCATGTGTGTTTCCAGCACTGCCTGTCTATGGGAGCTAAGGAAGTGGCTTCAAAACCGCTTGCCAGAGACGCGCAGTCACCCAGTCGTTGCAGCGCTTGTACTTGTGGGAGCTGTCTTGCAGGCTCAGGCATCTTTGATAAGGAATTCCTCATACTTAGAAGTGGCACCTTTGTTCTGCTGGGGAATTGTTCCCAAAAGGTATCTTTTTTTTTTTTTGAAACGGATCCTCGCTCTGTCGCCCACGCTGGAGTGCAGTGGCACCATCTCGGCTCACTGCAAGCTCTGCCTTCTGGGTTCATGCCGTTCTCCTGCCTCAGCCTCCCAAGTAGCTGGGACTACAGGCGCCCGGCGCCACGCCTGGCTAATTTTTTTGTATTTTTAGTAGAGACGGGGTTTCACCGTGTTAGCCGGGATGGTCTCGATCTCCTGACCTCGTGATCCCCCCACCCCGGCCTCCCAAAGTGCTGGGATTGTAGGTGTGAGCCACCGCGTCTGGCCTTTTTTTTTTTCCTTTTTGAGACAGAGTCTTGCTCTGCTGCCCAGGCTGGAGTACAATGGCCTGATCTTGACTCACTGCAACCTCTACCTCCTGGGTTCAAGCAATTCTCCTGTCTCAGCCTCCCGAGTAGCTGGGATTATAGGTGTGTGCCACTATGCCCAGCTAATTTTTTGTATGTTTAGTAGAGACAGGGTTTCACCATGTTGGCCAGGTTGGTCTTGAACTCCTGACCTCAAGTGATCTGCTCGCCTCAGCCTCCCAAAGTACTGGGATTACAGGTGTAAGCCACCACGCCTGACCCCAAAAGACATCTAAAAAGGCTTTTTCACTTGTGAAATCTGCTGAATAGAGCTGGCTTCCTGAGGCCTGGGGGCCCTTCCCGGTGTGGAAGAATGGCTCTGCTGTTGGCTACCACAGTGCTGGGGCCTGTACTCCCACCTCCTCTGCCTCTGTCTGCCTTGTGTGCCTCCCCTTCCGCGGGGGCCCTGCTCTCTGCCTCTTTCTGACCTTCCAGAGTTTTTGAGGTGTGAGTGTGTTGTTGAATTTCATTTACATAATAATTAAAGAGTCAGGGTTTCATGATCTACTGATGTAAAACCCGCAAAAACCCTAAAATCTCGAGTGGTGTTGTACAGCATGTGGGATTCTTTTGTATAACTTGATGATTTTCAAAATATCCATTTCGGCTGGGCACAGTGGCTCACACCTGTAATCCCAGCACTTTGGGAGGTCGAGGCAGGTGGATCACGAGGTCAGGAGATTTAGACCATCCTGGCTAACACAGTGAAACCCGTCTCTACTAACAATACAAAATTAGCCGGGCATGGTGGCGGGCACCTGTAGTCCCAGCTACTCGGGAGGCTGAAGCAGGAGAATTGCTTGAACCCGGGAGGCGTAGCTTGCAGTGAGCCGAGATTGTGCCACTGCACTCCAGCCTGGGTGACAGAGCGAGAGTCCGTCTCAAAAAAAAAAAAAGAAAAAAATCCATTTAATCAGAGCCATACTTGTTGATTACTACAGGTGCTTCCCGTATCTAATACCTCCAGCAAGAAGGTTTGCGAAATGGGCAGAGAGTAATAGGAAGAGTTTCAGGAAGATGGTTTGAGTGAAAATCATTTCAGAACCGAGCCCTGCGAAGTCTTGGTTTCTGCAATCCACCACAGTTTGGGAAAATCGGGAATTTTGTTTAGTCCATTTCTATTTTTGTGCACCACAAATATGTAAACAAAGCTGGGATCTTCGTCGGGGGCGGAGGGAAGGGCGACAGAACCCTGACATCTAATACTGGTCATCGGTATTTCCATGTGTTTCCTGATCCCATTGTCTCTGCTATTTAAATTAATTAATTCCACAAGTATGCACTCAGTAAATATTGTGAGCCAGGCACTATTCTCGGCTCTGTGGTTGCATCAGTGAACAAAACAGACGCTAATCCTGCTTTCGTGAGCCATCTATAATAGAATGGGCGAGTCAAGAAATTGACACATGCATTAGAAAAATATGTAGCGTGTCGCTGGTAAGTGCTTGAGAGCTCATCAGGGAAGGGCAGGAGTTTGTGGAGTGGGGGTGAGGGATGTGGGGTGGGGCGGGGCAAGGGTGGCAAGAGGCCTGGGGCTGCTGGTTGCAACTGTAACCAGAGTGGCCAGGGAAATCCTTGCTCCTCTGGGTAATGCCCTATCCAGAAGACCCTTGCAAATTTCTAAAATGCTGTGTTTTATTACCGAGAAAGAGTCGTCTGGGAGCTCTCCGAGGCAAATAACTTTTGAAGTTGGCATGAGCAGGATATTGTGCAATGGGGCTCACTGGCTGCGTCCCAGGCCTCCGCATCTGATGTGAACCACAGCTTTGCAATCGGGTCCCCGTGCCATCCAAAAATATTTTGTGACCTTGCCGGTTGGCAGTTTTTTAAAAATGTTATTTTCAGTCTCCAAAAAAGGGAAACATCAAAGTGCAGGCTGTCCACTCCTGCCCTTCTTGATAGACACAGACAGCTGGGCCACACAATCAGCCATTGTGGCGACAAGTGCCCAACTGTTATAAATAGACGGCGGGCTCGCACGTGAAGCGCTCCAGAGGAAGGGCAAGTGCTCTGGGGACACTGCCAACTGCTGTTTCCGTCGAGAGCTCTTCTCAAAGATCAATATTATTTTATGTCTCAGTGACTGAATTTGAAAAAACGACTGTGAAAGCACCTGGTAACTTAACTGTCTCCAGGATTCCATTCCAAACGCATCTTCTCTCTTCACTGTTAATCTTAGATGTTTCCCATGCTTATTTAGTAATCATTGCCTGACGGCCCACTTCACTGCGATTTACAGTCTCTTGCGGCTCACTTGAAATGGTAGAGTTATGGATAACCGCGCTGGTGTATGTGCGTGTGATGCGTGGCCGGAAGCGCATGCCCATTGAATAATCACGTTCGTCCCACATCTTAGCCCCTCTTCCAAGACATGTTTACTATCGTTTACGTGTGACATGTCAAAACATCTTAAAACTATGCCACGCATGTAATAGGCTCTCAGTGATTAAAAAATCAGTTTGTCTCTTAAGGAGAAAAGAATAACAGCATGTGACTCTTGTGAGTCCCTGACAAAGAATCTGTTGTTCCCCGTGCACTTGAAGAGCCGCTCATGTCAAGAAGCAACTTGTGATTATGCAATGTGTGACTTAAGGCATTGTCAGATGCGTTCGGCTGAAACGGGACCCCGCCCCAGCAGTTTGCCTTACTAAGTTAACATGGTAGGTCAGATTTTAGTATTGTAGAAAAAGCCACATTCAATATTCTTTGAGTAGCATATTTATTTCCTAGGGCTACTGTACCAAAGTACCTCAAACCAGGTGGCTTCAAACAACAGAGTTACACGCTAGTTGATATCTAGTGATTCAAAGAACAGAATTCCACACTAGTTGTTATCTAGGAATGCGGAGTGAGTGATAGAGGGGGTTTTGGTGGCGTTATATTCTAATTTTGAAGTAAGTTTAAATTTACAGAGATGCTCCCAAACAGTATAAAGAATTCCCAAATACTCTTCACCCAGATTCCCTGAATTAACATTCCGACATGTTTGTCTGTCTGTCTCTCCACATACACACATCCCTTTTTTCCGGAATAATTTGAGAATAGACTGCAGAGAGTGCCTCTAGATTCTCCTGTGTGGGTTTCCTAAAAACAAGGACGCTGTCCCGGATAGCCTGCACCGACCTGCCCAAATCAGGACGTGGGCACTGTCACACCATGCCACCAAATGCAGAGGCCCCGGAGCCCGCCCAGGACCACAGGCGCCGTCTGTGTCAATGGCTCTCGAGTCTCCTTCAATCTGGGGCTGTTCCTTCGTCTCTGTCTTTCACGACCTTGACATTTTTTTAAGAGAACAGGCCAGTTACTTTGTAGAATGTCCCTCGGTTTGGGCTGGTCTCATATTCCTTCATGATGAGAATCAGGTGGTAGGTTCCTGGCAGGAGAGTCCCTGCAGGGTTGTCACGACAGGAACGCACACAGGTCTGATCAGTCCCATTTCTGGAGAAGTTAACTTATCATTTGGTTGAGGTGGTGTCTACCAGGTTTCTCCACTGTAAAATTAATTTGTTGGTATTTTGTAATTATCAGTTAAAAAGTACTGTTTCTGGTGGGGAGATTTTTTGGGGACTCGGAAAATATCCTGTTTCTCATTAAGCTTTTTGCCCATTTGTTTTAGCATCCTGGGATGATTCTTGCCTGAGGGAATTAGTATGAGCATTGCCAAATGGTGATGTTTCTAGTTGCATTGTTTCTTTTGCATTGATTAGTTGGCATTCCACTGCAAGCTGGAGCTTGCCTGCTGTCTTTCTCTCCTTCCTATCAATACACTCATAGACTCCTATTTTACCCATTGGGTTATAATTCATTACCATTATCATTTGCTTCGATACCCAGATTGTCCCAGATTTGGCCAAAAGCAGCGCCTCCAAGCTGGCCCCTGTGTTCTTTTGATGTGTTCATGTCATTCTTTGAGCACATCTTTACTTCTTCTTCTTTTTTTTTTTTTTTTAGATGGAGTCTTGCTCTGTTGCCCAGGTGGGAGTTCAGTGGCGTGATCTCTGCTCATTGCAAGCTCCGCCTCCCGGGTTCACGCCATTCTCCCGCCTCAGTCTCCCGAGTAGCTGGGACTACAGGCGCCCGCCACCACGCCCGGCTAATTTTTGTATTTTTAGTAGAGACGGGGTTTCACTGTGTTAACCAGGATGGTCTCAATCCCCTGACCTCGTGATCTGCCTGCCTCAGCCTCCCAAAGTGTTGGGATTACAGGTGAGAGCCACCATGCCTGGCCAGGTTTTTTCGTTTTTGTTTTTGTTTTTTTTGAGATGGAATCTCACTCTGTTGCCCCGGCTGGAGTGCAATGGCGTGATCATGGCTCACTGAAACCTCTGCCTCCTGGGTCCATGCAATTCTCCTGCCTCAGCCTCCCATGTAGCTGGGATTACAGGCGTGCGCCACCACACCCAGCTAATTTTTGTATATTTAGTAGAGATGGGGTTTCACCATGTTGGCCAGGCTGATCTCCAACTTGTAACCTCAGGTGATCTGCCTGCCTCGTCCTCCCAAAGTGCTGGGATGACAGGTGTGAGCCACTGCTCCCGGCCACATGTTTAGTTCTTGGTTCTAGGCTCACCCGGAACTTTCCTTGCTCCAGCCCTGGAATCAGCCATTTCTCCAATAAGCCCTGGTTCCTTTTAGTAGAAAGTGGTTTTTAGAAACCAGGATCTAAGTATTAGGTGTGTTCACGCTACTGGGCTATTACGGCTACAAGGACTTCTCAAGCAGCGTAGTTAGGAATTTTTTTTTTTTTTTTTTTTTTTTGAGACGGAGTTTCACTCTTGTTGCCAAGACTGGCATGCAGTGGCAGGAACTTGGCTCACCGCAACCTCTGCCTCCCGGTTCAAGCAGTTCTCCTGCCTCAGCCTCCCTAGTAGCTGGGATTACAGGCATGCGCCACCACGTCCGGCTAATTTTGTATTTTTAGTAGAGACGGGGTTTCACCATGTTGGTCAGGCTGGGTCTCAAACTCCTGACCTCAGGTGACCCATCCATCTTGGCTTCCCAGAGTGCTGGGATTACAGGCATGAGCCACCGCGCCTGGCATAGCTAGGAAATTAAACATATGCATGTACTTCCCTACACGTACACATATGTTTGTACATACACACACGGGCACACATGCGTTTGTAGTTCTTTGTATCCATCTGTCCCGCTCGTATCTATGTATCCATTCATCTCATATAAAAATCATGATACCATCCAAGTCAAATGGTTTGTTTCAGCTTTCTCCCCTTTCCTTGGCTGTGCCCCTCTTTTCTAACAATAACAGTAACAGCTCTTATCATATTAACTGTTTTTATTTATTGACCCTTGTATGTCACCAGTCTTCTGACATGCAGGCCATCCAGTCCATGTTCCTGGCCCAGGAACATGGCAGCCAAGGGTCCCCACCCCCACTTCGGCCCCCAACAGTGGACTCTCGGGATAGTTCTTTTTTTTTTTTTGAGACACAGTCTCACTCTGTCACCCAGGCTGGAGTATAGTGGTGTGATCTCGGCTCACTGCAGCCACTAACTCCTGGGTTCAAGCAGTCCTCCCACCCTAGCTTCCTGAGTAGCAGGGACTACAGGTGTACACCATCATGCCCGTCTACTTTTGTATTTTTTGTAGAAACAGGGTCGGTCTTACCTTGTTGCCCAGGCTGGTGGATAGTTCTTTATAGCAGTAGCCTAAACAGAAAAACATATACAACATAAGCTAAGAAAAAGGCCTCCCTTATCGATATTTCTGGGTTAATCTGAAAGATTTTGAAGTCTGGAAGAATCAGCTGGTTGTTGGTAAAGGGACGGTGGACATGAAGGATGCGGAAGGGATGGGTTGGAGGCGGGAGGTGAGTTTCATGTGGTGTTTTTGACTCAGAGGGTCACTTTTATTGTTCTGCCTTGTAGTCAGAAGAAAAATCTTTTCACGTGGTTTCGGCTCAGAAGTATGTTAGAAAGTAGACTACAGAGACTGAAGGTGACATTCCAGAGACTTTTTAAGGATAATCTGGCCAAAGGTGTTTACTATTTGATTAGCCAGCATCCTTGGGCTCGGCTAGGGTCTTGGTCTGGTCTGAGAACATGTTGGGGGATTGTGCCAGTGTCGGTGGTGGGTGCCTGTGCCTGGTCATCTATGGGCAGCTAGGGGTGGGTGCTGCCCCTTCCGACTTTCTCTCCACTGCAGAGACGAAGCCTTCAGCAGCATTTCCCTGGACCCTCTTCTCTCTGGTCCCAGGTCAGGTTCTGTACAGCAATGGAAAGCAGGGGAGAGGATGCCCACGCTGTGCGTGGCCGTTTGGAGCAGACTCAGGGACCAGTGGGACCTCCTCTTCTGGGTGAGCTTGGCAACCACTCTTTTAGGAATTCCAGTTTGTAATGCCTTCCGGGTGAGCCCTGTGAGTCGCTTGCTCTTAGTAGTGTCCTTTGCTGCCCCAGCCTTCTGCTTCCCTGTATTTAAAACCTTTCTGAGCCAGGATTACGATTTCCTGATACCATGACTGACCCTTGGTCGTTATGAGTCCTGATGGTCCCAGGAGCTTTTCCTTCATTTGCTTGGGTTTTGAGTTGTGAGCTGGAGACCAGGGGTTTTGCTTGATGGGGACATTCCTGGCTCTTCTCCTGGGGAGTGACCATGGGCCCTGCCTAGGTGAGATCCTCTGGATTGTGAGGAGGGACTTGAGCAGCCCTACTAGAGTGCCGTCTATGGGAACCCTCAGCATCGCCTGTCCAAGCCAGCATCTAGTGGACGCTCACGCTGTGTGAGACACTGAGCTTATCCAGCAAGGGCAGAAATGGCAGCTCTTGGGAAAGAAGGGAGTGGGGCATCGCTGTGTCTCCTATTATTTGCCATTGTGGCCTCCCTCTCCAGGTGCACCGAGGGGCCTATCTGTGTGATTCTTGCAGGGGTACTGACGTCCGTTTCATCTCACCCGTGTCCCTCTACAAGTGCAGGAGTTGTAGGGCTATGTTATTCTTAGGTAGCTTAATGGATCCATTTTCATAATAAACTCCATTTTATTTTGTTTGCCATTGTACTGCCATTTGCGGAACAAAGAGAAGTTATATAAACCACAGAAGGGGGAGAATGTGACCCAGGAATAAACTGTTGTGTTTCACAGTAAGTGTATGGAACTAATTTAGAATGATTTTTCATTGTCAAACAAAGAACAAATGGAAATTTGAACAATGCATGGTTACTTTTAACAAAGACTTCATTTTAATGTTATTAGTGTTTTCTCATTTTAAAATGGCAGTGCAAATATAACCTTAAAATAGGGTTTATGACTAATTACATTTCTTTTTTGTATGTCTGACAATTTCCAATTATTGGGTGTTTGTGTTCCCCAGCCCACCCTCCCCCAAAAATGACAGGGAACAGAAACCAGTGAAAAGATCTCTCTTTGGCGCCCTTCCCAGACTAGGACCTGTTTTGTTCAGGGTGAGCACAGAGGAGAACTGGGTCCTCTTGTCAGGCTGAAGGGGACGTCACAGAAGCCCCAAGTGGGTCACGGCAGAGCGTCAGCCAGAACCTCCAGGGCTCACTCCCAGGCCTCAGTCACCAGATGCTTCGTGGCTACCTGGGTAAGGGAGGGTTCAGGGCAAGTTAGGGACTGCAATGAGAAAACAACACACTCTGGCCGGATGCGGTGGCTCACGCCTGTAATCCCAGCACTTTGGGAGGCCGAGGCGGGCGGATCACCTGAGGTCAGGAGTTCGAGATCAGCCTGGCCAACGTGGATTTCAACCAAGGACCTGCTTGGTCATAGATTTCAACCGAAGGACCTGATTGGTCATGGATTTCAACCAAAGGACCTGATTGGTCATGGATTTCAACCAAAGGACCTGATTGGTCATGCAGACAGAACTTTGAAGGCTGTCATGGGTTGTGTCCATGTTGTTTGGTTTTCCATCTTGAACGAATACCAGTGTGCGTCTAACAGCTCACACAGAAGCCCATTGGTTACAAAGGAATTGCAATTGTCAATCCAATTGCCCCCCAGGGAGAACTGAAGATTTTTTTAAATAATGTCTTCGTAACAGCTGTGTAAGTCCCCCAGGCCCTTAACTAGAGAAACCACATCACAGAATTTTATTTACTTTATAAATTCTAATATTTTAGAATTAAGATAATTTGTAGTTTAGATGATTTTTGCTAAGCTAGCTCTCTCTTTCTTTTTATCTCTTCCTTTCTCTCTTTTCTTTCTTTCTTTGATGGAGTCTCAAAAAAAGGAGAAGGGTGTCCAAACATCCTGGATGAAAATGGCTCCATGCTGTCATAGAATTTTATTTACTTTATAAATCCTAATATTTTAGAACTTAAAAAAGATACTTTGTAGTTTAGATGGTTATAGTTAAGCTATTTCATTTTTTTTAAAAAACGAAGAAATTAGCATTCAATGTCTGCCTAGAAACAATCTTATATACAGTCCTTATGTACAAATCTTTTTTGTGGAATATGTTTTCGTAGTTTTTTGTTTTTTGTTTTAGATTGGGTCTTGCTCTGTTGACCAGGCTGGAGTCCAGTGGCGTACTTATAGCTTACTGCAGCCTCGACCTCCAGAGCTCAGTCAGTCCTCCTACCTCAGCCTCCCAAGTAGCTGGGACTGCAGGTGCATGCCAGCACACTTGGATAATTTAAAAAAAAAACTTTTTTTTTGTTGTTTTGTTGAGACGGGGTCTCACTTATGTTGCCCAGGCTGGTCTCGAACTTCTGGGCTCTAGCGAAGCTCTTTCATTTTAGAAAAGGATCATGTCACCTCGATATGTGAGGTCTGTGGAAAATCTTGCTTTAAGATGATCTGCGTGAACTAGTAGCTTAGATTATTGAGTCTTATTTTCTTCAGAACTCTGATAGGCACAATTACTAGATTTAAGTTAAAGGGCTGTAAAACAGCCTCAGTACTTTTTCATGAAGTAGACAAGTTTCACAGTGCTTTGGAAATGACTACTAAGCTACTCCCAGCCTGCTCATTGAGAACTCACGATTTCCTCTGGATGAGTGGGAATGTTGTTGGTTCTGCATTTGTCATCAGTGCTTAGGACACACACACACAAGCAACGTGTGCTGGCCCATGCAGTTTTTCCTTATTTACAAAGCTCATGTGAGAATTGTGACTCTGCCCATTCGTGGATCTGCACAACATATGGTGACGAATATAAGTTCGGGGGCGTGGGGGGAATGCGCATGTGCTATGGTTCAGTGCTGGGCACTGGGTGTTGTGGTTCAGTGCTGGGCACTGTGTGCCGTGGTTCAGTGCTGGGCACTGTGCTGATTGCTTCTGCGACTCCGGACAGATACTTAAGGCTCAGCTCAGGTTCGTCATTAACACGAATCACAAATTCAGACCTGGTGCCGTGGCTCACACCTGTGATCCCAGCACTTTGGGAGGCCGAGGCAGGAGTATCACTTGAGCCCAGGATTTGGAGGCCAGCCCGGGAAACATAGGAAGACCCCCAACTCTACAAAAAATATGAAAAAAAGTTTAGCCAGGTGTGGTGGTATGCAACTGTAGTCCCAGCTACTGGGGAGGCTGAAATGGGAGGATCGCTTGAGCCTAGGAGTTCAAGACCAGCCTGGGCAACATGATGAAACCTCATCTCTACAAAAAAAAAAAAAAAAAAAAAGAAAGAAAAAAAGCATGGTGGTGCATGTCTGTAGTCCCAGCTACTCGGGCGGCTGAGGTGAAAGGATCACTTGAGCCAAGGAGGTCGAGGCTGCAGTGAGCCAAGATCGCGCCACTGTACTGCAGCCTGGGCAACAGAGTGAGACCCTATCTCAAAAAATTCACAAGGGTTTTCAAAGCTAGTTACTGCCTGAGACCATCTTCCCCTCTTGGATGGATGCAGCAAATTGGGAGGCAAAATTATTTGGCTCTTTTTTTTTTTTTTTTTTTTTTTTTAAGGCAGAGTCTTGCTCTGTTGCCCAGGCTGGAGTGCAGTGGTCCGATCTCAGCTCACTGCAACCTCAGCCTCCTGGATTCAAGCAATTCTCCTGCCTCAGCCTCCTGAGTAGCTGGGATTACAGGTACACGCCACCACACCTGGCTAATTTTTGTATTTTTAGTAGAGACAGGGTTTCACCATGTTAGTCAGGCTGGTCGCGAACTCCTGACCTTGTGATCTGCCCGTCTTGGCCTCTGAAAGTGCTGGGATTACAGGCGTGAACCACCGTGCCCAGCCGCGTTTGGCTCCTTCCTAACTAAACAGAGATTAAACTGTTTATTGTTACCTGGGCTTTCATTTTTTCATAGCAGTCACTTTATTTTCATCTCTTTGTCCTCAGCTTCCCCTCAAATATTTGTCAAGTGTCTACCAAGGCTGGGAATGATAGTAAAAGGAGTTTAAAAAACAAAAGAGGCTCTAAAAATGGTACTAGACTCTTCCATTCAGGACTTTGTCCAAAGCCTCACTTTATAATGCTTTTGTGATTTATCCTCATTCCCATAAACTCAGATGATACGAATTTATACGAGTTTGCATTAATAAATATTTCTTGCATGCTTGTCTTATCAACCATACCGAGCCAGCACAGCCTCATCTCGTAAAGAGTTGGCAGTCACGTGCGGGAGCCGGGAGCCCGTTGCTGTGAGGCCGGGAAGTGGATTGTTGGTCTGGGGAAAGATTTATTTTCTGGGGGCAAAAGAGGCGGGGTGGAGAGTCCCTCCGCCTGCCTGGAGTGCTGATGTGGCCTCAGAGCTAGGTCCTGAAAAATTGCTGGGATTTAGATGCAGGCTCTACATGTAGAGAGATTGTTTAAATGTATAATGGTTCAGAAGTGACACTCTCTTGCTATGTTTCTCTGAAAATAGATCAGCCTTCTCTGTTGGGATCTATGAAGCTCCAGAGATAAAACTGATATACATTAAAGTGGCTCGTGGTTAAAGGAAGTATGTTTGTTAATATTAAACCGAGGTTTCTCTGGTAACTAGATTTTAAATGATTTGATTCCATAGGTTTATAATGGAGAAATCCAGATCTCCAAAATGTAAGTTTTACTATATGGGAAGCCTTTTTTTGATTTCCTTTGCTGTGTTTGGTAAATAGCCTGGAAGAAAATGGCTCCGTCCTATCACAGAATTTTATTATTTACTTCATAAACCTAGTGTTTTAGAATTTTTTTTTTGTTTTTTTGTTTTTTTGTTTTTTTTGAGATGGAGTCTCACTCTGTTGCTCAGGATGGAGTGCAGTGGTGCGATCTCAGCCCACTGCAACCTCCGCCTCCTGGGTTCAAGCGATTCTCCTGCTTCAGCCTCCGGAGTAGCTGGGATTACAGGCACACACCACCACACCTGGCTAATTTTTGTATTTTTAGTAGAGATGGGGTTGCACCATGTTGGCTAGACTGGTGTCGAACTCCTGATCTCAGGTGATCCGCCCACCTGGGTCTCCCAAAGTGCTGGGATTACAGGCATGAGCCACCGTGCCTGGCCTAGAATTTTAAAAAGATTCTTTGTAGTTTAGATGGTTCTAGTTAAGCTATTTCATTTTTTTAAAAAGGAAGAAACTAGCATTCAATGTCTGCCTAGAAAACAAAAATAAAAAAACAACAAAAAAGGAAGAAACTGAGGTCTGTGGCACTTAAGTGCCCCACTCAAGGTTGCAGAGTTCCTAGTGATGTTATTTTTTAATGAACTTTTCTTCTCCTTCTCTTTTTTGTTAAATTTTGGCAGACTGTTTTACCAAAGCCTAACTGTACTTTTCTTAATTAACTTTGGAATGAATTCTGGATATACTCATTCCAGCAATGCACAGAAAATTCTAGGCAAAGAATAAAAGACTCCACATTGTTTATTATTATTATTTTTGAGATGTAGTCTTGCTCTGTTGCTCAGGTTGGAATGCAGTGGCGGAATCTTGGTTCACTGCAACCTCTGCCTCTCATGTTCAAGTGAGTCTCCTGCCTCGGCCTCCCAAGTAGATGAGATTACGGGCAGCTGAGATTACAGGCACGTGCCACCATGCCTGGCTAATTTTTGTATTTTTAGTAGAGATGGGGTTTCACCATGTTGGCCAGGCTGGTCTCGAACTCCTGACCTCAAGTGATCCTCCTGCCTCGGCTTCCCAAAGTGCTGGGATTATAGGTGTGAGCCACCGCGCCGGGCCAGACTCCACATTGTGAAAAAACGAGGGAACCGCTTCTGATTTTGCTCCAGTGGTGTATTCCTCTGTCTTGTTATAATGCTTTATGTTTACATATAACACATTATACGATTTTTAAAGCAACCCCACAGGGAAGAGTTTTAATTTTTTGTTTGTTTGTTTTTGAGACAGAGTCTTGCTCTGTCGCCCAGGCTGGAGTGCAGTGGCGCCATCTGGGCTCACTGCAAGCTCCGCCTCCCGGGTTCACGCCATTCTCCTGCCTCAGCCTCCCAAGTAGCTGGGACTTCAGTCGCCCGCCACCACGCCCGGCTAATTTTTTGTATTTTTAGTAGAGATGAGGTTTCAGCATGTTAGTCAGGATGGTCTCGATCTCCTGACCTCGTGATCTGCCCGCCTCGGCCTCCCAAAGTGCTGGGATTACAGGCGTGAGCCACTGCGCCCGGCCGAGTTTTAATATTTTTAGTCCTGTTTTACAAAGGGGAGAAACGAAGCACAGAGAAGTTTAGGAACTTGCCCAAATCATACAGTTGATAAGTTAGCAGACCAAAACCGGAATCGTCCAAACGGAGTGGCAGCCAGAAAGCATTTTATAGGTAAAGTCACATCCTACACTGTAAATAAAAACCTCTTGGAACACAGAGTTCGCCAGGTGGCTGTTGGATTTTCATGTCAGCGCTGGTCTAGCTCCGTTTTGCAGGATTTTTTGTTGTTGTTATCACAGTATATTCTAAAAATAACTATATGTTCATTTCCACTCTTTCAGATAATTAATATTTATAAATCCTAGTCACTAGGAAATATAGTTCAACCAACAATTGAATGGAATGCAGGTCCTCTGGGAACTTATCTAAAATTAAATCCTATTTTAACAGAATTAGCTAGATTAAGGTCATGGTGTAAAAACTGATTTTTCAGAAGGAAATAAAAATGCAAAATATCCTAAGAATTCATTTTGTAAATAATTGAATCAAATAACAATGGGGCGGGGAAGAAGCCATATATTTTTCCTCTCTTTTTAGAAATGAATTGAAGGCCAGACATGCTGGTTCACATGTAATCCCAGCACTTTGAGAGGCCAAGCGGGAGAATTGCTTAAGCCCAAGAGTTTGAGACCAGCCTGTGCAACATAGGAAAACCCTGTCTCTACAAAAGAATTTAAAAACAGCTGAGTCAGCTGGGCGCCGTGGCTCACGCTTGTAATCCCAGCACTTTCGGAGGCTGAGGTGGATGGATCATAAGGTCAGGAGTTTGAGACCAGCCTGGCCAACATGGTGAAACCCCCGTCTCTGCTAAAAAAACAAAAATTAGCCAGGAGTGGTGGCGGACGCCTGTAGTCCCAGCTACTCAGGAGGATGAGGCAGGAGATCTGCTTGAACCCGGGAGGCAGAGGTTGCAGTGAGTCGAAATCACACCAGTACACTTCAGCCTGGGCGACAGAGCAAGACTCCGTCTCAAAAAAAAAAAAAAAAAAAAAACTTAGCTGGGGGCAGTGGCACATCCCTGAGGTCCCAGCTACTTGGGAGGCCGAGGTGGGAAGATGGCTTGGGCCCAGGTGATCGAGGCTTTAGTGAGCTGTGATTACTCCACCGTACTCCAGCATGGGCAACACGGTGAAACCTTGTCTCAAAAAAAAAAAAAACAAAAAAAATCAGATAAATAAAAACAAAAAATTGTTTAGACTCATGAATCATCAACTTTTTCTTTTTCTTTGCCCATTTTCTTTTTTAAGTATTAGCTTGGCATTAAAGCAGTAGTATATGAAGATGGAATTTGCTAGTACTTTATTTGTGATTCCAGAGTTAAATGCTACTGCAATCAAGTCTTCCTTGAATTTAGCAATAGATTTAAAAGTTTAGAAAGAGCCTCTTTTTTTTTTTTTTTTTTTTTTGGTTTTAATACGGGGCCTTGCTTTGTCGCCCTTGCTCGATCGCCCAGTGATCTCAGCTCACTGCAACTTCTGCCTCCTGGGTTTAAGTGATCCTCCTGCTTCAGGCTCCCAAGTAGCTGGGATGACAGGCGTAAACCACTACGCCCAGCTACATTTTGTGTTTTTAGTAGAGACGGAGGTGTCACCATATTGGCCAGGCTGGTCTCAAACTCCTGACCTCAGGTGATCCACCTGCCTTGGCCTCCCACAGTGCTGGGATTACAGGCGTGAGCCACCATGCCCAGCCCAAGTCTAGCTCTTTAGAAGGAAAAAATAAGGGTAGAAATTCAGAGAAGGATGAGTGTGGAGTGGCTTCCTTGCTCTATTTCTAGAATATGCCATTTCTTGGGAAGTCTTATGACCCTGCTGGTCTTTAATGTCCCCTATATGATTTTCCTCCCTGGGCTTTGATTCTCTGCTTTATCTCCTGTGGTCTTTTCCATCCAGAAATTTTGAAGGGGTATTTACCTTCAACTTAAAACTGACTACTACAGGTAAGTAGTGGCCCTGCTGTTTCCACCCTCCCATGTCTACTGGAAGCAGAATTGTTTCACCTGTCTCGTTGGAAAATCAAATGAGGTAATGGAAATGAAAAGTACTACACAAGTGTGATTATTAAAGACAGTTCAGTCAATAGGTGAAAAGACTCGTGTAGATACTTTATTTAACCTGGAATCAATGTCTTATACTCAGTAGACACTCCTTAGATGTGAGTTTAAAGATGTCATTACTCCTATAATACCAGCACTGTGGGAGGCCAAGGCGGGTGGATCACCTGAGGTCAGGAGTTCGAGACCAGTCTGGCCAACATGGTGAAATCTCGTCTCTACTAAAAATACAAAAATTAACCAGGTGTGGTGGCGGCTGCCTGTAATCCTAGCTACTCGGGAGGCCGAAGTGGGAGGATCGCATGAACCCAGGAGGTGGAGATTGCAGTGAGCCGAGATTGCGCCACTGCACTCTAGCTTGGGTGACAGAGCGAGACTCTATCTCAAAAAAAAAAAAAAAATTAAGAAGATGTCATTTTAATGAGCAGTTCTTTGTTAAGTAAAGAAGAAGAGGAAACCAGGAAATATGATAGTGCTTGGCCACCTCACCAAGTGTTTGTCTTAAAAGAAGCTTTCTTGATTAAGTAAAAATTTAAAAGGAAGGAAAGAAAAACCCAACCTCACCGCAACAAACTACCCTAGTCTGAGGTAATTGTGTAGTGTAATGTCCCTACACCTGAATTTTTCATGCACCTGCAGATTTAGGGGCTCTGCCTATCTTTGAGTATAAATGTCCACTGAATTATTAGCAAAATGATTTGTTCTCAGAAACCAAAATTTTAGCCTAGATGAATGCCGCCATTGGAGTTATTTATATGAAAAGGCGTGTTAAGCTCAATGGTCTTCTCTTCTCTTCTCTTGTTTTCTTTTCTTTTGGATTTGAGACAGGGTTTTGCTCTGCCACCCAGCCTGGAGTGCAGTGGTGCAATCATGGGTCACCGCAGCCCCTACCTCCTGGGCTCAGGTGATCCTCCCACTTCAGCCTCCCAAGTAGCTGGGACTACAGGTGTGCACCATCATGCCCAGCTAATTTTTGCATTTTTCGTAGAGATGGGATCTCACTATGTTACCCAGGCTGGTCTTGAACACCCGAGCTCAAACGATCCGCCTGCCTCGACCTCCCAAAGGGCTGGGATTACAGGCGTGAGTCCCTGCACCTGACCTCAATTGTTCCTTTCAGCAAAAGTAAAATTTTAACTTTCAAGGGTGCAATCCTGCTTTTTTTTTTTTTTTTTTTTTTGAGACAGAGTTTCACTCTTGTTGCCCAGGCTGGAATGAAATGGTGCGATCTCGGCTCACTGCAACCTCTGCCTCCCAGGTTCAAGTGATTCTCCTATCTCAGCGTCCCGAGTAGTTGAGATTACAGATACATGCCACCGTGCCTGGCTAATTTTTGTATTTTTAGTAGAGATGGAGTTTCATCTTATTGGTCAGGCTGGCCTCGAACTCCTGACCTCAGAACATCTGCCTGCCTCAGCCTCCCAAAGTGCTGGGATTACAGGCGTGAGCCACCGCACCTGGCCTGCAATCCTGCATTTAAAGCATTTTTAAAGTGTCGTTGGAACACTTAAAAAGACAAGAATTAAAACAGTAGCAGAACACCTAAAATGGCAAGGAAACGGCATGAGGGCGTGTAACACAGAAAGGGGTGGGTGTTTGAGAAACAGCACCGCAAGTACGTGGGGAAGCGGCAAAGATGGAGGACATGGGAGATGGGGGTGGAAAGGGGCTTGGGGCCTGGTAGTGAAAGACTTTGCATGCCACGTTAGAGTCTCTGCTCTGTTCTGTTAGCAGGAGTTTGTAGTAGTACCTATTCACAGACTGGTGCGGGTTAACTGTGAGGGTAATGCGTGTAAGGTGCTTAGAACAGTGTTTGACACATAATCCGTATTCTCTAAATCTTAGTTGTAGGAGATGTTGTTGCTATTATTTTTATAAAAGGGCAAGCATTACGAGTTTCAGAGCAAGGCTTATGGGGTGATAATATAATGGAGGATGAATTGGAAGAGGAGAAACTGGAAGCCTGGAGAATGGTTTGGAAGCTCTTTGCTGGGGCCCGAGAGACATTCAGGGTTCAGGCAGTGGGAGTGGAAGGAAAGTAGTGGATTCCACAGCGAGACTTGGCAGGGCTTGATGGTGAGGGAAAGGAAGGAGAAGAAAGTGACCTGGAGGCTTCTGGTTTGGATGGTTGGGGAGTGATGACCCCGAGAGAAGAGAGGAGAGAAACAGGGTTGTGAGGATGAGACCCAACTACTCTGTTCCTCTTTTCTCAACTGAAACCATGCTGACTTCATACTGCAAAGAGTGTACAGCGACACGGTATCTCAGTCCGTTTTACTGCTGCAACAAAATACCTGCAACTGGGTGATTTCCAAACAATAGAAATTTATTTCTTACAGTTCTGGAGGCAGTTCTGGAGGCCGAGAAGTCCAGGATCGAGGCCTTGGCATTGGGTGTCTGGTGCCATGTCCTCACATGACAGAAGAGCAAAGGCTACGGACTCGTTCCCTCAGGCCTTTCATGCGGTTGCTCACCCCTAAGCCCTCTCGTATTAGGGTCTTCATCCCATTTGAGAAGGTGGAGCACTCATGACTTCTTCCTTACCTCCTAAAGACCCCACTGCCTTTTTTTTTTTTTTTGAGACAGAATCGTACTCTGTCGCCCAAGCTGGAGTGCAGGGGTGCAATCACGGCTCACTGCAGCCTGGACCTCCTGGGCTCAGGCGATCCCCCCACCTCAGCCTCCCTTGTAGCTGAGACCACAGGCGTGTGCCACCACGTCTGGCTCATTAAAAACAATTTTGTTTTTGTAGAGACGGAGTCTTCGCTGTGTTGCCTAGGCTGGTCTTGGACTCCTGGACTCAAGTGATTCTTCCACCTCAGCCTCCCAAACTGTTGGGATTACAGGTGTTGAGCCACTGTGCCAGTAAGACCCCACTTAATACCATCCCTTCGTGATGAAGTTTAAACACGTCAATTTTGGGGGACATTTAGACCATAGCACATAGGTTTCAAAAATGAGTCAAAGCCTTAAATGGATTGTCTCTTTTCTAGTACCAGCTGATAGGCCTCACGTCTGTTCACTGCCTTCTGATGCTCCTCCTTAACCCTGTGTAGGACTCTGTAGTACAGGTCTCCGCTCAAAGACAGTTGTAAACGTGGCACAGTTAGTCAAGAGCATTACAATAAAAAATGCTCAGCATCACTCATCACAGAGAAATGCAAATCAAAACCAGAAGGAAATATCACCTTATGCCAGTCAGAATGGCTATTAGAATTATATGAGAATAATATTAAGAAGTGGGGTCTTACTGGGCACAATGGCTATTATTAATCCCACTACTAGATATCTACCCAGAGGAAAAGAAATCGATCTATCAAAGGGATACCTGCACTTGTATGTTCATCACAGCAATGTTGGCAATAGCAAAGGTATGGAATCAATGTGGCCATCATCGAATGGATGGGTAAAGAAACTGTGGTATATGTATATGCAGTGGGATACTGTCCAGCCATCAAGGGGAACAAAACCCTGTTATTTACAATAACATGGATGGAACTGAAGGTCATTATTATTATGATTATTTTTTATTTTTATTTTTTAGAGAAGAGTCTTGCTCTGTTGCCCAGGTTAGAGTGCAGTGGCACAATCATAGCTCACTGCAGCCTTGACCTCCTGGGCTCAAATGATCCTCCCACCTCAGCCACACGAGTAGTTGGGACCACAGGCATGTACCACCATGCCTGTCTAATTTTGTTTATTTTTTGTAGACATGGGGTCTCACTATGTTGCCCAGGCTGGTCTTGAACTCCTGGGGCTCAAGCGATTGTCCCACCTTGGCCTCTCGAAGTTCTGGAGTTACAGGCATGAGCCACCATGCCCAGCTTGGAAGTCATTAAGTGAAGGAAGCCAGACACAAAAGACATATTGCATGTTCTTATATGTGGGAGCTAAAAGGTTTGATCACATGGAGGTAGAGAGTGGCAAGAAGGGTAACAGAGGCTGGGAAGGGTGAGTGGCGGGGAGGAGAAGGGTCAAGAGAAGTCGGTTAAAGGGTACCATCATGCAGTAACGTAGAAGGAATAAGTTCAAGGCTTGAGAGCAGAGTAATATTATTCTAATATTATATATATTCTCACCTAACAAAAAATGTATTGTGGCTGGGCATGGTGGCTCCCGCCTATAATCCCAGCACTTTGGGAGGCCAAGACAGGCAGATCACCTGAGGTCAGGAGTTCGAGACCAGCCTGGCCAACATGGCGAAACCCTTTCTCTACTAAAAATACAAAAATTAGCCGGGTGGTTGGTGGGTGCCTGTAATCCCAGCTACTCTGGAGGCTGAGGCAGGAGAATTGCTTGAACCTGGGAGGCGGAGGTTGCAGTGAGCCGAGATTGCACCACTGCACTCCAGCCTGGGTGACAGAGCGAGATTGTCTCAAAAAAAAAAAAAAAAAAAACAAACAAACCCCAAAACCAAAATGTATTGTATTTGAGTGATGGGCACCCTGAATGCCCTGACTTCATCACTGCGCATTATATACATGCCATAAAATTTCTCACATACCCTCCAAGTTTGTATAAATAAAAAGGGGGTGTTGAATACAGACTTTCAAAGAAAAAGCATTCTGCTCAAAACTCATAAGGGGACGTGGTGTGTGTGTGAGTTCTGAAAGAAGTTTGAAGGACCAGGGTTGACCACATGATCACGGGAAACAGCAGCTCCTGGGTTGCTTCAAGGTGCTGTGGCTGTTGGTGGATGAAATCAGCCTACTAGGAGATAGGAAGATACAAGGAGCTTCTCCAGTGTACTGGAAGATCACAGCTCTGGCATCATGGGATCTAAGGAGCTGGCTTGTCTTTAGTGAAGGGAGGGGGGCTGGGGCCCCTTGGAATCTTTTTTTTTTTTTTTTTTTTTTTTTTTGAGATGGAGTTTCACTCATTTGCCCAGGCTGGAGTGCAATGGCACGATTTGGGCTCACCACAACCTCCGCCTTCCGGGTTCAAGTGATTCTCCACCCTCAGCCTCCCAAGTAGCTGGGATTACAATCATGTGCCACCACGCCTGTCTAATTTTGTATTTTTAGTAGAGACGGGGTTTTTCCATGTTGGTCAGGCTGGTCTCAAAACTCCCGACCTCAGGTGATCCGCCTGCCTCGGCATCCCAAAGTGCTGGGATTCCAGGTGTGAGCCACCGTGCCCGGCCCCCTTGGAATCTTTAAGGCCAAGACCTGGGAGGCTGGAGGTCGAGCATGAAACAAAGCGAAATTTCCCTGAGAAGGAAGAAAGAAGTGAGGATTCCCTGAAACCAAGAAGCAGCTCTGTGTTCCCATCTTTCCTCGTGTGTGTCATTGGCTTCCCATGCATATAGGCTTTGCGAGGCAATCTAAGCATGTGTGCACGTGTGTTTTGTGTTTTTGTGTATAATTGAGTATGGCTGACTTTTGAGTGGGCACCCATAATCACTCTGTATGGCAATTACACTTATATTAACTTTAATCCATTTCAGAGTAATGACTCATAATATTTAATACCCACATATCATTGTGTATTATATATTAAGTAATTATTAAGATATAATAGCTGTCCTGTGGTTCTTTCTGCAGTTCTGCAATGCATAAGTAAATATATATCTACTTAGCACCTGGCAGAATTCTGACACTGGTTCCCTGGAGTGAGGGCTGTTGTGGTAGCAAAGGCCAAGTGGAAGCTGCCAGAACTGCCTCTGTCTACCAAAATAGTCAACCCAAAGCAATTATCACATTCCTGGGAGGATGGCAGAGATTAGTGCCACCATCAGGGACTTGAAAGATGCAAGGGTGGTGATCGTGTCACATCTCCGTTTAATCCATATTTGGCTTGTCTAGAAGACGGATGGATCTTAGAGAATGACAGCAGGTTGTCATAAACTTAAACTAGGCGGTGACTGCAGTTACAGCTGCTGTGCCAGATGTGTTTTTGTTGCTGGAACAAATCAACACATTTCCTGGTACCTGGTATGCGGTGAGTGTCTTCTCCTTCTCTACCTGGTAGTAAAGATGACCAGAAGGGTCTTGCTTCCAGCCGGCAAGGTCCACAGCCCGCCTTCATAGTTACACTTCAGGGGTCTGTCAGCTACCAGCCTTATGTTATCACTTCAGTCTCCTTCTTCATTCCATGGGGTGCCAACGGATAACCACTCAGATAGAATGTAAAAGGACTTTGGGCCAGGTGCAGTGGCTCATGCCTGTAATCCCAGCGCTTTGGGAGGCTGAGGTAGGCAGATCACTTGAGGTCAGGAGTTTGACACCAGCCTGGCCAATATGGTGAAACCCCATCTAATAAACCCCTACTAATAATACAAAAATTAGCTGGGCCTGGTGGCAGGTGCCTGTAATCCCAGCTACTCAGGAGGCTGAGGCAGGAGAAACTCTTGAACCTGGGAGGCGGAGGTTGCAGTGAGCCGAAATCGTACCAGTGCACTCCAGCCTGGGTGACAGAGTGAGACCTTGTCTCAAAAAAAGTTCATAAAAGGACTTTGGCTCCTCTTCTGGGGAGAGGGTTAGCATGGTTTTGGTTGTAAGACGGATAGTAGCATTATATGGCATGGAAGCCTAGTTGCTATTTACTTGATTTGGAAGTTAAGTACGGTTGAAAAGAGGAGTAGATATGGACACCAAGTTGACAAGGGGTACGTGTAGTGAGTTCGTTTTGCGTCACCTTGGCTAAGTTGGAGCTCTGTATGTAACTTGAGCCACAAGAGACCATTTGTGTAAGACCGAGAAGGCAGAGGGGACACAGCAGCCACATGCACTGTGGCTCATGCACGTGGTCTCTGATCTGCAGGCTCACCTTGTTGGCGCACGGCAGCCATCAGGCCTGTACCTCTTCTGAAACCCACCAAATCTTTCGTTGTTCCCCTCATCTGCGTATGTGGCAGACAGTTTTTCTATGTTTTCAGGCAATTGTTGAGCAAATAATAATAGAATTTTTGAACAGGCCAGCATCGGTGCTAATATGTGCCAGGCACAGATCTGAGCCCTTTAGAGTATTTACTCATTTAATCCTCAAAACCCTGTAAAGTCACTGATGTTGCCATAATCTGTCAGACTCAGAAACTGAGGCACAAAGAGGTTAAGTAATTGCTTAAGCCTTCACAGGAATTGGGATCTGAACCCAGGCATTTTGGTGTCGAGTCCATGAACTGACGAAGAACATAGATAACTGTTGTCAGCTTGTCAAGGCTCATGCCTGTAATCCCAGCACTTTGGGAGGCCGAGGCGGGTGGATCACAAGGTCAGGAGATTGAGACCATCCTGGCCACCATGGTGAAACCCTATCTCTACTAAATCATAAAAAATTAGCGTCTGTAGTCCCAGCTACTCAGGAGGCTGAGGCAGGGGAGTCGCTTGAACCTCGGTGGTGGAAGTTGCAGTGAGCCAAGATTACACCACTGCACTCTGGCCTGGCGACAGAGCAAGACTCCGTCTCAAAAAAAAAAAAAAAAAAAATTACTTCAAGGAGAGACTGCTGAGGGTTCCTCTGTCTCCTGTGTGGATGGAATTTGGCCTCCATTTGGAATCGGGAATCTTGCATATTTAGTTCTGCAGTATTACGTGAATCTACGGAAGCAACTCATTTGGAATTAGATTCCAAGCCGTTATAAATAATAAATTTTTTGTCTCTGTCATTTTTGTAGTAACAGCAAGAGAAAAGAATTTAGGACCAAAACTTATGAGAGTTTTAAATATTTTTTGCTAAGTGCTTATATGTGATTTATGGGAAAATCATAATTTTTACCCTGGAAGGCAGCCTTACTCATAAAGAATGGCCATCTTGTAGCACCTCCAGGACATCAGTCTGAAGTCTAAGTTAGGTGTGTTTGCACAGCAACCAAATGGTGAGAGCATTTAGCAGCTGGGGGACGGCGGCATTGTTGTGATTGGGTTGCCACGTGGTGGGGCGGGTGAGGGACGGCAGCAGAGCCTTGGCAGAGCGGAGCTGTGTGGCCGACGGCTTCCTCTTTCTTCCTCCAGCGTGCGATTATAACTTGTTGCTCATGCACCGGCATGCAGCTCTGTTTGCTCAGTCTGTTTTTCTGTAAAGTCTCTTTTTAAAAAAGTATATGATACAGGCTGGGCACGGTGGCTCATGCCTGTAATCCGAGCACTTTGGGAAGCCAAGGCAGGTGGATCACTTGAGGTCAGGAGTTCAAGACCAGCCTGGCCAACATGGTGAAACCTCACCTGTACTAAAAATACAAAAAATTAGCCGGGCATGGTGGTGGGCACCTGTAATCCCAGCTACATGGGAGGCTGAGGCACGAGAATCTCTTGAACCAGGGAGGCAGAGGTTGCAGTGAGCCGAGATCTCACCATTGCACTCCAGCCTGGGCAACAAGAGCAAAACTCCATCTCAAAAAAAAAAAAAAATTGTGTGATATAGATGGAAGACCACGTAAAATAAATGTACAATCTGATTGTTATAAGGTGACCGCCTTTGCATATCTACCAGGCAGGTTGCAGGAGAGCACAGCCAGCCACCCAGCAGCCGTCCTGCCCTCCACCTGCCGCAGGGGGCCAGATCTTGCCATTCCTGGTGGTCCCGTCTCTGCTCTTCTTGGTTTTCTTTCTTTCGTTCTTTCTTTTTTTTTTTGAGATGGAGTCTTGCTCTGTTGCCCAGGCTGGAGTGCAGTGGTGCCATCTCTGCTCACCACAACCTCCACCTGCTGGGTTCAAGCAATTCTATTGCCTCAGCCTCCCGAGTAGCTGGGATTACAGGCACGGGCCACCATGCCTGGCTAATTTTTGTATTTTTAGTAGAGATGGGGTTTCACCATGTTGGCCAGGCTGGTCTCGAACTCCTGACCCTGTGATCTGCCCGGCTCGGCCTCCCAAAGTGCTGGGGAGGTGTGAGCCACTGCGCCCGGACTTTTTGGTTTTCTTATCCAACTGTGAGTCCTTCAACACTTGGCGTCGGGTGTTTGGCTTGTCTGTTTTTTGGCTTGCTTTTGCTTTTTTCTCCAACTTTTAATTTAATTTTAATTAATTAATTTTATTTATTTATTGAGACAGGGTCTCAGTCTGTCACTCAGGCTGGAGTGTAGTGGCACGATGATGGCTCACCTCTGCCTCGACCTCCCAGGCTCAGATGATCCTCTCACCTCTGCCCCCTGAGGAACTGGAACTACAGGTGTGCACCACCATGCCTGATTAATTTTTGTATTAGCCAGTGGTTTCGCCATGTTACCCAGGCTGGTCTCAAACTCCTGGGCTCAAACAATCCACCCGCCTCGGCCTCCCAAAGTGCTGCGATTCCAGGTGTGAGCTACTGTGCCTGGCCTTCGCAACTTTTCATTTTGATAAATTTCAAACCTACAGAAAAGTTGAAATAATAGTATAATGAACACTAATATCCCACTTCACCTGATTGACCCGTGGTTAACATTTTGCCAAATTTCTTTGGCTGTCTCAGTGTAGGTGTGTATATATGTATGTGTGAATATAATTATACACACATTTGTGCAAGAACCCTGAATGGGATATAATACAGTACACACATATGTATGTGCATATGTGTATGTGTGTGTATCTATATTTGTCCTCTTTTTTCTTTGCTGAGCCATTGAACCGTTAACTGACTAAATTGCAGACATTGTGGCCCTGCACCCTTAAATTCTTCAGCATGTATCTCCTATGAACAAGGACATTCTCCTGTACAGACAAAACAAATTATCCTACTCAAGAAATATAACATTGACAGAATACTCTTATAAAATATATAGTTCATGTTCAAATTTCCCCAGCATCTAACAGTATCCTTTAGAGCTTTTATGGTGTTCATCCAGGATCCAATCAGGGATGATCTTTTCCTAAAAGAGGACACTCAAGATCTAGATCTAGAACAGTTCCGCACATTTTTTTTTCTTTACTGCTATTGGCATTTTTGAAGAGTTTGGTTTCCTGTTTCTTAAAATAAATTTTGCATTGAAGTGTAATATGCATACATAAAATGCATAAGTGTACAGTTTGAAGAATTATCACAAAAGGAACACATCCACTAAACCAGCACCCAGATGAAACAGAATATCCCAGAAGCCTCCCTCGTGTCCCTCCCAACGCTACCCACTTCCTCCTTCTAAAGGTAACCATGTCCTGACTTCTGGCACCATAAATTGCGTTTGCCTGTGTTTGAATTTCGTACAAATGGAACCTGCAGTGTGTATTCTTTTTTTTTTTTTGAGACCGAGTTTTGCTGTTGTTGCCCAGGCTGGAGCGCGATGCCATGACCTCGACTCACTGCAACCTCCACCTCCCAGGTTCAAGTGATTCTCCTGCCTCAGCTTCCTGAGGAGCTGGGACTACAGGCACCCACCACCATGCCTGGCTGATTTTTTGTATTTTTAGTAGAGACGGGGTTTCACCATGTTGGCCAGGTTGGTCTCAAACTCCTGACCTCAGGTAATCCACCCGCCTAGGCCTCCCAAAGTGCTGGGATTACGGACTTGAGCCACTGCCCCTGGTCAGTATATATTCTTTTGTGGCTGCCTCTGTCACTCAGTGTAAAGTTTGTGAGCTTCATTCCTGTTGCCTGTTGCTTACGCTGGGGTTCCTTCATCGTCACTGCTGTTGTGCCTTCTCGGTCATATCACAACGTATCCATCGATCCTCCTCTTGATGGATACATGGGTTGTTTCTGGGCTTTGACTTTTACAATAATCCCTGTGAATACTTACGTACTGTATCCTGGTGCACACTTGCATGCATTTCTTTGGCCGAAATCAATGTCTAGAAGGGGAATTATTGAGCCATAGAGTGTGAGTGTCTTCAACTTCCATCGGTAATACCGACTTGTTTTACAAATGGTGATAACAAATGGTGATAACATTGTTATCACCTCATACCCGTCAGCAGAGTATGAGGGTTCCTGTGGGTGGCTCTGCATCCTCACCAGCGCTTGTCACTCTGTTGAATTGCAGCCACTCTGGTGGGTGGGTGCAGTTTCTTTTGGTAATTTTCATTTGTGATTCTGTATTTGATTTGCAGTTCCCTGGCTGAGTGTCTTTTCATATGTCTGCTGGCCACCTGGGTTGGCTCTTCAGTGAAGTGCCTGTTCAGCTTTCTTACACATTTTTCTACTGAGTGGTCTGGTTTTGTTTTCTTATTGTTGGGCTTGTTTTGTTTTGTTTTGTATTGTCTTGAGACAGAGTCTCACTCTGTCGCCCAGGCTGGAGTGCAGTGGCACAATCTCGGCTCATTGCAACCTCCACCTCCCGGGTTCAACATTCTTTTGCCTCAGTCTCCCCAGTAGCTGGGATTACAGGCACGTGCCACCTCACCCAGCTAATTTTTGTATTTTTAGTAGAGATGGGGTTTCACCATGTTGGCCAGGCTGCTCTTCAACTCCCGACCTCGGGTGGTCCACCAACCTTGGCCTCCTAAAGTGCTGAGATTACATGTGTGAGCCCCCGGGCCTGGCCTCTTACTGATTTTGAGGAGTTCTTTATATTCAGGCTACCAGCCCTTTGTCAGTTATATGTGAGGCAAATACCTTCTCCCACTCTAGTTTTGCCTTTTTACTACGAAATTGCCATTTTTGTAGATCGAAATGGTCAAATATTGGCAATTGGCATATGGTTCAGCCTACCATAAAATTGATCCACTTTTTTTCTTTGTTAGGTGAGGACTTTTTTTGTCCTATTTCTCTACTTCTGAGGTCATGAAACTATAATATTATTTCCTAGATACTCTATTGTTTCACTTTTCAGATTTATGTCTATAATCCACGTGAAATGTGAACTGATATTTTTTGTGTACACTATGAGGTAGGGATCAAGTTTTACTTTAAAAAATATATAGCTAGGCCGGGCGCAGTGGCTCACGTCTGTAATCCCAGCACTTTGGGAGGCCGAGGAGGGTGGATCACGAGGTGAGGAGTTCGAGACCAGCCTGACCAAGATGGTGAAACCCCGTCTCTACTAAAAATACGAAAATTAGCCGCGTGCAGTGGCAGGTGCCTGTAGTCCTAGCTACTCAAGAGACTGAGGCAGGAGAATTGCTTGAACCCGGGAGGCAGAGGTTGCAGTGAGCCGAGATCGCGCCACTGCACTCTAGCTTGGGTGACAGAGCAAGACTCCATCTCAAAGAAAAAAAAAAGAAAAAAAGAAAATAGATAACGAATTGAGCACTTTTTATTAAAGACAGTTTTACTAAGGTATCATTTGCACACTATGAAGCTCAGCTGTGAAAAGTATACAATTTTATTTTTAGAAAATTTAGGGTATCATCTGGTTTTAGAACATTTCCATCATCCCATGAGGTCCATCATATCTGGTTTCAGGCAATACCTGCTTCCAGTCCCAAACCACAAATCTACTTTCTGTGTCTATAGATTTGCTTTTTCTAGACATTTCATATAATTGGAATCATGCACTATTGTAGTCTTTTGTAGCTGACTTCTCAATTAGCTTATTGTTTTTGAGGTTCTTCTGTATTGTAGCACAGATCAAGTATTTAGGTCCTTTTTCGTGAGTTAAATTCGGTGGTGTGGATATATCACAGTGTGTCCATCCATTCACCAGCTGCTGGACACGTGGATTATTCCCACGTCTTGGCTGTAATAAACAGAGCTGCTCTGAACATCGCTTGCAAGTCTTAGTTGTTTCCATTTCTCGTGAGTAGAGGCTTGGATTGGAATTGCAAGATTGTATGGTAACGTATAATTTTATTTTGCTAATTATCATTTGTGAACTGACTTTTTTCTCTTGCTATACGGTTCTAAGGATCATAACACATGTATAGGTTTTGTAGCCACCAGTACAATCAGGATACAGAACAGTTTAATCACCCCCCAAAAATCTTTCCCAAGGGTTGACCTTTTAATATGATTTGGCTGTGTCCCCACCCAAATCTCATCTTGAATTGTGACTCCCACAATTCCCACATGTTGTGGGAGGGACCCAGTGGGAGGTAATTGAATCGTGGGGGCAGGTCATTCCCATGCTGTTCTCGTGATAGTGAATAAGTCTCACGAGATCTGATGGGTTTTTTTTCTTTTTTTTTTTTTTGAAACGGAATTTTGCTCTTGTCACCCAGGCTGGAGTGCAATGGCATGATCTTGGCTCACCACAACCTCTGCCTCCTGGGTTCAAGCGATTCTCCTGCCTCAGCCTCCCAAGTAGCTGGGATTACAGGCATGGACCACCACACCCAGCTAATTTTTGTTTTACTAGTAGAGATGGGGTTTCACCATGTTGGCCAGGCTGGTCTCGAACTCTTGAGCTCAGGTGATATGCCCACCTCGGCCTCCCACAGTGCTGGGATTACAGGCGTGAGCCACCACGTCCAGTTGATCTGATGGTTTTATAAAGAGGAGTTCCCCTGCACACACTCTCTCTCTTCCCTGCCGTCATGGAAGACGTGACTTGCTCCTCCTTGCCCTCTGCCATGATTGTGAGGCCTCCCTAGCCATGGGGAACTGCAAGCCAGTTAAACCTTTCCTTCGTAATTACCCAGTCTCGGATAATTATAAAGTCTTTATGAACAGTGTGAAAACAGACTAATACACCCTTTATGGGTGTTACCAGTGGAGGGTCTTGACTACAAGTTGTCTGGGTTCTTAACCAGATTCTTGGCATTTTGAACAAAGAATTGGACAAAATGCACAAAGAAAGCAACGAGAAAACGAAGCAAGGGAAGCACAGATTTACTGAAATGAAAGTACACTCCACGGAGTGGGAGCAGGCTCGAGCAGGAGCAAGTGGCTGATTAGAGAATTTTCTGGAGCCTTAATACCCTGTAGAGGTTTACCATTGGTTACTTGGTTACACCCTATGTAAGTGAAGGAGTGGCCTGTGACCAGTCTGATTGGTTGCAGGAGGCGACCAATCAGAGGTTGAAGTGAAGTTGCAACGTTACACCTGAAGACCTGGCCTGGGACCAGTCTGGTTGGTTGCGGGAGGGAACCAATCAGAGGTACTTTCCATTTTTCATCTGCCACGAGGTGCAAAGGGAGTAGTAGCCTCTGATCCTTTTGTTACCTGGGTATGGTTTTCCTTTTGATTCAGTTCTAAAAAGTCAGGGTGAATCGGCCTTAAGTTCCCTGCCTCCAGGCCCCTGCCGACCCAGCAACAACTATCCATTCCCTGTAGTTTTGCCTTTGGGAGCCTGTCATTAAAATGGAACCACACAGCATGTACCCTTTGAAGACTGGTTTCTTCCACTTAGTCTAGAGCTATTGAGATTCGTCCTGGATGCTGCATGGGTCTCTAGTTCATTCCTTGTGATGCTGAGTAGTGCCCCATTGTGGGGAGGGACCACAGTGTGTTTATCCATTCATCCTGGGAAGGACATTAGGTTGGTTTCCAGGTTTTGGCAATTATGAATAGTGCCGCTACAAACATTTGCGTACAGCGTTTTTTGTAAACATAAGGTTTGATTTCTCTAGGGTAAATATCCATGATTGGGGTTTCTGGGTGTATGGTCATTGCAGGATTAACTTTTTTTTTTTTTTTTTTTTTGAGACGGAGTCTTGCTGTTGTTGGCTCAGGCTGGAGTGCAATGGCGTGATCTCAGCTCACTGCAATGTCCGCCTCCCGGGTTCAAGTAGTTCTCCTGTCTCAGCCTCCCGAGTAGCTGGGACTACAGGTGACGCCACCATGCCCAGCTAATTTTTGTATTTTTAGTAGAGACAGGGTTTCACCATGTTGCCTACGCTGGTCTCAGACTCCTGACCTCAGGTGATCCACCTGCCTTGACCTCCCAAAGTGCTGGGATTATAGGCGTGATCCACCGCGCCCAGCCTCTACTTTAGTTTCATAATGGGCTTTAATTTGTGAATTAACTTCTTGATGTATCTGCTCATCCATCCATTCATTCATTCATTTCTATATTCACCCAACAAATAGTTAAGTGCCTTACTTCTGTCTTTGCTATTTCTTTGCCTTTGGAGCACTGTTTTGAAAGAGCCAGCGCCCACTGTCAGCTGTCCAGCTGGTAGCACTGTCATCTGGAAGATTTTAGATACTTTCTCATGAGTGATTCTACACCAGCCTGAATCTCACACTACCTGACATCCTCTCAATCGTAGCCACACCCAAGGGTCCTACTTTGCTGTCCCCACTGCCACCAGACCAAACACACCCCCTTCCCTGAAAGTCTGGGAGTCGGTTTCTTCTTCACAATAGAAGTTGGCCTCTGCTGGTCATGCCCCAAACCTTCTGGAGCTGCGGGTTCTGCCTTCTCTGCAGCTGCCTTCCCGTGGGCTGCCCTGGTCAGTGCAGGACATGGCACAGGACCTCCGCCCTGCCACACCCCCGGGCCATTTCCTCGGCAGGCCTCGTGCCAGACTTCTCCAAAGGACTGACCGCGTGTGCCTTCTCCACCTTGCACACACTCGCACACCAACCTGCCAGCCTGGCCTGTGCTCTTCGCCGCCCAAACGCACCTCTCCCTGGTGTGGTCACTGACAGTCTTTGCGTGGCCAGTGGCCAAACCCAGGCTGGCTTTGCTAGTGGCCTCATCTTCTCTCTGCAGCGTTCACAGTGATCCACTTCTTTTTTTTTTTTTTTGGAGACAGAGTCTTGCTCTGTTGCCCTGGCTGGAGTGCAGTGGCACCAATGTCCGCTCACTGCAACCTCCACCTCCCGGGTTCAAGGCAATTCTCCTGCCTCAGCCTCCTGAGTAGCTGGGATTACAGTCATACACCACCATGCCTGGCTAATTTTTGTATATATATATTTTTTAATAGAGACGGGGGTTTCACCATGTTAGCCAGGCTGGTCTCAAACTCCTGAGCTCAGGTGATCCACCCGCCTCGGCCTCTCAAAGTGCTGGGATTACAGGCTTTAGCCATCACACCCAGCCCCCCTCCCTACCCCTTTGTCCCTCCTCAGAGCCCTGCTGGCCCACTTCCCTGGCCGTTCAAAACATTGCAGCTCCAAGGCTGCTTCCCAGGCCTCCCCACCTGCTGTCTTCTCCCTGGTGATATTATGGACAGTGGATCTCTGGCCCTGAGCTCCCTTCTGATTTCATGGTATGGCCACCTCCTTGTCCCTATCGCTTGAGCGTGTCACCAGCATCTTCAGCTTGGGAGGTCCAGAACTGAGCTCCTGATTTTGCCCCCTAAACTTTTACTTCTTCTGGTCTCACTCATCCGTCCACGTACTGAAGGCAGAACCCAGGAACCCAGGAAGTGTCCTTGTTCCCTTTGTTCACATCCTGTCGGTTCTGCCTAGACCTTAAATCATGAACCTGACCTAAGGCCACTCCAGCTTTTGCCTGGACCACAGCAAAAGGCCAGGAGTGAGCCCCCGCTTCTACTCCTGACACCTCCGGAGCCATTCGCCACCCAGAGCTGTGTAGGCTTTAAAAAGAGCCAGCCAGCCGCGTGGGATCCTGGATGGGATCCTGGAACATAAATCAGGTGAAAAATTGGTGAAACTCAAATCAAGTTCATCGTCTAGTTAATTTCCTGTTCTTGATTATCAAGCTGTGCTTGACGTCGTACAATAAGACATTCACGTTAGGAGAAGTGGAGCGAGGGATATATGAGAACTCCCTGTACCGTATATGTAACTTTCCTATATGATTAACATTAGTTTGAATTAAAAAGTTTTAAAAAATTGGATGGGTGCAGTGGCTTATGCCTATAATCCCGGCACTTTGGGAGGCTGAGGTGGCCGGATCATGAGGTCAGGACTTTGAGACGAGCCTGACCAACATGGTGAAACCCCGTCTCTACTAAAAATACAAAAATTAGCCAGGCATGGTGGTTGGTGCCTGTAATCCCAGCTACTCAGGAGGCTGAGGCAGGAGAATCACTCGAACCCAGGAGGCGGAGGTTGCAGTGAGCCGAGATTGTGTCATTGCACTCCAGCCTGGGCAACAGAGCAAGACTCAGTCTCAAGAGAAAAAAAAAAAGTTAAAAAATTAAAATGCAAAATAAGAAAGAATCGAACTGTGTGCTGTCTTACTTAAAACACTGCAGAGCTCTTGTGTGTGCCTAGCATGTAAGTCAGATGCCTCTTGTCGTTTTGAGACAGAGTCTCCTACCGTCCCCCAGGCTGGAGTGCAGTGGCGTAATCTCGGCCCACTGCAGCCTCCACCTCCTGGGTTCAAGCGATGCTCGTGCCTCAGCCTCCCAAGTAGCTGGGATCACAGGCATGTACCCCGCCTGGCTAATTTTTGTATTTTTAGTAGACACGGGGTTTCATCATGCTAGCCAGGATGGTCTCGAACTCCTTACCTCAAGTGATCCGCCTACCTCGGCCTCCCAAAGTGCTGGGATTACAGGTGTGAATCACTGCACCTGGCCAGGCAGAAACCTCTTAATGGCTCCCAGGGCCTGGCCCACCTCCCCAGCCTCCTCTCATGCCACACTTTCTTCCCTCAGTCTGCATCGGGAACAGTTGCCACCTTTCAGCCACGTGAGCATGCTGGGACCGTCCTTTCCATGCTGATCCCTGCATCCCTCGTGCCTTCCCCAGACCTACACCACCGCAATTGCCTCCATCTCACTGTGATATCTCCACTTCAGTCTCATTTCTTCAGAAAGGACGTCCCTGACTCTGTCCAAACCGCATGTTGGGTATTCTCTATTGCAGGAAGCTTTTGCTTTCTTCCTGGCTCTTAATCACAGCTGGTGACTCGGGTCCTTGCTTGTGGATTCTCCCTGCCACTGGTTCCTACCACTGAGTCAGGTGATGGACGCCATGTTCACAGTTTTATCACCAGCGTCTAGCGTGGCCTGCAGCGGGTGCTCCCATAGAACCCATAAACAAACAACTTCTTGTTTCTTATTATGTGAAGAAAGTTGGTCTGTGTAATTCACCCTCCAGAGAAATGACAGCACTTTCAGTACTTTGTTCTGCCCTTCCTTGATCTCCACGCTGTTTGCAGATGGACCACCGTTGTAGAGATGTGATTTGATTCTTGACGTTTCTGAGTGTCCACGGTGCTGCGCCTTCCCCCAGGTACTACAGTACTGAGATTAATAAGACAGAGTCAATGTAAGGTGTTAGTAGGATTTAGAATAGGTCTAATCTCATTCTTAACGGATTTCAGGAGCTTATTATGTGTTGAAAGAATGAATAGGATAAAAGTTGTTAAGAAATTTTCTCCGTTTAATTTTTATTTATTAATTTATATTTTAGAGACAGGGTCTTACTCTGATACCCAGGCTGGAGTGCAATGGTGCAGTCACAGCTCACTGAGGCTTTGAATTCCTGGGTTCAAGCAATCCTTCTGCTTCAGCCTCCCAAATTGCGGGGATTACAAGCATGAGCCACTGGCTCTGGCCTATTTTCTCCTTTTAAAAAAAATTGCTGCAGGTATACACATATGCACGGATATACACATACAAATATGTACCTTATACATATATGTATATAATAAATACATGCATATGCGGAATTGTGGCATAGTCTTAGTCTTTTTTTTTTTTTTTTTTTTTTTTGAGACGGAGTCTCGCTCTGGTGCCCAGGCTGGAGTGCAGTGGTGCAATCTCGGCTCACTGCAAGCTCCGCTTCCCGGGTTCACGCCATTCTCATGCCTCAGCCTCCTGAGGAACTGTGATTACAGCATGGGCCACCAGGCCTGGCTAATTTTTGTGTTTTTAGTAGAGATGGGGTTTCACCATGTTGGCCAGGCTGGTCTCAAACTCATGACCTCAAGTGATCCTCCCACCTCGGCCTCCCAAATTGCTGGGATTACAAGCATGAGCCACCATGCCTGGTTGTATTTAGTCTTTAACCTGTCCTCAGGCTGTTTCTCTCTGGGCAGGGAGAAGCATGGAAAGGGGGATGGGCCCTGGTGGCCACCTTTGAAGCATGGAGGCTCCGGTGCCACCCTGCCCTTAGGCTGGGCACAAAGGTGGCTGAGGGAAGGCTAGTCAGCTGCTGGAGGTGTCCTTTATGGTCTCAGTGATTAAAGGTTATGTTGTCCATGAATTTAATTTTATTTCATGATGGAAAAGAGGACATTGCAAATTAAGTATGTCACAGAAATGTAAGGAGCCATGGGGTCTGATAGGGCTGAGGGTGAGTGGCTTGCCGTCGAGTTTCCAGAAGGCGTTATTATGGACCCTAAAGGGGATTTCATGCGTTTCAAAGACTCTAACAGAAGTGTTCTGATGAAGTGGAGTCTGGTGCTGGGACCTGCCACTTCAGCCTGGAATTGTCCTCGTGTGAAGCGCAGTAAAAACCCAGAATGGATGTCGGCAATAAGGGAATTTCTGGGATATGATGGGGGAACGAATATTGTCACCTCCATTTGTGTCAGGAAGTCTCAGTATGCAGATGAGTCAGCTGCAGGGGGTGGCCTCCCAGGCTGCTGGTGGAGCCCAGAAGCAGGGGGCAGGCGTTTGGCCTCTGATACTCTCCTAGCTCTGAGTTGGGACGGAGCTCGTGTATCTACAGTGTGCTCACACAGACTTGGTGCCGGTAGATGGTGAGGGGATAGGTTGGCAGGTGGGTAGGGGGCCTCCCGAGGCAGTAGGGACCTGGAGGAGGCTGGTAGAAAGTGGAGATTGGCCAAAGTGACCTGAATTAGATTCTACCTGGTTCATGAATTTGCCTGAGGCTAAGGCTTCAGCGCAAGGGATGGTGGAGTAATACCTTTCCTGAAACACCTGCTGCCGGCGTGGCCTTGTCTGTCTCTGCCAGATCTTGTTAGCACTGTGGCTTCAGGCCTAGTTAAACATTCAAGCCCAATGCGGTTGGAGAGCACCCATGGCACGCCCATTGTGCAGCAGTGTGTTTAATACATGTGCTGCTTTTAATGGGTGTGAAAGATCAGAGAGCTTGGGTGTGTGTTTTACCAACCACTTTTTAAACTCACATAGTAAAATTTATAGTATATAAAAAGCAGAAAATATGGTGTATCTTCTAAATATTCACATTTAAAACATTTTTTAGAAATAATGTATGTCAAGCAAGGTCAAGCTAATGTGTTTATATAGGCTCTAAATTAGAGTTGTGAACCAGTATCTCATCCCACTTATAGGGTTTTTTTTGAAAACGTTCAAATGTTTCCAGCTCTTTTGTTTCTTTATTCTAAAACATTATCTGCTATTTTGTTCGATAGAGTAACTGTTTCTATTCCACTTTCTTTTTTTTTTTTTGAGACGGAGTCTCGCTCTGTCGCCCAGGCTGGAGTGCAGTGGCGCGATCTTAGCTCACTGCAAGCTCCGCCTCCTGGGTTCACGCCATTCTCCTGCCTCAGCCTCCCAAGCAGCTGGGACTACAGACGTGTGCCACCAAGCCCAGCTAATTTTTTGTATATTTTTTAGTAGAGAGGGGTTTTCACCTTGTTGGCCAGGCTGGTCTCGAACTCCTGGCCTCAAGTGATCCACCCGCCTCAGCCTCTCAAAGTGCTGGGATTACAGACGTGAGCCACCACGCCTGGCTTATTCCACTTTGTAATTGGCTATCCCTGCTATTAATATACAGGGTACTCTCCCTCTCGTATTTGCGTCTAAATGTCATCTATAATAAATAACAGTGAATACTTACTGGTTTCATATTTAGTTTTACTTTTATCCCACCCATTTTCTTTTAGTAGTTCTTATGACTTCACGTTTATTTAATAAAGGTAAAAAAGAACTTTCTGTTTCCAATTCATTCCTTTCACCAATAAGGAAGGATGTGGATCTTCACTGCTTCCTACATAGCTGCCAGCCTCATGTAGCTGTTTAAAATTTAAATTATAATTGAAATCATTAAAAAATTAATTCCTTGTTCATACTAGCTACATTTCGAGTGGTCAGTAGCCACATGTGCCTGGAGGCCACAGAACTGGACGGCTACAGGATGTACCCATCATCACGGGAAGTTCATAGAAAGTTCTTTTTCTTTTTCTTTTTCTTTTTTTGAGATGGAGTCTGCTGTGTTGCCCAGGCTGGAGTGCAGTGGCGCGATCTCAGCTCACTGCAGCCTTCACCCACTGGGTTCAAGTGATTCTTATGCCTCAGCCTCCCGAGTAGCTGGGATTACAGGCTCCCGCCACCACGCCCGGTTAATTTTTGTATTTTTAGTGGAGACAGGGTTTCACCATGTTGGCCAGGCTGGTCTCAAACTCTTGACCTCACGTGATCCTTCCACCTTGGCCTCCCAAAGTGCTGGGATTATAGGCATGAGCTACCATGCCTGGCATGTATCTCTTCTTCTCTAAGTACTCAGCTGTCTTGTTTGAGGCTAGTACCTCCACTAGTCTGGAACCCTCCTTCCTGGGCTTTCTGCCCACTTCCATCTCTCCTTTGACAACAGTGGTTTTTCCAGGGTCTGTGCAGAGCTCAGCTTTCTGCCATAAGACAGGGGAGTTTCTGAAGACTCCTCACCCCTTTTGGGAGTGAGGGCTGCTGACTGAAGCTCCAGGTCACTGTTTTATGAGCTAGCTCTCCGTTTGTTGATGGCCGGGGACCCAGCCTTTGTCCCCTCCTCTCGTGCTTGGGCACTCACTACTCACTGCCTCGGTTTTGCTTTCAGTTTTGATTGTGCATTGAGTCCACAACTTCAATGGGATTTTCTTAAGGCATAAATGACAGTTGCATGGTGTGCAGTGGGAGAACAAATCGCCCAGCCTGGGACATCCCTGGGTGGCAGAGTGGACCTGCTCTCAACTTATGGAATGTGCAGCAACACCTTGAGGTTATTAATAAATACCTGAGTCTGGGCATGGTGGTTCATGCCTGTAATTCCAGCACTTTGGCAGGCTGAGGCCGGAGGATCACTTCAGGCCAGGAGTTCAAGCCCAGCCTGGGCAACATAGTGAGATTCCATCTTTAAAAAAAAATTTTTTTTTAAAAGAAGGTGGGCTTGGTGGTGCACACCTGTCATCCCAGCTACTTGGGAAGATGAGGTGGGAGGATCACTTGAGCCCAGGACGTCGAGGCTGCAGTGAGCCGTGATCATGCCACTGCACTGCAGCCTGGGTGACAGAGAAAGACCTTTTCTCTTAAAAAAACAAAACAAAACAAAACACACACACACACACACAACTGCGATTCTTCCAGAAAAGTTCAGAAAAAGGAAGTCCGAAATACATAGTCCATAGTATTTCAGCCACCAGTGCTGCTGAAGTGAAATTAGAGATAGCAGAGATATCTCAGGAGAAAATGGAGGTTTTTGGGTTTCTCCGTTAGATGACTCGAACAAGTCTGCATGTGCTCTGTAAACAAGAAAACACAGTCTGGGAAACTGTCAGCCTCTGCCCCAGCCAGTGTGCAAAATACTCTTCAAAAGAGAGAAAACTAGAAAACAAGTTGAAAACCGGGTGATCTGACAAGTGTGGAAATTCACAGCAAGCATGTGCCTGTGCTGCAGATACGATCTGGGAGAGAGCCAGCAGCCTGGATCCACATTTCCCAGAAGCAACAGGTGGTGAAGGCAGCGGCATGACTGCTCCCGCGGAAGGTTAGTCACGCATGTTCAGCATCAGCCGGGCGCGGTGGCTCACGCCTGTAATTCCAGCACTTTGGGAGGCCGAGGCGGGTGGATCACTTGAGGTCAGGAGTTCAAGACCAGCCTGGCCAACATGGTGAAACCCCAACTGTACTAAAAACACAAAAATTAGCCGGGCATGGTGGCAGGTGCCTGTAATCCCAGCTACTCAGGAGGCTGTGGAAGAGAATTGCTTGAACCCGGGAGGCAGAGGTTGCAGTGAGCCGAGATCATGCCACTGCACTCCTGCCTGGGCAACAGAGCGAGACTCCATCTCAAAAAAAAAAAAAAAAAGAGAAGAATATTCCGCAACTTAGAGCTTTTCCTTTGCATGATATGATGTTTACAGGCGAGGTGGCTCCGCAGCCTCGGTGGCCTTTCTTCCAGCTGAAGATGCCCACAGGAGGTGTCAGTGCAGGTATAACCACCTGTGGGTCAGAAGAAAATGCCTTTGCAAGTAAATCTCCTCCTGGATGAAAAGGCCCATCTGTGTTCCAGGCAAGGACAGTGGCCGCTTCTGCGTTTCTGTGGCCAAGCGTCTGGCGTGCGGGTGTGGCTGGGCTCACCATGCTGTGCGGGCTACACCTGCTGCAGGAGAAGTGTGTTTGTGCTCGAAGAAGACAATGTGGGTGTCGGCCCGGCGTTTTTAGGTTGGACTACAATAGTGAGAGCTGCAAATTGGATGATTCTTGGAGCTATTTCATGAAGGTCAAATTTTCTTTTGTTTTGTTTTATTTAATCTCTCCCAGACTTCTGAACTTTTGCTATGTTGAATTTTTAGTTCTTCAAGGTTATTTGGCCTTATTCTTGACTTGCATGTTTTTCTGCCCTAGCTCTACCACATTATCTTTTTTTTTTTTTTTTTGAGAAGGAGTTTCACTCTGCTGCCCAGGCTGGAGTGCAATGGTGCGATCTTGGCTCACTGCAACCTCTGCCTCCTGGGTTCAAGTGATCCTCCTGCCTCAGCCTCCCAAGTAGCTGGGATTACAGGCGTGCATCACCACGCCTGGCTAATTTTCGTATTTTCAGTAGAGACAGGGTTTTACCATGTTGGTCAGGCTGGTCTTGAACTCCTGACCTCAAGCAACCCCCCGCCTCGGCCTCCCAAAGTGCTGGGATTACAGGTGTGAGCCACCATGCCTGGCCCACATTATCTATTTCTAAGCCTTTAATATTTTTCATTTACCTGCTACTGCTCACTCTACCTTGTATTCTCAGGGAGGGTGTATTTCTTCCCAGCTTTATTTTATTTCTTCTCTAAATCTCAGAATTATTGCACCTTGTTGATGTTCACATTACTGTATTTAGTTTATTTTATTGTATTATTAATATTATTATTATATTTGAGACAGGGTCTCACCCTATCACCTAGGCTGGAGCATAGTGACACAGTCATAGCTCACTGCAGCCTTCATTTCCTGGGCTCAAGCAGTCCTCCTGCCTCAGCCTCCCAAGTAGCTGAGATCACAGAAATGCACCACCACACCCAGCTTCCTTTTCTTTTTCAAAAAAACAGCTTTATTGACGTATAATTCACATATGATGCAATTCACCCTCTCAAGTGTATGATTTGGTGGTTTTTAGTATATTCATGGTGTTGTGCAACCATCACCACAACCTAATTTTACATTTTCGTCACCCCAAAAAGTAACCCTGCATCCGTTAGCAGTTACACCCTCTCTCTCCTAAACCCATGGCAGCCACTCATCTGCTTTCTGTGTCTACAGATCTCCCTATGCCAGACATTTCATATAAAGGGGATCACCTAGTTCGTGGCCTTTTGGGACTGGCTTCTTTAACTAAACATCATACAGCTTTATTTCCATTTTCAGTGTATTCCCTTTTTTTGTTTTCAAGTATTTAGTGGCTACCTAGTCTCAGATTTTAAATTTAGTTTTTCCTTTCTCTTCTTTCTATAATCTATTTTTCATCATCTACACTGTGTGCTTGAATCAGCACCTCTTAGAAACCTACGGATGAGCTGTTAGCTCTCTAGGGACAAGAACACGGTCTGGGACCCCCGTCCCTGCTGCAGGTGTGACCTGACCCCCTCCCTCTGCCGACGTGACCTATCCCCCTCCCTCCCGTCTGTGGCATCTGGTGCATTTGGTGCTGTCATTTCACAAATAAAAGGTGATCAGCTGGTGGTCTGTTTCAGTTCTGGTATCTTTCCCCAGCTCTCTTGTTTCATAGCCTCTTCCCATTATTTAAACTCTGCTCTGTTACAGGATTCTTAATAGTTATTGCAGACCTTCATTTCCATTTTGTTGTCTGCAACTCATTGTTGAAGTGCCATTTGTTGCTTCTGAACAGCCCATAGACACTTGGACTTGAATGCATATGACTCTCTTCTTGTGGGTCCAGATCGTCACTCACTGACTGTCCTCACATTCACAGCTGTTCTCAGGACAAGCACCGTCTTTCCCTTTTTCGGATGTCCCTGTTTACCTGAATCAACTCATTTAATCCTCACAACAGCCCTGTGCTATGATATGACCATCATATCACAGCATTTTCGTTTTCTTTTTCTTTTATTTTTTTGAGACAGGGTCTCATTCTGTCACCCAGGCTAGAGTGCAGTGGCGTGATCTCGGCTATCTGCAACCTCTGCCTCCCGGGTTCGAGAGATTTTCCTGCCTTAGCCTCCCGAGTAGCTGGGACTTACAGGCACCTGCCACCACAGCTGGCTAATTTTTGTAGTTTTAGTAGAGACAGGGTTTTGCCATGTTGGCCAAGCTGGTCTTGAACTCCCGACCTCAAGTGATCTGCCCACCTCGGCCTCTCAAAGTCCTGGGATTATAGGCGTGAGTCACCGCGCCGGCCAGCATTTCCATTATCTAGACAAGGGAACTGAGGTCAAGCATTGGAGTGAAAGTCACCTAGGTGGCTTTTTTTCTTTTTTAACCTATTTATTTCTTTCAACCCTTAGCCCAGATCCTAACCTTCGGTAAGTACTCAGTAAACATTTAGTCTGCTGGGTGCATGAACGAGCGAATGAGCAAATGAATGACAGCGATAGCACCTGGTGGGCTGTTCGCTGGTGTGCTGGGTGTGCTGGGTGTGCTGGGTGTCGTCTCTCAGAGACTCATTTCTACAGTCTTTGTGAAGGCTCGTGCTAGTAAACCCTAATTCAAGAGGTTTCTTAGAGGTGGGAGGCGAAGGTCTCTGAAGTGTGTGGACTCCTGGACTCTCCCTATGTTAGCATTCTGGAATGTAGCATTTAGCAGTGGGGCATTTATTAACTCGGAATACAGAAGATAAGAAGCCAAGCCAGGCACGGTCGCTCACGCCTGTAATCCCAGCACTTTGGGAGGCTGAGGTGGGCGGATCATGAGGTCAGGAGATCGAGACCATCCTGGCTAACACGGTGAAACCCCATCTCTACTAAAAATACAAAAAAAATTAGCCAGGCATAGTGGTGGGTGCCTGTAGTCCCAGCTGCTCGGGAGGCTGAGGCAGGAGAATGGCGTGAACCCGGGAGGCAGAGCTTGCAGTGAGCTGAGGGAGCCACTGTACTCCAGCCTGGGCCACACAGCGAGACTCTGTCTCAAAAAAAAAAAAAAAAAAAAGGCCAAAACAGGGGAATGTGGTCACTCAGGGGATGCCTGTCATTCCCATTTGGCTGTGATGGCAGCTGTTTAGCCATTACTGGGAGAGAGAGGGAAGCTGGGTATAGAAGGTACCTGTTTAGAAGCAGGGGTGGGGAAGCGGGAGGGAGAGAGAGAGAGAATGCGTGCACATGCTCTAAAATTTTATTTTCTGGCTGGGTGTGGTGGCTCACGCCTTTAATCCCAGCACTTTGGGAGACAGAGGCAGGCGGATCATTTGAGGTCAGGAGTTCGAGACCAGCCTGTCCAGCATGGCAAAACCCCCTCTCTGCTAAAAACACAAAAATTAGCCAGGCATGGTGGCACACACCTGTAATTCCAGCTACTCAGGAGGCTGAGGCAGGAGTATTCCTTGAACCCGGGAGGCGGAGGTTGCAGTGAGCTGAGATCGCGCCACTACGCTCCAGCCTGGGCAACAGAGCAAGACTCTGTCTCAAAAAAAAACAAAAAAATTTTTTTTTGGTTAAGCAGAAGATCAAATTAAACAGGCAAGGTGCCTACCCTTTGTTTCTTTCACTTTCTTCCATAAATCCATCTCATATTTTATTATTTGGGACTTCTTTTTTTTTTTTTTTCTTTTTTGAGACAAAGTCTCACTCTGTCACCCAGGCTGGAGTGCAATGGTGCGATCTCGGCTGACTGCAACCTCCGCCTCCTGGGTTCAAGCAATTCTCCTGCCTCAACCTCCTGAGTAGCTGGGATTACAGGCATGTGCCACCACGCCCAGTTAATTTTTGTATTTTTAGTAGAGACGGGATTTCGCCATGTTGGCCAGGCTGGTCTCAAACTCCTGAGCACAACTGATGCTCCCGTCTCGGCCTCCCTAAGTGCTGGGATTACAGGAGTGAGCTACCGCGCCTGACCTGGGACTTCATTTGTTAAGAAGAGGTTAAGTTTCACCAGCAGCCATTTGTAGTAGGAACTTGAGATTTATCATCAAATATTGGGACAACAAGAACAAATCAGTTCTTATGATTATTTATGGTGCATATGAGTAGGAAGGACTTACAACCCTCCGGAGAGCATTTTAATGTTAACATATGAAAGATATTCTCTCTTTTGTACCAAAACTTTTGTTCTTCTTACGCAGAAAGAATAGATAATTATAAAATATATCTATGACTCCATAGGCTTTGGCTATTTGGTAGATTAAGAGTATTTTTATCTTTATTTTTCTTATTGGCTGATTACAGTTTAGTTTAAATAACTCTCATGCCGCTTGGTCGTTTCCGACCTAGTCGTGAGGAAGAATGCAATGCAAAGTGAAAGACGTTTTTGGAATGTTTCTGAACCAGCCCAAGCTGATTGCCTCTTTTCTGTTTATTGTTTTAAGTCATAAGTGACGTAAGCTTCTAGGCATTTGTTATGCTATGTGGCTGGCTCCCAAAGTCATGTCTTAAAACATTCTTTCCTTCCTGATTATTCTTCTCTTTCTTGTTTTTCTTTTCTTCTTTTTCTTTTAATTTTTTTTTCTTTTTTGAGACGGAGTTTCACTCTTGTTGCCCAGGCTGAAGTGCAATGGCACGATCTCAGCTCACTGCAACCTCCGCCTCTCAAGTTTAAGCGATTCTCCTGCCTCAGCCTCCCAAGTAGCTGGGATTTACAGGCGTGTGCCGCCACGCCTGGCTTGTTTTTCTTTTTCTTTTTTTTTTTGAGACAGGGTCTCACTCTCTTGCCCAGGCTGGAGTGCAACGGCGCACTCACAGCTCACTGCAGCCTCAACCTCCCGGGCTCAAGTGATCCTCCCATCTTAGCCTCCTGGGTAGCTGGGACCACAGGTGCCACCACACCCAGCTGATTTTTAAATTTTTTATAGAGATGGGATCTCGCTATGTTGTCCAGGCTGGTCTCAAACTCCTGGGCTCAAGTGATCCTCCTGCCGCGGCCTCCGAGAGTGCCGGGGTCACAGCTGTGATCCCCGTGCCTCGCTGTTGTTCTCTTTCTGTTGAGTTGGCAGTCAGGTCCTTGATTCTTGGTGGCTGAGGGTATCTCAGTCCAAGGCAAGAATCCCACAGAAAGAGACTGGGACAAATGAGGCCAGAAATGGGCCTCGCCCATCACTCTTTTCCAAAATGGGCTTTGTCAGTCACTCTTCCTATACTTGGGTCACCAAACCTGATCACCACTATGTGCAAAGTGCAGTTTTAGTTTTCAAAGAAGTGACACTATACTTAAGAATACTTAAGAACGTTAACTGCGTTAACCTCCACGCACACAGCCATAGACAAATTCCCCCGTCAGACAGGAGCCCATTAGGAAATGCCCACCCCTCTCTGTAGCCTTTGTAAAATTAAGCTGATAAAAGACATCGCTGTTGTTGAGGTTTAAAATCAATGGATAACCAGGAAAGAATATAAGAAATCATATTAATTATTCTCCTGTTTACACTACACTTAAATCATTTAGCTGTCTTTTTTTTTTTTTTGGACCTTCTGCTGCAAAAGAGCCATTCTAATGAACTTGGACCCCAGGGTCCATGTGTGTGGTTATTCATTAAATCATGTCGCCTGCAGAGTCTCCTGACTTAAGACTTTCGCTGGGCTTGAACTCAGTAACCTGTCCTGATGTATTTCTCAGGCGTTTGTGATTAGGCAGCTGGGCTCTGCCTTACCTGTCAGGGTGATAACCCTTCTGGTTCTGACAAAAGGTTTCACTTTAAATTTAGCTTTCCATATTGAAGCATAAATAAAAAGATAATTTACTTCCCGATTTTGCTCGTTGTGGACACGGAGGTGTGTTTGACCTTCGTAAAGCTAGTAGGATCATGTTATCACTATGGGTTGGTCATTCAGCGCTTCCTAAAGAAAAACTCAAGTCAGAAACAAATCAGGAGCAATTATTGATTTAACAGTTTTGCAAATGCTTTTGTATGTAGAAGGTGCATGAAAAAGATTCCAGTGATACGCAGATCAAACACTGCGTCGATAATCACAGCTAATGTCGAGTGCTTGCTGCGTGCGTGTTGATCATTTAAGCCTCACATGCGAGCTGTGTGGTAAGCCCTCCTCCTGCCCTCGCCTTAGAGATGAGGAAACTGAGAGGCAGCGATGAAGCAGCTCACTAGCCCTGCTCCTGTCCTCCCCTTAGAGATGAGGAAACTGAGAGGCAGCGATGAAACAGCTCACTAGCCCTGCTCCTGTCCTCCCCTTAGAGATGAGGAAACTGAGAGGCAGCGATGAAGCAGCTCACTAGCTCTGCTCCTGCCCTCCCCTTAGAGATGAGGAAACTGAGAGGCAGAGATGAAGCAGCTCACTTAGATCACGGGATTAGGGGGCGGACCTGGACCCGACTCCGAGGCCCCCTCCAGCAGCCAGGCCCTCGCCCATCACGCTTGGTTGCTTGTAATGGGAGCCTTGCCTCTCGCCAGCAGTTTGTGGGGAGTAGGTTTCCCGTTTCCACTGTTATTTCCTGACTCCCGTGCCTCCCAACTTCCCACCCGCTGTGGCTGGCATTTCCACCGGCTCCCTGGCTTGTCCTACGCCTCATGCCTCCTATGTGGCTCTTCTTTCTCCTCCCGCCCCCCTGCTGCCCGTGGCCCCAGAATGGAGGCTTCCCAGGATGGCCCACACAGTGCCCTGCACAGGTGCTGTGGCTCAGCCCTGGCCATTCCCTCCACACGTTCTCTGCTCCAGCCACACTGAGCTCCAAGCCATCCTTTAGCTATGCCTGCTGCAGGCCACCTCTGTAGAGGGCCTTTCATGACCTGTTCTAGTAACCCCCCTGCCTGGTGTCAGCCACCCCCGCCCCTGGCCTGGTTTGCTATTGCCGGGCTGACCTCGCCCCGTCTTTCAGTTCTCCGTGTGGAGGGTGCTGATCCGTCCGTCTCCATCTGCTTGTGAAGCAATAACAGAACAGCATAGGCTGGGTAATCTATACAGCACGGAAATTTCTGTCCTCATGCTTCAGGAGGCTGGGAAGTCCAAGATCAAGGCACCAGCAGGTTCAGGTGTCTGGGGAGGGCTGCATCTTCTGGAAGGGAGAAGGAAACTGGAGGGCAAGCGAGAGAGCCCCTTACAGCAAGCCCCTTTATGCAGGCGCCTGATCCCATCGCAGGGGAGGAGCCCTCCTGGCCTCGTCACCTCTTAAAGCCCTGCTTCCTTAAGACTCTCACTCCACAACGCCTGAACTTTGGAGGGGACACGTTCGAGCCACAGCCCCTTCCTTCCTGAGGCTTCTCAAGATGCCCCCTCCTGTGCTTCCTGGAGCACCCGTCCTTCCTTGTCCTGGGACTTGGCACGCCTGACCATAGTCATACCTGCTTGTCCTCTTGGCCCCTCTTCAGGTAATGGGCTCCACACAGGTCACGATCTCGGCCAAAATAGTCACACATCGTCCCTGCACCCATCAGTGTGTAGTAAACAGGAAGTGCTTAATAAATGTTTGATGAATTAAGAGTGACTCAGTAATCCCAGTACAAAAAAGCAACAGCAGACGTTGGAGATGTGCTTGAGGCACGTGCCCAGCTTGTGAGCAGAGGCCGCCGCTGCCACTCCGTGCTCCCCGTGGACTGCCGTGCTGAGCGCTGTGAATGTGCTGGCTGTCCCGTCGTGCTCCAGCTCTTCAGGCCTCCCTGCTCAGCCTCTCTCAGCTTCAGTTGCCACGCACTTCTAGGAGAGGCCATCTTGACTTTCTCTTGCAGTCCCGGAGCCACACAGGGAGCAGGTGCGCAGTCACCTGGGTGAGGGCCCCTTCCTGGGTTTCAGAGGCAGCCCAGTTCATGCTCCCAGGGCAGCCCTTGTGCATGGGGAGCCGTAGCCTCAGGCAGGGGCACCCTGAGCCAACAGCACCTTGCAGGGCCAGCCACAGACATAATGGAAAACCTCATCCTTCAGCCGCAACTTTTCCTACCTCCCATCAAAAAAATGTCCCTCCTCTCTCAGTATGTGGGGACTGCGGTCTCCAGAGTGGCCATCCACAGTCACACTGGCTGTCAGTGGCTCCTGTCACCACCCTGCCACCTGGTGACTTGTGGGCCACACTCAGGAGTCATGGGAAGGAGACCCTTAGAGCAGCCCCAGGACAGGCCTCCTTGCGTGTACTTCTTTGATGAAGGCGGGTATAAGCCCTGGCAGCTCATTGTCCTCTCTTGAGTCCACATAGGTTGCATTTTTTAACTCTGGCAAAGTGAAGTTACAAAGTCAGTCTGGTGTCGCCTGGGACAGGTCCGAGAAATTAGTATAAAGATGGCTTCACTCCTGCGTCGTATTCCAGTTCACGTTTCCATTTCAGTGTATACATGTTACAGTCGTGATTGATCCTGTGCATAAATTGGGATGTGGGTTTTTGTTGGAGAAAAAAATGCACAAAAGTTCAGGAGCTAAGTAAGAGTGAAAGATTTTCATTGGACCAGGTGTGGTGGCTCACACCTGCAATCCCAGCACTTTGGGAGGCCAAGATGGGCGGATCACTTGAGTCTAGGAGTTCGAGACCAGCCTGGCCAACACAGTGAGACCCCCATCTCAAAAAAGAAAGAAAGAAATAGTTGGACATAGTGGCGGACGTTTGTAGTCCCAGCTACTCAGGAGGCTGAGGCTATAGGAGGTGGGGGCTGTAGGGAGCCATGGTTGCACCACTGCGCTCCAGCCTGGGCAACAGAGCAAGACCCTATCTCTAAAGGAAAAACAAAACAAAACAAAACAAAACAAAACATGAAGAGTTTCTTGGGGCCAGTTGGCATCTAAAAATATCTAAGTCTTTTGATTCTCAGCTATGACCTGGCTACGTTCTAGGCTGTCTTTACGTGTTTCTAGGACTCTTGGCAAATTCTCAGAACAGTTGACTTAAAAAGATTAGCCACGTAGTATTTTTACAAGGAGAGAGGGAGGTGAAGTGATGAGATGGGGCCATACTTATAAAATGATTCGGGATTATTGATGAAGTAGTCCCTAGGTTTCTGATTAATTAATTTTAAAGCGCTGACCAAATATGTACCCAGCGTAAGAAGCCAGAGTCGATCAGTGTTGTAGACACGTCGCCTCTCGATGGCATCTTTCCATGCCACACCCTTCACGACCTGAAGCTGGAGCTTAAACCCTTCAAGAAGGGTCCCTGCGACCGGGTGCAGTGGCTCACACCTGTCATCTTTGGGAGGCCAAGGTGGGCAGATCACTAGGAGTTCTAGGCCAGTCTGGCCGACATGGAGAAACCCTGTCTCTACTAAAAATACAAAAATTAGCCAGGCGTGGTGGTGGACACCTGCCTGCTCACAGGCTGAGTCAGGAGAATTGCTTGAACCCAGGAGGTGGAGGCTGCAGTGAGCTGAGATCGCACCATTGCACTCCATCCTGGGTGAGAGAGTGAGACTCCATCTCAATTAAAAAAAAAAAAAAGAAGGGACCCTGCTTTGTTCATGATTTTATTCTCGGTGTGTGGCATACACTAGGCCTGAAATAAATGTTATTTAAATGTTAAATTACATTGTCCCTCCTTCCGATACATTTGCCATCTGGTTAAATTCCAGTGAAGTCAAAGGATGGATTTCTTTAAATAAAGTTTGCTTCTTTTTCAAAAATTCCTTGGGCTCTTTCTAGAAAAGCTGCTCCTTTGCCATCTTCCCAGCAGATTCCCGGGGCAGGATCCACCCACCTGTTCACAGCTCCTTCCAGCGCAGTGTGGGTCCGGCTGTTAGCTCAGCCTCAAAGGAGAATTGTAAAGATACAGGTCAAGTGTCCTTTTGACCACCTTTTTTTTTTTTTTCTATATGCGGGATTTTGTGAGACAATAAAATGCATGTGGACCTCAGCTTAACAAAAGCTGAATGTTCCTGGGGTGAGTGTTTGAATCCAACAGGAAATAGATGCTCAACAGCTCTGAGTCTGGGGAGGTTTTAATGGCCTCTTGGTCCCTGGTAGGGTCTTGTTTTTCGGGGTAGTTTTGCAGCCTCTGACACAGGTAAGATGGTCAGTACCGGAAGCTGCCATGACGTCTAGACTGACCGTTAGGAAGGTACTCACTGGACTGGTATTCACAGATGGAAATAAACCAAAGCAGTGTCTAGGGTCAACCAATCTGCTTTGCTGCCTTCACGGGGAGGTCCTGGGACCCTTTCATGGAGGAACTTTTTAATGCTTATTTTAACCCTGAAGGTAAAACATGAAACATGCAGCCATTACTCCAAGAAAACGTAACGTGGGTGAGTGGTGTGTCTCGGGGGCCCACGGTCTCCCTGAGGCCGCATCTCTCTGGAGAGATCGTGGACGTCCGTCGTAAACTATGACCTATTCACATTTTCACTTTACTCTCAACTTTCCAGGAGTGAGTCCTCTCCAGAGAGCAAGACGGAGCTGCGTTTCAACAGACGGTGCTTTCAATCTGTGCTGACTGTAACTTTTATCCATCATAGGTTTGAAGACATACCTGATATCGGGTCAGAGAGCCAAGGAGTCTCGCTGCAGCTGTGCAGAGGCCTTGCTTTCTGGCTTTGAGGTCATTGACGGCTCACAGGTGTCCTCAGGCCCTAGGGGACAGGGGACAGCGTCATCAGGGAATGTCAGTGACTTGGCGCAGACTGTCAAAACCTTTGATAACCTTAAGGTTAGTTTTTTTGTTTTTTTTTTCCTACTTCTAAAACTTTCTATTAATTCTGCAGTAGAGCACGTGAAATAATAAGCAGCCTCCAGGTCTGAGGCAAACAACTTGGAATGACCTTCGATTTGGTTTTCACGATTTTAATATTTAGTCTAAAGTTAGTAGCATTCTGCATTTTTAACATCCTTGCTTTTTGACATATGACGCACCTCCATTGCCTTTCCATTGCACAAGGATGCTTCTCATTTGAATTATTAGTTATTTTCTCTTCCTGGGACCTGTGGTGCCTTTTGGGATTTCTAGAAGCTGGTGATAAATGACAGTAAAGGTGGCTTTCCTTGGCACCTTGGGTGGAGAGCTAGTTGATAATCTGATTTCAGAGACCACTTTCTCAAATACTTCTACGTCTCTTGAAATCCACTATTTTATGATTACTTGAAATGATGTTGGTGTGGGTGAATCCTAGGACACAGCTCACTGAGAGGACAGGCTGCCGAGAACATTGTAGTATTTCATTATTGGAACCGGGATCTCCTGGTAGCTGCCTAGAAGTGCCCGTTTCTGGACTGACCTGTCATCATAAACTACCAGGGAATTGGCGCGGTCGACCTTGGGTGTGTGAAATCATTTCAGTTTATGAGCTGTTCCTTTGCTTTCACATTTGATTTAGTTTCCCCACTGGTACCTTCTGTTTATTTTTATAGTTTAAACATCTACTGTCTCCATTCTTAAAATGAGACAGAGAATCAAAACAGCTCTCCTATGCTGCTTTGTGTTCTCAGATAACACAGTGGGGTATGTGTGAGGATGGCGGCCAGTGGTTACAGCTTCACCCAATACGTCCCTGCCTCTCCACATTCATTCACAGGTTTGAAAGCCGCTATTGGTATTTACGAGGAACAGTCTTCATTATGTGGCAGTCAGCTGGGGTATGCAGATTACTTACTGGGTCAGAATACATAGTGCCTGTCGCCCAGTTACACGTAATGATTGCACTCGGGTTCTGTCAACTCCGCTCGTGGATCGCGGTCGTTGGGTGCTTTGTTAGTGTAATGCAGGGCTTCTCACCTTGGCACCGCTGGCATTTTGGACCAGGTAGTCATGTGTTGTGGGGCTGTCCTGTGCACTGTCAGATGGCTGGCAGCATCCCTAGCCGCCACCTGCCAGATGGCAGCATACCCACCCGTACCCTACTCCCCAGCTGTGCCAACCAAAAATGTCTCCAGACATGGCCCAGTGTCCCCTGGGGGTGCAGAGTCACCCCTGGGTGAAAACCACCGGGACAGTGGTGTTGGACCCTCTCTTCCCTGTACTCTTGGCACATGTGTAAAGCTCATGTATCTGAGATTCCCTGGATGCCTGCAAACTTTAGAGACAGCCGCCTTGCCTGGGCTGACGTTGTGCAGGAGTCAGAAAATGGAGCTCTGGGCTCCTAGACAGCGGACCCGGGCAGGGAGGGGCTGGCGTGGGGTGGAATCGGGAATGGTTTTGCTATTTGGGGAAGAATTGTTTCCTCCAGCCTGCAAACTGAGCTGTATTTAAGTCGTGAAAGACAGCCCCGAGCCAAAAATATATAATTCGTTGTGTTTGCCATTTTAGCTTCCACATATGTGTGTTTCTGTCCGTTAGGGGATGCGGTCGCAGAGTTCACCATATCACATGCTCACGGGTTTAGTGACCACGGTTTTAGCAATGGCGATTCTACACTACATTGCACTCTAGTCATATATATTTGTTTTGGTCGGAATGAGCAAAAACCATTTAGCGTATCTTCTTGGCATGTGGAGATTTTCCAAATATTGTTGAAAGTTTCTGAGAATCTTGTGATCTATCAAGTTGACAGAAGGCCGGGCATGGTGGCTCACGCCTGTAATCCTGGTGCTGTGGGCGGCCGAGGTGGGAGGGATGCCTGAGGCTAGGATTTCCAGACCAGCCTGGTCATCGTAGCAAGACATCATCTCTACAAAAAAATTTTAAAAATTAACTGGGCTTGGTGGCCTGTGCCTGCGGTCCCAGCTACTTGGGAGGCTGAGCCAAGAGGATCACTTGAGCCCAGGAATTTAGGCTGCATGAGCTATGATTTTGCCACTGCACTCCAGCTTAGGCCACAGAGTGAGACCTTGTCCTGTCTCCAAAAAAAGGGAGGAGGGTGCTCAGTGGTAAAGTAAATTCGGGAAGCTTGGGATATTCAACACAGAAAGGGTTTCTTTACTGCAGGACTTCTCGGAGCCTTCACTAGGCTAGTAGACAGTAGCTAGGCCTTCAGAGGAGGACGCGGTATATACAGCATTCTCAGGCCTCTTTGAGCACAATTGTTTTTTTTCAAGCTGCACCTTGCAGGGCTAATGTGGTCACACCTTTTGGGGGAATGCTCATGTAGTAAAAGGAGTTTCATGCCAAGGACCAATACATTAGAGAAAAGGTGTTCAGGAAACGTTCCCTGAAGGAGCATGCGTAGATTTTCACGTGTGTCCTGTTCCTGCTGCTGCTCACTTGAGATACTCATGGCTTCTCTTTCCCCTGAACTCCTGTCTGCATTCACCGTTCAGCTCCACCACGCCTTCCCGTGCCTCCGCAGCTGATAACGCTGTTCCCTCGTCTCCAAATTCTCAGTCCCTTCAGTCTGTCCCACTTGGCTGTAACATACACGATCTTAAATCTTTGTTTCTTATGCGTCTTCCTGGGAGCTCTTTGCATTCAGAGACTGAGTGTTAAATAACTTAAATATTTCCCAAGTGTCGAGCATGGTGCCTGGCATGTAGTAATTAACAGTTTCTTTTTGGCTTTTTAATTCTTTAATTAAACACATGGAGCGATGCAGCTCTGCAGAGCCAGGCGAAGGACTGAAGTCAGAAGCCCGAGCAGAACTGTGTAGAACCAGGGCAGCGCCCACGAAGGGTTTATTTCCTGCCCTTAGCATGTGTGTCCTCTGTGACCTTAAGTCATCTCCTAGGTCATAGCTGGAAAATTCTTATCTAATGTAACATAACCTGTGTACTGTAACGACCTACCAGGAAATGATAGTGATGTCAAAGGCCAGGGCTTTGGTCCTGAAGTCATAGCTCAAAGGGAACCCTTTCTACACCCAAGTGTTGGCTTCTTTTTTTTTTTTTTTTTTTTTTAAAGAGATGGGATCTCGCTCTGTTGCCCAGGCTAGAGTACCAGTGGTATGATCTTAGCTCACTGCAGCTCGAAACTCTCAGGCTCAAGTGATCCTCCCAAGTCAACCTGCTGAGTAGCTAGGACCACAGGCATGTGCCACTATGCCTAGCTAATTTTTAAATTTTTTTTTTTTTGCTATATTGCCCAGGATGGTTGCCAACTCCTGGGGTTATACCATCCTCCTGCCTTGGCCTCTTAAAATGCTGGGATTACAGTCATGAGCCACTGTGCCTGGCCTTGGGTTCTTGAAATGACCAGCAGTGAGAGGTCCTCATCCTAAGGGCCCTGACATTGCATAATGTGGGGGACAGATACTGCCCGAGTGAAGGAAGGAGAGGTCAAGAAGGAAACCAAGGAGTAAGCATTAGACATGAGGACGCCACTGTCAGCGTCGCGGAGGGGAGGCGGACCACGGCGGGCAGGGGCGCAACTTGAAGCAAGACCCTTCTCAAGCCTTGGCTTTGCGACTGTGAAGAAACTGCAGCCAGGTGCAGTGGCTCATGCCTGTAGTCCTAGCCACTCAGACAGCTGAGGCAGGAAGATCGCTTGAGCCCAGGAGTTAGAGGCTGCAGTGAGCTGTGATGATGCCACTGCACTCCAACCAGGGTGACAGAATGAGACACTGTCTCAAAAAAAAAAAAAAAAAAAGAAAAGAAAGAGCAAACACACACTTAATTCCTCTAAGTGAGAGTTTTCCTCTTCAGTGCGGTGGTGATAAGGAAGAGACCTCTCGGGATTGCTGGGAGATGAGCCGGAATGGTGCCTGTGGACGCCAGGGCTGAGAAGAAGCCTCGCTCACACTCGGCACGCACGCCTTCACTCCACGCAGAGCAGGGACAGTGACCACAGACGGAGCCATGGAGGACTGGGAGGGGCCGAGAGACGGTCCCAGCTTGCCTGCAGGAAGTCACTGACTCTCTGGGGAAGGTCCCATCTTCTCCACGGTTCCGATTCGAGGGAGATTCTCACAGTGATTGCGGCTGAGCATTGCTGTGGGTTGGATGCTCTCGGCCGTAACCAAGTCACTTGTATGACACGGGAGCATGTGTGCCTTGGCCTGTTGAATGTGACGTCAGCGCTCCAGCAGGCATTTGCTTTCCATTTTCTCATGAACCCTGTGGGTGATGAGTGGATCTAGATGCCATATATCAATAAAAACAGCTTTTCCAACATCTTCATGAAGAAAAAGAAAACCCAACTGGGCTCAGTGGCTCATGCCTGTAATCCCAACACTTTGGGAGGCCGAGGCAGAGAGATCACCTGCGGTCAGGAGTTCAAGGCCAGCCTGGCCAACATGGTGAAACCCCATCTCTACTAAAAATACAAAAATTAGCCAGGTGTGGTGGCATATGCCTGTAGTCCTAAGCCACTCAGGAGGCTGAGGCAGGAGGATCCCTTGAACCTAGTAGGTGAAGGTTGCAGTGAGCTGAGACCACGCCACTGCACTTCAGACTGGGCAATAGAGTGAGACTCCATCTCGAAAAGAAAAGAAAACCCAAAATTGAATTACTTGTATCACATTACTTCTGATCAGGGAACCATTTGAGCTGTGAAAGCATCTTAGTACATCTCTGAAAGGCCTCCCTGGAGCGCACCTGCGTGGCTGGTCTTCCTGAGTTTACCTTCATCTATTATTCAGAACCCCGGGCTGCTTGGCCACTGGGTGTTTCTACATGGACCAGTCAGTAATGAAGCTAGTGATGTAGATTTACCCATACGGGGATGATTCAGAGAGGACCTGTCCTGCTTTCAAAAGGTTTCTCCTTCCCCTTTAAGGCCACTCACCTCAGGAACCATCCTTTTGTGACAGTGAATTTTGAAAATGACCCTAAATGATAACTTCTTTTATCTACTTGTTTTCTATGTGTCAAGTCATTATGAGTAGGCTCAGTTGGCCCAATTTGAGGAAGTAAGGGGCTTTTCATTCGTTATAGAAATTGAAAAAATGATTTCATATTTTATAGACACATACATATATAAATATATATAGCTTAGAAATTAAATAGGTATTTATTATAAGTGGTAGTCTGAATTGATAGTGGTGATGCTTGCACATCCCTGTGAATATGCTATAAACCCTGGAGTTATATACTTTAAATGGGTGCATTATATGCTTTGCAAATGACATCTTAAGAAAGCTGTTGTAAAACTAAAGGGTAGTCTCCGCCAGGTGAGGTGGTCACACCTGTAATCCCAGCACTTTGGGAGGCCAAGGCAGATGGATCACCTGAGGTCAAGAGTTCGAGACCAGCCTGGCCAACATGGTGAAACCCCATGTCTACTAAAAATTTAAAAATTAGCCGGGTGTGGTGGCTGGTGCCTGTAGTCCCAGCTACTTGGGAGACTGAGGCAGGAGAATCTCTTGAACCTGGAGGCGGAGGTTGCAGTGAGCTGAGATCATGTCACTGCCCTCTAGCCTGGGCAACAGAGTGAGATTCCATCTCAAAAAAAAAAAACAATAAAAAAAAAAAACCATCTCTACAAAAACTATAAAAGTTAGCCAGGCATGTTGGTATCCACCTGTAGTCCCAGCTACCTGGGAGGCTGAGGTGGGAGGATCGCTTGAGTCTGGGAGGCAGAGGCTGCAGTGAGCCAAGATTGCACCATTGCACTCTAGCCTGGGCACTAGAATGAGACCCCATCTCAAAAAAGAAAGGTGGGGGGCGGGGTAGGAATAGGAACTTCACAGTGGACAAACCGGGCAGATGCCACCTTCACCAAATGATCCAGGTGAGCCTCCCTGCTCACTGCCATCCGGTACCCTAGTGTGGTGTGCTGAGAAGGGCATGTCACCTCTGCGGCATTCTTTCCGCAAACCCCAAACCTCAGTCTGCTCTGAGAAAGCACCAGGCAGGTCCAGATCTGGACATTTGACAAAATGCCTGGCCGGGACTTCAAACGCAGCAGGGCCAGAAGAGACAGAGAAAGACAGAGGAACCCCCATAGGCTGGGGGTGAGCAGGGGGCATGAGGGCTAAATGCAACACGGGACCTAGAGGAGACCCGAACAGCAAAGGGACGGTGCGGAAACTGGGGACATCAGAATAAAGCCAGCAGCTTAGTTAACGGTATCGCGCCAGCATGAGTTGCTTTGGTTTTGATAACTGTACGGTGAGTATGTACGGAGGATATATGCAGAGTCCTTGAACTGTCTTTCCCACTCTCTGCAAGTCTAAAATTATTTCAAAGTAAGAAATTATATATGTGTGTGTGTGTGTGTGTGTGTGTGTGTGTGTGTGTGTGTAGAGAGAGGGATGGAAATGTATGTGCGGAATCATTGAACTGGCATTGCCAGAGAGTGAAATATTGCATTTCCATGAAATTTCCCCAGATGCCAAATATTTTCTTATCTTGACTTCATGATGGACTGTTTCCACAGCTGGTAACAGTCTTCCTGCCTGACAGTCTGCTGAGTATATTTTCATCTATTCTTGACTCGGATCGCCATCACCAGCCTGGTTATTGAGCCCAGTGGTCCTTTAGGGCTAAGGGATTGAGTGAGAGGTCCAGGGACTTTTCGACTCCGCCCCGTGTGGCTCTGAGATTGTGTGTGTGAGTTTTACACGTGTGTGTTCATGTGGTGACTTGTCTAGTATTCTCAGGCCATCTGCTGTCTGTTCTTACTGCTTTGGGGATGTAAGAAAATTTCTTTTTCTGTGATAATTACTGCTTATCTTTTCTTCTAATATTCTGCTTCTATTTTTCTCTAATGTTGCATTAGCAGAAATACTCTATTTTGTACTTATGCCCGTACCTAACCTGTTAGCTTAAACAGCAATGCCAGGGACATAGAGTTAGCCCCATGGCTCTGCCGCACTGACAGGCTGCCCCGTTCACCTGGAGATCGTTGGGGCCAGGAGCTCTGCTGCCTGGGCTCACCGCCTCTTTACGCGGTTCCGACCGTACCGTGTGGCTCTGGGCCAGTGCTTGCTCTGTCTCAGTGTCCTCATCTGTAAAATGGAACCGATCATAGTACCTGCATCGTGGTTGCTTACGAGGGTTAAGCAGATACAAGGAGTTTCAAAGAACACCTCAGGAAATTGTGTTTGTGGTTATTGTGGTTGCAATATCATGACTATTCCTGCTCACCATGTTAACATCATTTTGAGTTTGGGAGCAAAGGATGCTTCTGATAACACGACATCTTGCAAAACAGTCGTGTTGAGAAGACGAAGCAGGCAAAGCCAGGGCTCTTCTACTGGTGTATCCTCCTCATTTCTGAGAAAAGAGGTTTCCCCACTCCCTCCCTTGACAGTTTTGAAAAGGGACAGCTGTTGGCTTAGAAATGATTTATCTTGTGATGAGAAATAACCTTGAAGAAAAAACGATTTTATAGCTTTGTGCCATATATTTTGACCGGAATGTAGGGTGCACGTCCTGAAATGTGTTAAAAACAAATGCAAATGTGCCCAAGTGTGTTAGAGAAATGGCTACACTCTTCCCTCCAAAGCCCACGTCCACATGGGGGAAGGAGCAAAGATAATCCGGAAAAATGCAGAGTTTGCTCTTGGGCGTTCTCCAGGGAATCTCAGGTTACCCAGGCAACAGCCAGCAAACTCCCTGGCCCGCCAGGCGTGCTGCTGGGAGGACCTTAGAAGTCTTGAGACTTCCCTTGATGCCGGAGGGCCCAGGGTGCTGCTTGGAAGAACCAGGAGGACAGGCATAGCTGCTCAGGTCACTCTAGGGAAACAAGGCCCAGGAGAGCAAGGTGCCAGGATTATTCCTGGGTCCTCCTTGTGCCAGGAAAGGGGGCCAGAGCCATATGACGGTGGTCCGGGTCCCAGGGCCCTGGAGTCTGTGGCCGTCTGCGGAATGATCATTGCTGCCTCACAGTGTGGCTGCAAAGGACGAGATCATACAGTCGAGACTGCAGATATTGCGTGGATGGGGGCCCGACTTGTTCACGGGTAGGATCTTGGCCCATAGACATTCCTAAGTCATAGTAGCTACTGTCATTATGACACTGCTTTTTCTCTAATGTGCCTGCCCGTGTGGCTCCCTGTGAGCCAGCTGCTAGGGTTGTCTCCCAAGGCAGTGAGGTGCTTCCATGCCTGCAGCTTCCTGGAGTCAGAAATACTCTTCCCAGGGAGGGCTTCTCAGCAGGGGTGGAGATGCCTGCAGCTGTGCAGGGGGAGACGCTGTTTAGCCGGCTGGGAAACATTTCACAGAGGCATCTGTACTTGGCAAAAAACATGTTGTGAAATGTCTTAATCCAGATTAAAATTAAGCTAATGAATCGCTCAAGGAAAATTGCCATGGGGGTTGGGGGGTAGGAGGTCAGGGGAGGGAAACAAACCCACCCACCATTGCATGGTGGGACCCTCCTGGTACAGAAGGGGCCTCTAACTACAGCTCAGAAGGGGATGTTGAGATGTGAGAATCTCTCCATTGGGTAGATGGATTTCTCTTTTTTTCTTTTCTTTTCTTTTCTTTTCTTTTCTTTTCTTTTCTTTTCTTTTCTTTCTTTCTTTCTTTTCTTTTTTTTTTTTTTTTTTTTTTTTTTTGAGACAGAGTTTTGCTCTTTTGCCCGGGCTGGAGTGCAGTGGCACCATCTCGGCTCACTGGAACCTCCACCTCCCGGGTTCAAGAGATTCCCCTGCCTCAGCCTCCCTAGTAGCTGAAACTACAGGTGTGCACCACCACGCCAGGCTAATTTTTTGTATTTTAGTAGAGACGGGCTTTCACCATCTTGGCCAGGATGGTCTCAATCTCCTGACCTTGTGATCCACCCATGTTGGCCTCCCAAAGTGCTGGGATTACAGGCATGAGCCACTGCGCCTGGCTTCTTTTTTCTTTTTTAAAGAGACAAGGTCTTGCTCTATGACCCAGTCTGCAGTACAGTGGCATGACCATAGCTCATGGCAGCCTCTCCCTCCTGGGCTCAAGCGACCCTCCCACTTCAGCCTCCTGAGTAGCTGGGACTACAAGCACACACCACTGTGCCCAGCTAATTTCTAAAATTTTTAAAAAGCTTTTGTAGAGATGGGGTCTTGATACATTGCCCAGGTTGATCTCAAACTCCTGGGCTCAAGCAAGCCACCACACCCAGCTCTAAGATTTCTTTTGTTTCATTTGTTTGAAAGTTTTTATCTAGAAAATTATCCCTCAAAAGGAAGGTAGCTGAGGAATCTTGCTCTGTCGCCCAGGCTGGAGTGCAGTGGCACAATCTGGGCTCACTGCAACCTCCGCCTCCCGGGTCCAAGCGACTCTCCTGCCTCAGTCTCCCCAGTAGCTGGGATTACAGGTGTGTGCCACCACACCCAGCTAATTTTTGTATTTTTAATAGAGACAGGGTTTTGCCATGTTGACCAGGCTGGTCTTAAACTCCTGACCTCAGGTGATCCACCCGCCTCAGCCTCCCAAAGGGCTGGGATTACAGGGATGAGCCACTGCGCCCAGCCAAAATCCGCATTTTCAAAGTGCAGTAAAATGATGGCTGCTGGGTCCGGGTGACACAGGTCTGTGGGACCATGCCACCCAGCGCGGCCTGGAGTCTGCACCTGGCTCTCCCCCCACCTCCCATACTCCCACTTCCCGGACAAACCTGCTGGGAATGGAATAGGCAGTGAGCACTGTCCCGGCCCTCAGGAGGCCCGAGCGTGGGTGTCTACAGCTGGCCATGTGACCCAGACAGCCCCCTTCCTTCTGCAAGCGCAGCCTCATTTGCCATTTGTGGGCGGCTCTGCCAGACCTCACTTCTGTATCAGAACTTCTTATCACTGCAGGGTGCAGGCCTCGGCCTCTGTTCAAGGGGATGTAAGCAAAGCACTGAGTTCCCCACCTGTGGAGACCACTGCCCCAGGCCCCCAGAGCTCAGCCTCATCCCAGTGGGCATGCCCGGGCTGCACCGGCCTTCCAGCCCCTCTGAGGGAAGCCCTTGTGGAGGGCATGGAGCCCCCTGTCCTCAGTGTGCCCTCTGGTGCCAAGTTGGTTTGACTGTCACGGTGACACATTCATGGCTCTAAATGCTTAGAAAATCTCATAAAGCCAGTGTGCCGTGGGGGGCACTGAAGAAGCAGGCGGCCTCGTCTTAAAGCACAGGAGGGTTGGCCGGGCACGGTGGCTCACGCCTGTAATCCCAGCACTTTGGGAGGGCAAGGCAGGCAGATCACTTGAGGCCAGGAGTTCGAGACCAGCCTGACCAACGTGGTGAAACCCCATCTCTACTGAAAATACAAAAATAAGCCAGGCGTGGTGGTGGGCGCCTGTAATCCCAGCTACTCAGGAGGTTGAGGCAGCAGAATTGCTTGAACCCAGGAGGTGGAGGTTGCAGTGAGCCAAGATCTCCCCACTGCACTCCAGCCTGGGTGACAGAGCGAGACTCAGTCCCAAAAAAACAAACAAACAAAAAAAGAGAGAAAAGCACAGCAGATGAACTTGAGGCAAGAAAAATACCTGAAACAGACTGACGCCAGGAGATTCCTGTGACTAAATGGCTACAGAAGAATAGATACCAAGGGCTGTTCTGTCTGTAATCAAGGACATTGAATTACCAGATGAACTTTAATGACCAGAGAGCATAGTTAACAGAAGTTTTCATATTCACTACCAGCATTTACTGAGCACGCACTTGCACTTCGGGCTTTGGCTGAGCCAAGTGCAGCAGACGCTTCCACACCTCCAGCTTCCTTTCCTGGTCTACCGGTTGGGCCCTGAAATGGCTGGTGTGCCCCATCAAGCACCAAGCCCCCCACCTTAGCCACACCAGAGAGTTCCCTCAGGCATCTTTTAGGCATGGGTATCAGGCACACCTATTTTATTCTTCTCTTGGTGTTAGATTTTTTTACATTTAATAAGAGCAGTGGTCTCATTGGCAAATATATACATATTTATACATATATATATGTATTTTGAGAATGGGTTTGCTCTGTCACCCACGCTGGAGTGCAGTGGCACAATCACAGTGCACTGCAGCCTTGACTTCCTTCGCTGAAGCAATCCTCCTGCCTCAGCCTCCCGAGTGGCTGGGACCACAGGCACGTGCCATCAAGGTCAGCTAATTGGTTTTATTTTTAGTAGAGACAAGGTCTCCCTATGTTGCCCAGGCTGGTCTTGAACTCCTGGCCCTAAGCAGTCCTCCTGCTTCGGCCTCCCAAAGTTCTGGGATTACAGGTGTGAGCCAGCACACCAGCAAAATGTTTAGAAGTTTAACTCTGCCAGTCAATACCAAGAGGTGCTTTCAAATAGACTCACTGTATGTTATTGATAACTAGAACATTTTACCTCTGTTGATAATGTCAGTTTTTAAAGAGCTGTAAGCAAATGTTATCTAGATGCCATTATTTGCTCAGATATGTTAATTAATGATTTCGCTAGCTGTTTTGGCATGTATATTTTCATTTTTTGAATGCATACAAATGTTCAAATTTAGCTTGTATGTTACATCAGATTCCCAAACTATACAACCCTGTAGAATCTTTGTTTCTTTTATTTAATATAGTACAGGTCTGCAGTCTAACTTTAAATACAACCTGGGTCATATCTTTGCCCTTAGGTAGTGACACTTACTTTAAATTTCCAAAATAATATCTGGCCTCCCATAATTTATTTCAATGTTTTACACTTCTTGCTGCAAGGAAATTGCTTTTGAGTCCAAAAAAAAAAAAAAATATATTTCTTGCCACGGTTTGTCTTCTTCATTGGAAGCTGTTAGTTGCTTTCTTAGATGGTTCCTAGGTTACCTGGTCACATTAATAATAATAATAAGTTTATTACGGGTATACTGTATGCCAGGAACTGTGCTAGGCTATATATATACTTATTTCATTTAATTATTATTTTTTTAAGACAGGGTCTTTCTCTTTTGCCCCAGGCTGGAGTGCAGTGGCACCATCAAAGCTCACTGCGGCCTTGACCTCCCAGACTCAAGCAGCCCTCCCACCTCAGCCCCACAAGTAGCTGGGACTACAGGCACATGCCACCAGGCCAGGCTAATTTTTATGCTTTTTGTTGAGGCAGGGTTTTGCCATGTTGCCCAGGCTGGCCTCAAATTCCTGGACTCAAGCCATCCTCCCACCCCAGCTTCCCAAAGTGCTGGGATTACAGCCGCCACACCCAGCCAATTTCATTTAATTCTTAGCAACATATCTTCACTCTTTGTTTATAGATGAGGGAACTGAGGTAAAGTGATTTGAACAGAGTCTCCAAACTAGTAAGTACTTGACTAGGGTTTGAATCCTAGTTTATGAGAAATAAAGGCTTTGCTCTTTTTAGGGTACCTGTATTAAATCTTGCCTTCTCTTTTCTAGGTCCATTAATTCCTATAAACTTTTAAGTACGCCTAGATCTGGAAATCGTGTACCTTTGATTATTCAGCCCATCTTATGAGACTAGCTCACCATCACACGGAGCTTAAGAACCTTGGATTTGTGTCCTCGCATAGTTGGTGGCCAGTTTCTTTACTTAATAACAGCTTTGTTGAGATATAATTCACATACTATAAAATCGATCTTTTTGGCCAGGCACAGTGGCTCATGCTTGTAATCCCAGCACTTTGGGAGGCCAAGACGGGTGGATCACCTGAGGTCAGGAGTTCAAGACCAGCCTGGCCAACATGGCGAAACCCCGTTTCTACTAAAAACACAAAACAAGTAGCCGGGCGTGGTGGCAGGCACCTGTAATCGCAGCTACTCAGGAGGCTGAGGCAGGAGAATCGCTTGAACCCAGGAGGTGGACGTTGCAGTGAGCCAAGATCGTGACACTGTACTCCAGCCTGGGTGACAAGAGTGAAACTCCATCTCAAAAAATATTTAAAAATCGATCTTTTTAAAGTGTACAGTTCAGTGGTTTTTAGTATATTTAGCAAGGTTGTGCAACCATCACCGTGATCAATTTCAGAACATTTTTATCATCCCAAAGAGAAACCCTGTTGAAATACCACAAACCAGGTGGCTTTTAAACAACAGAAATGTATTTCTCAGGGTTCTGGAGGCTGGGAAGTCCGAGATCAAGGTCCCGGAAGATTCAGTGTCCAGTGAGGACCCGTTCCTGCTTCACAGATGGTGCCTTCTCCCAGGGCGAAGGGACGAGGGATTCCTCTGGGGCCTCTTTTATGAGGGCACTAATCCTATTTTGAAGGCTTGTCCCCCATGACCTAATTACCTCCCAAGGCTTTGCCCCCCAATGCCATCCCCTTGGGAATTAGGATTTCAGCGTCTGACTTTTGAGGGGGCACAAACATTCGAATCGTAGCAAACCCCACGCCCCTTAGCAGCCACTCCCCCTTCCTGCCCCCGGTCCCGCCTGGCAGCCAGGAATCTGCCTTCTCCCTCCAAGGATTCACCTTTTCTGAATATTTCACATAGACGGGATCACGTAATATCTGTGCTGTGTCTGGCTTCCCTCCCCGAGCATAATGTTTTCGAGGTTCACCATGCTGTGGCAGGCGTCAGTGCTTCCGTCTTTTTCGTGGCTGAGTAATATCCCATTGTTCGAATAGACCACAGTTTGTTGATCCATTGTTCAGTCAGTGAACATTCCCGGTTCCATTTTTGGGTCCTGTTGCGTTCGTGCCCGGGTTTCTGTGTGTTTCCACTGTCACTTTGCCCGTTGGCTTTCAGCTCATCCCCGAGCGGTTCTGTGTGCCTTCCCCTTGCTCACCACCATGCTGCGTGACGGCAGATGGCAACAGCGGACCTGCCTGAATTCAGGGTGGCAGTCGCGGTTTCTGGGTGTGTCCCCACAGTCTGTGTTTTTCTTCTAGACCTGCCCTTCGTGCGGAATCACATTTGCTCCCAAATCTGAAGCCGGCGCCGAGGGAGGAGCACCTCAAAACGGCTGCCAAGACGAGCATAAAAACAGCACCAAGGTAACAAGCTCATGGCTGTTGTTCCTGTCAGTTCCTCTCCTGGCGCATCCACCCAAGGTGACATTCCTGTCTTGTCGACTTCTTAGTTCTGAGAGTAACTCCTCTTGGGTAACAGCACTCCGCACCCGCGGGTCCTCCGGGTGTTGAAGAGACCGGCAGGGAGCTCGAGGGAGGGTCAGCAGCAACCCACGTGGAAACCAGCGCTCAGGGGCTGAGCTGGGCGGGATTCCTTTAAAGGCCAATAAGGGTTTAAAATGCGTGGATTCGAGTGCCGGGAGGGGATTTGTGGTACTGGAAGCTGGACTCAGTTTATGAGAGAATATAGACGGGCAGAGACAAGAGGGGGTCTTCACGGCGAGAAAGGCTGGGTGAAGAGAGAGGTTGGGAGTTAGGGCCGGTGGCAGGAAGGCTTTCAGGAAAACCAGACTTGGACACCAGGGCCAGGACTCAGCCCACCCGCGAGAGCCTGTCGGCGGGGGCTCATGCAGGCGACTCACCTGGGGCGCGGGCTCTCGTCCTCCATCTGCTCTCCATCTGCCAAAGGATTGCAGGTGCAGGTCATCCCATGCCTTCCCACAGCCACGGGGGACACCCACGACACGAGCCCGTTTCCATCCACCTTGCCTGTGCCCTGACAGCCCTGGACCCCTCGTCATACTTCTCCTGGACCCCCGACCCATGCACCCTGCTCCCAGAACCGTGGTTCTGGCCTAAGCAGACTCTGGGGGCCTCGGCTCCTCACTTTCCTCCCTTCCCCTCCACCTCCGCACCGACTCTTCCCATGTCTCAATGTCCTGGCAGCCTGAACACCCAGCGTTACCACTGGGCACTGTTGGGTAACAGGAAGGAGCAGACGGGCAGTCAGGGCTGGGATTGGAGCAGGTCTGTAGGCGCAGGGGGGTGGGGGTTCCTCGCAGGTCAGAAAGTCCCACGCCCAGTGCAGCAGCGCCCCGCAGCGGAGGTCGGGGTGGGACAGGCGTGTGTGCCCAGTGCCCGGTGCCACTTCACTTCCCGTGTCTGCGTCCTCTTTGTCTCGAGGCAGGCTTCTGGAGGACCTAATCCCAAAACTCAGAACGGGCTCCTCAGCCCTCCCCAAGAGGAGAAGCTCACCAACAGTCAGACTTCTCTGTGTGAGATCTTGCAGGAGAAGGGAAGGTGGGCAGGGGTGAGCCTGGACCAGTCGGCTCTCCTTCCGCTGAGGTTCAAGAACATCCGGGAGAAAACGGACGCCCACTTTGTGGACGTTATCAAAGAAGACAGGTACGACTGGGGCTGTCTGGGAAAAAGCAAAGGTTGCAGGCAGAAGCCTCTCTGCCTTTTTCTTTTCTTTTCTTTAAGACTGAGTCTCGCTCTGTCATCCAGGCTGCAGTGCAGTGGCGCGATCTTGGCTCACTGCAGCCTCTATCTCCCAGGTTCAAACGATGCTCCTGCCTCAGCCTCCCAAGTAGCTGGGGTTACTGGCACCCACCACCATGCCTGGCTAGGTTTTGTATTTTTAGTAGAGATGGAGTTTCATCATGTTGGCCAGGCTGGTCTCCATACTCCTGACCTCGGGTGATCCACCTACCCCACCCTCCCAGAGTGCTGGGATTATAGGCGTGAGCCACCACGCCTGGCTTTTTTTTTTTTTTTTTTTTTTTTTATAAGGACTAGGTCTTGCTGTGTTGCCCAGGCTGGAGTGCAGTGGCTCAATCTCGGCTCACTGCAACCTCCACCTCCCAGGTTCAAGTAATTCTCCTGCCTAGGTCTCTCAAGTAGCTGGGACTACAGGCATACACAACCATGCCCAGCTAATTTTTGTGTTTTTAGTAGAGATGGGTTTTTAACATGTTGGCCAGGCGGGTCTCGAACTCTTGGCCTCAGGTGATCTGCCCGCCTCGGCCTCCTAAAGTGCTGGGATTACAGGTGTGAGCCTGTGCCTGGCCTAATGGTAACATTTTTGAAAAATACAGGTCCAGTCCTTTTATCAAATATTCCTGAAGTTGGATTGGTTAGATTCAGGCTCTCCCTCTGGCCAGGCAGAGACTGCAGAAGGGATGCCGTGTCCTCCTCAGGGTGTCCTCTCCAGGGACACGCAGTGCCCGTCTGTTCCTCATTAGTGATACTAATTTTGATTAATTAGGCAAGGTGGTGCCGGGTTGTCTCATCTAGGGTTATTATATTCCTCTTATGACTAATAAGCAATCTGTGAGAAAATACTTGAAGATCTTGTACATATTTCATTCCCCATCAGAATTCCCTAGATTTAACATTCATTGATGATTCTTGCCTCTGTCTTCACTATAATGCCTCAAAGGGTGATTTTCAGCCAGGCGCTGTGGCTCACGCCTATAATCCCAACACTTTGGGAGGCCGAGGCAGGTAGATCACCTGAAGTCAGGGGTTCAAGACCAGCCTGGCCAACAAGGTGAAACCCCGTCTCTACTAAAAGTACAAAAATTAGCTGGGCGTGGTGGCGGGTGCCTGTCATCCCAGCTACTCAGGAGGCTGAGGTAGGAGAATCGCTTGAACCCAGGAGGCAGAGGCTGCAATGAGCTGAGATCGCAGCACTGCAACTCCAGCCTGGGCAACAGAGCGAGTCTCCATCTCAAAAAACAAATAAGAAATAAATGGAGCAGCACAGCTAATAGCAGTGTCGCTTCTGCCACTTGACTGCTAAAATGTGGCCTTGTGCACATCCTCTCTGCAGCTGCGTGGTTGCTCTTCCCTCAGTCCACACTCCCTGAGTCAGGGGAGGAGAGAGGGTCAGTGTCCTGGGACAGAATTATTTCTCTTCTGAGTCTGAGAATGTTGGAAGTTACTGGATACCTGTCACAGAAAGGAGAGTGTCCGCCGTGCTGCAAGGACAGGAAGGAACACACGTGATGAGCCGTACTTTGTGTGGGGGGCACATGAGGCACTTGACATATTTCACCTGATTTACTCTTTTTTTTTTTTTTTGAGACATAGTCTTGCTGTGTCACCCAGGCTGTAATGCAGTGGCGCCATCTTGGCTCATTGCAACCTCCATCTCCCAGGTTCAAGTGATTCTCCTGCCTTAGCCACCCGAGTAGCTGGGATTACAGGCACCTGCCACCAGGCCTGGCTAATTTTTGTATTTTTTGTAGAAACGGGGGTTCACCATGTTGGCCAGGCTGGTCCCGAGCTCCTGACCTCAGGTGATCCGCTTGCCTCGGCCTCCCAAAGGTCTGGGGATTACAAGGATGAGCCACCGCGCCCAGCCTCGTCTAATTTACTTCTGATAGTCACTGTATGAGGGAGAGAGGCTAACACAGCTATATTTGCTTTCTGAAATCATGTTAACGTTCCCTTAGTTTCTAGTAATTTTCTGCAGTATAGAAAGGATATTACTATTTGCTGGCAATTCATAAATGAATGAAAGAGTCATGGAAAGCGGGGTTGATTTCCCTGCTATTAAAATCACTGAGCTTTATCATTCTGCAGGTTTCACATGCAATCTGCATATGTGACAATAGCACCAAAATTACGCTAACTATAAACACAATTTTGTGATAACAACCTGTTAGCTTTTACGGTGGCAATTACTGTCAGTGCTCTGAATGACAGGACCGCCGGTTCTGAATTATGTTTTCGTTTGAAGCCTCCAAATCCATGTAAGTACTCTCAGCACAGTGATCTGCGTGTTCTTCACAAAAGATTGTTTCAAAGAACAGAAAAGCTGCCTTCATCTTCTCCTAATCCTAGACATTAGGAATGTGTTTTCAAAAACAAGCCTCAGCAGCTCACGCTGTCATCCCAGCACTTTGGGAGGCCGAGATGGGTGGATCTCTTGAGCCCAGGAGTTCGAGACCAGCCTGACCAACATGGTGAAACCCCGCGTCTGCTAAAAAATACAAAAATTAGCTGGGTGCGGTGGCAGGCGCCTGTAATCCCAGCTACTCAGGAGGCTGAGGCAGGAGAATTGCTTGAACCTGGGAGGCGGAGATTGCAGTGAGCCAAGATCGCTGCGCCATTGCACTCCAGCCTGGGCGACAGAGTGAGACCTTGCCTCAAAAAAAAAAAACCCCAAAAAACCAAGGTTCTGATGATGTGTGCTATAATCATGGTGGATGGTCATTCTTTAACGAAGGTGAAACACAAAATATGATTATGCTTTGAGGTGCGAAGGACTTTCCACAGATCTGTTTTAACAAGGGGCAGCTGAGTGGCGTCTGTTCCACAGGCGCTTTTAGACGCAGCTGTTGTAATATACCTAATGAGCAGCGTTTTGGTAGCTAATTATGATCTGAAAACATTGGCACAGTTATGGTGCTGGGTATTGATCGACTGCATTTGTTGTGTCTTCTAGCCTGATGAAAGATTACTTTTTTAAGCCGCCCATTAATCAGTTCAGCCTGAACTTCCTGGATCAGGAGCTGGAGCGATCCTACAGGACCAGCTATCAGGAAGAGGTGCGTTCATTTCTCCTTGCGCTTTTACTAAAGAATGTGTTTGTTGTTCTCACATGGTCATTCACTGTTAGTTTTGTGCTTTACCAAGGGATGGGAACACGAAGGCGAACATTGATTTCCCACACTCTGTAAACCCTAAGTGGCAACTGTACATGAAATGTCTCTTTGCAAAGGAGGAAAAAAACCCTTTCTTTAGTCCTTTGTCTTAAAGCGCAGCCTCGCCATTACTAGCCCCTTTCCTCTGCCGTGGCATCTCCAGGCTATCCCCAGCCTTGGAAGGGGCCCCCCCACCACAACCTGTCCTGAAAGGAAACCCCCAACCTGCCCTGGAAGGAAACCCCCCCACCTGCCTTGGAAGGGGCCCCCACACCTGCCCTGGTAAAGGAACCCCCCCCACCTGCCATGGAAGGGGTCCCCCACCTGCCCTGGAAAGGAACCCCTCCCCACCTGCCCTGGAAAGGAACCCCGACACCTGCCCTGGAAGGGAACCCCCCACACCTGCCCTGGAAGGGAATCCCCCACACCTGCCCTGGAAGGGAACCCCCCACCTGCCCTGGAAGGGAACTCCCCACCGACCTGCCCTGGAAGAGCCCCCGTCCCACCTGTCCTGGAGTCTTGGGTGAGACTCTTCTCTGTTGCCCTCCCTGCTTTCTTCCCCTGAGAAGGGCCCAGGAGGCCTTCACCTCTCTCTCTAACTCCGGCTCCATGTTCCCTCTCCCGCCCCCACCGCCTTAACCCCTTGTACTTGACTTCTCAGCCCATCACCCAATCCCACTTCCTCCAAGAAGCTCTCCCCGACTGCAGACTGGATTGTACTTCCCTTCATACACTTCCTTCTCCGTGTGTGCCCCATTTTGGAATCTTTCCGTGTGTGGTTCTGGATTCGTGTTCCTCCCTCCCTAGATGCTCAGCTCTGTGAGGTAGGACCCCCGTCTCTCTCCTCCAGCCCCTCCTTACAGCCTCCAGCACAGTCCCAACACCCATCTCTCTCCTCCAGCCCCTCCTCACAGCCTCCAGCAGAGTCCCAGCGCTCACAAGTGCTCCTTAGGGGGTTGCTGGAAGGAATAATACAAGAACCTAGAGCCTGGTTTGAATCCTGGCGGCTTCCAGACTGCATTCTCTCCTCTGGGCCCAAACCTAACCTCTGAGTGTTCCCAAGTCAAGAGTGGATGCCCTCCCCACCCGGAACAAAAGGGATTTCTCACTCTGATTCCCTTGGTTCCTCCAGCAGGTCTTCATTAAACTCCGTGGTGTCCTGGCTTGGGCTCTAGAGAGACCCTGGTGAGCCCAGTAGAGCCAGTTCATGCCTCGTGGGGTGGGAGGTGCCCCCTTCCGTCAGCCTCCAAGGGACAGTGAATATCCGTTAATGTCCCAGACATGGCTCCCGGAGTGGACTTGCAAGTTGGCAGTTGGCTGGTTGGTGGCCCGTAAGGCAAAATATCGTCTCATTTAATGCTCATAGCAATGCTGTAGGGAAGCTGATGATTATCCTCCTTTTACCAAAGAGCTGACGCTGAGCAAGGCTGAACAGGTGGCTGTGGTCCCATAGCCGGGGTCGGACACGAGTGGTCTGGCTGCCAAACCAGGCGTCCGGGCCGCTTCTCGCCCTGCACTGCTGAGCCTCCCAAACAGCAGACACCTTTGCCATGCCTTCCTCCAGGCACCAAATGTACGCTCAGCCTCTGCTCTGCCAGGGACTGTTCTTGGTGCTGGGGAAGGGGGAAAGACGTGGCCTGATGGGGAGCAGGAATTAGAAACAACATCCGGAGCTGGAGGTCTGCGAGTGCCCTCCCAGCACACGGCGAGGCACCAAGCCCAGGCTGGGGGCTCCAAGGGGGGAACTCCTGAGCCTGCCTCAGTGGGGGGACTAGGAATTAATGGAATGTGGGATGAGGGAACATTCTGGAGAGTGGGGCCAGCACCCACAAACGTTAGAGATACCAAAGAGCCTGGTTCGTCCAGGGAGTTGCAGGCGCATCCGGGGCAGGGTGGGGCAGGAGTGGCAGGACGTGGCAGGGGCCAGGTCACGGCTCCCATGCCATGGACTTTATGCCACAGGCCATGGGGAGCTGTTGAAGGATCTGGAACAGGTTGTGTTACAAAGATCACACAGCTCACACCTGTAATCCCAATTACTCAGGAAGCTGAGGCAGGAGGATCACTTGAGGCCAGTAGATAGACCAGCCTGGGCAACATAGTGAGACCCTGTCTCTTCCAACAAAAAGAAGAAAAACATGGCCGGGCGCGGTGGCTCATGCCTGTAATCCCAGCACTTTGGGAGGCTGAGGCGGGCAGATCACCTGAGGTCAGGAGTTCGAGACCAGCCTGGCCAACATAGTGAAACCCCGTCTCTACTAAAAATACAAAACTTAGCCAGGTATGGTGGCGGGCGCCTGTAATCCCAGCTACTTGGGAAGCTGAGACAGGAAAATCGCCTGAACCCGGGAGGCGGAGGTTGCAGTGAGCCGAGACCATGCCGTTGCACTATTGCACTCCGGCCTGGGCAAGAAGAGTGAAACTCCGTCTCAAAAAAAGAAAAAAAACAAACATGTATCAGCTGAGTTTCGGAGGGTGATAAGAGTGTGGACAAGACAGGAGGCCACATGACAGGTGGGAGGCTGTTACCGAAACTCAGGGCAGGTGGCCACAGGGTCCCGGTGGGGAGGAAAGGAGAGATGCCAGGACAAGGGAGCCTCCCAGCTGGCCCGCGTTTGGGGACTCATTGTGCTGGGGGCTCCACGTGGGTGCGTTCTTAGCCGAGCATCCCACCGCCCACAAGGTGCAAGTACTGGTTTATCCCTGGTTTTGGATAAAGAGACTGAGGCATGGACGCGTGGGTATCATAGCTAATCATGGTGGAGTGGCCTTGAGCCCAGACAGCCCGGCTGCAGAGCCTGTGCTCTGATGATGGTGGGACGGCCGCACCCGGAGGCCCTGGGATGTGGGTAGTGAGCAGGGCGGAGCCTGGCCCACGGTGCCCTGGCAGCCAGTGGCACTGTCCCTGGGTTTCGCCCATGGGGAGAGAGGGCGAAAGAGTGTCATGATGTGGGGGAGCGTCGTTCTCAGTGGGACTGGGACAGGTGGCACTCCCGGGATGCACAGGGGTGGGGCAGATGGGCCTGGGAGCCTCTGGCATCAGGGCCAGGGGTGGCCCAGAGGGGGAGGCTGTGGCAGGGACAGGTGTCTCTGGCAAGTAGCAGGGCAGGCAGGAGAGACTGCAAGGGAGGTGGAGGGAGGAGCGGGGCCTCTGGCAGCGTCCATGGATGGGGCAGTTCTACAGAGGAGATGGCAGCCCCAATCAGGAAAGGCCCTGTACCCGAGCCCTTGGCTTGGAAGGTGGGAGGTGTGGGCTCTCAGAAGGACGGCAGCCCACGTGGAAACCTTCCGGCCTCACATGTGGGCAAGGCAGTGATGTCTCAGGGACATCACATGCATGCACCCGGCCCTGACTCGAACCCCTGACGGGCACTAGATGGAGCCCCACAGAAAGGGGACGTGCGTGGGCCTCTGCCAAGGTGAGTGGGCATGGGCAGTGTCGCCCCTGAAATTCCTACACCTGGCCGGGTACAGTGGCTCAGGCCTGTAATCCCAGCACTTTGGGAGGCCGAGGCAGGCAGATCACGAGGTCGAGATAGAGACCATCCTAGCCAACTTGGTGAAATCCCATCTCTACTAATCATACAAAAATTAGCTGGGCGTGGTGGCGGGTGCCTGTCCTCCCAGCTACTCCAGAGGCTGAGGCAGGAGAATTGCTTGAACCTGGGAGGCGGAGGTTGCAGTGAGCCAAGATCGCGCCACTGCACTCCAGCCTGGCGACAGCCAGATCCCATCTCAAAAAAAAAAAAAAAAAAAAGGAAAAGAAAAGAAAAATGAAAAAAAAGAAATTCCCACACCTTCTGAGGGGATTCCAGGGCTGGGACCTGACTTGCCCTTTTGGGCACTACAGAGCCTCCAGCTTCCTTGGAGAGAATTTGGAACCAAACCCTAACCCCCAGGTTGCCCTGGCAGGGTCCAGCCTGGCATCAGGGCTGACTGGCAGCCTTGCTCCCACCGTCCAAGTGCCCCTCCTGCCCTCCCACCTAGTTCCTGGGAGTGGTCGAGGCACCCGGAGCTGGTTTGTCCCAAAGAACGCACACCGCACCCAGGGCTGCCAGGAGACCTTTCCGCTCCGTGCGTCTCCAGCTCCTGCCCTCAGCCCCGAGCCTGGCCGGGATGCTGAGTGGACACCCATGGCCTCTCAGGGGTTGCCAGAAGGTTGCAAGGCCAAATGGAAAGCAGCTGAACTGGCTACATCCCTTCCTCTCCCAACCACAGCCTCTGCCTTTGGATCCTACACCTTCCTCTAGGTTAGGGACACACTCAGGAGTCAACCGGTCCATGCCAAGTCCTGGCCTGGCTCCTTGTTCGCTGTGTGCCCTAGGGGTAGCCCCTGGCCTTGGCCTCCCAATCTGTACACCGAGATGGGTGGTAGTTCCTGCCTGTGGGGTGCCGTGAGCGTCAATGGAGATCGCACCTCCCCAGAGCCTTGCAGGGCCTGGGCCTGGTCACCTCTTGGACGTGTCAGCATCGTTATTTCTCCCCCTCAATTGCCGAACACTAGTGTGTGCCTCTCTAGTGTACTGGCCCCCAGCACAGAGCCAGGCCCCGTAGGTTCCCAGGCGATGATGTGCCACTTAAATCCCCGTCGGCCACTTCCGCCACGAAGCCCCGCTTTCGCACCTGCTGAACCTAGGACTCCGCCATGCAGCAGGACCGCCCTGCACATTGCTCTCGTCCAACTGCCTTACAGATGCAGGGACCTCACCTGCGCCAGTCAGTAACTCATCTTGCAGCTAAATATATAATGTGTCTATGAGAATGTGCTGGGTCATAATCAGTTGCTCTGTGACCCTGGCAGGGTTTTTTTTGTGTTTTTTTGTTTTCGGAAACGGTATAATTCTGCAGTGGTGTGATCATAGTTCACTGCGGCTTCAAACTCCTGGGCTCAAGCAATCCTCCCACCTCAGATCCCAAGTACCTGGGACTACAGGCACAAACCACTATGCCCAGCTAATTATTTTATTTTTTGGTAGACGGGGTCTCGCTATGTTGCCCAGGCTGGAGTGCAGTGGCATGATTATAGCTCACTGCGGCCTGAAACTCCTGGGCTCACACAATCCTCCTGCGTCATCCTCCTGAGTAGCTGGGACCACACTCACGCACTGCCATGCCTGGCTAATTTTAAAGTTTTTTGTAGAGATGGAGTCTCACTGTGTTACGCTGGCCGGGAACTCCTGGGCTCCAGCGACCCTCCTACGTCAGCCTCCCAAAGTGTCGGGATTACAGGCGTGAGCCACCGTGCCCAGCCCCCTGGGCAAGTTTAACTTCTCTGTGCCTTGGACTCCCCAGTGTTAAATGGGGTAGTAGAGGGAGACAGCCCTCCGAGAGCCTTCCTGCCCTGTGCCTGGCCCAGAGCAGCAGTGCTCCGCACGTGTTGCCTGTTTCTCCATCTGAACTGCGCTCCTGGCCGCCCATGGCCTCCCAGTCATTCTGCTCCACTCCTGCTCCACACAGGTCATAAAGAACTCCCCCGTGAAGACGTTTGCTAGTCCCACCTTCAGCTCCCTCCTGGATGTGTTTCTGTCGACCACAGTGTTTCTGACGCTGTCCACCACCTGCTTCCTGAAGTACGAGGCGGCCACCGTGCCTCCCCCGCCCGCCGCCCTGGCGGTCTTCAGTGCAGCCCTGCTGCTGGAGGTGCTGTCCCTCGCGGTGTCCATCAGGTAAGCGCCGCGTGGACTGGGTCTCCAGCTCTGAGCCGTTAGCTCCCTCTTCTGGCTCCATGGCTTATGGCTGAGCGGTTGGACTGGTCCCCAGCCAGCTGTCCCTGCTGGCTGATTTCTGGAGATGGGTCCCCGTGTCCTCCCCGAGCCCTGTGCCCCAGCATCCTCCCTCCCTGACGTTGGCCCAGATGCGGGGGGACCACCTCGCTGGAGGGGGCGGTGCCTCCACAGCCCCAACCGCTGCCAGCTTGTCCCCAGATTTCCAGGTTCAGAGACTGCAAAGGAGAAGGTGAGAAGATAGGAAACAATCTGGAGGAAGGAAAGGAAAAGACATGAGCGGGGGTAGTGGGCCTGGGACAGCAGGCGCCTCTTCAGAGTACCGGAGCCAAACAGCATCTCCACGCACTTGCCTCAGGCAGTGGTCTCTTGGATGTGACGCCAACAGAAGAAAGAATAGACAAGCCCAACTTCCTCAGAAGTTAAGCTGTTGCGCTACAAAGAACACCATCAAGAAAGAGAAAGAACCCACAGAACGGGAGGGAACACTTGCAGATCAGGCCTCGGACAAGGTCTAACATCTAGAATGGATAAAGAGCACACATAGCCTGATAATAAAAAGACAGCTCATTTTAAAGGGGACAGAGGCTCCGAATAGACCACAGGTGCGTCTTGGGAAAGCTGGGCCCTCGGGACCAGCCTGGCTCCCTGAGGGGGCTCGCAGCGGCTCTGTATTCCTGAGCAGGAAGGTGGCCCTGTGTGGTCCCCGTCCTGGGCACCACAAGCCCCTTGGGTGGTCCTGTCACCCTCAACAGGATGGCTGCCGGCCTAGCAGAGTCCCACTAGCAACGGTGCCCCGGAGCTGGGCTTCAAACAGACATGGGGAGGCAGCCCTGACCTTGAGCGTCTGCTGCCCTTATCCAACATCCCAGGGCAGAAATGAATGGCTTTGAGTCTGGCGTGAGGCGCCGGAATGCTGGCTTCTCCCATCTGGGGTGGGCAGGCTGGGATTCCTGCCCCCTCCTTCCCACCTGCACTGTACCCAGGACCCTTTCAGCTTCCTCCGAGGCCGCCATGGGCCATGCTGTCTGTGGCGTGTGCTCAGTGTTTCCCAGAACTCCCTGTGGGCTCATGCCCCATCACCCCCAGCGAGCAGCCCTCTTCCTGGCACAGCCTCCCCTCCTGCCTCAGTGCCCTCCTGTGCTTCTGGGGACCCCTCCCAAAGGAGCCGTCGCCTGCAAACCCTTTCAGGGTCCACTTCCCCAGAACCCAAACCAGACATCCTCAGGCCCCTGGTTGGTTTGTTTTTCCTCTTTAAAAAGATCAGCTTTAGGCTGGGCATGGTGGCTCATGCCTGTAATCCCAGCACTTTGGGAGGCCAAGGCAGGTGGATCACCTGAGGCTGGGAGTTCGAGACCAGCCTGGACAGCATGGTGAAACCTCATCTCTACTAAAAAATACCAAAAAAAAAAAAATAGCCATTCTTGGTTGTGGGCACGTGTAACCCCAGCTACTCGGGAGGCTGAGGCAGGAGAATCAACTTGAACCCAGGAGGTGGAGATTGCAGTGAGCTGAGATCGCACCATTGCACTCCATTCTGGGTGACGAGCAAAACTCCATCTCAAAAAAGAAAAAAAAGAAGATCTGCTTTATTGTGACATGATTTATATACAATAAACTCATTCAAGTGGACAACTCAGTGATTTTTAGCAAATTTGAAGAATTGTATGAATATCACCACTATGTAACTATCGGGCACCTCCATCACCCCAAAAAGAAACCCATCCTCATGGGCAGTCACTCCCCCAGGTCTGCCTTCCCTGGTCCACCCCCAGGTTTTCCTCTAATGTGGGTAGCTGTAGCGTCTTGAGGGCTCTGAGGCCAGCATTGTCTCCATTCCTTTTTACTTTCACCCTTTAGCTATTATTCCCTGCTCCTTCAGACCCAATTCTAAAGCATTGAGGGCAACCCCGGTGTAGACTGCCGAGGGCTGGGGTGAGGTGCGCTGGAACTGCCTGCACAGACATACTCCCCAAGGATCTGGTGAAGGTGGTGGCTGCTGCACCCCTGAACAGGCCTGTGGTGGGATTTGGTTCCATTTACCAGGAATCGTCAAGCCTGGGAGAGGCCCAGACCCTGAAAGGCTTCCCTGGCCCCTCTGAGGGCCGTGTTGAGGACCCCAGGTTGACGGGAACCTGCGCTGTGGGGTATACGGGCACCCCATCCCTTTCCTGTACAGGAGGAAAGCCAGGCGCCTCCTCAGTGACTGGCCCAGGCCCCGCCCGTTGCCTCCAGGAGGCTTCCTGCATCACCCTCTCTGCTCTGCCCCAGCAGGCGTGAGGTCTCATTTTCAGATCCCTGCAGTCTCAGGGACCAGCATGAAGGCCCCCTCCAACCTCACATCTTTCCCGCTGCTGACTGGGAACTTGGTTCCCTCTGTCCCCCCTCCTAGGGCCTCTGTATTCTGCATATTTGTGGTTATTCTTGGAAGTATTCCAAAGTCTTCATTATCCTTTAAATATCAGGAAGCCAGGGCTGTCCAGGACCCTAAAAGGGTGAGGCTGTGCCTGCGTCCATGTGGGGAATGGCTGGAGAGTGAGCGTTCCCTCGCCTGGCCACACCACGCAGCCAAGAGGGAGAGGCATGGTAGGTGTTCAGGCCCGAAGGCTGGGGGCGGGGGGCTCTGTGCCAGAGGCTTTTTTGCTGTTCAGTCACAACAGCGGCCCCCGCCCAGCCTCTCCTGAGGCAGGGACAGCAGGCCTATCCCCAGCTCCCTGGCAGCAAGCTTGAGAGAAGGACTGTCTCCCCACGAGGACCCCACACCTTCTCTTCACCTCCCCATGTGGCCCCACCATGGCCCAGGGGTCCTTGGACTCAGCCAAGACCTGTTCCTCCTCCTCACAGTGGTTCTTGGCCCGCACACTCAGCTGCTTCTTTATACAGAAACTTTTATTGTGTCAACATCACACTCCTGAAACGAAGCCCGCTAGACACACGCCTGCAAAAGGAGTCAGTGAATACAGTCGCTCTGCTTAGAAGGACAAAGTCTTTTAAAATGAAATACGTGGTGCTGGACCTCACGTACAACAGAGCCCCGCTGTCTGGAGAGTCCTGAAGCCGCCAGCTAGAGGTGAACATGCACGATGAACATGACAGCCCAGATGCAGACGGCACGCGTGTGCGGGTTTGGTGGTCTAAGCGCCACGAGCCAGGTTCAGCCTGTGGTGTGATTTTCTGAAACACTGATGATGATGCCCCAAACAGCAGAGACCACTGTCACTCAGTTTCCACAGGAGCTGCGCTCCAAGAAAATCCAGGGTGTGTCAGCACCACCACAGAGCACCCTGTTTGTAGCTGGGACACAGCCTCTGGGCTAAGATGCTGTCAGCAGCCTTCTGCCTTTGCAGGTGCCCAGGGGCTTGGCTGCTGTGTGGGGTGCAGGGCAGAACCTCCCTGGGTGGCACCTGCCCACATGCAGGACAGCTCTGTCCCTGGCGCCTGCCCACCAGATGCCAGGACCGCCTCTTCTGCTGCGACAACTGCACGGGCTCCACAGAATTCCAGGACGCCTCCAAAGCTGCCCCCGTCAAGACCTCCTGCCTCAGAAGCTGATGGGAGCCGGTGACGGCAACGTGGTGGCCCCCAGGAGACTCTCCTCAGGGCCTGTGATACTCTCACGTGTTCTGTTAGGCGAGCGAAGCATGTGCTTTTCACAAGCATATTTTATCACAACGCAACATGTGACCCTAGAATCAGGTACAATGAGCTAAGCCTGGCTTCCTTGCCTTCTACCAAAAGTGAGGGAGGTAGACTCCCACCCCACGCCTGCTCTCACGCCCATCCCAGGGGCAACACGGGAGAGAGCAGAGGGCGGCGCTGGCTGCGGCCTCGCACCTGTCTCCTGGCCGATGACCCACCCCGGGCCCCGTCGCTCCTGCTAACCCCCATGCCTCTCGCAGGATGGTGTTCTTCCTGGAGGACGTCATGGCCTGCACCAAGCGCCTGCTGGAGTGGATCGCCGGCTGGCTACCACGTCACTGCATCGGGGCCATCCTGGTGTCGCTTCCCGCACTGGCCGTCTACTCCCATGTCACCTCCGAATATGAGACCAACATACACGTAAGTAAAGGCTCAGCCGTTTTATTTCCACGCTCTCCTGGACTCCCTAATCTCTCTTTTCTTTAAATCACTTGGGATAGCAATTTAAAAATAAACCCTTTGGCCAGGCATGGTGGCTCACGCCTGTAATCCCAGCACTGTGGGAGGTGGAGGTGGGCAGATCACAAGGTCAAGAGATCGAGACCATCCTGGCCAACATGGTGAAACCCCGTCTCTACTAAAAATACAATTAGCTGGTCATGGTGGCAGGCGCCTTTAATCCCAGCTACTTGGGAGGCTGAGGCAGGAGAATCGCTTGAACCTGGGAGGCAGAGGTTGCAGTGAGCTGAGGTTGCACCACCACACTGCAGCCTGGGTGATGGAGCGAGACTGCGTCACAAAATAAAATAAAATAAATAAAATAAAATAAACCCTTGAAGAGGCACGAACTCTTTTACTCTCCTGAGCCAGCTTTTTTAGAAGCCGACTTAGCATTGGCCTGCCCAGATGCTCACGCCCGGGCAGTGGCCGGGCTGGGGAGTCCCCGGTGGGCACGAGTCCCTGCCAGTGTGGCTTCTTCTTCATCAAGTTCCAAATCAGTTATTTTCCTTCACATTTTACAAAGAAGCGTCTGTCCCACCTTTCCTAACCATGCGAGAAGCATACCTGGCACACAGAATTGACTTGTGCCCGGGTCGGCTGCTGCTGATCAGGAAGGGAACTGTGCTAAACTCCGTGGAGAGGGAACCAGCACGGCCGTGGGAGATGATCCTTCTGGTGCAAGTGAGCATGAGCTTCCGGGCGGGCTGATGGTGTTTGACACTTTAGCCCCAAATCACATCTCACTGGGCCCCAAGGAAAAGTGTTTTGAAGGAAACTGATCACACAGCGTTTCTCAAACAGGGAGGCCTCCCTTTCCTTTCCACGAAGACACGTGCCATTTCCCACACCTGCAGAAGAGTGTGATGCCATGTGAACAGGGAGCCTCACGCCGGGTAGGGAACCTAGAGGCTTGATCTGTCCTTGACACTGCCCACTAGCAAAAGTAAGACTGACTGCAGATAGTGAGCAATTAGCTGGTATCGGTGATATTTTTAGGTTACACAGAAACATGGATTAGGCCGGGAGCGGTGGCTCATACCTGTAATCCCAGGCACTTTGAGAGGCCGAGGCAGGTGGATCACCTGAGGTCAGGAGTTCGAGACCAGCCTGGCCAACATGGTGAAACCCAGTCTTTACTAAAAATACAAAAATTAGCGAGGTGTGGTGCCGGGAGCCTGTCATCCCAGCTACTCATGAGGCTGAGGTAGGAGAATCACTTGAACCCGGAAGGCAGAGGTTGCAGTGAGCTGAGATTGCACCACTGCACTCCAGCCTGGGCGACAGAGTGAGACTCAGTCAAAAAAAAAAGGAAACATGGATTAGTGGCGAATGTTTTGGCGGCCGGGTATAGCAGGGGTGGCGGGGTGGCCCTGGGCGGCTGTCCTAACCCTTCGCCTCTTGCAGTTCCCAGTGTTCACAGGCTCGGCCGCGCTGATTGCCGTCGTGCACTACTGTAACTTCTGCCAGCTCAGCTCCTGGATGAGGTCCTCCCTCGCCACCGTCGTGGGGGCCGGGCCGCTGCTCCTGCTCTACGTCTCCCTGTGCCCAGACAGGTACGCGGCCAGCACTGCTTGCGGGCACCAGGGTGCGTGGCCACCTTGCCCGAGGTTGCGTAGGGCCTGGCTGCATTTGCACATTGCTTCTCACGCCCCGATAGAGATATTTCCCATCATGACCCAAAATAGCTGTCAGCACACATCATACCAAAGAGCTAATGAGATGCCCTCAGAGTAATATGCAAAAGAAAGAAAAAGAATATCATTTAGAACAGCACTCTGGGTAGTTGAATGTAGACATCCTGGAAAACATAATGCTGCCATTGCATTATACCGAGGTGACTTCTGATGAATGGGCTGGAATCTAAGAAAGTAGGACCTGAAGGATTTCATAGAAGATGGTCAAGGCCATGAAAGAGCGGAGCTGCAGATGGATGTGAAGGTGGAGAGGAAGCTGGTGCTGACTTTCCTTGAGTGGGGTAGGGTTCATGAACCGGGACAGGTCACAGCCTGGAAGGAGGAGGTGAAGACGTAGGATGATCTTGCAAGTCACCTGGGGCTTATTTCAAAATATTATGTCAGGCTGGGCACAGTGGCTCATGCCTGTAATCCCAGCACTTTGGGAGGCCAAGGCAGGCAGATCACCTGAGGTCAGGAGTTCAAGACCAGCCTGGCCAACATGGTGAAACCCCGTCTCTACGAAAAATACAAAAATTAGTCAGGCATGGGGGCGTGCACCTGTAATCGCAGCTACTTGGGAGGCTGAGGTAGGAGAACCGCTTGTACCCGGGAGGCGGAGGTTGCAGTGAGCTGAGATTGTGCCATTGCACTCCAGCCTGGGTGACAAGAGTGAGATTCCATCTCAAAAACAAAAAATAATAAATAGGTCAAAACAGTTCCCCATATGATGTCATGAGACGTAGGATTAATGACCAGTCACTGAACATAGGTCTTTTATTTTGAAATCCTCTGCATACTGAGGAGGACGCTGGCCTTCAGAACCGTATCACTGGTAGGTGCTGAGGAATGGGATGGCGCAGACACAGAAACAGGAGTCAGGGAGGCCGGTAGACCTCTGGGGACAAGCCCAGTTCTCATCATTGTACTACAAAAAATGTAAAAACTTACAGGATGGCAGTGATAGGTGCTATATTTAAAATATTTGCCATTAGCGACATCCAGTAAGATCCCTATCTTTCATGTGTTGCACTAACTGAATAATTCTTGATTTGTTAAAAATAAGTCCCAGCCGGTCTTGGTGCTCACGCCTGTAATCCTACCACTTTTGGGAGGCTGAAGCGGGTGGATTGTCTGAGCTCAGGAGTTCAAGACAGCCTGGGCAACACGGTGAAACCCTGTCTCTACTAAAAATACAAAAAATTAGCCAGGCATGGCGGTGTGCACCTGTAGTCCCAGCTACTCAGGAGGCTGAGGCAGGAGAATTGGTTGACCCTGGGAGGCGGAGGTTGCAGTGAACCGAGATCGCGCCACTGCACTCCAGCCTGGGTGACAGAGCAAGACTCAGTCTCCAAAAATAAAAATAAAAAATAAGTCTCAAAATTGCCTATTACACATTTGCTACTGGTTTCAGGGTATTTTAAGCCTTTTCAACTAAATGTGTTGTTGGAAATACAGTAATACCTTGTATAACAGAATGTAAGCAGTGAACAATTTATTCAAATATTTCGTGATATCTTAAACCCATTAAGCTTCCATTCATGTAATAAATTTCTCCCAAATATTGGGCTTTTCCTATAACTGCTTATAAAAATGTTTCACTATTAGTGTGTATTGAAGAACCGCCTGTTTACAATTACAGAGGGTTTAGGTGCGCAGAATGTTTTAAAGTCACATGGGACATTTCTTCCTTGTCCTTGCAGGAGATCTAACATTCTGGCTCCCTGAGTTATTAAGAGAACCAGAGGGACCCCTGGCATTTCCGAAATGCCCCGTTGGAGTGGCATTGCTGTTGCCAAGGACCTCTGCTTGAATTCATTCAAAAGCACAAAATGATTCTATTTGCCGCAGTATTGTCAGTATCAGACGGAGTAGGCACGGGGTGTCTTTGGTTATTAGCAAAGCAACAGTCCAGCCATGGGCAGTGTGAGCATCCGTCCTCAGTTTACTTAAGAAAAGAATCACAATACAAAAGACATTTAAATTCCCTGCAAATTAAGATCAAAAAGGGAATTTAAAATAGGACTGTCATTCAGTACTTGAAAGGAAACTTTAATGAATAGATTAAGCAAAATAAAGCAGACTTGGATTTTTCTGAAGGTATGGCCATCTAGAACGATGGTCACGATGAGCTCTTTCTCGAGAGTATGAAATCCAGCAAACTGCTTTTTACCTTTTAAATCCATCACAGGTCCCTCATCGGGCATTCACCGTGGCCTTTAGTCATGGCTGCGGGGCTTTTCTACCTGGAGCTGGAGAGCCACAGTGATGGGGGACCCCTCTGCCGCCTTTGTGCCCAGAGTTCAAATAGCAGATCTGGGGTAGGGATGATGGTTGAAGTTCCACTCGGCCCAGAACTCCTCCATCCACTTGAGGCCTCAGAGCCCCTAATCCCATCACGGTTGCTAAGCCTCAGCAGGATAGAGAGGATGCGGGATGGTAAACAAAGACGTAAACTCAGCTTTACCAAGGGAACTGCCCCCAGCATTGGGAGACACAGATGTGAAGAAAGAGGTGGGAGCAGGTGGCTTTATGTGGATGTACAACCACGTCTAAAAAAGGAACATAGTTTGTTCAAGCTCTTCTCAGGTTGCCTTGTGGAATGCCTTCTTTGCTCTTTATGATAATATTTTTCTGCATTTTAATTTCAGTTCTGTATTAACTTCGCCCCTTGACGCAGTACAGAATTTCAGGTAAGCTTTTAATATTGCACTTCTGTCTGAATAAACGAGAGTGACTGTATTACCCTGCCCATTTCGAAGCTTCCTGAAAACAATGGGATCTTGAATAAAAGGAACAATACGTGCATTCTTAGAATAGAAAGTGGAAAATATCTCCTCGTTGAACTGTATCATAGTTATAATGTCTAATGGGGAAAATAAAATTAGTTTTATTATTTTAATAAGACATTACAGTCATGTAATTTTATGTAAGACTTTCGCATGCAACAAAGGAAATCTCGCAAATCAAAGAAAAAAGTTATTTTGTAAAATATTTTAAAATAACCGACTTGAAATCAGCCAGGCACGGTGGCTCACGCCTGTAATCCCAGCATTTTGGGAGGCCGAGGCGGGCGGATCACGAGGTCAGGAGATGGAGACCATCCTGGCTAACACGGTGAAACCCCGTCTCTACTAAACAAAATACAAAAAATTAGCTGGGCATGGTGGCGGGCGCCTGTAGTCCCAGCTACTCAGGAGGCTGAGGCGGGAGAATGGCGTGAACCCGGGAGGCGGAGCTTGCAGTGAGCCAAGATTGTGCCACTGCACTCCAGCCTGGGTGACAGAATGAGACTGTGTCTCAAAAAGTAATAAAATAACTGACTTGAAATCCAAAATACTAAATGTTTGACCCTTGCTTTACTATAAACAGCAGAATAAATTCTAAATAAATTGAAGAGTCGGAAATAAAAATTAAACTATATAAAATCTAGAAAAAGTAAAATTCAATAGTTTTCAAGCCTCTAAAACTGAGATAACTTTCCAGGCTTACAAATAATAAATAGAACCACAACGAAAAGATGGACAGATTTGAGAGGAAGGGAGAGAAAATCAAAGCACACAGAAAAGGACCGGGCTCGGTGACTCCCGCCTGTAATCCCAGCACTTTGGGAGGCCAAGGCAGGAAGATTACTTGAGGCCTGGAGTTCTAGACCAGCCTGGGCAACATAGCGAAATCCTGTTTTGGCAAAAAATTGTAAAAATTAGCCAGGTATGGTGGTATGCACCTGTAGTCCCAGCTACTCGGGAAGCTAAGGTGGGCTTGAGGCCGGGAATTTGAGGCTGCATTGAGCTGTGATGGTGTCCTTGCACCCCAGCCTGGTTGTCACAGCAAGACTCTGTCTCAGAAAAAAAAGGCCAGGCACGTTGGCTCATGCCTGTAATTCCAGCACTTTGGGAGGCCAAGGCAGGTGGATCACCTGAGATCAGGAGTTCAAGACCAGCCTGGCCAACATGGCAAAACCCCGTCTCTACTAAAAATACAAAAATTAGCTGGGGTGGTGGTGGGCACCTGTAATCCTAGCCACTTGGGAGGCTGAGGCAGGAGAATTGCTTGAACCTGGGAAGCGGAGGTTGCAGTGAGCCAAGATCGGCCACTGCACTCCAGCCTGGGCGACAGAGTGAGACTCTGTCTCAAAAAATAAAATAAAATAAAAAAAAGATTCATTAGCAACTGTAGTTGTCAATAATAAATAAATTAACTGATTATACATTTACTCAAATAATACAACTGTTAAAATGCAGTAAATATGGAAAACATTTAAGATTTTCATTTACTAGGTGAAACTATATATGTACTATAGGTACAACTAGGTATTTATATATAGTAAAAATATGTACAAGATTTATACTTAGGATATAATGAATGAGTGATGATTACAGCTTTAGTACTTAAAAGTAAAGCACCTAGCATCTTTTTTTAACCTTTTATTGATGTGTATGTCAGTATGCACAGAAGAGTACCTGATCATAAAAGGACAGCTCAGTGCATTTTCACCAGAGAACACACCCATTTAACTACCACCCAGACCAAGAAGTAGAGCATTACCACTACCCCAGAAGCCCTCCAACCCCACCGCTGCTGACCCCCTCTCCCCCGACCTGACCACCTCCCTAGGGGCAGATTTTAAATGGCACTGAAATATACCAAAGTGTCAACCGAAGCCACGTTTGGCTGGTTAGGACTGCAAGTGATGTTTGCTTTCTATTTTTTTCAGTTTTTCAATCCCTCTTCTCCATGATAACGGATTACACTGTATTTTACTCTAACTTCCATTTATGACTTATAAATTAACTCCTGCATTTAGTCACATGAAATGCCTCTTTTTGAGCCAGGTGTGGTGGCTCACGCCTGTAATCCCAACACTTTGGGAGGCTGAGGCAGGTGGATCACCTGAGGTCAGGAGTTCGAGACCAGCCTGACCAACATGTTTGTGAAACCCCATCTCTACTAAAAATACAAAAATTAGCTGGACGTGGTGGCGGGCACCTGTAATCCCAGCTACTCGGGAGGCTGAGGCAGGAGAATTGCTAGAACCCGGGAGGCAGAGGTTGCAGTGAGCCTAGATCGCACCACTGCACTCCAGCCTGGGGGACAGAGCAAGACTCCATCTCAAAAAAAAAAAAAGAAAAGAAAAAGAAATTCTTCTTTTTGAAGTGGATCTTTGCTATTTGAATTTAGGAATAGGATCGGCTCCTTTGTTCCTTTGGTATTAAAATAGGAAACACACATTCTAGCTGGGAAGCTGTCCTCGTACCTGTTTCTTACAGATGCCTTCTGTTGCGAGGCAGCCCCCTTGGTTTCTGAGTGCACATGCTGTGTGTGATGGCTTTTCTTCCTTGGAAGCAAAGGTGGAAAGCAAACGCTGTGCTCTGCCTTCCTCTCCCTCTGGCACTAGCCCATGTGCTGCTGTCCCTCCTCTGCCTGGAGGGGCCTGGCCTGCGCCCGTCTCGAGTCAGCTGTGCTGCTGGCTCCGGCTCCCGCAGATTAGAGTGAGCTGTACAAGCGATAACTGATTGAGAAGCCCAGATACAGTCTCCCATTTCCACCACAGAGACTGGAAACACCCCCTGCACATAATGGGGATGTTAGACCTTGGTGACACCTGCTCCTAAAGGGGACTGTTCTTGGTGTCACCACTTTGAGAAACCAAAAGAAAGGTCAACTCCTAACCCAACGAGCGGGGCTCACAAAACCTTCCCCCAGTCCATATTCTCTTCCTGCTCTATTTACAATCAACCAGAGGGCTCATGGAGCTGGACAGAAATATGTTTGAGTCATCATCGTAACAAATGGTTATTTTGCTTAGTACTTGAGATGTAGGATATGTAATGTCATCTGTTTCAATAGCAGTTCACGAAATGAGTCAGTGAAGCACAGGGTGTCTTCCCACTGAGGACTCTTGGTTCCTGGTCATAGGCGTTGAGTCACAAAGCCCGTATCAGGGCTCCCAAGACCAGCCCCAGGTGGACTCAGGACTCCGCAATCTGCTCTCTCACCGCTGTGATTACAGCGAAAAGACATAAGGCAGAATCAGCAAAGGGAAGGGTGTGTGAGTTGACGTTTGGAGGAAGCCGGCACCAGCTTCCAAGAGTCCTCTCCCGGTAGAGTCACACGGGATGGGCTTAATTCCTCCAGCAGTGAGTGGTGACAACACTTGTAACATGCTGCCTACCAGGGAAGCTCATTAAAGTCTCGGTGTCCAGGCTTGTATTAGGGGCTGTTCAGGTCTCCCGCCTCTGCCCAGCACGTGCCTAAATTCCAGACTTCCAGCAGGAAAGCGGGTATTCAGCGTAAACCTCCTTATTTAGACAGTGTAGGCAGTGTGAGCCGCTCTTATCAAGGAATGGCAGGAACCCTCCCCAAATCCCAGCTCCCTGGTGCCAGCCACCACCTTTGCAGGCAGGTCTTTCCAAGGATGGCAGCCTCAGGCCTTTCCTGCACGGAACCTTAGGCTGGAAGGGACGTAGCCATGCTCCAGTCCATCTTCACAGCTTACAAGCGAGGAAACTGAGACCCAGAAAGATGGCATGGCTTACCCAAGATTCTGAAACTCCCCCGCGGTCCAGCCAGGATGGGGCCCAGGGGTTCTGTTCCACCCACGGCCAGGGCTTTTGGCGGTTGTGCTTCGCAGAGGGCCGTGATGGCCACACAGGTCAAGCTCATTGTTTTTTAATATCCCAAGAACAGTTAGTGAAACTTATTAGACACTTTGATTAAAGGACTGAGCTTTTGGCCGGGCATGGTGGCTCGTGCCTGTAATCCCAGCACTTTGGGAGGCCAAGGCGGGTGGATCACCTGAGGTCAGGAGTTCCAGACCAACCTGGTCAACATGGTGAAACCCTGTCTCTACTAAAAAATACAAAAATTAGCCAAGTATGGTGGCGCACACCTGTAGTCCCAGCTACTCGGGAGGCTGAGGCAAGAGAATCACTTGAACCTGGAAGCGGAGGTTGCAGTGAGCCAAGGTCGCGCCATTGCACTCCAGCCAGGGCAACAGAGCAAGAAAGAAAAAAGAAGAATTGAGTTTTGGCCAGGCGTGGTGGCTCATCCCTGTAATCCCAGCACTTGGGGAGGCTAAGGCAGGCAGATTGGTTGAGCTCAGGAGTTCAAGACCAGCCTGGGCAAGATGGCGAGACCCTGTCTCTAAAAGAAAAAGAATTGAGCTTTCCAGTGTGATGGAGCTGTCTAAACTGTGGATCCGCCAGTCGCATATATAAGTATATAGTGACCAAGCCCATTATTGCATCAAATCAACTGGCCTACTCTGTGCGCGGGAGGAATGCATCAGGGTACAGCATTTACATGAACAGAACAGTCACGGTGTTGTAAAAAAGAAAAAGACTAGAATGCAGTTCAACAAATGTTAATAGTGATTGCCTCTGGATGGCAGGACGATGGACAAATCTTTTTTGTCTATTTTTTTCTACATTTTCTATGATGAGTATGTAGTATTTTTAAATGGGAAAAAATGTATTCCAGCACACTGGGGAGGCAGAAGCAGAACAGTTTGAACCCAGGAGTTTGAGACCAGCCTGGGCAACATAGTAAGACCTCATCTCTACAAAAAGTTCAAAAAATTAGCCAGGTGTGGTGGTGTGTGCCTGTAGTCCCAGCTAATCTGGAGGCTGAGGCGGGAGGATCGCTTTAGCCTGGGAGGTCAAAGCTGCAGTGAGCTAGGATCGCACCACTGCAGTCCAGCTTGGATGACAGAGACAGACCCTGTCTCTTCTTAAAAAAAAAAAAAAATACATATATATATATATATATATATATATATATATATATATATTTCAAACAAACTTTAAGAAATTGTGCTACTCAGCCAGGTGTGGTGGCTCACACCTGTAATCCCAGCACTTTGGGAGGTCGAGGCGGGCAGATCACTTTAGGTCAGGAGTTTGAGACCAGCCCAGCCAACATGGTGAAACCCCGTTTCTACCAAAAAAAAAATACAAAAATTAGCTGGGCCTGGTGGCGCACACTACTCAGGAGGCTGGGCCGCAAGAATCGTTGAGCCCAGGAGGTGGAGGTTGCAGTGAGCTGAGATCACACCACTGCATGCCAGCCCGGGCTAGAGAGTGAGACTCTGTCTCAAAAAAGAAAAAAGAAAAAGAAAAAAAGAAATTGTGCTACTCACCACTCATCTGCAGCCCCCTGACCATGGCTGTCTCCATCAGTGCCACTGAAGTGGAGACAGCCCCGCTGAAAGCAGGCTCAGTTATCAAAGGGAGCAGAGACTGGGCGCGGTGGCTCACGCCTGTGATCCCAGCACTTTGGGAGGCCGAGGCGGGTGGATCACGAGGTCACGAGTTTGAGACCAACCTGTCTCTAGTAAAAGTACAAAAATAATCTGGGCATGGTGGCGTGCACCTGTAGTCCGAGCTACACAGAAGGCTGAAGCAGGAGAATTGCTTGAACCCAGGAGGCGGAGTTTGTGGTGAGGCGAGATCACGCCACTGCACTTTAACCTGGGCAACAAAGCGAGACTCCTTCTCAAAAAAAAGAAAAAAAAAAGCAGAAACTGGTTCAGCCTTGTTTAGAAGGGCAATTTGGAAATTTCTAAGGAAATTCTAAATGTGCAATATTTAAAATGACTCAGCACTTCCATACGCACAAAGATAGGGGTAGGGGAATATTCCCTGTGACACTGTTTGTGGTAAGAAAAGACAGACTCGGGCCCAGTTCCATCAGGGGGAATCTGGCTAAATTACAGAATTTCCGAGTGCTGGAACACTGCACAGCCATGAGAAAATAATGGCACTGGTTCAGATGTTAGCATTGTCCTGAGTGATTTCGGCAAAAAGAACTAACCCAGAATCAGGGGAGATGGCGTCTTGTCAAACTTTTTTATACAGGTAGAGAGTATAGAACTCATAAAAGCTATTTGTAAAATGATAAGTTTATTGGATTAGAAATCTAAGAACCAAGGCCAGGCGCGGTGGCTCACACCTGTAATCCCAGCACTTTGGGAGGCTGAGGTGGGCGGATCACCTGAGGTCGGGAGTTTGAGACAAGCCTGACCAACATGGAGAAACCCCGTCTCTACTAAAAATACAAAATTAGCTGGGTGTGGTGGCACATGTCTGTGAACCCAGCTACTGGGGAGGCTGAGGCAGGAGAATCACTTGAACCCGGGAGGCGGAGGTTGTAGTGAGCCAAGATCTCACCAGCAACAAGAGCAAAACTCCGTCTCAAAAAAAAAGAAATCTAAGAACCAAATATATCAGAGAATGTTAAATTTCTTGGGTATGATGATGATATTGTAGTTACATAGGGAAATATCCTTATTCTTAGGAGATACATGCTGAAATATTTAGAGCTGAAGTGCCATGTCAGCAACTTACTTTCAAAAAGTTCATTCAGCAAAAAGCCGGGTGCAGTGGCTCACACCTGTAATCCCAGCACTTTAAGGCAAGCTGATCACTTTGAGATCAGGAGTTTGAGACCAGCCTGGCCAACATGATGAAACCCTGTCTCTACTAAAAATACAAAAATTAGCCAGGCATGGTGGCACACACCTATAGTCCCAGCTATTCAGGAGGCTGAGGCAGGAGGATCACTTGAACTCAGGAAGCAGAGGGTGCAGTGAGCCAAGATCGCACCACTGCACTCTAGCCTGGGCAACAGAGCAAGACTCAATCTTAAAAAAAAAAAAAAAAAAAGATGTTAGGCCAAGCACAGTTCAAGCCTGTAATCCCAGCACTTTGGAAGGCCAAGGTGGGAGGATGGCTTGAAGTTACGAGTTTAAGACCAGCCTTGGCAACCAGCAAGACCCTGTCTCTTCAAAAAAAAAATTTTTTAATTAGCTAGGTGTGGTGGTACATGCGTGTAATCCCAGCTACTTAGGAGGCTGGGCAGGAGGATCGTTTGAGCCCAGGAGTTTAAGGCTGCAGTGAGCCATGATTGTGCCATTGCACTCCAGCCTGGACAACAACCATGTCTCTAAAAAAACAAAGGAGAGAGAGAAAAGAAAAGATTTTTGAAAGAAGCTAAAGACTTCTAAAAAAAAAGAAAAAGAAAAAGAAAAGAAAAACGATTACCAAGCACTTACTAAAGATGTTAGTTACAGGGCTGGGCACAGCAGCTCACGCCTGTAATTCCAGCACTTTGGGAGGCCAAGGCAGGAAAATTGCTTGAGCCCAGGAGTGCAAGACCAGCCTGGGCAACACAGTGAGACCCCACCTCTATTTAACAAAATGAAATCAATCAGTTTCAAAAGTTAGTCTTTATCCCTCCATACCTTCAGCCAGCCCAAACCAGGAATGGGCAGCTTGACAGCTTCAGGTTGTTGAAGGCCTGGACTCAACAAAGCTTTGCGTAGCTAGCGGGGCTGTTCTGAGCTTGGAAGCGCCGAGCAGTAACCTCTCCCTTTCCCGTGTCTTTGCTCTCCAGTTCCGAGAGGAACCCGTGCAATAGTTCGGTGCCGCGTGACCTCCGGCGGCCCGCCAGCCTCATCGGCCAGGAGGTGGTTCTCGTCTTCTTTCTCCTGCTCTTGTTGGTCTGGTTCCTGAATCGCGAATTTGAAGTCAGCTACCGCCTCCACTACCACGGAGACGTGGAAGCGGATCTTCACCGCACCAAGATCCAGAGCATGCGGGACCAGGCAGACTGGCTGCTGAGGAACATCATCCCCTACCACGTGGCTGAGCAGCTGAAGGTGTCCCAGACCTACTCCAAGAACCATGACAGCGGAGGGGTGATCTTCGCCAGCATCGTCAACTTCAGCGAGTTCTACGAGGAGAACTACGAGGGCGGCAAGGAGTGCTACCGGGTCCTCAACGAGCTCATCGGGGACTTTGACGAGCTCCTAAGCAAGCCGGACTACAGCAGCATCGAGAAGATCAAGACCATCGGAGCCACGTACATGGCGGCGTCAGGGCTGAACACCGCGCAGGCCCAGGACGGCAGCCACCCGCAGGAGCACCTGCAGATCCTGTTCGAGTTCGCCAAGGAGATGATGCGCGTGGTGGACGACTTCAACAACAACATGCTGTGGTTCAACTTCAAGCTCCGCGTCGGCTTCAACCATGGGCCCCTCACGGCCGGGGTCATCGGCACCACCAAGCTGCTGTACGACATCTGGGGAGACACCGTCAACATCGCCAGCAGGATGGACACCACCGGCGTGGAGTGCCGCATCCAGGTGAGCGAAGAGAGCTACCGCGTCTTGAGCAAGATGGGCTATGACTTCGACTACAGAGGGACCGTGAATGTCAAGGGGAAAGGCCAGATGAAGACCTACCTGTACCCAAAGTGCACGGATCACAGGGTCATCCCACAGCACCAGCTGTCCATCTCCCCAGACATCCGCGTCCAGGTGGATGGCAGCATCGGACGGTCTCCCACAGACGAGATTGCCAACCTGGTGCCTTCTGTCCAGTATGTGGACAAGACATCTCTGGGTTCTGACAGCAGCACGCAGGCCAAGGATGCCCACCTGTCCCCCAAGAGACCGTGGAAGGAGCCCGTCAAAGCCGAAGAAAGGGGTCGATTTGGCAAAGCCATAGAGAAAGACGACTGTGACGAAACAGGAATAGAAGAAGCCAACGAACTCACCAAGCTCAACGTTTCAAAGAGTGTGTGAGGCGGCGCCCACCCGCTGCCCGAGGTGCTCTGTTTGTCGAAACACAGTAATATTTGTATTTGGCTGTTGTGCTTTCCAAGCGCCACAGTTGCCCTCCCCGGACGTGGTGTTATGTGGTCATTTCAGCCCTAACTTCTGTGTGGATCACAGTTATTCAGGGTTCATTTTCATCCATTCTTCCCTTTCGCTCCCTTCCCTGGAAACCCCGCTGCCTCTGGGTCATCCGTTCAGCACGTGGTGGAGAACAAGTGCCTTCAGGGCTGGCCTCGGCCTCGAGTCTCGGGACAGAGGCCGCCAGTGGAGATCATGGCTTTGGGTATTATTTGACTTTTAGAACAAAAGCTGTGGTTAAGATCTCATTTTTATTGCTTTTTCCCACGTCCCACGAGACACTATTTTCGGTTCTCTGGCTAATACCCTGTTTTTGAGTTTATTTTGTTTCTGTCTATGTCACAGTGTTCCTCTACGACCCGACCTCTCTATGTAAGCACACATGCGCACACACACTTGCATTCATGAATCTGATATAAAGTGCCAGTAATCCGCCAAGAGGGGGTGCGAAGGGGGCATGTCACGACAGCTCCGCCACCCCCCATTGCCCACCCGCACTTTCCCGAGCACCGCGCCCCGTGGGCTGTGGGTGAGCCGCGCTCCCTGCACTGAGCGGGTTTAGGGGCTCGCCCACATGCATGCAGGCCAAGACAGCAAATGCCAGCCGGGCACGACGCCCGTGTGCCCAGGCCTCGGGGGTCTCAGAGCCGCCTCTCACCCCCGACCCTCCACCCAGGGGTCTCCCCATCGGGAGTGGAGGTGTTGGTCCTGGAAGCTGACTCATCGGAGAGGGAAATACCAAATAAACATCCGAGGTTGCATTTATTTATTTATTTATTTACCCGGAAGCATGTGCGCTCCCGGGAGGGGTGCTGGGTCCTCAGGGTGGGGGGTCATAGCCACAGGGGAGGGCAGTTCCCAGGAAGGTAACCAGATGTCTCTTTTGTGTTTTGGCCACCTGGGGCCGCCCCCAACCTCCCCACCCCAAGAGGGGTCTGAGTGGGACCTCAAAGCATGGCCAGTGCAATTCTGAGGCTAGGGGAATAGGAGAAGCCCACCAGCTGCCCCTGCCACCCACGGGGGCTCCTCCCTGCCGGGGTCCAGCTCAGAACCACGGGGGTCTGTGCCGGCAGCACCGGTGCCATCTTGGCTTCCACAAATTCCAGAAGTTTCTTGGCTGCCTCCCGCTCTCAGATGGCACAGGGCCTATCAGTGGCAGGATTTAATCTGGGGAGCAAATTCCAGCTCTGAAATGGAGTTCTCACACCGTATCTAGGGACAGAGGCATCTGGATGCAAACGCGGGGTTTGTTAGGGGCGGAATCCCGAGGGTGGTGTGGGGGAGCTCCGTCCGGGCAGTTGGCTGCTGGTCCTGTCTGATTATGTTTTGCCATATTGAGTCTGAAGTTTGTGTGGAAGTGAGCTCGCCCGAGTTGTCCGGTCGGAGTTGTAGCCAGTCTTTCAGGGGACCCCGGGACGCTGATGAGGCCCAGGGTGCACTCCTTGTCAGTCTTGCCCGTTGTCCCTGTGCATTTTGCTTTCCGCTGTCAAATCTCACTGTCTCGTTTTCACACCGCATCAGTCCCCATCATCACTACTCCTCCCCAGAGACATACAGATTGCCCTCCCCGGCATGAAGAAGTCACAATTCTGACCCGCCACCTCTCCAGGGGCGGTGCCTGGGATGGCCACCCATCAGGACAGCCAGAGCCAGGGTCCCGGCGTCCTGAGAGTCCAGGGCACCTCCCCCCATTAGCTGTAAGGTTTCCTGTCAGGTGTGACTGTCAGTTTGCTGGTCTTCCAATACCGAAGAAAGGGTGGTTGTGACAATACCTCTTGCTTCTAAAGAATGTATTATAAAACACCGCAGATTTTTTTTTTTCCTTAAAAAACACTACCTGATGCTTTCCTTGTTCGTGGGGATTGTGGTCACATGAAGCTCTTTCTGCATCAGTATTAAGGTGTATATTTGAATGTCCTCCCCTCCCCTTTCCCCTCCAGGCTGTGTAGCTTTGAGGGGCTGGGCGTTTGCTCACGACCTTGCTGTCTCGCTCAGAACATGCTCCGCAAAGTTCTCCGCACACACTTCTTCCCCATCAAGCCCATTTCCTTCCCCAACCACAAAGGTGTTTGTGATTCCTCACCCCGGGAAACCAAGGAGCTGCAAAGTGGAGTCTGGTTCAGCCCCGTGCAGACTCACCCAGAGCTTAACGTTGTCTTTCAAACACCCTGAGCCTTCCTAAACAGCCAGTGCAGACGTTCTCTCTGGGCCACGAAGCCCCTCGGGTCCTCCCCGTCCCCTGCTCCGATGCATACCTCAGTGCAGAACCACAGAATCTCTGCAGCGGAAACGCCGTGCATCTCTTGTCTGTTGGCAGCGAGCACATCGTGCTGGAGACACGAGTTTCTAAGCAGCTGGCACGAGGGCTGCTGACGGCATGGGTCGTGCTTCAGGGTGGCAATACCTCTTAGGAACTTAGGGCAGGAAGCAATACTTCAGCATTGAATGTGTGTAAATAGTTGCTTTGAGTTGCAATTGCTATTTTCTTCTCAGTCCCAGCTCAGATCGAATTATATATCCATATATATATATATATATATATATATATATATATATATATATATATGGTAAACAAGCACACACAATTTTATCCAATGCAAACAAATGTAGAGCATCAGTTACAAAACCCTCGAATAGCTTGAGAGCCCCACAGGCTCTGCCACACCCGTGACTTCATCCACACTGACGTCACCCGCGGGGGCTCCCCCTGCACATTTGCACACGATCCGGAGAGCCGAAGGCCGCGTGCTTCCTGTCACATGGGCTGTAATCATTTGTAGTTTCCAAAGACACGTCTGCATTTGAATTTCTAGATTTTCGAGGTAAGGAGTTTTTTTTAATTGGTTGTTTGGAAAATCACATCATGCCTAGAATCTGAAATTGAATTAGCAAGAACCGACTGTTTGCATTTTCCATATATCCTTTTATCTGCTCTTTTTAAATTGTTAATTCTAATAATTTCAAAATGCATTCACTGAAGAAATGGACATTAAAATATTCTAAAATTTAAATATATGATGCCTGGTGTTTTCTTATTGAAAAGATGAGCACTGCTTCAGAGAGGAGGGCGGTCTTCCTTGGACAGCTCGTGTTTTCTGCGATCTGTGGCTCACCTGGGTGGGTTTGCCTTTCTTTCACGTCATGACTTCAGAAACAGGGCAAGTAGAAAACCCTGTTTGTGTTTATGTTATTTTTTTAATTGGATCTATTTGCTCCAGTTAACTTGAGTTGAAAAGTATTTATTTTTACACAGAATTTTTTAAACAATAAAAGTAAGGTTGCAGGACAAGTTTTGCTTGTGAGATTTTCCCTGTCAGGCCTCCTAAATAGTTTTCTGCAACATCCTTAGAGAAGGAATTGAGGGGGAAAAAGTAGGTTTTCTGAAAAGGAAAGAGTGATTGCAGGTACACAGATCACTGGGGTCCCAGGTGTTTTGAGGAAGTCACAAAGCCCCTTCAGAATCTGTTTAAAGTCATAGAGCCTCTTCCCAGAAAAACACACATGCCATTTTCTACACTTCTTGGGAGTTCACCACACTCCCGCATCTGAGGCCAAACTATGGATCTTCCAGGGGTTAGAGCCCCTTCCCCTGTAGGGGTTTTCCTGATGAGTTATTTTTTTTTTAATTTTTATTTATTTAGACAGAGTCTCACTCTGTCACCCAGGCTGGAGTGCCGTGGTGCGATCTCAGCTCACTGCAACCTCTGCCTCCTGGGTTCAATCAATTCTCGTGCCTCAGCCTCCCTAGCAGCTGGGATTACAGGCATATACCACCACACCCGGGTAATTTTCATATTTTTAGTAGAGACAGGGTTTCACCATGTTGGCCAGACTGGTCTCGAACTCCTGGCCTCAAGTGATCCGTGCGCCTCAGCCTCCCGAAGTGCTGGGATTACAGGCATGAGCCACTGTGCCCGGCCTGGTAAGTTAAGTATTTATGACCAACTTCAGGGCACAAAGATTCTTTTGTAGACTCCACAAAGGGAGCTGAATTCATGGCTTCTGGTGGTTGCTCATGGACTTGCGGGGGTGCAGCCTCCAGCTGATTCTCTGCTGGAGCCCGGGGCCAATGAGGTTGCTGTTTGATGAGGTCACTCTCCTCCCGAGTCGCCACTGCAGGCCTCCCTGGTCACCTTTCCAGCTTAGGGAATAACCCGTCCTTGCTGCCTTGAGGGTCTTGTAAGAATGGAGGTTTTGTTCGGTTTTTTTTTTTTTGGAGACAGGGTCTCATTTTGTCACCCAGGCTGGAGTGCAGTGACCATCAGGGCTCACTGCAGCCTTGACCTGCCCTGACTCAGGTGATCCTCCCACCTCAGCCTCCTGAGTAGCTGGGACTACAGGTGCGCAACACCATGCCCAGCTAATTTTTGTATTTTTTTGCAGAGACGGGGTCTTGCCATGTTGGCCAGGCTGTTCTCGAACTCCTGGGTTCAAGTGATCCGTCCTCCTCAGCCTCCCAAAGTGCTGGGATTACAGGCATGAGCCACCGCGCCCAGCCAGAACGTGGGTCTTTCTACTAGAAAGGGCACCCAGTGACTTAGAGGATTTCTCAAACAGCCAAGAAAGGCAGCCTCTAATTTTTGCAATCAGCCCCAGAACTGATCATTTGTGGTTTCTCTTTCATCTGAAATCTTGTTCACATGGTTGCTTTTCCCCCACTGTGGGAATCTATGGCTGTGGCCACCTGGAATAGATCCCGCGTACTGGGAAAGTGAAACTAACCGGAGAAAGCCAAGAGGAAGCGATTAAGAAAAAGTACACACTTGCACGCAATGGACATGTACATTTAAAATCTTCCCAAGTGTCTATTTTTATACAGTTCCTTTTTAAAAATTGTTTTTTTAAATATCATGACTCTAAAGAGTTGTTAATGAATATTAGAGTAATTTAAGCTTAGGGAATTCTCGTATCCCTGCTGGCCCTGAAAGTCTGAAGGAGATGTGAGTTAAGTAATCCGCGTGCCTGTTAGAGTCTCAGTCAACAGCGGGGATTCTTCATTGTTTTTTTTCCGGGGTGGGGACAGGTTTGGCTCGCAAAGGCTTTGATAGTTTGATGAAGGTTATGGTTACTTTGTCCAGAAAAAATGCACATAAAAACAACTTTTGATTTTTTGTTGTTGTTGTTTCGTTGCTTGGTTTTTTTGAGACAGAGTCTGGCTCTCTCGCCCAGGCTGGAGTGCAGTGGTGCGATCTCAGCTCACTGCAACCTCCGCCTCCCAGGTTCAAGTGATTCTTCTGCCTCAGTTACCTGAGTAGCTGGGATTACAGGTGCTCGTGCCACCATGCCTGGCTAACTTTTGTATTTTTAGTAGAGACAGAGTTTCACCACGTTGGCCAGGCTGGTCTCAAACTCCAGACCTCAGGTGATCCACTTGCCTCAGCCTCCCTAAGTGCTGGGATTACAGAAGTGAGCCACCGTGCCCGGCCAAATCTTTTGATTTTATATATAATTTCAGGAGTCCACGAATGCAAATAGAGTGCCCCTGATCCACGGTAACCAGAGGAGAGATGACTTTTCATTCCAACTCTCTGCAGATGAGGTTTCCTAGCGTTTCTGGACTCTCCGCTGGAAACCTGATTTGGCATGTTAATGCTACTCATTGTTACATGCGTTTTTATTTTATTTATTTATTTTTTTTGAGACAGAGTCTCACTCTGTTGCCCAGGCTAGAGTGCAGTGGCACGATCTCAGCTCACCACAACCTCCACCTCCTGGGTTCAAACAATTCTCCTGCCTCAGCCTCCTGAGTAGCTGGGATTACAGGCATGCGCCACCACGCCTAGCTAAATTTTGGATTTTTAATAGAGATAGGGTTTCACCATGTTGGCCAGGCTGGTCTCGAACTCCTGACTTCAGGTGATCCACCTGCCTTGGCCTCACAGAGTGCTAGGATTACAGCCATGAGCCACTGTGCCCAGCGTTGATACATGCATTTTTAATCAAAATTATATTTTAGAATTTAATGTGTGAGTTATCTAAATATATTTGAAGAGCTGCTTAAAAAACGTTTCAGTACACAAATATGTTAGTTGAATTATTTCCAACAGATAAGTAACATCCAGCCAGTATTTGTCAAGCGACTACTGTGTGCCATATAATGCCCTAAACTCCCTTTACTTAGGTTTTTTAATTTACCTAGGTTGTTAAATTTTCTGCAATACATGAGAGCATTTGAGAAACAGCTGTGATTAGAAGCTGTGCTTGTCCCAGTGGCTTTACCACTGTGAATTCCACTTATAAACTGAAGGGACTTTCCAGATATGAGGAATCAAGTACGGACATTTTTTTTTTTTTTTTTTTTGAGATAAGAGTCTCACTCTGTCATCCAAGCTGGAATGCAGTGGCTCAATCACAGCTCACTGCAACCTCAACCTCCCTGGCCTCAAGCCATCCTCCTGTCTCTGCCTCCTAAGTAGCAAGGACTACAAGTGCGTGCCACTACGCCCTGCTGGTTTTTGTATTTTTTGTGGAGATGGGGTTTCACCATGTTGCTCAGGCTGGTCTCAAATTCCTGGGCTCAAGTGATCCATCCACCTCAGCCTCCCAAAGTGCTGGGATTACAGATGTGAGCCACCGTGCCTGGCCAACATTTTTAAATAGGGCTGTTAACGTCAACCCTAACGCATGCAAGATGATTTTTTTGTCCATGGCTTTATGGAGAGTTCAACCTCTGAATAAAAAGCAACCGAGGCAGGGCATGGTGGCTCCCGCCTGTGGTCCCAGCACTTTGGGAGGCCGAGGCGGGAGGATCACCTGAGGTCAGGAGTCAAGACTAGCCTGGCCAACATGGTGAAACCCTGTCTCTACTAAAAATACAAAAATCAAATCAGCCAGGCGTAGTGGTGGGTGCCTGTGGTCTCAGCTACTTGGAGGCTAAGGCACGAGAATCGCTTGAACCCAGGAGGCAGAGGTTGCAGTGAGCCAGGATTGCACCACTGCACTCCAGCCTGGGCGACAGAGCAAGATTCTCTCAAAAAAAAAAAAAAAAAAGTAACCGACGAGAAAGATTCAGAGAAAACAACTGCACCACTTCTGTGTTGGTTCCTTGATGAAGGAGCTCATGGCAGCTGCTGCCCATAAGATCATCTTTTTTTGTTTTTCTTTTTTTTTTTTTTTTTTTTTGAGACGGAGTTTCACTCTTGTTGCCCAGGCTGGAAGTGCAATGGCGCGATCTCGGCTCACTGCAACCTCCACCTCCCAGGTTCAAGTGATTCTTCTGCCTCAGCCTCCCCAGTAGTTGGGATTACAGGTGCACACCACCACACCCGGCTAATTTTTTGTATTTTTAGTAGAGATGGAGTTTCACCATGGCTGGGCTGGTCTTGAACTCCTGATCTCAGGTGATCTGCCCGCCTCAGGCTACCAGAGTGCTGGGGTTACAGGCGTGAGCTACCGTGCCCGGCCCATCCATTTTATTTTTAAAATTCCTCCCTCGGCAGTGTTTGGGGTCCTGGCGGGAGGGTCCCAGAGCCAGGCAGAACAAACACTGGCTTGGGTTGGCTGGTGAGAGTCTTTCAGGGTAGTGTATCCTCCCGCAGAGCCCCCGCTGCTCTTTGAGGGAAGAGCCGATGGTTGGGGACCCAGACGTCTCTGCCAATCCCCCCCAGCCCTGGCACAGTGGAGGCAGCCCTAGCCCGGCCTCCAGCTGCCCTCCCGAGAGCTGCTGTTTCTGTGTCCTGTCTCCCTCTGACCTTCTTTATTTTCTCATCAAACAAAATCCGTGCCCTCTAGGATGAGAGGGAGATGAACGGGACCAGAAAAGTTTGTTTGGATTTGTGCGTGTGATCCTGGGATAACGCAAAACAGGATCGGGAAGGATGTGAAAGGGTTCAGGGAGAGAGGAGCGAAATGCCCGCGCCCCGCCCTGACACCCCGCTCTGCTCAGGACGCCCGGGGGCACAGACATGCTTGTGCCAAGACGCACCTGAACCGCCCCCTAGCCCTGCCCTCCCAGGACCCCCATCCCGTATTCTCCACGGCTTTCTAGCCTTCTCTATCTCCTCCAGAACTGGCCTGTGGGAACCCTCGGGTCTCAGCTCAGCCCAGCTCCAGCTTTGGTTCTGCGTCTCTAGGACATTTATTCTTCTCCAAGGACACACCTGCCTTCCTCAAGCCCCAGGATGCCACGGTTCTGCACTCCGCCTGTGGCCTCCACCCCCATTCCGCCATCACCCTCCCCCTCCCTGACTCTAGGACTGTAGATAAACCTTCAGCAACAAGATCACCAGGCACTGCTTTGACTTCAAGAGAATGACTTTTCCGCCAGTAAATTCTGTTTTCACATACGCAAATATGCCTCTACCTGGAAGATAGTCTGCTGTTATGCTATGCTTTTCTGCCAACGAGCTGAAAACCCCTGGAGCCTCCTCTGGCCTCAGGATGCCCCATTGAAGTGTTGGCAGAAGGCTTTTCTGTTTATCAGGTTAGAAAGCCCAGGTTCTAACTGGGCATCATTGGCCACAGTGTTTTTGCTGGTAACAGCCAGAAACAGAGCGCGGTATTACAGCCAAACGGTTTCTTTTCCTTCCTCCTCCTTTTCAAGGAAAGAACGAAGAACCCAGATGGAGGGGGAGGGTGTGAGTTTAATGTCAGGCTTAGACAGTAGTTCAGAAAGTGACCACGAGGAAAAATGTATTTTCCCCCTTCTCCCTCCGTCGCTCTTTTCATAAGATTCATTGCTTAAATTATGTGTGGAATATTTATTATCTAGTGTATGCTTAGAATGGAGAAATGTTTAATTGCTCAAATAAGCCTGATCTCTGAAAATCCTCAACTCGGTGTCTACAGAGTAACCAAATTATCCAAATGGTCATAGGGGAGAGGCAAGGTTTGCTGCACATTTGTGCCTCCATAGAAAAGACAGATTGCTGGCCGGGCACGGTGGCTCACGCCTGTAGTCTCAGCACTTTGGGAGGCCAAGGCGGGCGGATCACTTGAGGTCAGCAGTTCGAGTCCAGCCTGGCCAACATGGTGAAATCCAGCTTCTACTAGAAAAAAAAAAAAAAATTAGCCAGGTGTGGTGGCATGCACCTGTAATCCCAGCTACTTGGGAGGCTGAGGCAGGAGAATCGCTTGAACCTGGGAGACAGAGGTTTCAGTGAGCCAAGATCATGCCACTGCACTCCAGCCTGGGAGACAGAGGGAGACTCCATCCCCCCCCAAAAAAAAAAAAAAAGCTCATTGCGCTGGTGTCTTGTCCTTCCTGCTGTTTAACAGAAACAGAAGATGTTCCTTTAATGCAAAATCAGTTTTCCCTAACTTGTTGATTACACAATAAATTCTATCACAATTTTTTATTGTGTTAGGTAGTTTTTTAAAAGCCATTATTGTGTATTTCTAGTATTTCAGGCACTTAGAAGGAAAGAAAAGAAATATTACTTGCCCATTTAACTTGAATTATCATAGAATATAATTTGAGATTTTCGTGGCAATTGGAGCTCTCAGGTGAAAAAAAATATGACTTTGCCTGGGTGCAGTTGCTCATTCCTGTAATCCCAGCACTTTGTGGGGTTGAGACGGGAAGATCACTTGAGCCCAGAAGTTTGAGACCTGGGCAACATAGTGAGACCTCGTTTCTACAAATTTTTCTACAAAAAATCTTGTAGAAATTTTTTCTACGAAAAATTTTTCAAAATTAGCCAGGCACGGTGGTGTACACATATGATCCCAGCTACTTGGGAGGCTGCGTTGGGAGGATCGCTTGAGCGCAGGAGGTGAAGCTGCAGTGAGCTATGATCTCACTACTGCACTCCAGCCTAGGCAACAGAGCAAGACCCCAAAACATTTTTTTTAAGCTTTAAAAAAACCTAAATTTTGGCCAGGTGTGGTGGCTCACCCCTGTAATCCCAGCACTTTGGGAGGCTGAGGCAGGTGAATCACAGGGTCAGGAGTTTGAGACCAGCCTGGCCAATATGGTGAAACCCCATCTCTACTAAAAATACAAAAAAATTAGCTGGGCGTGGTGGCATGCGCCTATAATCCCAGTTACTCTGGAGGCTGAGACAGGAAAAGTGCTTGGAACCTCTGGGAGGCAGAGGTTGCAGTGAGCCCTGAGATCGCGCCACTGCACTCCAGCCTGGGCAACAGAGCAAGACTCCGTCTAAAACAAACAAACAAACAAACAAACCTAAATGAAGGACATCCGTAGACTTCTAAAGTCCTCATCCAACCTGATGCCTGGAGACTGGGTTTTGTTTTGGCTTCTTTTTGAATATTGAAGAATGTCATTTATGTGAACTTTCAGGACATTAATTCAATTAAGAGCTAAGAAGATAAGGTGCAACTGTTTTATGTATTTATTTTATAGAGATGAGGTCTCACTATGTTGCTCAGGCTAGTCCTAAACTCCTGGCCTCAGGTGGTCCTCTCTCCTCCACCTCCCAAAGTGCTGGGATGACAGGCGTGAGCCACCTCGCCTGGTCCAACTACTTTTTTTTTTTTAATGAGAGACATTTGAGGCAATTTTTGACGTAATTTTGGATAAAAGCATGCCTTTTTCCTAAAATATTTCAAATGAGACAAAATGAATTTATTGTATGAATCAGACCGTGACCCAAATTCTTCTGGGTCACTATTTACTTTTCTTACACAGCCAGTACCAGGGTCCACTTTCTCTTCTTTTCAGCCCCTCATTTCCAAGTTCCCCCGTCTCTTCATTCACCTGTCTGTTATACTGGCAGAATGATGACAGGCTCAGACCTGCGTGCTTTGAGAGAAAATCTAGCATGTTCTAGTACGCTAAGTTTGTGGCATGACATGTAGGCGTGTCCCCCTCAGCCTCTACCTCGGGATAGTTAACAAAACTCCAAAAGAGTTGGCTGTGTTCCCAACCAATGGCTCTGTCACTGCCTCACACACAGGGCCTCCCCATCTGTGTCCACAGTAATCATCGCTGTGGATGGCTCTGCCAAGAGCTCCCCTGTGTGGACTCCAGTGTTGCGGCTGCTCTGAGATGGCCTCTTCCTTCCCTTACTCCTGCAAAGCAGCAACCTCCCAGCATCAACGTGCGATGCTGGCCCTCAGCCGGCCCCCTTGGCTTCTTGGTGAACCTCGTGTTCCGTTTCTGACGCTTTTCCTGGTCTGGACCCTACTCACTGGCCCAGAGGGAGACACTCCTAGCCATTCCCTGTAAGCTGCCACTAAGTCCCGGAGGTCCCTTCTGGTTTCAGCACCAGGCAGCTGCCCGAGCTGCGAGCTGGGAGTTCTGGGCCTGATCCCGGCTCAGAAAGAGGAACTTCATCCATTCGCTCCTGGGCTGGCCCAGCAGCAGCACGCCAGGCTCTCAGACCAGTGTGGGGCCCAGAGAGCCCCACCCAATCCCACCAATTGGAATTAGGGGAGGGCAGGGACAGAGCAGAGGACAGGCTGGGAATGCCCAGAAGAGTGGATGTCGAAGCATCGTCGTTCACCAGGACCCAGTGTCTGCAAAGCTCAGCTCCCAGCCTGCCCCGGCCAGCTCAGCGACGCCCGTCCTGCAGCTCTGCATGTCAGAAGCCACTGGACGGGGTGCGTCAGTGGGGCCTCTGGGTACATCCTCCTCACCCTGCAGCATTAAACCAAAGTGCTAATGATAACACCCAGATGAGTGCCAAGTGGAAAAATCAGAGCCTTACCATCCTCTGTGAAATCCTGAGTCAGTTTCACGCTTTGTAGGCATTTTAGGATTCAGCCATCCGTGAGATGATCCAGTTATTCCAATCAAATTCCACCTTCTCAATCCATGCAGCAATCCTCACACCAAAAACCATTCTGGGAGGCGTAAGAGCTGTGACGCGGCTCTGACAGCGACCTCCCCGTGCTGATGGTCACTTTGTCCCCACAGGTTGCCAGAACCTGATGTTTTTGCTGTTCGTGGTGTTGGATGGCTGCAAAGGGGTGACGGCGGTTCAAGCAGGCTTCTGACTTGTCCGTCGTATCCCAAAACCGGCGTTTTTTCCACACACACTGGCTGAAGCTTCCTACCTGTGGGCTTGGGAGCTTGCTAGTCACAGAATAAGGAAATCCACAGGTGTTAAAGAATCCGTCCATTCCAAAAGCGTGGATGGTTTTTTTTTAATCATCATGTTTTCTAGAAATTGCTCGGTTTTTATTTCTTTCCTCCCCTCTAACCCTCTTCTTATCCGCATTTTCCCATCTTCTCTTTTCCAGAAGACGAGAACCCTGTGGAGAGGGAGACTCCAAGTTTCCCTTCAGTTCACAGGAAGAGAGTTGCCGTGCAGGAGCCTAATTGTAAATTTGAAAAAATTAAAAACTGCTTATGCTCTGTCAATTACCAAAACGAGGAAGGACTGTATCTGTGAAATACGTATATATTTTTTGAGATGGAGCCCCGCTCTGTCGCCCAGGCTGGAGTGTAGTGGCGCGATCTCGGCTCACTGCAACCTCTGCCTCCCAGGTTCAAGTGATTCTCCTGCCTCAGCCTCCCAAGTAGCTGGGACTATAGGCACAGGCCACCACGCCCAGCTAATTTTTGTATTTTTAGTAGAGATGGGATTTCGCCATGTTGGCCAGGCTGGTCTCGAACTCCTGACCTCAAGTGATCCGCCCACCTCAGCCTCCCAAAATGCTGGGATTACAGGCATGAACTGCTGTACCCGGCCTGGTTGTTGCATTTTAATGTACTGAGCCAAGCACCAGGCTCCAGGGACACTGCTACTAGGTGGCCTGTCCTTGGCTCTGATGCAGGCGCTTCCAGGAAGAATGGGCTGCAGCTCTGTGCAGCCTGCCTGTGCTGGGCCAATGTCAGCTCCCCTTGCTCGAACAGGATTGGCCAGAACACGCCCTGTGCCTGCGAGCAGCCTTGAATGCCACTGGGGATTTGAGGTTTAGGCGTCCCGTTCCTTGAGCAGGAACCTCTGCAGAAAGGCAATTAGAAGAACAAAGTGCCCTCTCCCTGACGGTCTGTCTCCCTCACACCAAAAAGGAAGGTGAAGCTTCCTTTTTAAGGAGACCCCTTTTTAAGAACCACGGGGTAGCTGTGGTGGTTCACGTCTATAATCCCAGTGCTTTAGGAGACCACAGTGGGAGGATCACTTGAGCCCAGGAGTTTGGAACCAGCCTTGGCAACAGGGGTTGGAGGCTGCAGTGAGCTATGATCATGCCACTGCACTCCACCCTGGGCAACATAGTGAGACCCCATCTCTACAAATGATATAAAAGGCACCTGGGGGTGGTGGTGCGTGCCTGTGGTCCCAGCTATTCAGAAGCCTGAGGCAGGAGGATCGCTTGAATCCAGGAGTTCAAAGCTGCAGTGAACTGTGATTGTGCCATTGCACTCCAGCCTGGGCACCAGAGCGAGACCCTGTCTCTTAAAAAAAAAGAAGAAGAAGAAACATGTATGAGATAGAGCGCTGCAAATCTGGTTCCAACTTTCTCTGTGATTTTGCTGGAATTTGTTCAACACTGAGCTCACAGACAGCAGTGAACCAAAACTTGTTTTCTTTGGACTGCTTTGAGCAAAAATAGAAGAAAGGGGCTCATTTTTTTCCAGTGATTTTTTATTTTTCATCAATAGTGCAGATCCAAAGTAAGTATTTATTCACTGGCCTGATTTCCCAATCTTTTAACTTAGAAGTATGATTGCCAGTTTCCTAGGTTTTTAAGAATACGCTGAAAACAAGCTGCCAAGCTTAGGAGCCGAGAACCATAGAAAGTTCTGTCCATGTGCTTGGATCAGATTTCCAGCACAAACTGTGATGTGTACATCGCTTAACTCGGAGTCTGACTTTTGTTAGCTGTTGTTGGATGAACAGGTGTGTGCAGCGGATGAGTAACATGATACAAAGAGAGGTTGTACTTCCGCTGGGAGGAGAATGGGCATTTGGGTTTTTGTTGTTGTTGTTGTTTAATTTCAGCCCAACTGTTTAGAAAGAAAATTCTTGCTGTCTTTACCACTTTGTGCTGCACAGGGAGGTGGGAAGGAGGATGTTAGACGTGCGTATTAACAAATGCTCTTATGGCTACATTTTTTGGTCCATGCAAAAAAAAAAAAAAAAAAGTTCGTCTTTTTTTTATCCAGTTATCAAACTTGTGTAAAAATAAGAAAGTATATCCTTAAATAGAATTGTGCCCTGGAAGGAACCCAGATGGCTCTCTTGAGATTAAAATAGTCATCCCAGCCGGGCACGGTGGCTCATGCCTGTAATCCCAGCACTTTGGGAAGCCAAGGCAGGAGGACTGCTTGAGGCCAGGAGTTTGAGACCAGCCTGGCCAACATGGTGAAACCCCCTCTTTACTAAAAATAACAAAAATTAGCTGGGAGTGGTGGTGGGTGCCTGTAATCCCAGTGACTCGGGAGGCTGAGGCAGGACAATCACTTGAACCCAAGAGGCGGAGGTTGCAGTGAGCCGAGATCACGCCATTGCACTCCAGCCTGGGCAACAAGAGCGCAACTCCGTCTCAAAAAAAAAAAAAAAAAAACTTAGGGACATCATTCTCAGTTTTTTTTAAAGGGTACTAGTTTTAGTTTTGATTTACCAATTTATGTTTCCGAGACGTTTTTTCAATGAAGTGAGTCACTTTTGAACTATTGTGAGGCACTCATTCTAATTTCATGGCTCTCAGTTTACAGGAACATAACATTTGATGCCAATGAAATTCATTAGAATTCTGCGCTATCCTGTGAACTGCGTGCCCATCTGTCTTGTATGTGTTTCCAGGGGTGGCTTACAATGGTCTTCGCCATGTACTGGATGGACGTGTACTTATTATGAATCCTCACACCCTGAGACCCAAGAGGATCCCTCGTAAAACAAGGCCATATCTGATTTGGATTAAAATCCCCACGGAGAACCTGATGTCACCCAGGAAAGTGCACGTCTCCTTGCGTGCTCTTGAGAAACGGTTGAGAAAACAGTCCTTCCAGCTCAGTAAATACCATTTTCTTTCTGTCTGCTCACCACCCTTGCATTTGCAATAAACCTGACAAAAACTTCCAGAGCGAAAATAAGAATGTTCATATTTGAAGGAGATGTTGGCAGACGGCCACAGACTTCAAGTACGCAAGCTCATTCCGCTCTTGCTTTTCTGCCAATAACTCCTTGGCCTCCGCGCACTCTGCACAGGCGGGGCCTGAGGACGGATCATGATCGTGTCCGATGATCACGGACCCGCCGGAGACTCTCAATGGAGAGGCGATGAGTCACAGCCAAGCGAACTTTCTCTGCTCCTGAACAAATTGCTTCTCCTCGTCGTCCCACTCCAAACCTAGAGGTGGGACAACCCCAGCATCCTGGGCGTGAACGCACCCAGCTTGATTGTCACATGGGGAATAGAGACCTCGCGCCTGCCTGGCATAGGCCAACCCAGTAATGTTCATTTAAAGCTGGCTTTACTAGTCCTTCTTCCACAATGAGAGGTGACCCTTCACTTCACCGAGAAAGGAAGGAAGAAAGGTAGGTGCAGGGAGGAAGTGGTGGGGCGAGGGGAGATGGCCTGAGTGGGGGTGAGAAGGAACGAGAAACAGGAAGGAGTCAAATGCCTTTACTGCTTTTAAAGTGGATTTGACGGCCAGTAGGATTACAGGCCGGGCGCGGTGGCACACATCTGTAATCCCAGCACTTTGGGAGGCCAAGGGGCGTGGACTTGAGGTCAGGAGTTCAAGACCAGCCTGGCCAACATGGTGAAATCCTGCCTCTACTGAAAAATACAAAAACAGGCAGGGTGTGGTGGCACACACCTGTAATCCCAGCTAGTCAGGAGGCTGAGGCACAGGAATCGCTTGAACCCAGGAGGCAGAGGTTGCAGTGAGCTGAGATCACGCCACTGTACTCCAGCCTGGGCGACAGAGCGAGACTCTGTCTCAAAAAAAAAAAAAAAAAAAAAAAGAATTAAGTTCGTCTCACCTTGTCCAAAAGCCATGGACACAGTTGAGATCACCTCAGGAGACCAAGGGACCAGCTCAGCAAGGGCAGGCCCCTCCCCACAACAACGGGTCCTGGAATGTTCCAGAAACATTTTAAAAATTGTGTTGTATGATATTTGTCAACGAACTCAGCCTCTACTGTCCCCACTCTTCTCCTGGTTGGCTGGACACAGCCGGACCCTTGGAAAGTGGGTGGGGGTAGGGAGAGTGGTCCCAGGAGTAGGGCCAAGGGCGGGAGGAAGGGGCTGATGACAGAGGCTATAAATAGCCAGGCAGCTGCTTGGCAGCTGGTGCAGGGAATTGTCTGGACGAGGGGATGGCGTCCAGGAAGGGAACAATGAAACGGCACCGGTCAGAGAGCAAACAGAGAAGGAGGCGGTGGGGTGAGGGCGCAGAGTCGCTCTGGTCCTTCCTCCCCGACTGGTGTGACCCTGCGCTTTTGGGGGCGCAGAGGGGAACCCTGGACAGCTCTGGAGGCAGCAGAGGGAGCCTCGTGCTTCACCTCCTTGGCCCAGAACCCACATCTGGCTCAGGACTGGACAAAAGAAAGACAGCCTGTCACCTAAGCTTTTGCATCGGAGGAGTCTGCCTGCTGGGGCGGTCGTGTTGTTTGCGCGTCAGTGTGGGCAATATTTTTAAACCCTTTAAGTTTTTGTTGGGGTGCAACTTCCATCAGTAAAGTGCACGTAGCTCGGTGAGTTTTCACACACTGATGCACCCATACAGCTATCACTCCGAACAAGATATACGACGTTTCTAGACGCTCAGCAGACTCCCTTTGCCGCCCAAGGGTCACCTCTGTTTCCATCACTGTCATCCTAGATTGCGTCTTCCTTTTGACTTCGGGGTTGAGTCATATCACAGAAATCATGCAGTAAGGACCGTTCTGTGTCTGGCTTCTTTCACTCATCAATCCGCCTAGGAGATTCCTCCCTGCCGTGTGCAGCAGAATTTTGTTTCTTTTCATTGCAGCATAATATTTCATCGCGTGAAGAGGCCATGATTTCTCCGTTCCGCTGAGGATCGATTGAGCTGTTTCCAGTTTGGGGCGCGATGAACAATGCCGCAGTGAGGATTCTTGTCAGTGCTGGCGTATCTCATGATAGGTTTGGAAATAAATTCTGATGGGAATTAAAACTGGTGTAACCTCTATAAAGGGCCATTTAGCAAGAACTGTCAAAATGTAAAAAACATGCGCCCTTCTGGGAATTACTTCTACAGATCTGCCCGAACATGCAAAATGTCTCATGCACCAGGTTCTTCTTTGCAGCATTTGTTTGCAAAAGCTGAGGTGTAGCAACAACCTAAATATCCATCAATAAATATTTATCCATCCATAGACTAGAATACCAGGCAGCCACCAGAAGGAATGAGAAAGCTCGGTACCAGCAGGACCTCCAAGTTAAGTAAAAAAGCAAGATGCTGAACAGTACATATAGTTCTCCACCATGTAGATTAAAAAGGGACGGAATACATTTGCTTGTATTTGCATAAAATATCTATGAGTATAGTCAAGAAATAGATAATATGATCTATGTATGCGGGATGCGGGGAAGGAAGATGTTTCCGTGTATATTCCTTGGTAATCGTTGAATTTTAAGCCATATGAATGCATTGTCTACTCAAAAACTCAATTTATTGTGAAAAGACTAAAAACCACTGAACTGTACACATTAAAATTCTATGGTATGTGATTTAGATCTCAGTGAAAAATATATATTGAGGATGGGCGAGGTGGCTCATGCCTGTAATCCCAGCATTTTGGAAGTCTGAGGCAGGTGGATCACTTGAAGTCAGGAGTTTGAGACCAGCCTGGCCAACATGGTGAAACCCCGTCTCTACTAAAAATACAAAAATTAGCTGGGCGTGGTGGCGAGTGCCTGTAATCCCAGCTACTCAGGAGGCTGAGGCAGGAGAATCGCTTGAGCCTGGGAGGAGCCAGAGGTTGCAGTGAGCCCAGATCACACCACTGCACTCCAGCCTGGGCAGCAGAGCGAGACTGTCTCAATAAACAACAACAAAAAAAATTACATTTAAAAAAACTTAGGCTATGGGGCCCAGCGTGGAGGCTCACACATGTAATTCCAACATTTTGGGAAGCTAATGCCGGAGAATCGCTTAAGCCCAGGAGTTCAGGACCAGCTTGAGCAACAGTGAGATTCCATCTGTATATTAAAAAAAAAAAAAAAAAAATTAGCCAGGCATGGTGTTGCTCACCTGTAGTCCCAGCTGCTCAGGAGGCTGAGGTGAGAGGATCACTTGAGCCTGGGAGTTCGAGGCTGAGGTGAGAGGATCACTTGAGCCTGGGAGTTGGAGGCTGAAGTGAGCCATGAGGGCGCCACTACACTCCAGCCTGGGTGACAGAGTGAGAGCCTGTCTTTAAAAAACATATAATAATAATAATAATTAATAATTAAACAAATAATAAGGCTTAGACTAAGAGGGAAGGCAGAGCACACTCAGGTGCATTCGGCCTTCTGGATGCTACCAGGGAATGCCAGACCTCCGGGAGAAACAAGAACCCACGTGTTCTCAAGGCGCCCAGCCCAGCCCAACCTGTGGCCCTCCAGAAACTGTCGTGGTCATCCTCCATTCACCTGTCTGTTCATTCATCAACTCACCCTTCAGATAGCTGCAGAGGACCTATGATCACCAGGAATCTCCCCATGAGCAAACTATGGGGCACTGGGAAGACGGTGGCCACAGTTAGAGGTGGGAGCCGCACAGGCAGATGGAACCGCAGTGGCCGCAAGCCCTGGAGGATCTTCGGCCGTCCGTGCTGGCTTGGAAGCCCTCCTGGGTTTCTTTACACGGACTTAGGGCTTTGGGGACTCTGGCTGGGGTGACCTCGACCTGTGCCGAGCCTCCAAAGATTCCTGTAGGCGCTGCACCCCGAGCGGAGACTGCAGCTCGGCCTCCCTGCGTCTGCACTGCCTCCCCTGCTGCAGGGGTGTCCCCAAGGGCCTGGGCCGTGCTCCTCCTACCGCAGCTCCTGGTCCTGGCGCCTCCTCCATCCAGAGACACAAGTGGCCCCTACGACTCCAGCACCAGACCTGATCTCAAGCACCAGGCAATACTCATTAAATCAAAATGTGCTAGAACCGGAAGGAATAAATCTCACTGTGATGGATTCCTGGGGTTCCAACAACCCCTCAGCAACCAGTATATTAATTCTAATAAAATGTTCTAAAATTCAGTAAAATGCAAGGAATCCCATTTTCCAGGAAGGCATATAAAGGCTCAGGCATATGTAAGGCACAGAGGGAGTGACGGCCAACCTGGGAATTAGACTAAGGTTTCTTTCCTCTCTGTGCCTTGATAGAGAATCCACCTCAGTTCCAGAACTTGCATCAGAAACAGGGTCCTCTTCCCACACCCCACTTCTCGGGGAGGGCTCAAGCCGCATCTGCCTCTGGAAGCAGATATCCGTGACTATTATGACTCCTTGGAAGGCAGCCAGGCATGAGCCTGTGGCTTACATTCCTTAATGCTCAAGCACATTCCTTCGTGTTCAAGTATACGTGTGGTTGGCTCGAGCACAGAAGCACAGAGCTGAGCAAAATATTCAGCGCCTTTTTCAGAGAACCCTGGCTGGTGCTGGTGGATGTTCCTGCCCCTTCCTCCACCATGAACATTTTTAAAAATTAAGGTGAGTCTGGGCACAGTAGCTCATGCCTGTAATCCCAGCACTTTAGGAGGCTGAGATGGGAAGATCCCTTGAGCCCAGAAGTTTGAGACCAGCCTGGGCAACACAGTGAGACCCCATCTCTACAAAAACTAAAAAATTAGCCAGGCAGGGCATCGTGTGCCTGTAGCCCCAGCTACTCAGCAGTCTGAGGTAGGAGGATCACTTGAGCCCAGGAAGTTGAGGCTTCAGTGAGCCATGTTTGTGACGCTGCACTCCAAAAAAAAAAAAAAGAAAAAAAGAGGCCAGGCACAGTGGCCCACACCTATAATCCCAGCACTTTTGGGAGGCTGAATTGGGTGGATCACCTGAGGTCAGGAGTTCGAGACCAGCCTGGACAACATGGTGAAACCCCATCTCTACTAAAAATACAAAAATTAGTCGGGCGTGGTGGCAGGTGCCTGTAGTCTCAGCTACTCGGGAGGCTGAAGCAGGAGAATCGCTTGAACCCAGGAGGGGGAGGTTGCAGTGAGCCGACATGGTGCCACTGTACTCCAGCCTGGGCGACAGAGTGAGACTCCGTCTCAAAAAAAAAAAAAAAGAAATATGAAATGTCCAGAAAAGGCAAATCTATAGAGACAGAAAGATCAACGGTTGCTGGGGCAAGGGAGGAGAACTGTCACAAGTTGAGAGTAAAATTTTTAGGATGGTGGAGATGTTCTAAAAATTGGATCATGTTGGTTACATGACTCTACAAATTTACTAAAAGGCATTGGTTATACATTGAGAGTGGGTGAATTTTACTATATGTAACTATATCTAAAAAACATTGTAAAAATAAAAAAGTAACCTGCAAGGTAGTAAGGCCGAGATGAAACAGTTGGCAATAGGATAATTATTTTGTAAGTTGGGTGATGGGTAACAGGATTCATTATACTATTATTTTGGTTTATATTTGAAATTTTTCATTATACTAAGTTTAAAAAATTAATACTTGCTCCTCTGTGCTTCCAAACACCAAAATACATGTGATCCCATGAAATCCCAAGCACGCTGTATTGGTGTCATTTACAAGCCTGCCTTTCTACCGAGTTAGTGAGTTTCCTACAGGCCGGGATGGTTTCCCATTATTTGCTGCTTTTTTGTATTTCTTCCAGGATCTGACTTTGAAGCCTGGCAAATAGATGTTAATTGAATAAGTTATTTAAGTAAAATGGGGAGAGGAAAAAAAAGAAATATCTAGTAACATACAAAAGATCGTTTTCCAAAAGCTAACTCAAGTTTCTTGAAAGGAAACCTTTCCAATTCTCAGAGCTTTGAGAGACCATCTTACTTCCATGTATGTTTGGCTGTTGCTTTTTTGTTTGTTTTTGGAATGTCCTGCTTTAGGGAGAGCTGCCATCAGTAGAAGCATGAGGAATGGATCCCTTGTTCTATTTTTTAAAAAATAATTAAAGAACTCTAAATGAAGATAATGTTGAAGAAAATTGGATTCTTCTTCTTCTTCTTCTTCTTCTTCTTCTTCTTCTTCTTCTTCTTCTTCTTCTTCTTCTTCTTCTTCTTCTTCTTCTTCTTCTTCTTCTTTTTTTTTTCAGATGGAGTTTCACTCTTGTCTCCCAGGCTGTGGGTGCAATGGTATGATCTCAGCTCACTGCAACCTCCGCCTCCCAGGTTCAAGTGGTTCTCCTACCTCAGCCTCCCGAGTAGCTGGGAGTATAGGTGTGCACCAACATGCCCAACTAATTTTTTATTTTTTAGTAGAGACGGGATTTCACCATGTTGGCCAGGCTGGTCTCAAACTCCCGACCTCAGGTGATCTGTCCGCTTCAGCCTCCCAAAGTGTTGGGATTACAGGCATGAGCCACCGCCCCCAGCCTGGATTCTTCTTGATTAATTTTTTTTTTTTCCTGAGATGGAGTTTCGCTCTGTTGCCCAGGCTGGAGTGCAGTGGTACAATCTCAGCTCACTGCAACCTCCACCTCCCAGGTTCAAGTGATTCTCCTGCCTCAGCCTCCCGAGTAGCTGGGACTTGAGGCCTATGCCCCCACGCCTGTCTAATTTTGTATTTTTAGTAAAGACGGGGTTTCACCATGTTGCCCAGGCTGGTCTCAAACTCCCGACCTCAAGTGATCCACCTGCCTCAGCCTCCCAAAGTGCTGGGATTACAGGTGTGAGCCACCGCGCCTAGCCAACATTTTGTAATGTCTCAAAGTCCTCATTGGGGGTCTCCTCTCCCATCACATTGAGATAGGAAGTGGGACTTGATTCCTGATGCAGACCAAATTGACGACCAGCTAAAACAGGGACTGGGTGGAAGCAGATTTTCACAAAACACGCCCACCAGTGCACCGGGTCGGTTTACCGCGGCCATGGCAACATCTGGGAGTTACCACCCCTTTCCATGGCAATGACCCAGCACCCAGAAGTTACCTCCCTTTTCCTAGAGTCTGGATAATCTGCCCCTTAATTTGCATGTAATTAAAAGTGGGTATAAATATGATGGCAGCACTGCCTCTGAGCTGCTACTCTGGGCACACTGCCTATGGAGTAGCCCTGTGTGGCAGGGAGCAGTCCCTCTGCTGCTGCTGGACACTGCCGCTCCAATATAAGTTGCTGTCTAACACCACCGGCTCGCCCTTGAATTCTTTCCTGGGTGAAGCCAAGAACCCTCCCAGGCTAAGCCCCAATTTGGGGGCTCACCTGCCCTGCATCAACATTAACATAGAAAATACACTTATTTGAGTCTGTTCTGATAAATTTCCTGTTTTTTAAAATATGTGATTTTTGTTGCCAACTGACAGGGAGAAACAGGAAAACTTTGAAGAATCTTCCAGATTTGCCTAACGCAGATGTGCATGACCTGACAAGATAGATGTGCCATTTGGACCCTTTCAAGAGCAGACAGAATGGAAGGGAGGTAATACAGATCAATTACAGATGTGGGTTGCTTTATTTTTTTTTTTTTTATTTTGAGGTGGAGTCTCGCTCTGTTACCCAAGCTGGAGTGCAGTGGTACAATCTCATCTCACTGCAACCTCCGCCTCCTGGGTTCAAGTGATTCTCCTGCCTCAGCCTCCCAAGTAGCTGGGATTACAGGTGTGTGCCACCACGCCTGGCTAATTTTGTATTTTTAGCAGGGACGGGGTTTCACTATGTTGGCCAGGCTGGTCTTGAACTCCTGACCTCAAGTGATCCGCCCAACTCGCACTCCCGAAGTGCTGGGATTACAGGCGTGAACCACCGTGCCCAGCCTGTGTGTTGCTTATTGACACCTGAGAAAGTCGACATAAGGCAATTCCGTCATTGTGTGAACATCACAGGGTGCACTTACACAGACCTAGATGGCACAGCCTACCACACACCTAGGCCACATGGTGTAACCTATTGCTCCTACGCTACCAACCTGTACAGCTTGTTACCCCACTGAATACTGTAGGCAACTGTAACAAAATGGTAAGTGATTGTGTATCTAAACACTTCTTTATCATTATTATTATACCTTAAGTTCTAGGGTACATGTGCACAATGTGCAGGTTTGTTACGTAAGTATACATGTGCCATGTTGGTTTGCTGTACCCATTAACTCGTCATTTACATTAGGTATTTCTCCTAATGCTATCCCTCCCCCCTCCCCCCACCCCATGACAGACCCCAGTGTGTGATGTTATCTGCCCTGTGTCCAAGTGTTCTCATTGTTCAATTCCCACCTATGAGTGAGAACATGCAGTGTTTGGTTTTCTGTCCTTGTGTTAGTTTGCTCAGAATGATGGTTTCCAGCTTCATCCATGTCCCTGCAAAGGACATGACGTCCTCCTTTTTTATGGCTGTATAGTATTCCATGGTGTGTATGTGCCACATTTTCTTAATCCAGTCTATCATTAATGGATATTTGGGTTGGTTCCGAGTTTTTGCTATTGTGAATAGTGCCGCAATAAACATACGTGTGCATGTGTCTTTATAGTAGCATGATTTATAATCCTTTGGGTATATACCCAGTAATGGGATGGCTGGGTCAAGTGGTATTTCTAGTTCTAGATCCTTGAGGAATCGCCACACTGTCTTCTACAATGGTTGAACTAGTTTACACTCCCACCAACAGTGTAAAAGCATTCCTATTTCTCCACATCCTCTCCAGCATCTGTTGTTTCCTGACTTTTTAATGATCGCCATTCTAACTGGTGTGAGATGGTATCTCATTGTGGTTTTCATTTGCATTTCTCTGATGACCAAACACTTCTAAACATAAAAAATGCACAGCACAAATACAGTATAAAAGATTAAAAATGGGCCGCACAGTGGCTCACGCCTGTAATACCAGAAACTTGGGAGGCCAAGGCAGGTGGATCACCTGAGGTCAGGAGTTCGAGACCAGCCTGGCCAACATAGTGAAACTCTGTCTCTACTAAAAATACAAAAATTAGCTGGGCATGGTGGTGGGCACCTGTAATCCCAGCTACTCAGGAGGCTGAGGCAGGAGAACCGCTTGAACCTGGGAGGCAGAGTTTGTGGTGAGCCGAGATTGCGCCACTGCACCCCAGCCTGGGCAACAGAGTGAGACTCCATCTTAAAAAAATAAAGATTAAAAATGGCACACCCGTATAGGGCACTTACCATAAATGGAGCTTGCAGGACTGGAAGTTGCTCTTGGTTAGTGGGTGGGTGGTGAGTGAATGTGAAGGCCTCAGACATGACTGTCCACCACTGTAGACGCTATAGACACTGTATACTTAGACCACACTAAGTTTATTTCAAATTTGATCTTTTGGCTGGGCACAGTGGCTCACGCCTGTAATCCCAGCACTTTGGGAGGCCAAGGCAGGTGGATCACGAGGTCAGGAGATCGAGACCATCCTGGCTAACACGGTGAAACCCCGTCTCTACTAAAAATACAAAAAATTAGCCAGTTGTGGTGGCGGGCGCCTGTAGTCTCAGCTACTCGGGAGGCTGAGGCAGGAGAATGGTGTGAACCTGGGAGGCAGAGCTTGCAGTGAGCCGAGATCTCGCCACTGCACTCCAACCTGGGCAACAGAGCAAGACTCCATCTCAAAAAAATAAAATAAAATAAAATAAAATAAAATTTGGTTCTTTCTCTTCAGTAATAAATTAACCTTAGCTTACTAGAACTTTTTTACTTTATAAACTTTTTAATTTTTTTAACTTTTTTACTTTTTTGTAAAAAAGTAAAACACAGCTTAAAACACAAACACATCAAACACATTGTACAAAGATATTTATTTTCGTTATGTCTTTATTCTATTAGCTTTTTTTTTTTTTTTTTTTGAGATAGGGTCTCACTCTGTCATCCAGGCTGGAGTGCAGTGGCACAGTCTTGGCTCACTGCAGGCTTCATCTCCCAGGCTCAAGCGATCTTCCAACCTCAGCCTCTCAAATAGCTGGGACTACAGATGCACATCACCACTCCCGGCTAATTTTTGTATTTTTTGTAGAGACAGGGTTTCGCCACCTTACCCAGGCTGGTCTCAAACTCCTGAGCTCAAGCAGTCCACCCACTTCTGCCTCCCAAAGTGCTGGGATTACAGGTGTGAGCCACTGCACCTGGCCCTATTAACTTTTTTCTTCTTCTTCTAGACGGAGTCTCATTCTGTTGCCCAGGCTGGAGTGCTGTGGCGCGATCTCGGCTCACCGCAACCTCCGTCTCCTGAGTTCAAGCAATTAATTCTCCCTGCCTCAGCCTCCCAAGTAGCTGGGATTACAGGCGCCCACCACGATGCCCGGCTAATTTTTGTATTTTTTAGTGGAGATGGGGTTTCACCATGTTGGCCAGGCTGGTCTCAAACTCCTGACCTCAGGTGATCTGCCCGCCTTGGCCTCCCAAAGTGCTGGGATTACAGGCAGGAGCCACTGTGCCTGGACAGCCTTTTCTATTAATTTTTTTTAAACTTTTTAAACTTTTTTATTAAAAACTAAGACACACATACACATTAGCCTAGGCCTACCCAGGGTCACGATCATGAATGTCACTGTCTTCCACCTCCACATCTCGTCCCACTGGAAGGTCTTCAGAGGCAATGTGTATGCAGACTGTCATCTCCTGTGATAATAATGCTTTCTTCTAGAATACCTCCTGAAAGGCCTGCCCGAGGCTGTTTTACGGGTAACTGTAAAAAAATATGAGTGCACTCTAAGGAACAATAAGGACCAGGCACCATGGCTCAGGCCTGTAATCCCAGCACTCTGGGAGGCCAAGGTCAGAGGATCGCTTGAGCTCAAGAGTTCAAGGCCAGCCTGGGCAACTTCGTCAAACCTTGTCTCTACTAAAAATTTTTAAAAAATAGCCAGGAGTGCTGGCGCACACCTGTAGTCTCAGCTACTCAGGAGGCTGAGGCAGAAGGATTGTTTGAGCTCCGGAGGCCAAGCCTGCAGCGAGCTATGGTCACACCACTGTACTCCAGCCTAGGCAACAGAGTGAGACCCTGTCTCTATAAAAACAAAACAAAATGAAATGAAAAAAGTATAGTGTAGTAAATACCTAAGCCAGTAACACAGTTGTTTATTATCATTACCGAGTATTATGTACGGTGCATAATTACATGTGCTAGACTTTTATATGACTGACAGCACTGTAGGTTGGTTTACACCAGCATCACCACAAACTCGTGAGGAATGCGTTCCCCTATGAAGTCTCTAGGCCATAAGAATGTTAAGAATTTTTCAGCTCCGTGAAAATCTTATGGGACCACGGTCCTATATGCAGGCTGTTGACCCAAACCTCTATGGGGCGCACGACTGTCCATCCCTCCCAGGGATCGGGCGAAGTGCTGGGCCTTGAGAAGGCATTGCATGGCACCGCCCAAGGATCCTGTAACTGCGCCACGCAGGGGTCGATGATCTGCCTGCGCCAGAGCAGGGAGACCCCGGCTGGCCCCAGGTCTCCCCAGGGTGAGCCTGGCGCGCTCTCGGGCGCCACCTAGCGCCAACCAGAGCCGGAGCGCTCAGACTTGCGACCCCAAACGAGGCCCCGCGTCTTCAGAAGTCCCAAGCTCCGGGACTGAGCGAGCGTGGCCTGGGCATCCTGGGATTCAGAGCCAGCCTCTGGCCGCCCTCGGGACAGGGGTCCACAGCCAGCGTCCCCCACGCGGCGTCCTGCCTGGGGTCCAGGCGCTCCCCCTGTTGGGTTTCTGGAGGCACCGTGCCAGAGGTGGGACGGGCGCTGGCTCAGGAACAGGGATGGGGTCCTAGTCCCTCCTCAGTCCTCCCGGCACCCCTTTCTTCATGCAGGCGGAAGTGGCTCCAGTGCCACTCAGGGGCTCTTCCAGCTCGGCAAGCCCGGGGCCAATTGCACAGACCGCCTTCAGCCCCTGACCCATCCTTGGAAACCGCCCGGACTCCTGCAGTTTCTTAACTGTGCAGGTCACAGCGGAGTCACTGTGGAACTTTAAAAAAAAAAAAAAGACAAGTATCTGGGCCCCACTTTAGACCAGTCGAATTGGGAGTGGGGGCGCTGGCCGTCAGTATCGTTCCCGTTCACCAGGCGATCCCAATGCACTGCTAAGCATTGAGAACGCCGCCTTACGCTTAGCGCGCGTCCCCTGTGCACGCCTATGCACTCCTTTCCTGCAAAATCTCACCTTGCCCTAGAAAGCATCCGCTTGGGGTCTAGCTCTGGCGTGTCTGACGGTACCTCTCTCACCCTGGATGGTGGAGGCAGTGAGGGAGGTGGAGAGGGGCTTCTTTTAACCAGAGGCCTGAGAAGCAGTACCCTCTTTGCTCCAACTCCTCGTTAGCGCAAAGCCAGGACTAGAATCTGGATCTTTGAATTTCCTGTCCAGTGGATGTTGCCAGATTTAGCAAATAAAAATACAGGGTGTATATGTAACTATGAGGGTGAGATCAACAATGAATAATTTTTGTAGTATAAGTATATCCCAAATAGTGCATGAGTTGGGATATACTTACACTAAAAAAAAAAAATTTGACATTTGAAATTCAAATTTAGGCCGGGTGCAGTGGCCCACGCCTGTAATCCCAGCACTTTGGGAGGCCGAGGCGGGAGGATCACCTGAGGTCAGGAGTTCGAGACCAGCCTGGCCAACATGGTGAAACCCCCATCTCTACTAAAAATACAAAAATTAACCGGTCATGGTGGCATGTGCTTGTGATCCCAGCTACTTGGGAGGCTGAGGCAGGAGAATCGCTTGAACCTGGGAGGTAGAGGTTGCTGTGAGCCAAGATCGTACCACTGCACTCCAGCCTGGATGACAGAATGATAGTCCACCTCAAAAAAAAATTAATTAATTAATTAAATAGGGTACACTGTATTTTTTCAGGCAAAATTACATCTATGTCTATCCATTTATACATATGTAAATAATACAGCTGGCTAAAAATTGCCCAGTGCCTTTTATCCAGGGCCTGCAGCTACCCTTCTCCCCAGGCCAGTGTCCACCCAAGCCAAATACTGAGCACCCCTGGCTGGCCCTTCGAGAGTACTTGCCCACTAGCCTGAGACGCCTCCACCCCAGCTCCATCTCCAGAGCCTGGCTTGCTGCCTATTGACCATAAGGAAGGCGGTTGGAGCCTGTGGTGTCTTCCTGGATATGCCCTTGTAGCTGGGGAGCCCAAGGAAGCTGAGATGCTACAGTAGTGTCCTTAACTAAAATGCTCAGCATAACACACAGACACAAATTTAGAGTCTTCTCCAATCCATATTCCTCTAGTTTCTTTTTTTTTTTTTTTTGAAACAGAGTCTGGCTTTGTCACCCAGGTTGGAGCTCAATGAAGCGAACTCAGCTCACTGCCACCTCTGCCTCCTGGGCTCAAGCCATCCTCCCGCTTCAGCCGCTCAAGCAGCTGGGACTAAGACTACGGATGTACACCACTACACCCAGCTAATTTTTTGTATTTTCTGCCTCACCATGTTGGCCAGGCTGGTCTCGAACTCCTGAGCTCTTCAAGGGGTCTGTCCACCTCGGCCAACAAAAGTGCTGGGATTACAGGCGTGAGCCACCGTGCCCGGCCGTATTCCTGAACAGCTTCTTGAACTTCCCTGACAATAAGAATCCCTGAGATTGGAGCCAGTTGCATAATTTTTGGGGCCCAGGGCAAAACAAAAATGAAGGACTCCTTGTTCAAAAAGTTGGAACAGGCTAGGTGTAGTGGCTCACACCTATAATCCTAGCACTTCGGGAGGATGAGGCAGGAGGATTGCTTGAGCCCAGGAGTTCGAGACCAGCCTGGGCAACACAGGGAGACCCCCGTCTCTACAAAAAATTTTTAAATTAGCCAGGCATAGTGGTGCATGCCTGTAGTCCCAGCTACTTGGAAGGCTGAGGTGGGAGGATCCCTTGAGCCTGGGCAGTTGAGGCTGCAGTGAGCTATGATCATGCCACCTCACTCTAGCCTGAGCGACAGAAGGAGATGCCATCTGAAAAAAAAATTTTTTTAAGTTAGAACGAAGTGCTGTGAAAGATATTAACGTGTAAACTTTTTTCCTTTTTTCTGTGGTCTCTCTCCCTTGACTCATCATGGTGTATTTTTTTATTCTTATTTAATGTCGTTCTACGTAAAGAAAAATAAAATTGTAAATTATCAGCATGAACTTTACTGTTCATCCATATATCGTGCAATGCCAGTTTTAAGTGCAAATATGAGAGCATTTAACTTGCGTGCAGAATCACAGAAATTACACCATTTGTGTTGTGCTTTTGTCCTTGGGTACACTGGAAGAGACCCATGCAGGCCTAACTCAGAGAGGGTGGAAGGAGGAAGAGGGGGTCCCCCAGGCATGGAGCTCAGGCAGGGTGTGTGGGGACCCTCTGCGGAGGTCGAGCCAGGCATCTCTTCTCCTATATGCTCACTGCCCCATTGCATTGCAGACAGGGACCCCCAGGGATTTTTAAACATCTGTGCCAAGATGCGCGGGGCTCACCAACCCCACCAAGACATATGTGCTGGGCGCTGCCAGCCTGGGGCAGGAATGGCCACAACCCCACAAGGTTGCAGGCAGCACACCTGAGTCCAGTCCTTCCCACACTTGTGCCCAGGCCCTCTGGGGACAAAGGATAAAGGGCAGAACATGGCAGTGCACAAGGCAGGGGCAGGTAGGGGAACCAAGCCTGGGGCATCCAGGTGTGGGGGGACTGCCAGGGAGAGCCTTCCCAGGGAGGCAGAGAGAGGGTAGGGGCTGAGATCACAGGTACTTAGGCCCCAAGCCCCTGGTGCACATCACACTGTCCCATCACTTACAAAACACACATTCGAAGATTACATTATTAAGAATTTCAGCCCAGCATGGTGGCTCACACCTGTAATCCAGCACTTTGGGAGGCCAAGTGGGGCGGATCACTTGAGGTCAGGAGTGTGAGGCCAGCCTGGCGAACACGGTGAAACCCCATCTCTACTAAAAATACAAAAATTAGCCCGCGATGGTGGTGCATGCCTATAGTCCCAGTTACTCGGGAGGCTGAGGCACGAGAGTCGCTTGAACCTGGGAGGCACAAGTTGCAGTGAGTCAAGATCGCACCACTGCACTTCAGCCTGGGCAACAGAATGAGAATCTGTCTCAAAAAAAAAAAAAAAAAAAAAAAAAAAGAATTTCAGGCTGTCGACAGCAGAGGTTTGAAGCAAGCATGGCCCCTTCAGGGTGAGCTGTCTGTGGCTGCCCAGGTCTGTGAAGCTGGGCCCCCGTGGGACCCTTGCTAAGCATGACGGTTCCCAGGCCCTGCCTCAGATCCAGGAAGCAGAATCTCCAAGATGCCCTGGAATCCTACAGTTAAAGAATGCCCCAGGCAGTTATTATCAGGGAGTTGGGAGTCAATGCCCCAGGTTTCCAGATCTGGGGATCATTAGATTCCTGGGCCCCTCCCCTGCCGACTCACATTGAAAATCCCTAAATTCTACTCTCCTCTTCCCTCCCTACCACTGCATGGAATTCTGCTAGATTTTTAGAGCCGCTCTGCCTGGATCCCGTAAGTGCCACCCCCACCATCCACTAGCTGCGTGATTATAAACAAGCTGCGTAAACTCTCTGAGCCTCATTTTTCTTATCTGTGAATGGGGGGGTGGTGAGAATCGAACCTTCCTCCTGGAGTTGTTGTAAGGATTCAGTGAGTTGCTGTAAACAAAGTGTTCAGAACCATGTCGGCTACATTGTAAGTCCAAAATAATAGCTGTAGCTGTTTTTATTACCACGGGTTCTCAGCGCAGGGCTGCATATGACAATAACTGTTGTTTGCTTTCTTTGTTTGTTTTTAGTTTGTTTTTAAATGCCAGTGCCTGGGTCTCACTGGAGAACAATGAGACGCGAATCACACAGGGATTCTGATGCATGAGGATTGAGGCACACTGATACTGAATTGGGATTCGCTTTGTTCATTCCCTTATGTGTCATGGAGTTCCTTCCTTATATGCGGATATACAGATCCACACTATCATTTTTAAAAACTTTATTTTTGAGGCCTGGCATGGTGCCTTACACCTGTAATCTCAGCACTTTGGGCGGCCGAGGTGGGCAGATTGCCTGAGGTCGGGAGTTCAAGACCAGCCTGGCCAACATGGTAAAATCCCATCTCTACTGAAAAAGTACAAAAATTAGCCAGGCCTGGTGACGGGTGCCTGTAATCCCAGGCTGGGAGGCTGAGGCAGGAGAATCACTTGAACCCAGGAGGCAGAGGCTGCAGTGAGCTGAGATGGTGCTACTGCACTCCAGCCTGGGCGACAGAGTGAGAACTTTTTATTTTTGAGGTAGTTATCCTATCATTTTAACCGCTTTATGTATTCCATGGTACAAACATATCACAATCTAGTTAATCTCATGTATTTTTGGTGTTTTGTTTCTGTTTTCTGAGACAGGATCTGGCTCTGTCACCCAGGCTGGAGCGCAGTGGCATAATCACTGCTCACTGTAGCCTGGACCTCCTGGGCTCAAGCAGTCCTCCCACCTCAGCCTCCCAAGTAGCTGAGGTGCACGCCAGCATGCCCAGATGATTTTTTAATTTTGTTGTAGAGATGGGTGTCTCACTGTGTTGCCCAGGCTGGTCTCGAACTCCTGGACTCTAGCAACCTGCCTGCCTTGGCCTCCCAAGGTGCTGGGATTATAGGTGTGAGCCACCATGGCTGGCCTAGTCCCATGTTATTACTGTTTCTCCACCGTACTCATTCCAAAACTCTGTGAGATAAAACTATATCCCCCTTTATGCCTGGGGATCGTGCCAGTCAAGCTCAGAGTTGTTAAGTATCTTATCCAAGGTCACAGAGTTAGAAAATGGCAAAACAGATAACTGATCTGGTCCTTTTTTTTTTTTTCTTTTTTTTTTTTTTTTTTGAGGCAGTGTATCACTCTGTCACCCAGGCTGGAGTGCAGTGGCGTGGTCACGGCTCACTGTAGACTCAAACCTCCCAGGCTCATGCCATCATCCCACCTCAGCCTCCTGAGTAACTGGTACCACAGGTGTGTGCCACCAAGCCCAGCCAATTTTTAAATTTTTTGTAGAGACGAGGTCTTCCTATATTACCCAGGCTGGTCTCAAACTCCTGGGCTCAAGCAATCCTCCTGCCTCAGGCCCCCAAAGTGCTGGGATTACAGATGTGAGCCACCGCACCCAGCCTGGACTTTTTGATTGTTTATGTTTTTGGGAGTCAGTTTGCCCAGTTGTATTTTTTTAAAAGAACTATTGGGATGCTCACTGGGGTTGCACTGGATCTATAGATCAGTCCGAAAATTGATGTACTTTCATTATTGAGTCTTCTTATCAATGGATGTTTTATTATATCTCTCCATTTTTTGAGGTCTTTTTAAATTTCTTGTAATAACTTAATTTTTTATTTCCTATTTAGAGGTCTTTGCACATCTTTTGCTAGTTTTAGTCCTAGGCAATGACATATTTTAAAGGTATTGTAGATCAAATCTGTTTTAAATGTATTTTTCTGTTTAGTATTGGAATGCTCTTGATTTTTGTATATTGACTCTATATCCATTAACCTTGCTAAAATATTTTAACTGTAATGTTTATCAGTAGATTCTTTTGGATTTTCTTCATATAGAATCAGTATATAAGAATAATGACTCTGGGCCAGGTGCAGTGGCTCACGCCTATAATCCCAGGACTTTGGGAGGCCAAGGCAGGTGGATCGCCTGAGGTCAGGAGTTCAAGACCATCCAGCCTGATCAACACGGTGAAACCCTGTCTGTACTAAAAATATAAAAATTAGCCGGGCACAGTGGCTCACACCTGTAATCCCAGCACTTTGGGAGGCTGAGGCAGGTGGATCACAAGGTCAGGAGATTGAGACCTGGCTAACACAGTGAAACCCCGTCTCTACTAAAAATACAAAAAAATTAGCTGGGTGTGGTGGTGGGCACCTGTAGTCCCAGCTACTCGGGAGACTGAGGCAGGAGAATGGCGCGAACCTGGGAGGTGGAGCTTGCAGTGAGCCAAGATCGTGCCACTGTACTCCAGCCTGGGTGACAGAGCAAAACTCCGTCTCAAAAAAAAAAAAAAAAAAAAAAATTAGCTGGGCGTGGTGGCAGACGCCTGTAATCCCAGCTACTTGGGAGGCTGAGGCAGGAGAATTGCTTGAACCTGGGAAGTAGAGGTTGCAGTGAGCTGAGATCTTGCCCTTGTACTCCAGCCTGGGCAACAAAAGCAAAACTCTGTCTTAAAGAAAAAAAAAAAGACTCTTTTGGTAATTTTTTTCCCAACTTCCTAACCCTTTATACCCTTTTTTTTTTTTTTTTTTTAAGAGACAGGGTCTTCTTTTGTTACCCAGGCTGGAGTGCAGTGGTACAATCATAGCTTATTGTAAACTTGAACTCCTGGGCTCAAACGATCCTCCCGCCTCACCCTCCTGAGTAGCTGGGACTATAGGCATGCATCATGATACCCAGCTAATTTTTTGTAGAAACAGGGTCTCACTATGTTGCCCAGGCTCTTTCCAAACTCCTGGCCTCAAGCTGTCCTCACAGTGTGGCCTCTCAAAACACTTGGCTTCACTTTGGCTTCTCAAAGTACAGGCATGAGCCACCACACCGGCTGAATTTCCTCCTTCAATCTATTAACATGGTGAATTCTGTCCATTGATTTCCTAATGTTACACCAAAGCTGCATTCCTGGAATAAATCCAATATGGTCATTATGTATAATCCTTTTATATATTGCTTGATTTGACTTGCTAATATTTTGTCTAGGATTTTTGCAGTTAATGAGTGAAATTAATCTGTATTTTTCTTTCTTTTTTTTTTTTTTTAACTGTTCTCGTTGGCTGTTAGTATAAAGGTTATGCTAGTCTCCCAAAATTAGTCCATGATTCTTTTTCTCCTTTCTGGAAAAAGTATGTTATAACTTAGCTTTATTTCTTTCTTCAGTGTTTAGTAGTATTCCCTAATGAAGGAATTTAGGCTCTGAGTTTTATCATAGGATTTTTTTAAATTACAGTTTAATTTCTCTGATAGTTACAGGACTAAGATTTTCTTTTTTGTCTCGCTCTTGTCCCCCAGGCTGGAGTGCAATGGTGTGATCTCTGCTCCTGCAACCTGCGCCTCCTGAGTTCAAGCGATTCTCCTGCCTCAGCCTCCCAAGTTGCTGGGATTACAGGGGCCCGCCACCACGCCCAGCTAATTTTTGTTATTTTCAGTAGAGATGGGGTTTCATCATGTTGGCCAGGCTAGTCTTGAACTCCTGACCTCAGGCGATCCGCCCGCCTCGGCCTCCCAAAGTGCTGGGATTACAGGTGTGAGCCACTGCACCTGCCCAAGGACTAAGGTTTTCTATTTCTTATTGTGTCAGTTAGGTTGTATTTTTCTGTGAATCTGTTCATTTCACCAAATTTTCAAGTTTGTTGGCTTAAAGTTTTCGATAATATACTCTTATTTTGTGGTGAAGTCCCTTTTTTATTTCTTGTATTTGTTATTTGTGCCTTCTTTTCTTTTTTTTTTTTCCTTTTCTTTTTTATGAGATAGAGTTTCACTCTTGTCGCCCAAGCTGGAGTGCAATGGCGCGATCTCAGCTCACTGAAACCTCTGCCTCCCGGGTTCAAGCGATTCTCCTGCCTCAGCCTCCTGAGTGGCTGGGATTATAGGCACCCATCACCACGCCCAGCTAATTTTTTGTATTTTTAGTAGAAATGGGGTTTCACCATGTTAGCCAGGCTGGTGCCAAACTCCTGATTTCAGGTGATCCGCCCGCCTCAGCCTCCCAAAGTGCTGGGATTACAGGCGTGAGCCACCACGCCCAGCCTTTTCCTTTTCTATTTTCTTTTTCTTTTCACAGATGCCTTTTGTGAAAACTGTCAAATTGTTTCCTTTTAATCATTCTCTTTAGGGATTAACCAATTTTATTAGTGGTTTCAGTTTTGGCTTTGTTGATTCTCTCCGTTGTGTGTTTGTTTTTATACTTATTATACATTGAAATCATTTCCTCCTGTCTACTTTATTATATATTTAAATCATTTCCTCCTGTCTATTTTTGTTGGGTTTCTTTAGTTGTTCTTTTCCTGACATCTTAAAATGAATGTGCTTAGCTCATTATATTTTAAGTCTTTCTTCTTCCCTAAAATATGCAATTAAGGCTATAAATTTCCCCCCAAACACTGCATTAGCTTTACTCCATAAGTTTTGTTGTATTTTGTTTTTCATTACATATAGTATAGTTCAAAGTAATTTCAAATTTCCGTTTTTATTTGTTCTGAAACCCATGCATTATTTAGAAGTATATTTTAGAAGCACGTTACTCGAAAGTATAGTTTTCAAAGGTACAGGGACTTTTTAATATTTTTATTATCGATTCTTAAACTATTTGCAATATGTTAGGATAACATTATCTGCTGTATTTTAATCCTTTGAAATGTGTTGAAACTTGCGTTTTGGCCCAGCAGATCATCGTATTTTAAAATGGATGATATCTTTTTGAAAATAACATATTTTTCACTTGTTGGGTGCACAGTTCTCCATATGTTCATACAACAAGATTGTTCATTATGATGTCTCAAATCTTCTACAGTGTTATTGATTTATTGTCTGCCTGTTCCATTGATTACTGAAAAAGCTGTGTCAAACATCCCACTATGAATATGGACTTGTCTGTTTCTCCATATAATTCTGTTCACATTGCTCTATGTATCATGTAATTAGGTACATACAAATTTAAAATAATCTTTTATTATTATAGGGTGACCCTCCTTAATTCTAGAGACGCTTTTTTTTTTTTTTTTCATTTTAAAGTACATTTGCTTGACATTGGAATTTACTACACTGGCTGTCCTAATAGTATTTCAATAGTGTATACTTCTTTATTATTTTCCTTTCAGTCTTGCTTTATCTCTAAGTATTACACGTGTTTCTTGTATTTAATATTTGTTGGATTTGGTGTCTATCCAGTATGACAATCTTTGTCTTTTAGCTGGAGCATTTAACCCACTTACCATTCATGTAATTACTGATATGCAGTTTGCCATGAATGGGCTTTCTATTCATCACCTATTCTCTGTCCTATTTTTTTTTTTCTTTTTTTTTTTTTTTTTGAGACAGCGTCTCACTCTGTTGCTCAGACTGGAGCGCAATGGTGCAATCTCAGCTCACTGCAACGTCTGCCTCTGGGTTCAAGCAGTTCTCCTGCCTCAGCTTCCTGAGTAGCTGGGATCACAGACACCCGTCACCACGCCTGGCTAATTTTTGTATGTTTAGTAGAGATGTGGTTTCACCATGTTGGCCAGGCTGGTCTCGAACTCCTGATCTCAAGTGATCCACTTGCCTCAGCCGCCCAAATTGCTGGGATTACAGGCATGAGCCACTGCTCCTGGCCTTCTCTGTTCTTTTATCTCATTTTTGGCTTTGTTTAGTTTGGTTGCATTTTTACATTTTCATTTTGTTCCTGTGTTAGTTTGAGAGCTATTCTGGTTTTTTACCATTTTTAGCAATTATTCTAAAAATTACAATAAGCGGCTGGGCGTGGTGGCTCACACCTATAATTCTAGCACTTTAGGAGGCCGAGACGGGCAGATCACTTGAGGTCAGGAGTTCAAGACCAGCCCGGCCAACATGGTGAAGCCCTGTCTCTACTAAAAATATAAAAATTAGTCGGGCATGGTGGCACATGCTTGTAATCCCAGCTACTTGGGAGGCTGAGGTGGGAGGATCATTTGAACCCAGGAGGCAGAATTTGAAGTGAGCCAAGATCGTGCCACTGTGGGCAACAGAGTGAGACATTTTTATCCCTTTTCATTCCTTCCTCTATCCCCAACCTCCTCTCTGGGACAATTTTTCCTTCTGCCTGAAGAACACCCTAGACTTCTCTTTACTGAAGAACTTTTCCACTGAGTAAAATTCTAGTTTGGCAAGTTTGCTGTTGTTGTGTTGTTTAGTTTTCTTTCCAACAGATTGAAGAGATTATTCTACTACTTCTAGCTTCCATTGTTGCTGTTGAAAAGTGAGCAAAAGTTGCACTTTTTTTTCTTTTTTCTTTTTTCTTTTTTTTTTTTTTTTTGAGACAGAGTCTTGCTCTGTCCCCCAGGCTGGAGTGCGGTGGCACAATCTGGGCTCACACCACCTCCTGGGTTCAGGTGATTCTCCTGCCCCAGCCTCCTGAGCACTAGGATTACAGGCACGCGCCACCATGCCTGGCTAATTTTTTTTTTTTTTTTGAGACGGAGTCTTACTCTGTGGCCCAGGCTGGAGTGCAGTGGTGCGACCTCGGCTTACTGCAACCTCCACCTCTCAGGTTCAACCAATTCGCCTGCCTCAGCCTGCCAAGTAGCTGGGATTACAGGTGCCCACCACCATGCCCAGCTAATTTGTTTGTATTTTTAGTAGAGACAGGGTTTCACTATGTTGGCCAGGCTGGTCTCGAACTCCTGACCTCAAGTGATCCACCTGCCTTGGCCTCCCAAAAGTGCTGGGATTGCAAGCATGAGCCACCATGCCCGGCCTGCCCCTCCCTCTCCCTTCCCTCTCCCTTCCCTCTCCCTTTCCTTCCCTTCCTTTTTGTTGTTGTTTTAGGTTCACAGCAAAATTGAGCAGAAAGTAGAGAGAATTCTCACATACCCATTTCCCCGCATACATACAACCTCCCTGACAATCAATATCCTGCCCTGAGTGGCATATTTGTTACAGTCAATAAACCTACACTGGACAGCACTTTGGAAGGCCAAGGCAAGAGGATTGCTTGAACCCAGGAATTCAAGACCACCCTGGGCAACAGAGCGAGACCTTGTAGGTAGGTAGGTAGGTAGGTAGATAGAATCAGTCTACATTGACACACCTTCATGAAGTCCACAGTTAACATTAGGGTTCACTCTTGGTGTTGTACATCCTATGGGTTTGGACAAATATATAATGATATGAATCCATCACTACCGTATCATACAGAGTAGTTTCACTGCCCTAAAAATCCTCTGTGCATCACCTATTCATCCCTCTCTCTCCTTTAACGCCTAGAAACTAGTGATCCTTTTACTGTCTCCATATCTGCATAGCTTTGCCTTTTCCAGAATGTTGTATAGTTGGAATCATATACTATGTGGCCTTTTCAGATTGGTGTCTTTCACTTAGTAACATGCGTTTATGGTTCGTCAATGGCTGGGCGCTGTGGCTCACGCCTGTAATCCCTGCCCTTTGGGAGGCCAAGGCGGGCAGATCACCTGAGGTCAGGAGTTCGAGACCAGCCCGACCTACACGGTGAAACCCCATCTCTACTAAAATACAAAAATTAGCCAGACATGGTGGCACATACCTGTAATCCCAGCTACTCAGAAGGCTGAGGCAGGAGAATCACTTGAACTGGGGAAGCAGAGGTTGTAGTGAGCAGAGATCGTGCCACTGCACTCCAGCCTGAGCAACAGAGTGAGACTCCATCTCCATAAATAAATAAATAAATAAATAAATAAATAAATAAATAAATAAAATGGCTGGGTGTGGTGGCTTGCATCTATAATCTTAGCACTTTAGGAGGCTGAGGCTGGAGGATTGCCTGAACCCAGGAGTTCGAGACCAGCCTGGGCAACATGGTAAGACTCCATCTCTATTTTAATACAGTTAAAATTTGTATTAAAAAAAAAGTTCCTCCATGTCTTTTCATGACTTGATAACTTTTTAGCACTGAATAATAGTCCATTGAATTTCTTTTTAGTACTGAATAATATTCCGTTGTCTGGATATGCCAAGGTTTAATTATCCCTTCACCTACTGAAGAACATCTTGGGTGTGTCCAAGTTTTAACAATTATGAATAACGCTGCTATAAACATCTATGTGCAGATCCTTGTGTTGACTGAAATTTTCAACTCATCTGGGTAAATAAGAAGGAGTGTGATTGCTGGATCTTATGGTAAGGGTATGTTTAGCTTTGTAAGAAACTGCGACACCGTTTTGAGATGTAGTCTCGTTCTGTTGCCCAGGCTGGAGTGCAGTGGCACGATCTCCGCTCACTGCAACCTCCGCCTCCCAGGTTCAAGCAGTTCTCTTGCCTCAGCCTCCAGAGTAGCTGGGACTACAGGCACGTGCCACCATGCCTGGCTAATTTTTTGTATTTTTAGTAGAGACGGGGTTTTCACCACCTTAGCCAGGATGGTCTCGATCTCCTGACCTCGTGATCCTCCCACCTCGGCCTCCCAAAGTGCTGGGATTACAGGCGTGAGCCACCGCACCCAGCTCATTGTTGTTTTAATTTGTATTTCCCTAATGACATATGATACGGAGCATCTTTTCATATGCTTATTTGCCATCTGTATCTCTTCTCTGGTGAGGCGTCTGTTTAGATCTTCTGCCCATTTTTTCAATCCATCTGTTCATTTTCTTATTGTTGAGTTTTAAGAATTCTTTGTATATCTTAGATAACAGTCCTTTATCAGATAAGTCTTTTTCAAATATTTTCTCCAAGTCTGTAGCTTGTCTTTTCATTCTCTTGAAAGTGTCTTTCACAGAGCAGACATTCTTGATTTTAATGAAATCCAGCTTATCAGTTATTTCTTTCATGGATTGTATCTTTTTTGTTGTTTTCTAAAAGTCACTGCCATGCCCAAGGTCATCTGGATTTTCTCCTATGTTATCTTCTAGGAGTTTTATAGTACTGCATTAACTCAAATGGTCTGGGATCCATTTTGCGTTAATTTGTGTGAAGGGTGTAACAACATCTGTTGATATGGTCGTGTGATTTTTCTTCCTTAGCCTGTCGATGTGATGGATTACATTAATTGATTTCCAAATGTTGAATCAGGCTTGCATACCTAGGACAAATCCCACTTGGTAGTGGTGTATACTTCTATTTATACATTGTTGGATTCTGTTTGCTAATATTTTGTTGGGAATTTCTGCATCTATGTTCATAAGATATATTGGTCTGTAGTTTTCTTTTCTTTTTCTTTCTTTCTTAAATTAAGACAGGGTCTCACTCTGTTGCCTAGGCTGGAGTGCAGTGGCACAATCAGGGCTCACTGCAGCCTCAACCTCCCAGGCTCAAATAATCCTCCTGCCTCAACCCCCCGAATAGCTGGGACTATGGGTGTGCCCCACCACTCTTGGCTAATTTTTCTTTTCTTTTTTTTTTTTAGACTGAGTCTCACTCTGTCACCTAGGCTGGCGTGCAGTGGTGCAATCTCGGCTCACTGCAACCTCCACCTCCTGGGTTCAAGGGATTCTTGTGCCTCAGCCTCCTGAGTAGCTGGGATTACAGGCCTGAGCCACCACGACCAGCTAATTTTTGTATTTTTTGTACAGATGGGGTTTCACCATGTTGGCCAGGCTGGTTTTGAACTCCTGACCTCAGGTGATCTGCCTGCCTCGGCCTCCCAAAGTGCTGGGATTACAGGCATGAGCCACCATACCCAACCTTTTTTTTTTTTTTAAATTTCAGTAGAGACGAGCTCTCACTATGTTGCCCAGGCTGGTTTTAAACTCCCTGAGCTCAAGCAGTCCTCTGCGTCAGCCTCCCAAAGTGCTGGGATTACAGGCAAGAGCCATTGTACCCTGCCTTGTAGTTTTTCTTTCTGGTGATGTCTGGTTAAGGTGATGCTAGCCTCATAGAATAAGTTAGGAAACGTGATGCTAGCCTCGTAGAATGAGTTAGGAAGTATACCCTCAGTTTCTCTCTTCTGAAAGAGATTGTAGAGAATTGGTATAATTTCTTCCTAAAGTGTTTAGTAGAATTCACCAGTGAGCCCATCTGGACCTGGCACTTTCTGTTTTGGAAAGTTATTAATTACTGATTCAATTTCTTCTCTATTGCAGTTTCTTTTTAAGCTGTCTCTTATATTACTGCAGATTGTTGCACAATCAATTATGTATTGATTGTTTTTAGTCTGAATGTTCAGGGTGATATTTTTTTTCCTAGCCCTCACTTTTCATGGGTGCCTCAGAGTAGAATTTGTACCCTTATCTTATGCACTTACTATAACAAGAAATTCCTTTATTGTTAGCCCTATCCAGTCCAGGTCAATCATTTCACAGACAGCTGGAGGGATTATAGGAGATCCTACCACACAGACTAAAAACAGACTCCCTGACCCAAAATTCTTTTTCTTTTCTTTTATTTATTTATTTATTTATTTATTTATTTTGAGACAGAGTCTCGTTCTATTGCCCAGGCTGGAGTACAGTGGCGCGATCTCGGCTCACTGCAACCTCCGCCTCCCGGGTTCACGCCATTCTCCTGCCTCAGCCTCTCCGAGTGGCTGGGACTACAGGCACCTGCCACCACGCCTGGCTAATTTTTTGTATTTTTAGTAGAGACGGGGTTTCACCGTGGTCTCGATCTCCTGACGTCGTGATCCGCCCACCTCGGCCTCCCAAAGTGCTGGGATTACAAGCGTGAGCCACCGTGCCCGGCCTCTTTTTCTTTAAACAGTTTTGCTGAGATATAATTCACATACCATATGATTCACTATTTTTTTTTAGTTTTTATTTTTATAGAGATGGGGTCTCACCATGTTGCCCAGGCTGATCTCAAATTCCTGGGCTCAAGTGATCCTCCCATCTTGACCTCCCAAAATGCTAGAATTACAGACATGAGCCACTGCGCTTGGCCTGATTCACCCTTTTAAGTATACAATTCAATAACTTTTCATATATTCATAGAGTTGTACAACCATCACCACAATCCACTTTAGGACATTTTCATTATCCCAAAAAGAAACACCATTATCTCTTAACTATCACTTCCCTAATCCTGCCATTCCCCAATCCTAACTCCAGACAACCATACATCTTCTACTTCCTGCTTTTTTTTTTTTTGGAGACAGAGTCTTCCTCTGTTGCCCAGGCTAGTGTGCAGTGGCATGATCTCAGCTCACTGCCACCTCTGCCTACCAGGTTCAAGTGATTCTCCTGCCTCAGCCTCCCTAGTAGCTGGGATTACAGGCGCCCACCACCACGCCCAGCTAATTTTTGTATTTTTAATAGAGACTGGGTTTCACCCTGCTGGCCAGGCTGGTTTCGAACTCCTGACCTCAGGTGATCCACCCGCCTCAGCCTCCCAAAGTGCTAGGATTACAGGCATGAGCCACTGTGCCTGACTTCAGTCATATTTATGGTTGAATAATATTCCATTGTATGGATAGACCACATTTTGTTTATCTATTCATCAGTTTGCGGACATCTGGGTTGTTTCCACTTTGGGCTATTAAAGGCAATGCTGGTGTGAGCATGCCTGCACACGTTTTTGTGTGGATGGCAGTTTTCATTTCTCCCGGGTATATACATAGGAGTGGAGTTGCTGGTAACCCTGTGTTTAAACTTTTGGGGAATGGCCATGCTATTTTGCACAATGGCTGCGTCATTTTACATTCCCATCAAAGGTGCATAAAGGTTGCCATGTCTTCACGTCCCTGCCATCACTTCTCATTCTCCATGGTTTTGACTGTGGCATCCTCGTGGACATAAGGTGGTGTCTCATTGTGGTTTTGTTTTTTGTTTGTTTGTTTGTTTTGAGACAGAGTCTCACTCTTTCGCCCAGGCTGGAGTGCACTGGTGTGATCTTGGCTCACTGCAACCTCCGCCTCCCGGGTTCAAGCGATTCTCCTGCCTCAACCTCCCGGGTAGCTGGGATTACAGGGGCCCACCACCACCCCCAGCTAATTTTTGTAATTTTAGTAGAGACGGGGTTTCACCATGTTGGCCAGGCTGGTCTCGAACTTCTGACTTTAGGGGTGATCCACCCACCTCGGCCTCCCAAAGTGCTGGGATTACAGGCGTGAGCCCCCGAGCCCAGCCTCACTGTGGGTTTGACTTGCAGTTCCCTGCCAAGGAGTGGATCCGCCGTTCTTGACCGGGCTGGAATCACAGCCACCTTTGGGCGGACTTCTGCTGCTGCTGCTTTCAGCTTCCCTGCCTCACCCTCAATTACAGACTGGGGGTGAACCCCTGAGCACATTCTGCAGAGAGAAAGATGCTCCCCAGTCTGCATCAGCGAGACTGGCACCTGCTTCCTCTCAGCTTTGTGGGAATTTTCCCCCATATCAGGTTTTCCTTAAGGGGCAGGTTTCCCAGATTGTTCTCTAACACTTAAAATCACTCACCTCATCTTTCCCCATTAAACAAGTACATCTTGTCCAATTTCCATCCAGTTTTTTAAAAATCCCCCTTCCAGACAGGCAAGGGTCAAGATGAGCCAGGACCACCCAACCCCTCCACGGAGTTTCCCTTCCCAGCGCAACACCTCCCACCTCCCACCTCCCATCTCAGAACAGGTTTTCCTCATTCTGCCAGCGGCTTCCTCCCTGCCCTGTCCAACTTCTGGGCTCTGGTGGCTGCTCCAGGGCATTTATGCAGGAGGTCTGGCCAGCGAGTTGGTTTCCTGCATGATGATTGGCAGCTCACGGACCCGGCAAGCCAAAGATGCCTCTCCGCCCGGGACAGTGCGTGGCAGGGGCCCCACTGCAACCAGGTAAGTATCGGCCATTTGCACGATGTCAAAGGAGGTTAACACCAAGAAGGTGTGCGTGTTACTCCAAGCAGCTGCCAAGGCTGGGAGAATTGCCTTCAGCTGCGGGAGAGTTCCTTCTGGAAACTATCTGGCCAATACCTTCCCAGTTTAGGCGATTTGAAGAATTGAGTAAGAAAAGACCACTTCTCCTTCCTCTCCCCTATACCTCTTACCGTGGCTCTAAGAAAAGGACGAAATAGCACAAACTTATTATTTAGTGTATTCTCTTTCATTAAACGCCTTTTTTTTTTGCTCTTGTTGCCCAGGCTGGAGTGCAATGGCGGGATCTCGGCTCACTGCAACTTCTGCCTCCTGGGTTCAAGCGATTCTCCAGCCTCAGCCTCCCGGGTTGCTGGGATTACAGGGGCCCACCACCACGCCCAGCTAATTTTTGTTATTTTTAGTACAGACAGGGTTTCGCCATGTTGGCCAGGCTGGTCGCGAACTCCTGACCTCAGGTGAGCCACCCGCCTTGGCCTCCCAAAGTTCTGGGATTACATGAGTGAGCCACCACGCCCGGCCCATTAAACGCCTTTTAACACTTTGTTTGTTTTACCACCTTTCCAGCCACTCAGGAAAGATGAAATCTTTCTATAGGGGAAAAAATCCTGGTAGAACAATCAAAAGGATGGAGAGACAAAGCAGGTTGATTGTTTGGGTAAAGGCAACGCCAACAATGTTTCACAGATGTAGCTCTCACGTCTGTGCTGCAAGACAGGTGCAGGTGAGCCGAAGGAGGTCTTATCGCTGGGAGAAAAGGTCTCATCAGCTCACCAAGCGTCTCTTGGGCAACTTTCCCCTGCAACAGCCGGGACCTCCACACTGGGGCTTTGCGGTTTGGCCCCTAATGTTCTCTGGCAGAATCTCCTGTCCAGTACAGCCAGCCCACGTGGGCTCTCGGTGCTACCCTGGGAAGGACGCCTGAGGTCCCAGCATCCACACAGAACCTGTTTTTCTAGACCCCCAAGAGTGGTAAACTCCCTACCAGGAGGCATAGCCAGAGAAGGATTCACGGGATACACAAGAGGCCGTGAATTTTGGGTCTGTCCATTCATTCGAATGTTCATTCGGCAACTGTTTAATGAGAAGTTGGTGAGAGAATAGTGAGAAAAATAATTCTGGAGTCGGTTGAGTGGGAAACGTCCTCACTGTGGGATTATGAAATGGACACATTCAGCACTTTGGGAGGCAGAAGCCGAGGCGGGCAGAGGTGGGCAGATCAATTGAGCTCAGGAGTTCGAGACCAGCCTGGGCAACATGGTGAAACCCCATCTCTACTAAAAATACAAAAATGAGGTGGGCACGGTGGTGCACATCTGTAATCCCAGCTACTCGGGAGGCTGAGGCAGGAGACTCACTTGAACCCAGGAGGCAGAGGTTACAGTGAGCTGAGATCTCACCACTACACTCCAGCCTGGGCCACAGAGCATAACCCTGTCTCAAACAAAACAAAACAAAACAAAACAAAACAATCAACTGGGCATGTGCTAGGAAGGCTAGACCCAAGAGTGGGGAGCAGGGTCCCTGGACCAGTCTAGGGGTCAGGGAAAGCCGCCTAGAGGAATGGAACGAGGAACTGCCTGCAGAAGGAAGAGGGGGATGTTTTCAGGTCGGGCAGCTCCTAGGGAAAACAGCCAGTGTGTGTGAAGCCCCGAGGGAGCACAGTGTCTTCGAGGAGTGGATTGGAGGCCAGCGCGGCTGGACATGGAGAAGCAGGCAGAGGACGGCCGGGTCTTTGGCCAGTGGGGAGGCCAAGGCAGGGTCTGGCGAGCCCCGGTTCAGCTAGTTTAGGTGTTGAAATCTGTGAATACTCCAATGTGGCTAGGCCCCAGAGGCCTCCCTGCCATTCCATCCCCTACCCCAGGGACCCCTGGACTTCCCTGCAGCCAGCCGGTAACAGGGCAGCCTTTGGGACCCAGCTCCACCGTGGCGGTGGGATCCCTGCTGGGTGGCTCAGCCCATGCCTTCCCCTGCTCAGAGTCCTACTTGGTGTTCAAGTCCCACCGGCTCCCTTGGGTCAAAGGCTCCTCCAGGGTGTCCCCCATAGGTGTTTCCAGCTGTGCCTGTCCTATATACCTTGGACTGACCCCAAATCCACAGCAGTCCTGGGGAAAAGGTTTGCGGCCTACAACCGTGCAGTCACTGGATCCTTGTTCCGCACAGAGGGCCAGCTGGCCTGACAGACCCCACATGAAAACCTACCCAAGGGAAAAAATCATGGTGTTCCAGTCCATGTGTGTTACCCGGAACTAAATCAGGGAAAGATGTAGCTCCCCTTAGAACACCAGCATTTGCAAACCCCTAATAAGAACTTTCCTGGATTAAAATGATCATGATGCAACTAAGAAAGGTTGTAAGCACTTTGCTCTGGAAGAAGGGCTGAAAGTGATTAACTTCCTTCATGGAAGGGTTTTCCAGATGGCTCTTCTGGAACCTGGAGCACCTCCAAAGCTTTTAAAAGGGAATGTGATTGATATCAAAAAGCTCTCCAGCCCACAAACATTTGTCAAGTGTCTGTTGTGTGTCTCACACATTTATTAGCTCACAAATCTCTGCTGTGTGTCTCTCCCAGACCCTGGAGCAAGCACAGCAGAGCTCTGCTCTGAAGGAGTTTCCGTGCAAGGGCTGGCTTCAAACAATAATCATGCACACAGGATATTTTAGCTGGTGCTAAAAATGATGAGGTGTTGTGGTCAAGAGGACCTGGGGTGGGGCATGCTCTGAGAAGGTGACACTAAGTAAAGATGAGAACAACGGGAAAGAAGGCAGCCGTGACGATCGGGTAGAAGAACGGTTTGCATCAGAGAAACAAAGTGTGGTGATCTGGTGAGTTTGCAGGGCACAGAGAAGAACATCATGAATGGTCACATCATGGGGTTTGGGGTATATTATAGGAGTCTTGTAGCCATGGTCACGGGTTGGGATTTTTTTTTTTTGAGACGGAGTCTGGCTCTGAAGCCCAGGCTGGAGTGCAGTGGTGCAATCTCGGTTCACTGCAAGCTCCGCCTCCCGGGTTCGAGCTTAGACTATGCATGACCTGCAGTTAACCCAGACCTTACACAGACTACTCACCACTCATCAGGGAGTCGAACACGCGTTATCTGTGGACCAAGCCAATTGACGTTGCACCGCGCCTACCAAAGGGAATCGGGTTCCCTCAAGCACTTAGGAAAAAAGAAAGACCACGTGGGTGCCAGATATTGGGGAACATGCCCCGATATTCACGTAGGTTCTTTTCTATTTTCCTTAAGCGTTGGCCGGCTTGAGAAGTAAAGGGACAGAGTACAAAAGAGAGAAATTTTAAAGCTGGGCGTCCGGGGGAGACATCATATTTTCAGTAGGTTCCGTGATGCCCCACAAGCCGCAAAAACCAGCAAGTTTTTATTAGGGATTTTCAAAAGGGGAGGGAGTGTGCGAATAGGTGTGGGTCACAGACATCAAATACTTTACAAGGTAATAGAATATCACAAGGCAAGTGGAGGCAGGGCGAGATCACAGGACTACAGGATCGGGGTGAAATTAAAATTGCTAATGAAGTTTTGGGCACCATTGTCATTGATAACATCTTATCAGGAGACAGGGTTTTGAGATCAACCGTCTGACCAAAATTTATTAGGCGGGAATTTCCTCTTCCTAATAAGCCTGAGAGCGCTATGGGAGACTGGGGTCTATTTCACCCCTGCAGTCTCGACCATAAAAGACAGGCGCACCTGGGGGACCGTTCATAGGCCTATACCTCCAGGTGTGTATTCTCTTTCTCAGGGATGTTTCTTGCTGAGAAAAAGAATTCAGCGATATTTCTCCCATTTGTTTTTGAAAGAAGAGAAATATTGCTCTGTTCTGCCCGGCTCACCGGGTGGTCAGAGTTTAAGGTTATCTCTCTTATTCCTTGAACAATTGCTGTTATCCTGTTTTTTTTTCAAGGTGCCCAGATTTCATATTGCTCAAACACACATGCTGTACAATTTGTGCAGTTAATGCAATTATTACAGGGTCCTGAAGTGACATACATCCTCCTCAGCTGACAGGATTAAGAGATTAAAGTAAAGACAGGCATAGGAAATCACAAGGGTATTGATTGGGGAAGTCATAAGTGTCCATGAAATCTTTACAATTTATGTTTAGAGATTGCAGTAAAGACAGGCATAAGAAATTATAAAAGTATTAATTTGGGGAACTAATAAATGTCCATGAAATCTTCACAATCCACCTTCTTCTTCCATGGCTTCAGCCAGTCCCTCCATTTGGGGTCCCTGACTTCCTGCAACAACGCCTGGCTAATTTTTTGTATTTTTAGTAGAGATGGGGTTTCACCATGTTAGCCAGGATGGTCTTGATCTCCTGACCTCGTGATCCTCCTGTCTTGGCCTCCCAAAGTGCTGGGATTACAGGCGTGAGCCACCACGCCCGGCCACGGGTTGGGATTTTTACTGTAAGGGTAAAGGGAAACCATGGAAGGGTTTTGTGCAAAAAGTGATATGATCTAGGCACAGTGGTGTGCCTGTTGTCCCAGGTAGTTGGGAGGCTGCTGTGGGAGGATTGCTCAAGGCCAGAAGTTCGAGTCCAGCCCAAGCAACATAGTAAGAGCCCCATCTCTTTAAAAAAAATTTTTTTAAATGTTTAACAGCATACAAACCGATTTCTTTGATCCTTTGTTTAGAAGAGAGCACAGGCCTCCCCAGTGTGACAGGGTCTCTCGTGGGCAAGGCCAGGGGAAAGGCAAGCCTGGGGAAAAGGAGGGGGCAGCCAGGAACCTGGCTGGAGGGCCGGACCCTGAGTGGGCATAACCACAGTCCAAACCTTGCCGCCATGAGGAAGGGGCTGCTGAGACCTCAGTGTGGCAAGGAGCTGATCAGACTGAGGGTCCAGTGGACATCTGGCGCCTTGTGTATGTTGGCTCAGTAAATCCTGGCACGTACCTGCAGATGAGTCTATCAGTTATCGATTGCTGTGTAACAAGTTACCCCCCAAAACATATTAGCTTAAAACAACAAAAATTCATTATCTCACAGTTTCTGTAGTCAGGAATTCAGGAACATCATGGTCGTTTTAATCCAGGTGGTTCTGGCTCGGGGTCTCTTGTGAGGTTGCATTTACGATGTCGGCTGGGGCTGCTATCATCTGAAGGCTCAACTGGGGCTGGAGGAGCCACCTCCAAGATGGCGCCTTCTTGTGGCTGCTGGCTGGAGGGTTTGGTCTTCACCAGTGGCCAACACAGTGCTGTTTTAATGACATAGCAGCTGGTTTTCCCCAGAGGAGGGATCTGAGAGCAAGGGAGGGAAAAAGTAGGAACCCACAGGCCTTTTATGACCAGTCCCCAAGGTCACACAGTGTCACCCCTGCCTTATCATTTAGAAGTGATCCACTAATTCCATCCCACATTCAACGGCAGGGGATGAGGCTCCACCTCTTAAAGGGAGGAATATCAAAGAGTTTGTTGTGGATATATTTTAAACCACAGCAGGCAGCGGCATTCACATCCCAGTTTAAGAGTCTTTAATTAACTTGCCCCAGATCACACACAAGGAAGTGGTGCGAATGAGATTAGAATCCAGCTCCCGGCCAGGTGTAGTGGCTCATGCCTGTCATCTCAGCACTTTGGGAGGCTGAGGCAGGAGGATCACTCGAGTCCAAGCGTTTGAAACCATCCTGGGTAACATAGTTAGACCTTGTCTCTACCAAAAATAAAAAAAATGAGACAGGAAGATCACTTGATACCAGGAGGTCAAGGCTGCAATGAGCCATGATTGTGCTACTGCACTCCTGCCTAGGTGATCTGGGTGATGGGAGTAAGACTCTGTCTCAAAAAAAAAAAAAAAAAAAAAAAAAGAACCAAGCTCCCCAGAGCCCATGTCCTTTCTCTGGTGCATGCTGCCCTCATGGGAAGAAGGCAGTCATAACCCGGCCAGCTCTCACCCTGACCTTGCTACAGCCCCTGAGAAGATGTCACTGAAGGCTGTGTCTATGTGTGCACTCAAACAAATTGGCTGCTACGGCTTCACCAGGCTGCATCTGCTCTCTCTGGACTACTGGTGGCTACTATCATCACCAAAGCAGTGTCTGTGCCCTGTTTTATAGGGTAAATCAGCTCATCTTTACTTATGGCGTATATGCACCCCCAGGTTCCTCCTGCTCCCTGGCTACGTATGCCACAGGGTCTGAAGAGCCAGAGGGGTGTGCGGTGTTGGTATGTGATAGGCCATGTAACTAACTATTCCAGGTCAGCTCACTGGGCCTGGCTCCTCCCTTCCACGGGTGAGTGATTTCCTGGAAGCTCCTTGGCCTGTGCACAAGCTTCTGGTGAGGCCCGACCCACCAGCCCAACATACATTTCCAAAGCATCTGAGTCCATCCCAGGTCCCAGCCTGGGCCCAAAACTAGGGTTTCCCCCATCAGGAAACAGGGAGAAGGAGCCCAGGAAGTTTGAGCCAGGGCCACCTGTCATGCTTAAGGCACAAACATGGGTCCAGATGCCACCGAACGGTACATTGCCTGTGCCAGACTGGCTCAAGGCCCAGAGGGGCCAACTGCCAGGTGGATCTCCATGTGCCCAGCAGAGAGGGGCTGGGGAAGGCAGAACCCGAGGTCTCCTCTCTCCTCCTCTCCCTGCCCTGCGTCCATCACCAGGACGTGCTTCGTGGTGGAAGAGCCAGAGGGGCGTGCAGTGTTGGTATGTGACAGAACTTGTGTGATCACTCCCTGCTATGCAATTAAGTGCAGATTCCCCACGCTGTGGGGAGTGTGCCAGCCCCGCCCTCTGTGCGGTGTGGGACTCAATGCTGTCACTGTGAGATCGGATGGGCCTTGGTGTCCTGCTGTCCTTGGATATGTTCCTGAGCTTAGGGTGATCCATTCGTAAAAGGGGAATAGGGGCATCTACTTCCCAGAGCGGTTGTGAGGAGTCAACAAGATCATGCGTAGAGAGAGCTTGACTCAGCCCTCCCGGTAGGGTAAGCACTCAGTGGGTGTCTGCTGTTGGAGGATGGTCCAACTATTGTCACCATTGTCACCATTCAGAGGGGTGGCCACGTTTTGCACATTAATTGTCATGGTGTGGCCCTAGGACTACTTCTACAGGGCTGGACTTCTCGCCATCAGTCCAGGTGTGCTGTGACCCCATCAAGATCCATTCTTACTCTATGTGGGCCTTCAATTTGCACCATACAAGTCAAACTCCCGAGAGAGGCTGGACTGAGAGGGAAGGATGAGGTCAGGGCCCTCAAGAGGGCAGGACAGGAAGCTTTGTGGATCAGGAGAGAGTGGGGCCCATTCACATCAAATGCGTTTGTCCCAGAACTGTTTCTACCCTCCAAGGAGCGTCTTGCAATTGAAGTAGGTAAACTCCGCTGTTGTTGTTGCCCGTGGGAGGTCATATACGTCCTGGTTTGCATGGGGGCTATTTTGGAGGGTTCAGAGTGGTAAAGATGAACAGAAGCACCCATCGAAGGTGATGGCCAGACGCCTGCAGGAACGGGTGGAGGAGGCAGAGAGAAGTGGAAGAGGGACAGAGGACTAAAGGAAAGAAGAGGCCACCAGGTAGCAGGAGAGCACCAAGGAGGCGCGAGTCCTGGATCTTGCATCCGTCTCTGTGTCGTGGGAGAGTCCAACTCCCACTGCAGCTCACCCCAGCAAGGCAGCTTGACAAAGCTCTGCTGTCTCCTGATCCCGGTGACAAACAACCCGTCTGCTTGTTTTAGGGCTGCCAAGGCCTGTTGTACAACGCAATGGGGTAAACCCTGCAGACATCAGCCCTCCTTATTCATCTGCTATTTGGCGCTAAGCATTCAGTATTTATCTTGGTCAGGCACAGTGGGTCACGCCTGTCATCCCAGCACTTTGGAAAGAAGAGGTGGGAGGATTGCTTGAGCCTGTAAGTTCGAGACCATCCTGGGCAACTTAGTGCCCAGTCTCTATGAGAAAAAGTTAGAACTGCCCGGGCGTGGTGGTCCACATGTATAGTCACAGCTACTCAGGAAGCTAAGGCAGGAGGATTGCTTGAGCCCAGGGATTCAAGGCTGCAGTGAGCTATGGTCTTGCCACTGTACCCCAGGCTGGATGACCGAGAGAAACTCTGTCTCTAAAAAAAATCAAATAAATAAATAAAAATCTTGGCTGGGCACAGTGGCTCATGCCTGTAATCCCAGGAATTTGGGAGGCTAAGGCGGGTGGATCACCTGAGGTCTGGAGTTCGAGATCACCCTGGCCAACATAGCAAAACCCTGTCTCTACTAAAAATACAAAAATTAGCTGGGCATGGCGGCACGCGCCTGTAATCCCAGCTACTCGGGAGGATGAGGCAGGAGAATCGCTTGAATCCAGGAGGCGGAGGTTGCAGTGAGCTGGGATCATGCCACTGTACTCCAGTCTTGGAGACAAGAGCAAAACTCCGTCTCAAAAAAAAAAAAAAAAAAAAAAAAGACTGGGTGCGGTGGCTCATGCCTGTAATCCCAGTACTTTGGGAGGCCGAGGCAGGCAGATCACGAGGTCAGGAGATCGAGATCATCCTGGCTAACATGGTGAAACCCCGTCTCTACTAAAAATACAAAACATTAGCTGGGCATGGTGGCGGGCACCTGTAGTCCCAGCTACCCAGGAGGCTGAGGCAGGAGAATGGCATGAACCTGGGAGGCGGAGCTTGCAGTGAGCTGAGATCATGCCGCTGCACTCCAGCCTGGGCGACAGAGTGAGACTCCATCTCAAAAAAAAAAAAAAAAAAAAAAAAAAAAAAAAAATTCTTACTGCTGCAATTGACTAGTCTTACTTTTTTTTTTTTTTTTAAATATTATTGCAGGCCAGGCACAGTGGCTCACGCCTGTAATCCAAGCACTTTGGGAGAGGCTGAGGCAGGTGAATCACTTGAGGCCAGATGTTCAAGACCAGCCTGACCAACATGGCAAAACCACATCTCTACTTAAAAAAAAAAAAAAGCACAAAAATTATCTGGGCATGGTGGTGCATGTCTGTAGTCCCAGCTACTCAGGAGGCTGAGGCCCAAGAATCGCGTGAGCCTGAAAGGTAGAGGTTGCAGTGAGCTGAGATTGCGCCACTGCACTCCAGCCTGGGTGACAGAACGAGACTCTGTCTCAAAAAAAAAAAAAAAATTATCCCAAAAAGAGAACTGTTAGACAGTCCACGCATCTGTGCATGGATGCACAAAATCATGCATGCTGCAGTTTAAGGGATTCTAAGGGTCATGAGTCTTGTGGACCAAACATGATTTCATCATCATTTAGAGCCCACGGTAGACAGGACGCTGCAGTTTCAGCTGGGGCTGGGCTTGGGCAAGTCATTAAACATCCATGTGCCTCAGAGTTAGTAGAAGCCATACATTCACAGTGAGTTGGTGACCAAGACACAGTTCATGGATGCCGGTCCCCACCTGGGCCCCCTGCAGTCTACCCTATGGCCACCCAGCCCAGGACACTCAAAGGCAGCCTCATCCCTGCTCTCATGGCTTCTTCATGTACCACCGAGTGGCCCTAAGGAAGGGAAAGGATTCACACGCAGGGCCCCCATTATGCACTAGGCACTGAGCTCATTGCTTTCCATGATCTGGTAACCACCATTCGGTGGGCAGCGCCTACGCTCCTTAGATGCTCACGACTTCTTAGCAAGAGGAAATCCAGGTTCTGAGAACCCAGCTTGCCCAGAGTTGCCTGCTAGTGGTGGCAAAGCCTGTAGATGAGCCACGTGGCCCCTCCCGGGTCGAAAGCCCAGTTTGCTGTGCTGCATCCTCTCTCCCCATCACCTCATCTGAGCCTCATGACAACTGGCAGGAGGTGACGAGAGCGGCCTCGCTCTACAGGCAATGAGATGCAGGCTCCAGGCTGGGACTCAGCCTCATTCCCAGGTTCTTCCAAGGCCCCCCGTTGCCCATGGACATCACAGAGGGGAGAGGGGGGCATGGGGCAAAGAGAGAAAGCGCCACACAAATGGAATCACAGCCTCATCACTTCCACGAACAAAGGTCTTCTGGGGAACTTCCATGAGTAGGCACACATGGCCACGTGCCGAAACCCGCCTCTCTCTCAGCAGCCACCTGCATCTTCCTTGAAGATGAATGTCTTTCTCAGTTGCTGCCTTTTGATTTGATTTGGTTTGACTTTTGTTTTTTGAGACGGAATCTTGCTCTGTCACATGTGTGATCTTGGCTCACTGTAACCTCCCCCTCCTGGGTTCAAGTGATTCTCCTGCTTCAGCCTCCCAAGTAGTTGGGATTATAGGCACTCAGCACCACGTCCAGCTAAGTTTTGTATTTTTGGAGAGATGGGGTTTCACCATGTTGGCCAGGCTGGTCTTGAACTCCTGACCTGAGGTGATCTGCCCACCTCCACCTCCCAAAGTGCTGGGATTACAGGCATGAGCCGCCGCACCCAGCCTGATTTGACTTGAGAGACAGAGTCTTGATCTGTTGCCGAGGCTTGAGTGCAGTGATGCAATCACAGCTCACTGCAGCCTCGACCTCCCGAGCTCAAGTGATCCTCCAACTTCAGCCTCCCAAGTAGCTGGGACTACAAGTGTGAGCCATCACATCCAGCTAAATGTTTTTTTTTTTTTTTTTTTTGAGACAGAGTCTTGCTCTGTCACCCAGGCTGGAGTGCAGTGGCACAATCTCATCTCGCTGCAACCTCTGCCTCCCAGGCTCAAGTGATTCTTGTGCCTCAGCCTCCTGGATAGCTGGACCACAGGCACATGCCACCATGCCCACCTAATTTTTGTATTTTTAGTAGAAATGGAGTTTCACCATGTCGGCTGGACTGGTCTCAAACTCCTGGCCTCAAGTGATCTGCCCAACTCCGCCTCCCAAAGGGCTGGGATTACAGGTGTGAGCCACTGAGTCCGGCAGAGCTTAGCATTTGAATTGGAGCAGACTCAATATAGAAGATCACCCTCACCAATGCAGGTGGGCAGGTACAATCCTGAATAGCACAAAAAGGCTGAGGAGGGGTGAATTCTTTCGGCTCCAACTGGGACATCCTTCTTTTCCTGCTCTCTGACATTGGCGCTTCTGGTTCTCAGGCCTTTGGACTCAGACAAGGACTTAACCCATGGGCCCCGCAATTCCCAGTCATTTGAGTTTGGATTGGAACCACACCTCCAGCGTGCAGATGGAAAATCTTGGGACTTCTCTGCCTCCGTAACCATGTGAGCCAGTTCCTCATACTCAACCTCTTTCTGTGTATCTATACACATCCCATTGGCTCTGTTTCTCTGGAGAATACTGACTCATACATGTTGTCTCCCAGTTGATATCTCAGGGCCCTACATTCCTGGGAAGGTACCTGTGACTGGCTTGGCCCACACAGAAGCCCTTAAAACTTCAACCTTGACAGCTTCCCTGGTGGAAAATAGTTACTCTTTATCCTCGGTAGAAAGTTTCAAAAGACCGCCAGATGTGGTAGCTCACAACTGTAATCCCAGTGCTTTGGGAGGTCAAGGCTGGAGGATCACTTGAGCCCAGGAGTTTGAGACCAGCCTGGGCATCACAGTGAGACCCCATCTCTACAGGGTTTTTTTGTTTGTTTGTTTGTTTGTTTGTTTGTTTTTAATTAGCCAGATGTGGTGGTGCATGCCTCTAGTCCCAGCCACTAGGAGGCTGATGTGGGAGGATTGCTTGAGCCTAGAAGGTTGAAGCTTCAGTGAGCCGTGATTGAGCCACTACAATCCAGCCTGAGCAAGAGAGCAAGACTCTGTCTTAAAAAAAGAAAAGTTTCAAAAGACATCCAACCAAGCCATCAGGCCTCCTTTCTCTCCTAAGCTGGCCTGCTCACCTGCTCACCCTAGAGGGGCAGGGCCGAGCTGGAAACTCCTTTGGCTGCAGCACTGGGGGTGCTGGTGTGGGGGTGGGGTCTGCGTCTTCCCTGCACACTGCATGTTGCTCTCAGCACCATCAAGAGAGGACAGTTCACGGCGGTGGCAGATGGGACTATTCATGTTGCCACCCTTTCTGAGGAACTCCTGGAGGCCCAGAGACAAATGCAACCAAGACCCCGCCCTTCCTGGAGCTCACCGGTTGCTCTTAGTGTTGCCATAGAAACAGAAGCCTGGACTGCGGCCGAGGGCTCAGTTGCGGCCTCCCCTAAAAGATACGTCCACCTGGAACCTCCAGGATGCGATCCTATTGGAGTAAGGATCTTTGCAGATGTGATTAAGCTGAGGCTCTCGCGATGAGATCATCCTGGATTACAGTGGGCCCTATGACAAGTCCTTAGAAGAGAAGGACAGATACAGAGACTCCGAGGAGAAGGCCATGTGAAGACGGAGGCAGACTGGAGAGATGCAGCCACAAGCCCAGGAAGGCCTGGAGCTGGGAGAGGCAGGACAGACCCTCCTCTAGAGCCTCTGCAGGCGGCGTGGCCTGCTCACACCTTGATTTTGGACCTCAGCCCTCCAGAACTGTATAAGAATAAATTTCTGTGGATTAAGCCACCCAGTTTGTGGTCATTTGTTTTGGCAGCTGCAAAAAAGAATACAAGGCGGCCAGGCACAGTGGCTCACACCTATAATCCCAGCAATTTGGAAGGCTGGGGTGGGTGGATCACCTGAGGTCAGGAGTTCAAAACCAGCCTGGCCAACATGGTGAAACCCTGTCTCTGCTAAAAATACAAAAACTAGCCAGGTGTAGTGGCACGCTCCTCAGCAGGCTGAGGCAGGAGAATCACCTGAACCCGGGAGGCAGAGGTTACTGTGAACCGAGATGGTACCCCTGCACTCTAGCCTGGGCAACAGAGCAAGACTATGTCTCAGAAAAAAAAAAAAAAGAAAGAAAAGAAAAGAAAAGAAAAAAAGAATACAAGGGCGGCTACTGCCAAAGACAGGGCTCCCTAGGACGAACACTCTGAGATGGAGAGGAGCATGCAGAGATTACTCAGGTGCCCTTGTCAGCTCGCGTGGGGAAGTGCAGAAGCTGGACATGCCCGGGAGACGCTGGGCTGTGCCACAGGCCGGAGCACGGCCTCACCCAACCTCCACTTCAGACCTGGGTTCAGGGAACAGGCTGAGATTCTCCCCCTGCCTCAGCCACCTCCAAGTAGAACCCAGAAAGGGGATGTGAACTTGACCTTGACCTTGAATGAGGCAACTCTCCTCAGTCACGGGCAATTCGCAGGACATTCCAGCAGTCGGAGCCCAAGTCATTCAGTCCAGAAGGGAGGGCGGAGGGTCATCACACTGTCCGTACAGCCCCGATTACTTTTATGCCAACAGTGGGCAGAGGGATCCCCTGCTTCGGGGGAAGAGGGCTGCCTGGCCCCGATCCAAGTGTCACCTGGAACTCAGCATCCACCATGTGGCTTGTTCCAGCCCAGTGGTCTGCGTGAAGCACCTCGCCATTCGTGGGTATCCCTGTGAGGGTCTGGGGGAGGCCAGACCTGAGTCACACTGGGCTATTATTGCAGGGACTTAAGTGGGGCCTCCATAGGCACAGTGGCATGCATCTGTAGTCCCCGCTACTCAGGAGGCTGAGGCGGGAGGATCGCTTGAGCCCAGGAGGCAGAGGTTGCAGTGAGCCGTGATCATACCACTGCTCTTCAGCCTGGGCAACACAGCCAGACCCAGTCTTAAAAAAAAAAAAAATGCTAGGCGCAGTGGCTCACACCTGTAATCCCAGCACTTTGAGAGGCTGAAGAAGGAGGATCACCTGAGGTCAGGAGTTCCAGACCACCCCGGCCAACATGGTGAAACTCCGTCTCTACTAAAAATACAAAAATTAGCCAGGTGTGGTGGTGCGCACCTGTAGTCCCAGCTCCTCGGGAGGCTGAGGCAGGAGAATTGCTTGAACCTAGGAGGCAGAGGTTGCAGTGAGCTGAGATCACCCAACTGCACTCCAGCTTGGGCTACAGAGTGAGGCTCCGTCTCCAAAAAAAAAAAAAAAAAGCCGGATGTGGTGGCTCACGCCTGTAATTCCAGCACTTTGGGAGGCCAAGGCGGGCGGATCACAAGGTCAGGAGATCGAGACCATCCTGGTTAACATGTTGAAACCCAGTCTCTACTAAAAAAAATACATGGCCGGGCGTGGTGGCTCACGCCTCTAATCCCAGCACTTTGGGAGGCCGACGCAGGCGGATCACAAGGTCAGGAGATCGGGACCATCCTGGCTAACGTGGTGAAACCCTGTCTCTACTAAAGATACAAAAAAAATTAGCCGGGCATGGTGGCGGGCGCCTGTAAGTCCCAGCTACTTGGGAGGCTGAGGCAGGAGAATGGCGTGAACCCGGGGGGCGGAGATTGCAGTGAGCCAAGATCCTGCCGCTGCACTCCAGCCTGGGCAACAGAGCGAGACTCTGTCTCAAAAAAAAAAAAGGGGGGGGGGGAGGGGCCTTTGCACAAGCTTGCCGCAGATGCCTGATTGCTGTGTTCCATGATGTTGCCCAGGACAGGTAGGGCAGACCTTGTTGGAGATGTGTTTGCCAACATCTCGGTTCTCGCCACTCAGTCTCCCTCCTGTGGTGTGGTTTTCCACTCTCAACCTCCATAAGAGAAAGCACTCTGTCCCCTGGGCTTCTGCTGATGGCTCTGAGGGAACTGGGGACTCACTCAGCCCTCTGCAGGCCCTGCCCACACCCCAGTCACCTGTCAGTCACCTGCAGGCATCCAGGCAACTCCCTTGGCTCCTCCTTAAAACTGGTGATGCCTTTTGATCCTTAATTGAAAATGGTTCCTCTAGTCCCTGGATTGTTCTCACAATTTTTTTTTTTTTTTTAGATGGAGTCTCGCTGTGTCTCCCAGGCTGGAGTGCAGTGGTCCGATCTCGACTCACTGCAACCTCCACCTCCCAGGTTCAAGCGATTCTCCTGCTGCAGCCTCCCCAGTAGCTGGGACTACAGGCGTGCACTATCATGCCAGGCTAATTTTTGTAGTTTTGGTAGAGACAGGGTTTCACCATGTTGGCCAGGCTGGTCTCGAACTCCTGACCTCATGATCTGCCCGCCTCGGCCTCCCAAAGTGCTGGGATTACAGGCATGAGCCACAGCGCCCAGCCTCTCATGGTCTTTTTTTTAAACTACTTTACTACTTTTTTTATTGTGGTAAAATACATGTAACATAAAATTGATCATCTTAGTCATTTATATTTTTTCCTCCTTAAGCATTGTGGGTTTTTTTTTTTGGATGGGGTCTTGCTGTGCTGCCCAGGCTGAGTACAAGTGCAGTGTCACCATCATAGCTCACTGCAGTCTCAAACTCCTGGGCGCAAGCAGTCCTCTTGCCTCAGCCTCCCAAAGTGCTGGGATTACAGTCACGAGCCACTGTACCCAGCTGAGTTTTTTTGTTGTTGTTGTTTTGTTTTTTAAAACAAAACAGGGTCTCACTCAGTTGCCCAGGCTTGAGTGCAGTGGCACAATCATAGCTAACTGTAGCCTTGATCTCCTGAGCTCAAGCGATCCTCTCAACTCAGTCTCCCACATAGCTGGGACTACAGGCACATGTCACCATAGATAGCCACCTAATTTTTTTATTTTTTGTAGAGACGGGGGTCTCTCTATGATGCCCAAGCTGGTCTCGACCTCCTGGACTCACGTGATCTTCCTGCCTCGGCCTCCCAAAGCACTGACATTACAAGTGTGAGCTACTGTGCCCAGCCTGCCATTCTACTTTCTTTCTCTATGAATTTGACTCCTCTAGGTACCTTATATAAGTGGAATAACATATTAATAGTATCTGTCTTTTTGTGTCTGGCTTATTTCACTTAGCATAAGGTTTATCCATGTTGTGGCATGTGTCAGAATTTCCATCCTTTTCAAGGCTGAATAGTATTCCATTGCATGCTTGGCCTGGATTTAGTTTAGCTGTTTATCTGTCATTGGACAGTCTGGTTGCTTCTACATTTTGGCTATTGTGAAAAATGCTGCTATGGACATCGGTGTACAAATATTTCTTCCAGACCCTGCTTTTGGTTCTTCTGGGTATGTAGCCAGAAATGGAATTGCTGATCATATGGTAATTCTATTTTTAATTTTTTAAAGAATTGCCATACCATTTTCCAAAGTGATTGCACCGGCGTACATTCCTACCAGCAGTGCACAAGGATTCCGATTTCTCACATCCTCACCTACACTCGTTATTTTCTGGGTTTTGGATAGTAGCCATCCTAAGGGGTGTCAGATGGTATCTCATTGTGGTTTTGACTTGCATTTCCCTAATGATTAGGGATGTTGAACATCTTTTCATGTGCTTTTGGTTCTTTGTATGCCTTCTTTGGATAAGCGTCTATTCAAGTCCTTTGCCCATATTTGAATCAGGTTGTTTGTTTTTTGTTGTCTAGTTTTAGGAGGTGTGTATATATTCTGGATGTCAATCTCTCATCAGATATATGATTTGCAAATATTTCTCCCATTCTGTGGGTTGTTTCTTTACTCTGTTGATAGTGTCTTTTAGCACAAATTTTAAATTTTTTCATGAACAGCTGAGCATGGTGGCTCACCCCTGTAATCCCAGTACTTTAGGAGCTGAGGCAGAAGGATCACTTGAGGCCAGGAGGTTGAGACCATCCTGGGCAACATAGCAAGACCCTGTCTCAATAAAAAATTAAAAAATTAGCCAGATGTGGTGGCGTGCACCTGTAGCCCCAGCTACTTGGGGGGCTGAGGCAGTAGGACCAGTTGAGCCAGGTAGATAAAGGCTGCAGTGAGCCATGATTGTGCCACCTCGTTCTAGCCTGGATGACGGAGAGGGACCCTGTCTCAAAAAAAAAAAAAAAGTTTTTTCATGAAGTTAAATTTGTCTTTTTTTTTTCCTTTGGTCCTTGAGTTTTTCTCACAATTTTTTAAAAACTTAATTTTGGAGGTGGCGGGGGAAGGAAGAGCATCAGAATAAATAGCTAATGCATGTGGGGCTTAATATCTAGGTGATGGGTCTATAGCTGCAGCAAACCACCATGGCACATGTTTACCTGTGTAACAAACCTGCACGTCCTGCACGTGTATCCCAGAACCTAAAATAAAATCATATATATATATATATATATATATATATATATATATATATAATTTGAAAACTTTAAATTTTGAAAACTTTTGCAAGTGATACATGAATTAATTAATTTGTTTGCTTTTAGTCTTTTTTTTTTCCTCTGTCTGTTTTTTGACCCCAGGGAGCAAGCATTGAGTGATTCACCTCTTGGTTCATGATTGATCTCAGCACTGGTCTGTGCAAAGCCTCTCTTTTCTTTTGTAAAGCGTAGCTGGCATGCAGCCTGAGGGCAGAAACCCCAGGGGGGTGGTGGCCAAGATGGCAGCACAGACTCAGAGGGTAGCCATGGTGTGGCGCTGGCAGCAGAGGCAAGCCAGAGACCTGTTGATAAGAACAGGAATTCCCATGGCACAGTTTCTATCCAGAGACCCTGACTTGACCAATGTTTGGCTTCAGTTACTCTCACCTGTGGAACTGTCCAGAAGAGCACTAGAATCGCTTAAGGCCAGGAGTTTGAGACTAGGCTGGGCAACATAGTGAGACCTTGTCTCTATTTTAAATTTTTAATTACTTTTTTTTTTTTTTTTTGAGACAGAATTTCACTTTTGTTGCCCAGGCTGGAGTGCAATGGCACAATCTCGGCTCACTGCAACCTCCGCCTCCTGGGTTCAAGCCATTCTCCTGCCTCAGCCTCCCGAGTAGCTGGGACTACAGCCACCCGCCATTGCACCCGGCTAATTTTTTGTATTTTTAGTAGAGACAGGGTTTCACCGTGTTAGCCAGGACAGTCTCGATCTCCTGACGTCGTGATCCGACCGCCTTGGCCTCCCAAAGTGCTGGGATTACAGGTGTGAGCCACCGCGCCCAGCTCTGTTTTTTTTTTTTTTTTTTTTTTTTTTTTTTTTTTTCCTGAGACGGAGTCTTGTTCTGTCGCCCAGGCTGGAATGCAGTGGCACAATCTCAGTTCACTGCAGTCTCCACCTCCCAGGTTCAAGCCATTCTCCTGCCTCAGCCTCCAGAGTAGCTGGGATTACAGGCGCCCACCACCATGCCTGGCTACTTTTTGTATTTTTAGTAGAGACAGGCTTTTACCACATTGGCCAAGCTGGTCTTGAACTCCTGGCCTCAAGTGATCCACCCGCCTTGGCCTCCCAAAGTGCTGGGATTACAGGCATGAGCCACCATACCTGGCCTGGGTTTTGGATGGTTTTATAGGTCTCTTTCTAGAATTACCCCCTTCATGGGCTGGGTTGGTCAAATTCCTCATTCAGCCATAGGTGGCCAGACTATGAGGACCCACATCCCAGACTTAGCAGAAATGCCAAGTTATCAAAGATACCAGTCCTAGATTTAGGAGGCTAAGACAGGAGGCTGAGATCAGGAGTTCGAGACCAGTCTGGCCAACATGGTGAAACCCCATCTCTACCAAAAATACAAAAAAAAATTAGCCAGGTGTGGTGGCACATGCCTGTGATCCCAGCTACTCGGGAGGCTGAGGCAGGAGAATCACTTGAACATGGGAGGCTGAGGTTGCCGTGAGCCGAGATCACACCACTGCACTCCAGCCTGGGTGACAGAGTGAGACTCTGTCTCAAAACAAAAACAAACAAACAAACAAAAAAACAGATTCCAGTCCTAGAGTGGGAAACAGTGGCTGGATAAAACTGGGTTGGGGCTGGGTACAGTGGCTCATGCCTGTAATCCCAGCACTTTGGGAGGCCCAGACAGGTGGACCATTTGAGGTCAGGAGTTCAAGACCAGCCTGGTTCAAGACCAACCCCATCTCTACTAAAAATACAAAAATTAGCCAGGCAATGGTAACGCATGCCTATAGTCCCAGCTACTCAGGAGGCTGAAGCAGGAGAATCGGTTGAATCTTGGAGGCGGAGGTTGCAGTGAGCCGCCGAGATTGTGCCATTGCACTTCAGCCTGGGTGACAGAGTGAGACTCTGTCTCAAAAAAAAAAAAAGAAAAAAGAAAGAAAAACTGAGTTTGCTCCCCCCAAGGAGGAAGTAAATGCATGGTCAGTGTGTGCAGATGTGTTTCTGTGGCTGTGAGTAAGGAAGGAGGGGATTTGTGGCTACTGGGCATCCAGGAAGGCATAGGCATTGCTGTCATTGCCCAAGTTCTCCTTTGCTCATCTCTGGCTACTGTCCCCTGCTTTTCACTTCCAGGTCCACATCTCCTCTAGTCTCAGCTCAGATGAGGCTGAGTACATGAATCAGGACGAAACCCATTCCGGCATCGCACTCCCAATAGGAGCAATAGATCCAGGAAGGGCACGAGGCTCCTTGAAACTCAAGGAGGAGGGCTTGCTGGGGTTTGCAGGAAAGACTTTAGCTGTTACTGCTGCTGCTGGTTCTGGAGCTACTGTCTCTGTCCTGCCTCTGCAGGAGGACTGAGATTGAAGCCAATGAAAGGAGGCCAAGTCTGAGGTGTGGAGAGAAGCCAAGTTTGGATTTTGTCATTTGAAACCCTGAAGCCGGGGTGTCTGAAGCGGCACCTGCTCATGGCCTCAGGCCTGGTGATATCATTTGCAGGGGCCAGTGCAAAATGAAAATGCAGGGCCCCTTGTTCAAAAAGCGGGTTAATGCCAGCACTTTTGGAGGCCGAGGCGGATGGATCGCTTGAGCCCAGGAGTTCGATTCCAGCTTGGCCAAGATGGCGAAACCTGTCTCTACGAAAAATACAAAAATTAGCTGGGCTAGCTGGGTGCAGTGGCTCATGTCTGTAATCCTAGCACTCTGGGAGGCCAAGATGGGAGGATCACTTGAGCTCAAGGATTCGAGACTAGCCTGGGCAACATGGCAAAACCCCATCTCTATAAAAAATACAAAAATTAGCTGAGTGTGGTGGCAAGTGCCTGTAGTCCCAGCTACTCTAGAAGCTGAGGTGGGAGGATCGCCTGAGACTGAAAGGTTGAGGCTGCAGTGAGCCATGATCATGCCACGATCATGCCACTGCACTCCAGCCTGGGTGACAGAGTGACTGTCTCTCTCTCTCTCTCTCTCTCTCTCTATATATATATATGTATATATACATGTATATATATACACATACATGTATATATACATGTATATATACACATACATGTATATATACACGTATATATACGTATATATATATACACACACATATATATATATACACACACACATATATATACATGTATATATATATATCTGGGCATTGTGGCGCATGCCTGTAGTCCCAGCTACTCAGGAGACTGAGGCATGAGAATCACTTGAACCCGGGAGGCAGAGATTGCAGTGAGCCAAGATTGCACCACTGTACTCCAGCCTGGGCGACAGAGTGAGATTGTCTCAAAAACAAAAAAAAAAGTAAATATGTAGCTAGGCAAATAGCTAGGTGTAGTGGTGCACGCCTTTGGTCCCAACTACTTGGGGGGCTGAGGCAAGAGGATTGCTTGAGCCCAGAAGGCGGAGATTGCAGTGAGCCAAGACTGCACCATTGCACTGCAGCCTGGGCAACAGAACTTAAACAACAAAAAAAAGAATAACAAAACTGGCCAGGCACAGTGGCCCACATCTGTAATCCCAGCACTTTGGGAGGCTGAGGCGGGAGGATCCCTTGAGGCCAGGAGTTTGAGACCAGCCTGGACGAAATAATGAGACCTTGTCTCTACTAAAATTAAAAAAATTTAAAAAATAAATTTTCCAAGCGTGGTGGCACATGCCTGTAGTTCCAGACACTCAGGAGGCTGAGGCGGGAGAATGGTTTGAGCCTCAGAGATGGAGGCTGCACCTTTGGTCCCAACTACTTGGGAGGCTGAGGCAAGAGGATTGCTTGAACCCGGGAGGGAGCAGTGAGCTGTGATCATGCGAGTGTACTCCATGCTGGGTGACAGAGTGAGATTCTGTCTCAAAAAGAAGAAGAATGATGCTCAGAACTTTGTGTGCAAGTCTGTGTGCAGATATATGCTTCATTTTTCTTGTGTAGATACCTAATTTCTGTGTCATATGGTAATTTTTTTTTTTTTTTTTTTTTGAGACGGAGTCTCGCTCTGTCGCCCCAGGCTGGAGTACAGTGGCGCAATCTCACTGCAAGCTCCACCTCCTGGGTTCACACCATTCTCCAGCCTCAGCCTCCTGAAGCTGGGACTACAGGCCCCTGCCACCGCACCTGGCTAATTTTTTTGTATTTTTAGTAGAGACGGGGTTTCACCGTGGTCTCGATCTCCTGACCTGGTGATCCTCCTGCCTCGGCCTCCCAAAGTGCTGGGATTACAGGCGTGAGCCACCGCGCCCGGCCGGTAAATTTTTTTAACTTTTTTTTTTTTTTGACAATTGAATGGTTTTGATATACTGACAGAGTTGTGCACCATTGCCACAATCAATTGTTGAACATTTTCATTATAGCAAAAAGAAGTCCTTATACCCTTTAACTATCAATTCCCTTTCCCCCTACCCTTATCCTCACCCTCCACCCTAAGCAACACTGATCTACTTTCTGTTTCTATGGATTTGCCTATTATGGACATTTTATATCAATGGAATCATGTAACATGTGGCTTTTATGTTTGGTTTTTTTCTCCTAACAGAATGTTTTCAAGGTTCTTCCATGTTGTAGTATGTATCAATACTCAATTCCTTTCTATGGTTGGATAATACTGCACTGCATGGATAGATCACATTTTCTTCATCTATTCATTAGTTAATGGACATGTGATATGTTTCCGCCTTTTGACCATCATGACTGACATTGGTAAGAACGTTTGTGTACAAGTTTTTTGTAGACATAGGTTTTTATTTCTCTTCGGTATATATCTAGGAGTAGAATTTGTGGATCAAATGTTTAATATTTTGAGGAACTGCCAGACCGTTTTCAACAGAGGCTACAGCATTTTACATTTCCATCAGCAGTCCACAAGGGTTATAATTTCTCTACATCCTTGCCGACACCTATTACTTTTTCTCTTCTTTTTTTTTAATTATAGTGACCCTAGTGGGTGTGAAGTGGTATCTCACTGTGGTTTTGATTTGCCTTTCCCTGGTAACTAATGATGTTTATATGTTTTTGTGGGCTTTTTGACCATTTGTATACTTTCTTCAGAAAAATGCCCATTTAGATATTTTGTCCTGTTTTTGTTTTTGTTTCTGTTTTTTTGTTTTTGAGACGGAGTCTCGCTCTGTCACCCAGGCTGGAGTGCAGTGGCCTGATCTCAGTTCACTGCACCCTCTGCCTCCCGGGCTCAAGCGATTCTCCTGCCTCAGCCTCTCGAATAGCTGGGATTACAGGCGCGTGGTACCACGCCCGGCTAACTTTTGTATTTTTAGTAGAGGTGGGGTTTCTTTTCACCTCTTTGGCCATGCTGGTTTTGAACTCCGGACCCCAGGTGATGTACCCGTCTTGGCCTCCCAAAGTGCTGGGATTACAGGCTTGAGCCACCACGCCTGGCCCTTTTGTTCATTTTTAACTGGGTTATTTGTCTTCTTCTTCTTCTTATTATTATTATTATTATTATTGAAACGGAGTTTTGCTCTTGTTGCCCAGCTGGAGTGCAATGGCGCGATCTCGGCTCACTGCAACCTCCACCTCCCAGGTTGAAGAAATTCTTCTGCCTCAGCCTCCCGAGTAGCTGGGATTACAGGCGCCCGCTACCATGCCTGGCAAATTTTTAGTATTTTCAGTAGAGATGGGGTTTTGCCATGTTGGCCAGGCTGGTCTCGAACTGTTGATCTCAGGTGATCCACCCGCCTCGGTTTCCCAAAGTGTTGGGGTTACAGGCGTGAGCCACCACGCCTGGCCGTCTTTTTATTATTGACTTGTAAGAGTTATTTATATATTCTAAATACAGTTCTCTGACAGACATATGACTTACAAATATTTTCCCCATTATTTTCACTTTCTTGACAGTGCCTTTGAAATACAAAAGTTTTAAATTTTGATGAAGTCAAATTCTTTTATTTATTTATTTATTTTTTGCTGCTTGTGTTTTTGGTGTTACGTCTGAAAATTTGGGTTTTGGTTTTGGTTTTTGTTTGAGACGGAGTCTGACTGTCACCCAGGCTGGAATGCAATGCCGCAATCTCAGCTCACTGCAACCTCCACCTCCCAGGTTCAAGTGATTCTCCTGCCTCACCCTCCCGAGTAGCTGGGGCTACAGGTACGCACCACCACGTCCAGCTAATTTTTTAATTTTTTGGTAGAGAGGGGGTTTCACCATGTTGGCCAGGCTGGTCTCAAACTCCTGACCTCAAGTGATCCACCCACCTTGGCCTCCCAAAGTCCTGACATTACAGGTGTGAGGCACCATGCCTGGCCAATCTTAACCATTCTTTAAGCATGCAGTTCAGTGGCATTAACCGTATTCACACTGTTGTGTGACCATCACAGCTATTTTTCTCCAGAACTTTTTCATCTTCCTAAACTGAATAATTATTATCCCCATTAAACATGAACTTGCCATTTTCCCCTCCTCCCAGCTACTGTAACCACTATTCAAGTTTTTGTATCCGAACTCAACTTTTTTTTTTTTTTTTTTTTTTTTTTTTTTTTGAGATAGAGTATTGCTCTGTCACCCAGGCTGGAGAGCAGCGGTGTGATCTCGGCTCTCGCAACCTCTGCCTCCCGGGTTCAAGTGATTCTCCTGCTTCAGCCTCTCGAGTAGCTGGGGCTACAGGCACGTGCCACCATGCCCGGCTAATTTTTTAATTTTTTGGTAGAGATGGGGCTTCACCATGTTGGCCAGGCTGGTCTCAAACTCCTGACCTCAAGTGATCCACCCGCCTTAGCCGCCCAAAGTGCTGGGATTACAGGCATGATCCACCGCACCTGGCCTCTGAATTCACCTATTCCCTTTGACTCTTCCACTGGTACGAGGTACATCATGTAAGTGGAATCATGCAATACTGGCCCTTTTGCATTTGGCTTATTAGCAAGTCTTCAAGGTCCAGCCATGTCGTCCACGTTGTGGCAAGTGTCAGAACGCACTTCCTGTTGAAGGCTATTCCTGTTGAAGGCTAATCATAGCGCATTGTACGGATGGACCATAGTTTGTTTCTCCATTCACCCATGGAAGAACACCTGGGTGGCTTCCACATTTTGGCGATTGTGAATAATGCCGCTGTGAACACATCTCTGCTTTGACTTCTTTAAGGCATTCGCCTTGATATGGGGTTGCTGAATCATATGGTAATTTTATGTTATGTTTGAGGAACCACCATATTGTTTCTACAGCAACTGTGCTGTTTTATGTTCCCACCTGCAATGTACATTTGTTATTTTCTGGTTTTTTTATAACAGCCATCTTGGTGGGTGTGAAGTGGTATCTCACTGTGGGTTTTGTGTGTGTGTGTATTTTTGAGACAGAGTCTCACTCTGTCACCCAGGCTGGAGTGCATTGGCACGATCTCAGCTCACTGCAACCTCCGCCTCCTGGGTTCAAGTGATTCTCCTGCTTCTGCCTCCCGAGTAGCTGGGATTACAGCCACGTACCACCAGGCCCAGCTAATTTTTGTATTTTTAGTAGAGACGGGGTTTCACCATGTTGGCCAGGCTGGTCTCGAACTCCTGACATCAAGTGTTCCACCAGCCTCGGACTCCCAAAGTGCTGGGATTACAGGCGTAAGCCACAGCGCCCAGCACAATTTATCTTTTTTTTTCTTTTGTTGCCCTGTACTTCTGGTGTCATACCTAAGAATATATTAAACATGTATGTATTTATTTATTTATTTATGGAGATGAAGTCTTGCTGTGTTGACTAGGCTGGTCTTGCTCTCCTGGGCTCAAGGGATCCTCCTGACTTAGCCTCCCAAGTAACTGAGGCTTCAGGCATGCACTTGGGTACATTAAACTTTTTTTTTTTTTTTTTTTTTGAGATGGAATTTCACTCTTATTGCCCAGGCTGGAGTGCAATGGCACGATCTCAGCTCACCACAACCTCCACCTCCTGGGTTCAAGCAATGCTCCCGCCTCAGCCTCCCAAGTAGCTGAGATTACAGGTGCACACCACCACGCCCAGTGAATTTTTGTATTTTTAGTAGAGACAGGGCTTCACCATGTTGGTCAGGCTGGTCTCGAACTCCTGACCTTGTGATCCGCCCGCCTCGGCCTCCCAAAGTGCTAGGATTACAGGCATGAGCCACCATGCCCGGCCGCATTAAACTTCTTAAAGAATTGCTAAACTATTTGTTCCGAAGAGCACCATTTTACACACCCACCAGCAATGTATGAGTGATTTTGTTTCTCCTCGCCAACACTTGTTATTTTAATTTAATTAATTACTTTATTTATTTATTTATTTTTATTGTAGCCATTCCTGGTGGTTGTTAAATATTATCTCGGCTGGGCGTGGTGGCTTATGCCTGTAATCCCAACACTTTGGGAGGCCAATGTGGGCAGATCACCTGAGGTCAGGAGTTGGAGACCAGCCTGGCCAACATGGTGAAACCCCGTCTCTACTAAAAATACAAAAATTAGCCGGGTGTGGTGGCAGCCACCTGTAATCCCAGCTACTCAGGAGGCTGAGGCAGGAGAATCGCTTGAACCCAGGAGGCGGAGGTTGTGGTGAGCCGAGATCATGCCATTGCCCTCCAGCCTGGGCGACAAGAATGAAACTCCGTCTCAAAAAAAAAAAAAAAATTACCTCATTGTGGTTTCAAATTGCACTTTCCAAATAAATGATCAATAATTTTGAGGTTCTTTTCTTCTCCCTTTTTTTTTTTTTTTTTTTGAGACAGTCTCATTCTGTTACCCAGGCTGGAGTGCAGTGGCATAATCTTGGCTCACTGCAACCTCTGCCTCCTGGGTTCAAGCAATTCTTGTGCGTCAGCCTCCCCAGGAACTGCAATTACAGATGCCTGCCACTGTGCCGGCTAATTTTTGTACTTTTAGTAGAGACAGGGTTTCACAGTGTTAGCCAGGACAGTCTCCATCTCCTGACCTCGTGATCTGCCCGCCTCGGCCTCCCAAAGTGCTGGGATTACAGGCGTGAGCCACCACGCCCGGCCTTAAATGGTATCTTTTGAAGAACAGAAGATTTGCATTTTGATGAGGTCCAATTGATCAATTTTTTTTTTTTTTTTTGAGATGGAGTTTTGCTCTTGTCGCCCAGGCTGGAGTGCAGTGGCGTGATGTCGGCTCACTGCAACTTCCGTCTCCTAGGTTCAAGCGATTCTCCTGCCTCAGCCTCCCAAGTAGCTGGGATTGCAGGCATGTACCACCACACCTGGCTAATTTTTGTATTTTTAGTAGAGACAGGATTTCACCGTATTAGTCAGGCTGATCTCGAACTTCTGACCTCACATGATCCACCGGCCTTGGCCTCCCAAAGTGCTGGGATTACAGGCATGAGCCGCCGCGCCTGGCCCCAAGTGATCAATTTTTAAAAATGTATTGCACTTTTGTTGTAGGTTTTCTATAGATGCCTGTTATCAGGTCAAAGAAGACCCCTTCTATTTTAGTTTACTGAGAGTTTTTTTTTCTCTTTATCTCTTTTTAAAAAATTATGAATAGGTTGAATTTTGTCAGATGGGTGTTTTTCATCAGGAGATGATTATAAGATTTTTCTAGTTTAATCATGTATTCGCTAGCTGAAGCTGCTGCAAGAAATTGCCACAAACTTGGTGGCTTCAAACAACAAAAATCAGGCCAGGTGTGGTGGCTCATGCCTGTGATCCCAGCACTTTGGGAGGCCGAGGCAGGCGGATCACTAGATGTCAGGAGTTTGAGACCGGCCTGGCCAACATGGTGAAACCCTGTCTCTACTAAAAATACAAAAATGAGCCAGGCATGGGGGTGCATGCCTGTAATCCCAGCTACTCAGGAGGCTGAGGCACAAGAATCGCTTGAACCTGGGAGGCAGAGATTACAGTGAGCTGAGATTGTGTGCCACTGCACTCCAGCCTGAGCAACAGAGCAAGACTCTCAAACAACAACAAAAACAACAAACAAACCAAACAACAAAAGTCTATTATCTAACAGTTCTGGAGGCTGGAAGTCTGAAATTAAGGTGTCATCAGATCCATGCTCAACCTGAAGACTCTGGAGGAGGAATCTGTCACTTGCCTCTGGTTTTTGGTGGCTGCCAGCATTCCTTGGCTTGTGGCTGCATCACTTAAATCTCTGCCTCTGTCTGCATATTTTCTTCTCTGTGTGTCTGTCTCCTCTTTCTGTGTCAAATATCCCTCTGCCTTCTTATACGGACACTTGTCACTGCACTTAGCAATGGAGCCAAGTGTCACTTAGCAACAGAGTTATGTTCTGAGAAATGCATCGTTAGGCAATGGAATCATCATTGTGTGAACATCACAGGGTGCCCTTACACAGTCCTAGACGGTACAGCCTACCATACACCCAGGATACATGGTACAGCCCATTGTTCCCTGGGCTACAAACCTGTGCAGCTTGTTACTGCACTGAGTACTGTGGGCAGTTGTAACCCCGTGGTAAGTATTTATGTATCTAAACATGTCTAAACATAGAAAAGGTACAGTAAACATACAAAACTACAGTTTTGTTTGGTTTTGTTTTGTTTTTTTGAGATGGAGACTCGCTTTGTCACCCAGGCTAGAGTGTCGTCACACGATCTCGGCTCACTGCAACCTCCACCCCCTGAGTTCAAGAAACTCTTGTGCCTCAGCCTCCTGAGTAGCTGGGATTACAGGCACCCACCACCACACCTGGCTAATTTTCCTATTTTTAATAGAGACGGGTTTTACCACGTTGGCCAGGCTGGACTCGGACTCCTGACCTCAAGTGATCCTCCTGCTTCAGCCTCCCAAAGTGCTGGGATTATAGGGGTGAGCCACCTCATCCGGCCTTTATTTTATTTTTTAACATATGATTCAAAGGCCTACACAAAAAATACAAGACATTCTGGAGAAAAAAATATTAATATGATTGGAACTAATAGAAGAGTCTGGCAAATCTGTTGGATCAGCTAAAAGATGGGCAGGCCCTTATGGAGAAAAATATAAAACTTTATTGCAAGACAGAAGAAAATGTAAATAAAAGAATAGCTATATCATGTCTGTGGATGGAAAGACTCAATATTTCCATATTTGTATTGTTATACTATAAGGCTAATCTATTATACTATTATACTATAATAATATACTGTATAATAATACACTGTTTAATAATAATCACTCTGTTGCCCAGGCTGGAGTAAAATGGCACAATCACAGCTCACTGCAGCCTCAAACTCCTTGGCTCAAGTGATCCTCCTGCCTCAGCCTCCCAAGTAGCTGAGACTACAGGTGCATATCACCATGCCTGGCTAATTTTTAAATTTTTTGTTGAGATGGGGTTTTGCTGTGTTGCCCAGGCTGGCCTTGACTTCCTAGCCTCAAGCAATCCTCCCACCCCAGCCTCCCAAAGTGCTGAGATTACAGGCAGGAGCCACCTGGCCCTCATATTTTAAAAACTTTTATTATTATAGGAATTTTTGAAATACACAAAAGTATGCAGAATAAAGTAATGAATTCTCAGGTACCCATCACTCAGTTTCAATAACTATCTATTCCTGCCCAATCTTGTTTCATCTATTATCCCACCTACTCCCAGGCATCCTATTATCATACTGTATTTTATATACATCTATATATGTTATACTGTAATGTTTATAGATTATAAATATTTCAGCCTATGTCTCTAAAGTTAAGGACTATTTTAAAATACATAATCACAATGTTACCATCACACTTTAAATAACTGGCTGGGGGCAGTGGCGCACACCTGTAATCCCAGCAATTTGGGAGGCCAAGGCAGGCGGATTGCTTGAGTCCAGGAGTTCAAGACCAGCCTGGGCAATATAGCAAGACCCCACCCTCTACAAAAATTAAAATAAAATAAAAAATTAATGGTAACTTCTTAGTATCATTCCATATCAGTCATTATTTCAATTTTTTTTTTTTTGAGATGGAGTCTCACTCTGTCACCCAGGCTGCAGTGCAGTGCCATGATCTCGGCACACTGCACCCTCTGCCTCCCGGGTTCAAGCGATTCTCCTGCCTCAGTCTCCTAAGTAGCTGGGACTACAGGCGCCCACCGCCACACCTGGCTAATTTTTGTAATTTTAGTAGAGACGGGGTTTCACCATATTGGCCAGGCTAGCCTCGAACTCCTGACCTCCAGTGATCTACCCACCTTGGCCTTCCAAAGTGCTGGGATTACAGGTGTGAGCCACCACAGCTGGCCAAGACACACGATTTTTTAAATGGCAATTTTCCTCAAGTTAATTTACAAATTCAAAGCAATTCCAATGAAAAGCCCAACTTTTTCTTCACACTCCTTGAAAAATTGAAATTCACATGGAAGACCAAAAGAGTCAAGAGTAGTAAAGACAACTTTGAAAGGGAAGAGGGGTGGGGGAAACTCTCCTCTCCAGAGACCAGGAGTTACCCTTACTTGGAAAGATTTTAAACATTGTAATATTGGTGCAGTGGGATACAAATAGGCCAACTGACAGAAGAAAGAGGATGTTGGGGCCAGGCTCGGGGTCTGACGCCTGTAATTCTAGCACTTAGGGAGGCCGAGGCAGGCAGATCACTTGAAGTCAGGAGTGAGTTTGAGACCATCCTGGCCAACATGATGAAATCCTATATCTACTAAAAATACAAAAATTAGCTGGGTGTGGTGGCACGTGCTTGTAATCCGAGCTACTCAGGAGGCTGAAGCAGGAGTATCGCTTGAACACAGGAAACGGAGGTTGCAGTGAGTCAAGATTGTGCCATTGTACTGTAGCCTGGGCAACAGAGCAAGACCCTGCCTCGAAAGAAAGAAAAGGGAAAGGGAAAAGGAAATGGAACGGGAAAGGAAAAGGATGAGGAAGGGAGGGAGAGATGAGGGAGAAATAGAAGAAAAAAAAGCAAGGAAGGAAAGAAGGAAGGAAGGGAGGAAGGAAGGAGGGAGGAAGGGAGGGAGGGAGGGAAGGAAAGAAGGGAAAGAAAAAAAAAGGAAAGAAAGAGGAAAAACAGAGCAAGAAAGAGGATCTTAGTATAATAAAAGAGTTGACATTAGAAATCAAAGCACAAAGATGGAGTATTTCATAAAGGGAACCAGCTATCTGTAAGGAAAAAGAAGTAAATCTCTACCTCAAACCACACACATGTGTATGCTCACATGCACAGTCCCAGAATGCTCTGAACACCCAAATGTGAAAAAGCAAAACTCAAATTTCTAGAAGAAAACATGGGAAACCATTTTTATGACATCAGAGTAGGGAAGGAGATCTAAGCCACAGATACATACCATGAAGGGCAAGAGTAATCAATTTGAAGAGATGAAAATGTAAACATCCAGCCAGGTGTGGTGGCTCAAGCCTATAATGCCAGCACTTAAGGAGGCCAAGGCAGGGGGATCACCTGAGGTCAGGAGTTCAAGACCAGCCTGGCCAACATGGTGAAACCCCATCTCTACTAAAAATACAAAAATTACCTGGGCGTGGTAGCAAGCACCTATAATCCCAGCTACTTGGGAGGCTGAGGAACGAAAATCGCTTGAACCCGGGACGGGGATTGCAGCGAGCCAAGATCGCACCACTGCACTCCAGCCTGGGCAACAAAGCAGGACCCTGTCTCAAAAAAAAAATATAGAAGTTCTGTATAACAAAAAATACTGCAAGGGAAAAGATAAGTCACAGACAGGAAAGAATAGCTACAAGTTTTTTATTTTGAGATGGGGTCTCACTGTGTTGCTCATACTGGAGTGCAGTGGTGCCATTATAGCTCACTGCAGCCTCCAGGTCCTGGACTCAAGAGATCCTCCCACCTCCGCCTCCTGAGAGGCTGGGCCTACAGGTGCGTGCCATTATGCCCAGCCAATTTTTAACTTTTTTTTTTTTTTTTTTTTTTTTGCAGAGATGGGGTCTCACTGTGTTGCCCAAGTGCATCTGAAACTCCTGGGCTCAAGCAATCCTCCTGCCTCGGCCTCCCAAAATGCCAGGATTACAGGGGTGGGCCACCACGCCGGACCAAACAGTTAGACAATTTATTTATGAAGGATTAGCATCCAAAATTTAAAAAGAAAGTGATTAATGAATCTGAGAAAGATAAAAAACCCAACAGCAAAAGAGCAAAGGATAAGGCAATCCATAGTACATAAAACCTCCCCTAAACAAATAAGTATGTGAAAATAGCCTCATTAGTAATTAGGGAAGAGCATACTAAAATTAAGAGGCACCATTTCATCCCCGAAGGCTGGGAAAAAACTCAAATTAATGAAAATTAAGTCTGGTAAATAACAGCTAATGTTGGCAAAGATGTGGGTATATAGATAGCATAAGTTGCTAGTGGGAATGTAAATGGATAAAATCATTTTGGAAAGCAAATTGGGCTGGGCGCGGTGGCTCACGCCTGTAATGCCAGCACTTTGAGAGGCCGAGGAAGGCGGATCACCTGAGGTCAGGAGTTCAAGAACAGCCTGGCCAACATGGCGAAACTCCATCTCTACTAAAAATACAAAAAAATTAGCTGGGCATGGGGGTGCACGCCTGTAATCCCAGCTACTCGGGAGGCTGAGGCAGGAGAATCACTTGTACCAGGCAGGCAGAGGTTGCAGTGAGCCAAGATGGCACCATTGTGCTCTAGCCTGGGTGACAAAATGAGACTATGTCTCAAAAAAAATAAATAGGCCGGGTGCAGTGGCTCATGCCTGTAGTCCCAGCACTTTGGGAGGCCGAGGTGGGCAGATCACGAGGTCAGGAGATCGAGACCATCCTGGCTAACACGGTGAAACCCTGTCTCCACTAAAAATGCAAAAAATTAGCCGGGCGTGGTGGCGGGCGCCTGTACTCCCAGCTACTCAGGAGGCTGAGGCAAGAGAATGGCGTGAACCCAGGAGGCAGAGCTTGCAGTTAGCCAAGATCGCGCCACTGCACTCCAGCCTGGGCGACAAAGCAAGACTCTGTCTCAAAAACTAACTAACTCACTCACTAACTAAATAAATAATTAAATAAATGCAAATTGGAAATTCCCCCTACAGTTGAGGATGGCTATACTCTATGTGCCAGACATCTTCTGGATAGCCCTCGAATCGATCCCTTCACCCCTTTCCACGTTGCCCTGGCCTCAGGAGGCTGACTTGGACAGGCTACCATGCCTTGGGCTTGGGTTCCTAGTGGGCACCCTGGCGGGAGATCAGAAGGAAGGAAAGGCTGGGCGCATTGGCTCACACCTATCATCTCTGCACTTTGGGCAGCTGCAGTGGGAGGATTGCTCGAGCCCCGGAGTTTGAGACCAGCCTGGGCAACATGAGACCCTGTCGCTACAGAAAGTAAAAAAAAAAAAAAAAATAGCCGGTGTGGTGGCACATGCCTGTAGTCCCAGCTACTCGGTGGGCTGAGGTGGGAGAACTGCTTGAGCCTGGGTGGTCAAGGCTGCAGGGAGCTGTGATCGTGCCACTGCACTCCACCCTGAGACCCTGTTAGAAAGAAAGAGAGAGAGAAAGAGAAAGAGAGAGAGAGAGAGAGGAAGACAGACAGGAAAGAAGGAAGAAGGAAAGCCAGGCATGGGACTCACGCCTGTAATCCCAACATCTTGGGAGGCAGAGGCAAGGGGATTGCTTGAGCCCAGGAGTTCAAGATCAGCCTGGGCAACAAAGCATGACCTATCTCTACAAAAAAATTTTTAAAAAAATTTTAAAAAAGGAAACTGGCCAGGTGCGGTGGCTCACACCTGTAATCCCTGCACTTTGGGAGGCGAGGTTGGGCAGATCACCTGAGGCCGGGAGTTTGAGACCAGTCTGGCCAACATGGTGAAACCCTGTCTCGACTAAAAATACAAAAATTAGCCAGGCATGGCGGCATGTGCTTGTAATGTCAGTTACTCAGGAGGCTGAGACAGAAGAATCGCTTGAACCCAAAAGGTGGGGGTTACAGTGAGCCAAGATCACGCCACTGCACTCCAGCCTGGACAACAGAACGAGACTCCATCGAAAGGAAGGAAGGAAGGAAGGAAGGAAGGAAGGAAGGAAGGAAGGAAGGGAGGGAGGGAGGGAGGGAGGGAGGGAGGGAGGGGAGGGGGAGGGGGAAGGGAGGGGAGGGGAAGGAAAGAGAAGAAGAAAGGAGAGAAGGAAGGAAGGGGAAGGGAAGGGAAAAGGAAGGGAAAGGGAAAGGGAAGGGAGAAAAAAAGAAAGAGTGGTCACGGTATTTGGTCACCTCAAGTCAGCTGAGTCCCTCTGCAAAAGATCACCCCTCTCAAGATGACCATCTCTACACAATTATTTTCTTTCCGGGTCTGGGAAGCTTTCCCTTCTGTGTCCCTTTGGGCCTTGTGGCAGTAACAGCTCAGCTGCTACAAGCCCTAGGTTGCTGCCCTATCCCTTATGGTTTCCTTGCAACCCGCCCTAACTGTGTACGCAGTTCCTCTATGAAACCTTCCATAAGCTGGCTGATTCTACGGGGGCTCTGCCTGCTATAACCTTAAACCCAGGAAATCCACTTCTCAGTGTTCATCTGGTGATGCTCTTAGGTGCACAAGGAAACCTGTACAAGAACATTAATTGCAGCCCCGTTTGTAACAGGAAAAAAGTGGAAACAATCTACCAGTCCCTTAGGAGGAGAATAGATCAATAAAATGTGCTTTGTTCCTGCAGTAGAATACAAGACAGCGGCTAAAAGGAATGAACTGAAAGATAGCACTCATCGGGATGACTATTATCAGAAAAGAAAAGAACAAAACAGCATAAGTGTTGGTGAGGAAGTGGAGAAATTGGAACCCTTGTACACTGCTGGCAGGAATGTAAAATGATGCAGCTGCTATGGAAAACAGTATGGGAGTTCCTTATAGAATCAAAAGTAGAATTACCATATGAGACAGCAATTATCCCACTTCTGGGTATATACCCAAAAGAACTGAAAGCAGGCCGGGTGCGGTGGCTCACGCCTGTAATCCCAGCACTTTGGGAGGCTGAGGTGGGAGGATCACTTGAGCCCAGGAGTTTGAGACCAGCCTGTGTAACATGGCAAAACCCCATCTCTACTAAAATACAAAAATTAGCCGGGCATGATGGCGGGCACCTGTAGTCCCAGCTACTCGGGAGGCTGAGGCAGGGGAATCGCTTGAACCCCAGAAGCAGAGGTTGCAGTGAGCTGAGATCGCGTCACTGTACTCCATCCTGGTGACAGAGCAAGACTCCATCTAAACACAAACAAAAAAAAGAATTGAAAGCAGGGTTGGGAAGAAAAGAAATACATCCACGTTCACCACAGCATTAATCATGATAGCTGCATGGTGGAAGCAGTTCCGTATCCGTCAACAGATGAATGGATAAGCAAACTGTGGTCCATCCATACGATGGAATATTCATCGTTCATAAGGAAGGAAATTCTCTATGGGCACGGTGGCTCATACCTGTAAACCCAACACTTTGGGAAGTTGAGGTAGGAGGATCACTTGAAGCCAGGAACTCAAGATCAGCCTGGCCAATACAGCAAGACTCCAAAAAAAATTAGCTGGGCATGGTGGTGCACACCTGTAGTCTCAGTTACTTGGGAGGCTGAGGCAGGAGGATCACTTGAGCAGGAGAGGTCAAGGCTGCATTGAGCCATGACTGTACCACTGCACTCCAGCCTGGGTGACAGAGCAAGACCATGTCTCAAAAATAAAAATAGGCTGGGCACGATGGTTCACGCCTGTAATCCCAGCACTTTGGGAGGCCGAGGCGGGCAGATCACCTGAGTTCAGGAGCTCGAGACCAGCCTGGCCAACATGGTGAAACCCCCAACTCTACTAAAAATACAAAAATTAGCTGGGCATAGTGGCGGGTGCCTGTAGTCCCAGCTATTTGGGAGGCTGAGGCAGGAGAATCACTTGAACTCAGGAGGCAGAGGTTGTGGCGAACTGAGATCGTGCCACTGCACTCCAGCCAGGGGGACAGAGTGAGACTCCGTCTCAAAATAATAATGATAAAATAACATAAAATAAAAATAAACACAGGGCATGGGAGAAGAGGAAATGAGCCCAGCCTTTGTAGACACCCTGTTCAAGTTTCCTTAGCTAGGAATGGAAGAGACAGGGTGGAATCAGGGCTGAAGCTGAAGCTGACTGCCAATGTGTTTAAGGAAAAGGAGGTACTGGGGTAAGTAAGGGAGAAAAGATTCAGGGGCAGTGATGGTAAAAAGCAACAGCAGAAGCTCTTTAGTTTAATTAGATCCCAATTGTCAATTTTGGCTTTTGTTGCCATTGCTTTTGGTGTTTTAGACATGAAGTCCTTGCCCATGCCTATGTCCTGAATGGTAATGCCTAGGTTTTCTTCTAGGATTTTTATGGTTTTAGGTCTAACGTTTAAGTCTTTAATCCATCTTGAATTAATTTTTGTATAAGGTGTAAGGAACGGATCCAGTTTCAGCTTTCTACATATGGCTAGCCAGTTTTCCCAGCACCATTTATTAAATAGGGAATCCTTTCCCCATTGCTTGTTTTTCTCAGGTTTGTCAAAGATCAGATAGTTGTAGATATGCGGCGTTATTTCTGAGGGCTCTGTTCTGTTCCATTGATCTATATCTCTGTTTTGGTACCAGTACCATGCTGTTTTGGTTACTGTAGCCTTGTAGTATAGTTTGAAGTCAGGTAGCGTGATGCCTCCAGCTTTGTTCTTTTGGCTTAGGATTGACTTGGCGATGTGGGCTCTTTTTTGGTTCCATATGAACTTTAAAGTAGTTTTTTCCAATTCTGTGAAGAAAGTCATTGGTAGCTTGATGGGGATGGCATTGAATCTATAAATTACCTTGGGCAGTATGGCCATTTTCACGATATTGATTCTTCCTACCCATGAGCATGGAATGTTCTTCCATTTGTTTGTATCATCTTTTATTTCACTGAGCAGTTGTTTGTAGTTCTCCTTGAAGAGGTCCTTCACATCCCTTGTAAGTTGGATTCCTAGGTATTTTATTCTCTTTGAAGCAATTGTGAATGGGAGTTCACTCATGATTTGGCTCTCTGTTTGTCTGTTATTGGTGTATAAGAATGCTTGTGATTTTTGTACATTGATTTTGTATCCTGAGACTTTGCTGAAGTTGCTTATTAGCTTAAGGAGATTTTGGGCTGAGACAATGGGGTTTTCTAAAGAAACTACCATCACAGTGAACAGGCAACCTACAAAATGGGAGAAAATTTTTGCAACCTACTCATCTGACAAAGGGCTAATATCCAGAATCTACAATGAACTCAAATAAATTTACAAGAAAAAAACAAACAACCCCATCAAAAAGTGGGCGAAGGACATGAACAGACACTTCTCAAAAGAAGACATTTATGCAGCCAAAAAACACATGAAAAATGCGCACCATCACCGGCCATCAGAGAAATGCAAATCAAAACCACAATGAGATACCATCTCACACCAGTTAGAATGGCGATCATTAAAAAGTCAGGAAACAACAGGCGCTGGAGAGGATGTGGAGAAATAGGAATGCTTTTACACTGTTGGTGGGACTGTAAACTAGTTCAACCATTGTGGAAGTCAGTGTGGCCATTCCTCAGGGATCTAGAACTAGAAATACCATTTGACCCAGCCATCCCATTACTGGGTATACACCCAAAGGACTATAAATCATGCTGCTATAAAGACACATGCACACATATGTTTACTGCGGCTTTATTCACAACAGCAAAGACTTGGAACCAACCCAAATGTCCAACAATGATACACTGGATTAAGAAAATGTGGCACATATACACCATGGAATACTATGCAGCCATAAAAAATGATGAGTTCATGTCCTTTGTAGGGACATGGATGAAATTGGAAATCATCATTCTCAGTAAACTATCGCAAGAACAAAAAACCAAACGCCGCATATTCTCACTCATAGGTGGGAATTGAACAATGAGAACACAAGGACACAGGAAGGGGAACATCACACTCTGGGGACTGTTGTGGGGTGGGAGGAGGGGGGAGGGATAGCATTAGGAGATATACCTAACGCTAAATGACGAGTAAATGGGTGCAGCACACCAGCATGGCACATGTATAGATATGTAACTAACCTGCACATTGTGCACATGTACCCTAACACTTAAAGTATAATTAAAAAAAAAAAAAAGCAACAGCAAGTCCCCCACGAGAGGGGCGGGTGCAGCCTCCCATGTGGACGGCAGAGAGAGGAGAGGGGCCTCTCACCCTTGAGCGCCTGCTTCCCACTGCCCCAAATAGCAGCTATATGGTGCCTTGGTGTGCCAGGGACCCTGTGCACCCTCCATCTCATCTCCACCGCACCTCAACTGTCTCAGCAGGTGAGGAGGTATTTGTTTTTTTTTTTCTTTTTTTGTTTTTTTGAGATGGAGTTTTGCTCCTGTTACCGAGGCTAGAGTGCAATGGTGCAATCTTGGCTCACCACAACCTCCGCCTCCTGGGTTCAGGCAATTATCCTGCCTCAGCCTCCCGAGTAGCTGGGATTACAGGCATGCACCTCCAAGGCCGGCTAATTTTGTATTTTTAGTAGAGATGGAGTTTCTCCATGTTGGTCAGGCAGGTCTCGAACTCCCAACCTCAGGTGATCTGCCCGCCTTGGCCTCCTAAAGTGCTGGGATTACAGGTGTGAGCCACCACACCTGGCCGAGGTATTTGTTTTCAAAACAGCTAAGAAAAAGCAGTAGGTTTGGGACTTGAACCTAGCTCTGTCTGGATCCCTCCACACCACCAGACCACATTCTGCCTTCTGTCCACCAGGAACTGGCTGGAATCCTGCCTTCCTGGGACTACTCCCCCAGGCCTCTGCCCCCCAACCCCGGGACTCCCACCCCTGGGGGATCAGTTATTATGATTTTGTGCTATTCTGACTTGGATTCTCTGCTTATCTTTTCAATGTGTGTCCTGTTTGTGTTTTTCTCCCCAATGCTGTTCTGCATCGCTTGAAGGCAAAGTCCAAACCTGATGCTATCTTTTAATCTATTTAAGCCTAGAAAGGGACAATCAATATCAAATTGCAACAATTCCATTTCTTTTTTTTTTTTTTTTTTTTTTTGTGAGACGAAGTTTCATTCTTGTTGCCCAGGCTGGAGTGCGATCTTGGCTCACTGCAACCTCCGCCTCCCGGGTTCAAGCAATTCTGCCTCAGCCTCCCAAGTAGCTGGGATTACAGGTGCCCCCCCACCATGCCCAGCCATTTATTTGTACTTTTAGTAGAGATAGGGTTTCACCTTATTGGCCAGGCTGGTCTCGAACTCCTGACCTCAAGTGATCCACTCACCTTAGCCTCCCAAAGTGCTAGGATTACAGGCGTGAGCCGCCGCATCCAGCCAACAATTCCAATTCCATTTCTTTCTCTTTCTTTTCTTTTCTTTTCTTTTTTTTTAGACAGTATCTCACTGTTGCCCAGACTGGAGTGCAGTGGTTTGATCATAGCTCACTGCAGCCTCAACCTCCTGAGCTCCAGTGATCCTATTGCCTTGGTCTCCCAGGCAGCTGGGACTACAGGTGCATGCCACCACGCCCAGTTCACTTTTTAACATTTTGTTGTAGAGATGAGGGTCTCACTGTTGCCCAGGCTGGTCTCAAACTCCTGGGCTCTAGAGATCCTTCCACCTCGGCCTCCTAAAGTGCCGGGATTACAGGCATGAGCCATCATGCCCAGTCCTTTGATTGTTTTTTAATGTGGTATCTGAGACTGGAGAGGGTGAGGTTTGTGGAAAGAGCAGGAAGCCTTAGGTGTGCACCGGAGTGAAGCCCCTTCGTGGCTGGGTGGCTTGTCCTCCTTTGTGCCTTATTTCTTCATCTGTGAAATGAGGACAATTTTTCCTTCCAGGATTGTAGGAAGTGCTATCCATGGGAGGCATGGCAGAGCGGCCTGGTATCCCTAAGGCACTCACTTGTTGAAGGTGATCCCCAGCTAAGTGAGTGCAGGCAGGAGCCACGCTTCCCTCCTTGCTATTCCCCCATCAGTGTCTGAGCTCAGGGTTCTTTGAGTCAGACTGAAGGGAGAAGAAATCGAAAGGAAAGAAAAAACAGGTATCAGTGAATACCAGAATTGATCAAAATGATACAGGTGAGAACAATGAGACAGAAAAAGGGACTGCAGAGCCGGTATATTTTGAGGGTGGAACATGGTGAGACAGGAAGACTAGGGTCTTTGGAGAGTGAGGACATGGGTTCCAGGCCCAGACTTGCCATGTCCGGGTTATTTACTTCTGAGTCCTTGCGACTGAGTTCCCTTGCTTTCCTCTGTAAAATGGAAACCTGTCAGGGAATGGCTCAAGCTCCTGTGCCCACTTCTGTGTAAACCACTCACCAATGGACCCCTGGGGGGCTGCATGGTGTCTCCACTGCCCCAAGGCAGGCCCTAAGACCTCTAGGTGGCTGGACACCTTGTCCCGTTTGAAGAGTGGCCTGGAGCCACCTCAGGCTGGGGCCCACCCTTTTCAGTGGCCTGAAGGCCTCTAGGACTCAGAGCACCTGACACAGCTCATCACTCATTCAGTTTTACAAACCTACTTCTTCTTGCAGAGCACTGTTTCTGTGACTAAGACACCATCTTTGCCCCGAAGGAGCTCACAGACCCTTGGTGAGACGGACACCCAGAGCATTCAGATACAGGGTGTGGCCTGCCCTGTGCCACTGATACACTTCTTGCCATTCCTGTGCAAACTGACTTCTTGAATACTTCCATTTATGGCTTCCAGGGTGTGCTATTTTAACTCCTTGAATATATGGGGATCTCTTTATGTTTGGCCAAGGGGATTAGCACAGTCTCAATGCCCTTGGGATTCTCAAGAGCTATTTGATGCATAAGTAAAAACATGAACTAATTCGGGGGCAGTGGAGGCGGGGAAGATGGGGCAGGATGTGTTATGTGTTCTCTCACAGAGCCCAGAAGTGATATGGGAGCCGAGGAGTGGGCTAGGAGGGCTTCCTGGAGTAGGTGACATTTGAACTGGGTTCTGGAGGATGAGTTAGAATTTGCCAGGCATGTCTTCTCAGCACAGGGACCAGCATTTGAAAAAAAAAAAAAAAAAGCCTGAATGATGTGAACTGCCTACTGGCCAAGTGGGTGTAGGATGATGATGGTGAAGTGAGCCATGTAAAGTAGAAGAGACAGATTCAAGAGCGGTATCACGGCCCAAGATTTTGAGCAGTACAGGTAAACAGAGAAAAGCAGAACGATCACTCAATCTTGACACTCAAGGACAGTCACCATATGTACATACACCTATGTTTTTAAGAGAATTCATACGTGTTCTTTTTTAAAGAAAGACTATGTAGTGTTTTCTTTTTCTATGTCTGGGATTTTGTTTTGTTTTGTTTTGTTTTTGAGACGGAGTTTCACTCTTGTCGCCCAGGATGGAGTGCAATGGCGAGATCCCGGCTTACTGGCCTCCCCAGTTCAAGTGATTCTCGCATCTCAGCCTCCCGAGTAGCTGGGATTACAGGCGCACGCCGCCACGCCCAGCTAATGTTTGTATTTTTGGTAGAGATGGGGTTTCACCATGTTGGCCAGGCTGGTCTTGAACTCCTGACCTCAGGTGATCTGCCACCGCGCCTGGCCAGGGAGTTGTTTTAAACAGATTTTCTCCCTCTCTTTTCGGGATGTTAACTCTGGTGCTGCGTGGGGAGCAACGTGGAGAGCAAAGAACACTTAAGTGAGTAGCTGCCACCATAGCCACCGGGACAGTGCGGGAGGAGCAGTCTCCCAGGTAAAGACCGTGGGTAGAGGGGCGCGTGGCGGGTGAGAGGGAGGAGTCCGCGCTGACTCACGGGTTTCTGGCTTAGGAAACAGTGGAGCTGCTGATACCTTTATGAGGAAGCCGGGCAAGTTTGGAGGGGCAGATAACTAACTGGGATGGGAACACCTCGGGTATTCGTAGAAGTGTCCCGCGGGCTGTGGTCTCGCGTGGGGGACTCCCCAGGCCCGCACCCCTGTCTGGGGCACCTGCGAGGCGCCAGGCAAGTTGCCTGGGGCGGGGAGTGCGGCCTGAGCGTCCAGGCTTAAGCCCCGATGCGCGGGCCCTTCTCCGCCCAGGCCGGCCCTCGCCACCCCGCTCTCACAGGTGAGGGTGTCTGCCCTGCCGCCTTGGGATGCGAACAGGCGTGAGGCCCCCTCACTCCCTAGTGTCACGAGGTAGGGCGGGACCCGAATCCCGGCCCTGCCACTTCCTGCCTCGACCACTTTGGAGCAGTTGCTCGCCCCCCGCCTCAGTTTCCCCATCCGCCCACCTCGTCGGCAGGACCCAAGGGCGGTCTGTAACCTGCAGAGGCCATTCCACTTCCCTGGCCGGCGGCGAAGGCTAGTGGCGCGGCCTGGGCTGGGGTCGCCCCGACCGTTCCCGACCGACGCCACCTAGGAGGGTCTGGGGAAGGGGACGCGAGGAGCTGGGAACACGCAGCGCCGCCCCAGCGGGACGGGCGGGCCCGGGCTGGCGTCGAATCCGCGCCCGAGAGCCCAGCCCGCGGCCAGGCCGCCGCTCCCGGAGCCCGCTGGGGCCCGGAGCCCCGGCCCTCTACGCCTGGTCGCCATCAGAACAAAAGCTGTGGCTCAGCCCGGAGCCCAGGCGCCCCGCAGGCCTGGCCCGCGCCGGGCCGCCAGCTTCCCTACGCTTGGCGGCCGCGCCTTCAGCCCTTCGGCCCGAGCACGCTCGGCTCTTTCCGCCACGGCCGGCGCAGGTGGAGGGGGCGGGGCGGGGGCCGTGCGTGGTGACGCCGCGGGGGGGTGACGCACCGGCGTGCCCCGCCCCCACCCCCTCCCCGTTCAGGCTCTGGAAAGAGAAGAAAAAAAACTTTCTTTTTTTTTTAATTGAGGAATCAACAGCCGCCATCTTGTCGCGGACCCGACCGGGGCTTCGAGCGCGATCTACTCGGCCCCGCCGGTCCCGGGCCCCACAACCGCCCGCGCACCCCGCTCCGCCCGGCCGGCCCGCTCCGCCCGGCCCTCGGCGCCCGCCCCGGCGGCCCCGCTCGCCTCTCGGCTCGGCCTCCCGGAGCCCGGCGGCGGCGGCGGCGGCAGCGGCGGCGGCGGCGGCGGAACGGGGGGTGGGGGGGCCGCGGCGGCGGCGGCGACCCCGCTCGGCGCATTGTTTTTCCTCACGGCGGCGGCGGCGGCGGGCCGCGGGCCGGGAGCGGAGCCCGGAGCCCCCTCGTCGTCGGGCCGCGAGCGAATTCATTAAGTGGGGCGCGGGGGGGGAGCGAGGCGGCGGCGGCGGCGGCACCATGTTCTCGGGGACTGCCTGAGCCGCCCGGCCGGGCGCCGTCGCTGCCAGCCGGGCCCGGGGGGGCGGCCGGGCCGCCGGGGCGCCCCCACCGCGGAGTGTCGCGCTCGGGAGGCGGGCAGGGGATGAGGGGGCCGCGGCCGGCGGCGGCGGCGGCGGCCGGGGGCGGGCGGTGAGCGCTGCGGGGCGCTGTTGCTGTGGCTGAGATTTGGCCGCCGCCTCCCCCACCCGGCCTGCGCCCTCCCTCTCCCTCGGCGCCCGCCCGCCCGCTCGCGGCCCGCGCTCGCTCCTCTCCCTCGCAGCCGGCAGGGCCCCCGACCCCCGTCCGGGCCCTCGCCGGCCCGGCCGCCCGTGCCCGGGGCTGTTTTCGCGAGCAGGTGAAAATGGCTGAGAACTTGCTGGACGGACCGCCCAACCCCAAAAGAGCCAAACTCAGCTCGCCCGGTTTCTCGGCGAATGACAGCACAGGTGAGGAGGGGGTCCGGGGCGGCGGGGGCCCGGGGCGCGCTGTCACCCCCACCTGAAAGAGAGCGTCCGGGGGTCGTGGTCGCGGATACCGATCGAGCCGGGAGCTCGGAGCAGGCCCCGCAGCCCGTTCCCCTCGCCCCGCGCGGGAGGGTGGAAGTTCGTCGCAGGACTGTCACTGGGCCCGAGTTGGTCAGCACACGCCCGGTGCACTCGGCCTCCCCGCACCCGATCAGCCCTCCTCGCGGGGACCCTAGTGGCACTCCAGGAGGGAAGAAGTAAAGTGCAGCGTGTGGGTTTGTTTGGTAATGTCCTACGCATCCATCCGCGGCCGTGTCCACACGCGTGGCCGTCCAGAGGAATGACAGCGGAGGGTACCTTTGATGCTTAGAGAAAGCAAGATCGCGGCCAAAGGTAGGGCAGTGTGTTTTCTGGATTGGCGACACATTGACCAGGCTGCATTCAGAGGACACTCACAGCAGCCGCCAGCTTGCGAGTTAGAACCGAAGTTTCTTGGAATGAGTGAGTTCCTTGGAAAGATGCTTAGTGCTTATTTTCAAAACTCCTTGTTTTGTGTGTGTGTGTGTGTGTGTGTGTGTGCGCGCGTGTGTGTTTTTAGTCAACTAGTCATTCCATTTTTCAAAACCCAAACTTCGTTAGCAAGATGTCATGAAAGTTGCTGTGGTGTGTTTCATTTCCATGTATAACTTCAAAAGAAAGTTAAACAGCAGGTTTAAGTTCATTTGGGCTGCAATCTCCATTTGAGTTTGTGTTGCTTTCACAGTGTAGATGTACAAAGAATTAAGGAATGTAGGAATTCCAATTTTTCAAAAAAATGGAGCAGGATACTGAATAAATCATCTTTTTGTTTGTTTCCTTTCATTAAACGGCTTCCCTGGAAACTTTCTTAAGTTATCATAGCTGCTTAAGAGAAGTATTTAGTTTTCTATTAATTCAGTAATTCTGGGTCCCACTGCGCTGGTTCATGGTAACATGAACTAGTTGTATTTCCTCTTTTAGAGCTCTCTCCTTTGCCGCAAAAACTTGTGTGCCGCTGCGAACAATTCCATCTCCAGCGCAGCTTGCATTTCTCCAGTAGTCTTGCAGTGGTAGCATCTGAAAATCAGTTTCTAATGAATGAGTCCAAATTGAATTACATCGCTGCCTTCAGATTTGCACTAGACACAGCTGTTCAACTTGTGGAAATAGTTCTGTGACCGACCACTAGCATATTAAAAAAAACTGCTATTGCTGTTGAAACAAAACCTGAATTTTGTGGCTTAAGTTTGAATACAATTCCTGGAATCAAGTTATGATAAGCGACGTTTAATATTAATGTAGAAGTGAAAAGCGATTTTTAAAGATCAATCATAAGGAGATTCTTATCTAGTTAAAATTTGTTAAACAGTGGGGAGGAGTAAATGATGCTCATGGTATATAAAAATCACTAATGCTTTTCTTTTTAGCTGATAAAAGTTGAGTTTGACGTTAATCTTATAAAATGAACTTATTGAAGTGAGAAATTTGGAAACAGTAGTTTAAATGCCGTTGTACTGCAAAACAGATCTCCGTTGCTTCATTAATCTTGCTGTGTTTGAGTAGTCTTCAGTTCTGTGAGACGTAGGTCATACGTGGCGAGTTCAGCTTTGAAGCTTGTCTTCTGAAACTGGTAACCTGGATGGCTTTGTAGCTTTGCTGTTGTTGAATGAATTTGTTGTAGATTTTGTCTTAAAAAGGGGGACAATTAGTAACACAAGACTTAACAAAAAGGCATGTCCTTATATGTACATCCAGCTGTTTCCAAGATGGAGCCCAAAGGTTAGCTTTTTCCATAGTAGTGTCCATTATTGGATGATCAGATGCTTAATAAGTTGATCAGAAAGGATTTTCCACACTTAACCACCTTTTCCCCCTTCCTTTACAATTTTGATCCTTGTAAGGCACAGGGGCTCTTTCGTGGGACCAAAAGTCAGCTTTAAATGGCTCCGATTTAATCCAAAGTAGAAAGTCAACATCATACTTAAGTTGGGTCATGTGTTACACATTCATCACCATCACACTATTGTGAAAGGGTCTGTTAGTATGGGGGACCAAGGAAGGGCTCATTATCAAGCACATTAAACAAGGGGCTGCTGGGCGCCATGGCTCATGCCTGTAATCCCAGCACTTTGGGAGGCGGAGGCTGGTGGATCAACTTCAGGTCAGGAGTTCAAGACCAGCCTGGCCAACATGGGGAAACCCCATCTGTACTCAAAATACAAAAACATAGCCAGGCATGGTGACATGCACCTGTAATTCCAGCTACTTGAGAGGCTGAGGCATGACAATTGCTTGAACTCGGGAGGCAGAGGTTGCAGTGAGCCAAGATCGCGCCACTGCACTCCAGCCTGGGTAATGGAGTGAGACGCTGTCTCCAAAAGAAACGAGGGACACTTTGTCTGTTGTAACTGCTCCACTAAGAAATTGAGTAATGAGATGGACAGAGATCTTAGGGATGTATTTTAAACAAATAAATGGCTTGAGTTTTTACATTAAATACATTCAAAAACTGAAGGCATTTGGTTAGGTGGGACAGACCTGAGAATAACATTCTTGAGGAACTCAATCTTATTTTAGTGACGGGATGTGTCTCTGAGGCTCCCAGGGGAAAATTGGGCCTAGTGGAGCAGGGTGTGTGCCCGGTGCATGTGATCAAATTTGAGGGAGGGGACCTCTGTCTAGGAGCTGAGGGGTTGAAAGGAGGAGGAGCCCTTGGCAGCCTGAGAAACAGGATCTACTTGGACTGCAGTGCATGTCTGTAGAGACTGGCCTGTGGGGCCACCAGTGTCACTTAGATGTGTCTGTGAAGGGTGGCAGTGAGCTGAGAGAAAAATGCACCCGACATTGGGGAGCTGCTCAGCCAGGGTGCTGCTCATCTGGGGGCATGGATGTTGCAAACAGCACTCCCGAAGGTCATGCAGCACCTCAGAGTGATGAATGTCACTGCCACTGATGACAAACAAGTTGCCGAAGCCTGGGAAGCTTATGCAGAGATGATGCAGAAATACGGAATGTGCTGCGAATGAGGGTAGCAAGAGAGAAACGGTACCTTTCACCCCACTGAAGCAGCAGCCCTGGAGAGGCACAGAATTTGATGGCCTCAGATGTTAAAGTAGCATTTTCTTGTATTATGTAGAAGCCTTTACACTTTCTCATACATGAGGTCTTCCTTTACTTGGCACCCTTACAATAAGTGGGGACTTTATATTACCGGTATATAGTTAGTTGGGTGTTTTGGAAACTTCTTTATTTAATATGTCCAAGTTAAAATAGCATATTGTGTCTTTCAACATCAGAGATTCATGATTTAACAGTATAAGACAAATATCCAGGCAAGCAGTAGACTTTTGTTTTTTGTTTTCTGGGTTGTTTTTTTTTTTTTTTTTTTTTTTTTTTGGTCAGCTTTATTGCAAAATTTGCACACAACAGACTGTTTATAAAGTTTTTTGAAATTGCAGGCCAGGGTGGTGGCTCATGCCTATAATCCCAGTGCTTAGGGAGACTGAGACAGGAGGATTGCTTGAGGCCAGCAGTTGGAGACCAGCCTGGACAACATAGTGAGACCCCATCTAAACAAAAAATTTTTTTAATTAGTTGGGTGTAATAGTACAATCCTGTAATCCCAGCTATTCAGGAGGCTGTGGCAGGAGGATCGCTTGAGCCCAGGAGGTCGAGGCTGCAGTGAGCTGTGATCATGCCACTGCACTCTGGCCTGGGTGACAGAGTGAGACCCTGTCTCTGGGGGAAAAAGGAAAAGAAAAACTACATTCTGAAGATTGAACATAGCTGTGTTTCATCCTGTGCTGTATAAGTGGCTCTAAGCAGTTGTGATTACATTTTATGACGTGAATCCTTTTAAATGCAATAGGGAAGCTTATTTAAAGAAAGCTGGTGGCGAATATGGTTGTCAACCAAATGGTCTGTTATGTATGTCTGGTACTTTATGTATCAGAGTGCTTTTCTCCACGTCACCTCAGTTTGATCCTTACAGCGTCCTGTGAGGAAGGGAAGATGCTGTTACTGCTATTTTCTAGGTGAGGAACTGGACTTGAGAGGTGATACAGGGTCAAAACCAGATCCAAACTAGATTGTTAAAGTCCGTAGCTCTATATATTTATTTTCTAAGTCTCTATCTGTAAACAATGCATTTACTTGAATCGACCCAGGAACCTGCCAAGCTTAGTGAGTTTCAGTAGCGGCCTTCCCGCACATGAATGAGATCACTAAGGGGGAGGTTTGTAACCACCTGTGGTGGGGGCAGCCAGGAGTGTATTCTTCCTCCTGGGTTAGGGCGTCCCCCTTTTCCCTCTGGTTCTGGTGTTATCCTCAGCGTGACGTGTGTGGGCTCGTGTTCCTGTTTACCTCAGGGAGAATGAGAAACGGTTATGTTACCCCATCAGTGAGTTCTGGCTAAGTAGGAATAAAAGTTGTCATAGAGACTTTTAGGACTAGGACATTTCATGACCGTGCTTCGTTTTTGAATAACTGAGAGGGGTGAGAGCGGTGGCCCCATTCAAAGGTCGTCAGGGATGAAGGTAGGCAAGGACAAGTCATGTGCAGGGCGCCTTAGAGGGCCTTCAGAAGATGGAAAGTCGCTCCTGGCTGAACATTCAGATTTGATTCTGTAAACAGAATTGAACATAACTTACAAAGAGACTGAGTCCTGCAGTTGGAAGTTGATGCTTAGATTAGTCGCCTGTGTTTTCACAGCTTCTAAGTAGTGTGTTGTAATTGTGTGGCAAAGTATGTGATTACCTGGGGGGTCCATAATTGCTGACTTGTGTTTTTACTTGATGTATTTGAAAACAGTTAGGAAAATGATTTTGCCAAAGTGTGTCTTACCTTAGTTAAGATGAAATGTACCTTATTGTGAGTTTCTGAAGATTGCAAAAGCTTGTCAGTTTAGTTTTTGGGGTCCCATTAGTGAGGGCACCCCTCTTTACCTTACTCAAACCAGCTCTTCACATGTATTCCAAGAAACTAGAGGGCATGCTAAGAGGTATTTCTCAACAAATGGTTTGTGCTCAGATGCTGTTGCTTGTAGCTGAGGAATTTGACTGCAGACTTTCCCAGAGCCTTGGTGTCCTGATTGGGCACTGTGAGAGAGGGGCTACAGTTGGACCACTCTCAATCCTGTTTGACGCTAGAACTCTTTTTAGCCTATTATGGGTCCGCAGACTTCCTCTGCAAAGGGCCAGAGAGCACGCATTTGGCTTTCTGAGCCATATGGTCTCTTGTTGCAACTACTCAAGGCTGCCATTTCAGCAAGAAAGTAGCCATAGGCGAGTGGGCCTGGCTGTGTTCCAGTAAAACTCTAGTTGTAAAGACTGGCATCTGAGGACTTCGCCCATGGGCTGCAATTTGGTGACTGATATAACGTGGGACTTCATTCTCTGAGCACCCGTTGGGGAGCACTGGCCTACCACGGCTGCACAGACAGCTTTAAGGAAAACAGCAGCAGGGCAAGTTTTCTGAGCTGCATGATGTGGAGCCCGGGAGAGCCCAGGTGAGCAGCAGGCTAGCTTGGGTCTCCTGTCTTGGAGCACTTCAGAGCTTAGCAGGGCCCTCTCTCTCTGTCTTTTTTGTTCCTCTGTAACAGTTATATGGATGACTTGATTTAAAATCAGACGAATTTATCAGAAAGCCTGGTGACCGGTTGCATTTTTCTTTGTTCTTTTGCTTTTTGTTGACCCCAGTGGCCCACATGGCATTTCTCGTCCGTCTTTGTCATCTCAGGCTCTAGGCTTGCTCCCCTTCCTGTGACACCAGAAGGTGAGCGTCAGTAAGAACTCCAGAGCCTTTCCACGGCCCTCTTCCCAGCACTTCCCTCCCCAGGGGCAGTGCCTGACACATAGTAGGCCCTCAGGAAATATTTGAGGGAATTAGTGAAAGAATTATATAGTATTTGTCCCTTAAAGTTCTTATCATTTTCTTGTTAAGGTTTTACTTTCAAGCAGATTGCCACCTATCTTCTAATTGGGTCTGTTATTTGCTTCCGAGTTCCGTACCCATGGGCTCCCACCCGGCCACCAAACCAGCTGGCCTTAGGAGTGCTGAGGCCAGAGCATGTTTGGGGCAAGTTACATCAGCTCTCTGAGCTCAGAGTTTCCTCATCTGTAACATGGAGATAATAACAATTCCCATCTCAGGGTGGTTATGAGGGTAGCCTGAGATGATGTGTGTCTGGCATATCCGCCCAATGGGAACTGACACTAGCGTTAACCAGGGACGTTGTCGTACCTTGTAAGTCCTAGGACTTACTGGGAGTGCTAGTCTGATTGGAGCAAGACCTGTTTCTCAGCAGTTCTGGAAAGGACAGAAGCCATGTGTGCTCGTATCCACAGAAACCAGTGTGCAGGCACGCGTGTGATAGTGTAGCACCTCAGCAGATACATAGCCGGGAATTCTGTCATCTATACCATTGACTCTGTCTCCATTTTTTATTGTATTTTTAAAAATAGGAACGTGATGGCCATGAAAGCTTAAAATTACGAAAACTTAAATGGTGTGTGTTCTGAATTATTTTTTCTTTTAAATCAAATCAGGATGTACACTGAAAATTATTGATAATTTTGAAGCATATTTCATGGACTGTTTAAGCAGCAGACAAGTATGTGATTCTGTTTGTTTACTGTGTATAATTTATCTTGAGGTACCTGTTAAGCATTAGCAGTGTACACAGGATTCTGATAGATGCCTGTGAGTACTTAGAACCATCTTGAGAAGATGAAACCTCGAGGCAAAACTTAAGGAAAGGGTACAGAAATGCAGTCAAGTGCAAAAACTCTGGAACCAGAAAGGGTGATCTGAATAAGGCTTCATTTACTCCCTCCCCTGTTTCCTGAGTGTCCCCGTGTGCAGAAGTCCAGGGCCGCATGCCCCAGTGGGAGGCAGGCCCTGGGATGGTTGAGGAGCCTTGGGCTCCTGTGACAGCTCTTCTGCTGAGCCAGCACAGAGCCAGGAGTTGGGGAAGCCTGCCTGTTTTCCATGCATTCCTGGTTGTTGGGAAAAGCACCCTGACCATGACAGTTTGTTTCCTGGGGTATCGTTGTAGGCCCATGGCTTGCTCACATCTGAGTCCTCTTCTGGTTGTCCCGTCTCTCCTAGGCTCTGAAGCTCCTGGCCGTGCCGTCTGCTTTTTAGCACATGCGCTCAGCGTTCCCTTTAGTCCTCTCTGAGGTCTTTTCCTTGCAGTGCATCCCTCCGGATACACTCCTTGCTTTAACTGGAAAAGGATGCTGCTCTTCTCAGTCAGGCTCAAACTTGGCTTTCGGCAAAATTCTCCTATTGCATGAGTCTTTGATGCAGAAGTGTAAGCCTTGGGAGCAGTGCCTGTGGGGGCTTTTGCCTGTTCTCCTTTCCCTGGGGCCGTGCTCTGCTGACAGGGGTGCTACAATAGGCCACGAGCAGAGTCCCCGGGGCGTCCTGGAGTGGTCAGGTCTTTGCCATTTGAGCTGTGACTTGAAGAGATTTGAGCAAGGGCACACAAATCAAATTGGGCAAGGCTGTGTGAAAGGCATGGAAGTAAACAAAAGTGGCCCCTCTCTTTTTAAAGTTTTTTTTATTAAGTTCCTAGACAATATAGGCGGTGACTGTGGCTGTATTTAAAATACTGCCTTTAGGGTGTTTTCTGGTTCTAAATTTAGGAAGCAAGGCTATTTTTGAGCTCTGTCTCTAAAAGTTGAATTCCTTTTAAAACTTACCCTTAAGAAAGATTTGGATATTATCCCGTGTGACATTTTCCCCGGTGTTTCATTTCCATTAATCAAAAGACTGTTTAGTTGAACCATTGCTAAGAATAGTAAAATCTAATGGGGAAAATAATTCTACATGATTAAATCTGACTTTACTTTCCCATTTCTAGTTGTACTGTCTGCTATTGTTTGAAAATGTCTTAATTTGCCTTTCTAATATGCCTGTACTATATTGTATACAGTAGGTATATTTTCCAGTTGCACCTAATTCAACCTTTCGAATTTGCATAATCTGTGGTAAGGAGAAAAAGTAGTTGTGTAGTGGAGTTGTACAATTCTGTTGTAAAGCAAATCTTTTTATAATTCACAAGCTGCTTCTCCTCCCCCTAGTTTGGATTTTTCTTATTAAAACTGCACCACCTAAACATGTTTTAACTTTATGGTTAAAATAACCAGTGAAATAGAAAAATAAGTCACTGTTCTGTATGATAACATGTAGAGAAGGCTTGTACAACATTTAAATAAGGAGATTTGGGTATTTGATTACAAACTGAATGAGGACATTCAGGAGCTATAGAAATTTATCAGGTAATTAGGGTTTGCTTAGACAATTATAGACTCTACGAGTTTGACCCAGTTGCTTTGGATTAAAATATTTTGAGTATTTGTCACCTGATTAAAAGTAGAACCTTCTAACTGTGAGTCACAGTTGAAGGAAATGTCAGCTTTTTATACGGGGAGGCGGTCAGTGTGGTGCTGAGGAGGGAGCCCTGGCTCCTGCTCAGAGTAGACTGTGAGTCCCAGCTCCCAGCTCGGCAGCGCTGTGACTTGGGCTGGTGACATCACATTTGAGTTTTGCAGGGTGGGGTGTGTGTGTGTGTGTGTGTGTGTGTGTGTGTGTGAGTGAGAGAGAGAGAGAGAGAGAGATCTCTAAAAGGGGCTTTTTACCCTGCAGTATTCCATTTGTTTCTTTTCTTTCTCTTCTCTCTTCTTTCTTTCTTTTTTCTTTCTTTCTTTCTCTTTTCCTTCCTTCCTTCCTTCTTTTTTTCTCTTTCTTTCTTTTCCTTCCTTCCCCTTCCCCTTCCCCTCCCCTTCTTTACATTACTTTTCTTCTTTCCAATGGGGTCTTGCTTGCCCAAGCTGGTCTTGAACTCCCATCCTTCAGCAATCCTGCCTCGGCCTCCTGAGTAGCTGGAATTACAGGTGTGAGATGGAGCCACTGTGCCTGGCTCTACTTCTGCTTACTTTGATTATCTTGGTACATGGGGCTACTAGGGTGCCTGGCATATAGCAGGTTGAGGCAGCTGTTTTTATTGTTTAATTGTATGGGAAAATATTAGCCATCACCTACTTCTTGGGCCAGTGAGGACTAAGATGATGTAGCCTGACCCGGAATCAGGAGGCTTCTCACTGAATACATGGGAAGCTTCTGCCCCTGCCTGTTTGGCTTTCAGTGCCAGCTCTAGTGCAGTTTGGGAACCAGTTTGTAAGAAAACGAACTAAGATTCGAGAATCTTACAAAATGGGTAATCGTTTGACTCATTTTACTCCGTCTGTGTTTGCAGTTCAACTGTTTTTTATTGGAAAATTGAACTCTTAATTAAATGGAACTCTGTTTCTAGTTATTGCTTCAGAACAAGGGCTTGATTTAGATTAGGACTTAGAGAAAAGGGAAAAGTAAATGCAGAGAAATTATAAATATAGTATTTTATTGAAAACAGAGTTGGGAAGAAAATGGCCTTGGGATCACTGTCCAGTTTAGTCAGGTTGGTTGAAAGGAATACCAGTGAAACTCAATTGCCTCTCGGGCTCAGCTACACAGATCTTGAAAGGAACAGATTCAGCTCTGTGCTGTACTGTGTGACTTTTCTCCTCCTGCAGATTCTATAGTAGGAAATTCTTTTAATGGAGATTACTGTTTTTCTGTTCTCCTAGATTTGGTGTGATTTTTTTTTTTTATAAGTAAAAGTTACCCCGTGGTGGACAAAATTTTTCCCCGATTTGTGGATATCTTTACTTAAATCTGATTTACATATTCAGAACGTCACCTTTATTGAAAATAACAAAAAGACATAACATATTGATAGGTTTTCTGTGTCATTGTGGTTGTTCCTCTACTACTGTGGGAATCGGTTTTTGTTTGAAGAGCACACCTGCCCGTAGTTGAACTTCTGTTGAGAAGTCTCTGAGGGAATCATTTGAATGATGGCAAGAGAATCAAGTGTTTTGCTTTCACTGATGGCTTTCTCAGTCACTGAAACTTTAGGGGAGAACGGATTCTTTCCCAGGAGGAAGAGGGTGAATTGAGATGTTTCCTTGTTTGGGGATGCCTGTGTTCTCGGGATGCCCTCCAAGCCAGCGCTGTCCAGTGGTCGTTATTGGGAGGGCGGCTCTACGCTGTGTCTATATGACACAGTACTGGAACCACGAGCCACGTGTGGCTGTTGAGTACTTGAATTGTGATTAGTGTGACTTAGGAACTAAATTTTAAATGTTACCTGGTTTGAGTAAATGAAGATAGCCACATGTAGTTAGTCACTACGGTATTGGACAGCACAACTGTAAGTACATTTACTTATCCTCTTTGTCTAGAGTTTTCTTTAAGATACGTATCACCTAGATATTTATGACAAAGTTCCTTTAAAACGATCATCTTTTAAAGATGCAAGACTCCAAATTAAAAATGATGAAAGACTCCTTCAAAAATATTCACGGCTTAGGTCACACTGTTCAGGATTATTCACTAATTTAGAAAATATTTGTTATGCTGTGATGTAGGCCCTGGCGATCCAGTGGGGATGTGACAGGCCCCATCTCTGCCCTCATGGGTGGTGATGGATACTGGACAGGTAACTGCAGTCAGGTGTGACCTTGGAGGGGACATACTGTGCATTGACTGAGGCACCAGATGGGGACTGAGCCTGTTTTGAAGGGTATTGGAAGTCCCCGGGGGCTGTGACGTTAGCACTGACACCTGAGGGTGAATAGGAGATGGCAGATAGTACTGTTCCAGGCAGAGGGAACAGCACTCATAGCAGGGTGGAGGTCTGGCTCTTGTGACAGTTTTTGGGTTATGTTCACTGGGCTACCAGAATTTAGGAGGCCTCATGGTTTTGCTTCTGAGATGGTGGAGACTAAAGGTGTGGTTCTGCCCTGCGGGGGTTGGTCGGCCCGGGATCCAGTCTTGACTCCTACCACTTCATTCTTTTATTCAGCAAATATTTAAGCACATTTTACGTGTGGGGCACCCTGCTGGGCTGTGGTGATGACAGTAGTGGCAGAAGCTGCTTCTGTCCTCATGGAACTCTGAGTTGTGTGGTGTGGTGGGTGAGCAGTCCCGTGGTGCCCACCGTGGCCTATAGCATTTCACACTCAGCTCGATGTCTGACTGGAAGGAAGTGGATGCCTCAGGCTGGGTGGTCAGGGAGGCTTGTTGGAGGAAGGACACCAGAGCTCATTGAGGGTGAGTAGAGCATCAGCTTGGGCATCTGAAGGCGAGATAACATCACCAAGGGCCTTGAATGTCAGACCTAGGAGTCCAGGTTATTATTTTTTTTTAGGGCTTATAAAACAAAATTAAGCTTTAAAAAACCCGTGTCCAGAGTGATTGGGGGAGCTCCTGTGATTTATTTTCCAGAAGTCTAGATTAGCTTTTTCAAGGTGTGTTTTTTCATCCAAGTTCAGGTCTGTAGGGAGAGTAGACAATGCTTTCCCCTCCTGAGCCCCGTTTTTGGCAGGAAAAGGGCCCCATGAAAAGCAGCTTAAGAACTGGAACTAGTGTTCTTATTTAAGATGTTAGTAAATTTTTGTACAAACAATTTTCTTTTAAAAGTTTTTTTAAGTTCTTGTGAGTAGATAATATATTCATATGGTTCAGAATTCCAAAAAAGCAGAGTAATTGGTGAAAACTCTTCCTCCTGTCTGTTTCTGGGGTCACTGGTCATTCCCCTCCCCATAGGCAACCAGTGTTAGCTGTTTCTTACGTATTCTAGAGATGGACTGTGCGTAGCCAGGCAAATATGGTCTCTTCTTACTCTTTTTGCCCTAAGTAGCCCATTTTATGTAACTCTACTATCAGTGCCTTTCAGACTGATACATATCTCAGAGCTGTTGGAAATGTTAGTATTAGAAATGCAGGCTTTGTTCTATTTTTTTAAATTTATTTTTATTTATTTTGAGACAGGGTCTCACTCTGTCCGCCAGGCTGGTGTGCATTTATTTGATCACAGCTCACTGCAATGTCCACCTTCTGGGCTCAAGCAATCCCACCTCAGCCTCCCAAGTAGCTAGGATGACAGGTGCATGCCACTATGCCTGGCTAATTTTTTTTTTTTTTTTTTTTTTAGTAGAGATACGGGGTCTTCCTATGTTGCCTAGGCTGGTCTTGAGCTCCTGGGCTCAAGCAGTCCTTCAACCTCAGCCTCCCAAAGTTTAGGGATTACAGATGTGAGCCACTATGCTCGGCCCAGGCTTTCTTTTAATTAATTAAGTCTTCTTTTTTAACGGTAAAATGTTTTGGTGCTGCATTTAGATAAATAACACAAAACAATTTTAATGTTTTCTCTATGTTATATAAATAGGAATAATTGAAGTTTTCTTGTTTTTTGTTTGAGACGGAGTCTTGCTCTGTCACTTAAGCTGAAGTGCAGTGGTGAGATTATAGCTCACTCTAGCCTCAAACTCCTGGGCTCAAGCCATCCTCCCACTTCAGCCTCCGCAGTAGCTTGGACTACAGGCACGCACCACCATGCCCAGATAATTTTTTATTATTTTTGTAGAGACAGGGTCTTGCTATGTTGCCTAGGCTTAAAGTTTTTTTAAAATTAATTCCATGTCATCTCAAAGAATATTAGAGGTTTTGCTACTGTCATCAAAATGCATGTCATGCAGCCAGCTCACACAGAAGTTGTGTTTATTGTTTCTCAATTCCTGGAATAGATTCTTAAAACTTCTGGTTTTTATTACCCACCTTAATAGTTGAAATAGAAATATCTGTAGGTTAGCAACCTACTTCAACACCAAGCAGATAAAGTTTCTTGATGGGTAGGACTTCTAAGAACATTTTCATTAACTCCAGACCTTTTCGTTAATTTAGTTAATTAATGTAGAGATTGTAAAACACTGAGTATGACTCAGAAATCCTTTAGAAAAGAAAGGGTAAAATCAGTGAAGTTCCTTCAGAAGAGTAGCTGAGTTCCCTGGCATTGCAGATCCAGTTGAGGGAGAGTGATGGGTACTTAGGAGGGGAGAAAAGACTGAGAATCAATAAACAAAGGATGGAGAGCAAAAATGATAATTAGATCTCTTTTAGGGGTAGAAAGATATGCTAATGGTGTATGTAGGAAATTTCTAGAAGGGAATCTCTAGAAATTGTTTTTCGGGGTTGAGCTAGAGATGTTTTGGGGGCTGTTTTTCATTTTATATTCTGAGGGTTTTTTTTCAAACAAAGCAAAAAACCATAAATGTATTTACTTTCATAGTGAAAAAAGAAAAACTAGTTAAAAAAATTCAAAACAAAACATTTTGGGGGTATATATGTTTTTGTATTGTTTTATTTTTATATTTGTGATTAAGAGAATCTGTTAAATGGTGAGAAGCAAAGTTTTAGTTAATTCCTGTTGCAAAACCTTTAGACCTCTAATGAGAATTATTTGAACAAAGTACAAATTACCCCTAAGAGGCGCCATCCAGAGATAGGAAAATGGATTGTGTTTTAGTGTGGCGTCTGATCATCACTTGCTTTGTCACAAGCTCCATTTTTAACATCATCTTTATATTAGAGGTTTCTTCATTGATTTGCTAGAAGCCACAAGACATGACAGCCAACTAATTTTTGAGTATTTTGAAATAATGTCAGATTTCCCTGTGTGAGCGTTGGGTACAAAATGTTACATGTCGATTGTCACATCCCTTTAGAAAAAAATACTTTCGAAAAGTTCTTCTTTAAAGTGCCCTTTTCTTTTCTAGCCTTTTAAGCTTATTTGTACACTAAATATATTTTGAACTAATAGTGAACCCATTTCACATTTTATCCTCAAATCATAAGGACCCTAACTGGAAACTGGAGCACTGGGAACCATTCCAGGTGTTACCACCTGGTGCTGAAGTTAATCACCTGGGCCAGTATATCCCCAGTGGGGGTGCCTTAAAAAAAAATCAGTTTCTTGGCCGGGCGCGGTGGGCTCACGCCTGTAATCCCTGCACTTTGGAAGGCTGAGTTGATGGATCATGAGGTCAGGATATCGAGACCGTCCTGGCCAACATGGTGAAACCCCGTCTCTACTAAAATACAAAAATTAGCCGGGTGTGATGGCGTGCACCTGTAGTCCCAGCCACTCAGGAGGCTGAGGCAGGAGAATTGCTTGAACCCAGAAGGTGGAGGTTGCAGTGAGCTGAGGTCGCGCCACTACATTCCAGCCTGGGCGACAGATCAAGACTCCATCTCAAAAAAAAAAAAAATTAGTTCCTTTAATTACTTAAACTAGTAGTTCATTCACATGGCTCAGAAAACTCAGAGGACAAAACCTGTAGAGAGAGCCTCCCTCCACCTAGCTCCTCCCAGGTAACCACTGGAAGTAGTGCTGTCTTCCAGGGTTTATCTGTATTCAGGCAGACGCTGTTGACTCTTAGTTCTCTCTTCCCCCTTCCTGCCTTTTTCTTCTTAACTGAGGTAGCATAGTGTACACACAGCTGCATACGTTTATTGTCTTCTTACAGTTGTCTACCATTCCATTATGTGACCTGTGCCATAATTGCTTTAATCCTCTCCCCACTGGTGGACATTTAGGTTATTTCCAGTCTTGTCTTCTCACAAACAGTGCTTTAATGAATAGCCTTGTAAAGTTATGCGGACAGGCAAATCTATGGAACAGATTCATAGAAATAGAATTAGTGGTTAAAAGGCATATGCATTTATAGTTTTGATCATAGCAAATTTTCCTTCAAGAGCCTGTGTGTTGGTAGAGTCTTAAAATGTGAAAGGCAGCACATATATTCTCCAGGTATACATTGCTAGATGTGTTGCAGATATTCTTTTTTTTTTTGAGACAGAGTCTTGCTTTGTCGCCCAGGCTGGAGTGCATTGGCACGATCTTGGCTCACTGCAGCCTCCACCTCTCAGATTCAAGTGATTCTGGTGCCTCAGCCTCCTGGGATTACAGGCATGCACTACCATGCCCCGCTAATTTTTGTATTTTTAGTAAAGGAGGGGTTTTGCCATGTTGGCCAGGCTGGCCTCGAACGCCTGACCTCAGGTGACCTGCCTGCCTTGGCCTCCCACAGTGCTGGGATTACAGGTGTGAACCACCATGCCCAGCCACGGATATTCTTTATCAGCATAGTCTATGATGAGTAACACTAAGGTTGTTCTTCAGCTTGTGATTCTCCATCATGTTGTGCTTCTCAGTTGTTTCTGAATTCTCTCATTTTATGGTGTACCTTTTTATTATTATTTTGAGTCAGGGTCTCACTCTGTCACCCAGGATGGAGTGCAGTGACGTGATCTTGACTCACTGTAGCCTCCATCTCCTGGGCTCAAGCAGTCCTCCCACCTCAGCCTCCTGAGCAGCTAGGACTATGGGCATGTGCCACCATGCCTGGCTAATTTTTGTACTTTTTTTTGTAGAGACCGGGTTTCGCTATGTTGCCCAGGCTGGTCTTGAACTACTGGACCCAAGCAGTCCCCCTGCCTCGGCTTCCCAAAGTGCCAGGATTATAGGTGTGAGCCAACATACCTGGTACTGGCATACTTTTTGGACTTAAGGCATTCATTTTCTGTTTGTGGCTCTCAAATAGCCCACACGCCTCCACGCGTTGTACATGGACTGGCACTTCCAAGTCTGCTTTCACGTCTGGAATATGCTCTTTCCCCCTTTCTTGACTTCTTGTTGCCGCCTGCCAGCTACATCTCACAGCATTTGGGGCAAAGGACCTGGTCTCTGGATGTCTGTTTGCTTGTTCTTACAATATGGCTGGGGAATCTGAGGTGGCTGGGAATCTGGGGTCTGGGGCTGCTTCTGCAAAGGCTAGCTCCTAGCTCAGCCCCCACATTCTTCTTCCTCCAGGACTGTTCTTGGCTGGAGAATCCTCTCCCTGTAAGCAGGGTGGATAGGCAGCTGACTGTAGCACCTCTCCGGGGTCTGGTGCCCCTCTCAGCTGTGGTGGTGGTAAACAACCCGTTTTTGCTCCCCTGTCCCAGATGATTGGGCTAACGTGCAGGGGCTGCTGGGTCATTACTGTGTTCTGGTGGCAGCTGGCTGCTATGACAGGCACCTTCCATTCCACCCTTGTCCCCACCCTTCAGGGCTGAGGGAAGCAGCACGCAAACCATGTTGAGGAAACTAACGTTGTCTTGGCTGTCTGGGAATGGCACTTCCCTGTGACTGCTAAGTGCACCAAATAAAAATAGACTTGGCTGCATTTCCAGGACAGTTTAGGGTCCCAGGTGACAAAGAACTTTGAATAAGGACTGTCTAGGGTTTTTTGTTTTTGTTTTTGTTTTGAGACAGAATCTTGCTCTGTCACCCAGGCTGGAGTGCAGTGGCGCGATCTCGGCTCACGGTAGCCTCTGCCTCCCGAGTTCAGCAATTCTCCGGTGTCACCCTCCTAGGTAGCTAGGATTACAGGCACCCACCACCACGCTCAGCTAATTTTTGTATTTTTAGTAGAGATGAGGTTTCACCATGTTGGCCAGACGGGTCTTGATCTCCTGACCTCAGGTGATCTTCCTGCCTGGGCTTCCTAAAATACTGGAATTACAGGCATGAGCTACTGTGCCTGGCCCTGTCTTGCTTGGGTTTTTTAAATGGAAGGTAAATAGTAATCATTCAGCGAAGCAGGATGTTTTTTGATACCTGATACAGAGTACAGCCATCAAGTGCATTTGAGAATGAATAAAAAAGCTAAAATTTTATAATCAATTATGCAAAAGTAGATTTTACCTTTTCCAGGTAGCACTCTTGAATATTGTATTAAGTGCATTTTGATAAATCAGTATTTCCCTTCTGATTCACATTACAGTTTCTAAGGTTCTGTAATTTTTATTGCAGTTAGTTTAACCTGATACCATAGCTTGATTTATTTCCCCTTAATTCAAACTTTGAAGTTCATCATGTTTCCATGTTAAATGAACTTACTAAGCACATTTCCGTGTAAAAGAGTCCCCCTGGATGGACCCTTCTGTGACATGAAGAATATTTGTCCTGTAATTTAGCTTTCAAATAAGAGGCAAACTCTGAGCAGAACTTCAGAGGGAAAGGACACTGAGAAAAGACAGTTCCAAAGAGGCAGGGACGGAAGACAGCAAGGCAGGCAGGCAAAGCTGGCTGCTCTGCCGTGGGGAGCTTCAAGGGAAAAACTTCAAGATGGCAGGAGCCCCTCGGTAGGTACGAATTCGATACAGTGGGAAGGGCGTCACTTTGGTAGGTATGTGGATCTGATACAGTAGGAAGAACCCCACTAGAATGTCGTATATGAAGAATGGACTTCTTGGGGAAGGTCGTTGTTAATGTCCACTTAAATATCGTTCATCATACAAAACACAGCATATGACAGGAAAACAAGAAAACCCAAATTCTAAGCTCTAGTATAAATGTAAGTGCTGTGTTGAGGGTTTTAAGACAATTCGGTTTATTAAACCCAAATTTAATAACCCGAGATTGTGTCACTGCACTCCAGCCTGGGCGACAGAGCAAGCCTGCCTACCGTAGTGAGGCCCTTCCCACCGTATGGAACTTGTACCTACCCTGGGGCTCCTGCCATCTTGGAGCTTTTCCCTTGAAGTTCCCCACAGCAGAGCAGCCATCTCTGCCTGCCTGTCTTGCTGTCTTCTGTCCCTGCCTCTTTGGAGTTGTCAGTGTCCTTTTCCTCTAAACTTCTGCTCAGAGCCTCTTATTTGAAGCCTTTCCTACTTTTGTTCACTGCCTTATTCCACTTGGCTGTAAAATATGACATACGTGTTAATTTAAGTTTGTGGCTTGGTGTCCATTGGCTGTCTTCCTCAATTAGAGTACAGTCCTCTGGGGAGGCCGACTTCTATTCTATCTCAAACCCAGCCGGTCCTGCACCGAGTGAGGGCCCCTGAGCAGTGACTCGCTTCCTTCTCCTGGGGAGGAGAGGGTGGGGGCTGCCGGCCGAGCTCTCTGGCTCTTCAGCAGATCAGTGATTCTGAGGAGGGGCAAGACTTACTCAAGATAAGATCACTGTTCAGAATGAAGTACAACCTCATTGTTCTGTTCTAATTAGGGATTGGTGTGTCTGCATAAAAGAAGCCTGAATTACGGAAGATTTTAGAAGGAGGTTGCTTTAATTATTTCCTAATAGTCATTGTAAAAAAAAAAAAAAAAGTTAGATGTCTTTTGGGAACTTGTTTAAATGCCTAGATAAAAATTACTTACGATGGCATAAATATTAATAAAACAGCTTTTCTCTTTCTTTTTTTTTTTTTTTTTTGGTATAGAGAGTTGTTCCATTATATTTATTTGCATAATCCCCAAGAACTTTCAAAGCAAAGTAACCTTTAATTCTACTAGAATTGCCACAGATCAGCAGGGATGAGTTTATTAGCAAGTCACTACCATTGATAAGTGGCGGCTGTTGAGCGCCTGCTCTGTACCAACCCTGGAGTGCCAGGTTCTTAAAGGCTTTGGCTGGTTCAGCCCTCATAGGTGCCTTGGGAGATGGGATTGGGACAGTGATAGTAATGACTAATATTTTTTGAGTCCTTACTGCATGCCAAGCTCAGTGCTAAATGCTGTATGGTTTAATTCTTTCATCAACGATCCTGCGAAGCAGGTGCTACTGTCCTTTATTTTATTTTATTTATTTATTTTTTTGGGACAGAGTTTTGCCCTTGTTGCCCAGGCTGGAGTGCAATGGCGCGATCTCGGCTCACTGCAACCTCCCAGTGATTCTCCTGCCTCAGCTTCCCGAGTAGCTGGGGTTATAGGCACCTGCCACCACGCCCAGCTAATTTTTTGTAATTTTCAGTATTTTTAGTAGAGACAGGGTTTCACCATGTTGGCTAGGCTGGTTTCGAACTCCTGACCATAGGTGACCCACCTGTCTGCCTCCCAAAGTGCTGGGATTACAGGCATGAGCCACTGCACCCAGCTGTCCTTCCATTTTAGAGCTAAGGAGGGGTACACAGGGAGGCAGTAGCTGTGGTGACAGCTGTGATCTGAACCAGGGCTTGGTTGAGTACTCTTCTCACTACACCAGACTGCACTTCCTGTGTCCGTAGTGTCTAATTAGTAATAGATCAGTAAACACACCGAGAGCGTAGTGTGGCCTCCAGGTCATTTAACAATAATAATAACAACACTGTGAATCCTTCCACCACTCTCTAGATTCCTCATCTCTAGGAGTGAACTTTTCCAGGATGCTTTGCCCTTGCTGGATCAAGTTTTTTGTATGTAGTTTTTTTCCTTCAAATTTTGTTTTAATTAACAAATAAAAATTGTATGTATTTATCATATACAACATGATGTTTTGAAATATCTATACATTGTGGATTGGCTAAATTGAGCCAATTAACATGTGCATTACCTCTTCCTGTGTCCGTTAACTTAGAAATTAAAAATTCTTTTTGGAGCCACAGTGGCACATGCCAGCAGTCTTGGCTACTTGGGAGGCTGAGGCAGGAGGATTGCTTGAGTCCAGGAGTTTAGGAGTTTGAGGCTACAGTGAGCCATGATCACACTTGTGAATGGCCACTGCACTCCAGCCTGGGCAACACAGACCCCATCTCTTAAAAAAAATTCCTTTTGGAAGTTTTTCGAGGGTAGGTAAATAGGTGAATAAAAATGTTTAGCTTTTGAAAGATTTAATAGAAGCATTTGAGTAGTCAGGGCTATAGTACAAGTCTGAGGATGTAGGGAAAAATCAGGTTTCTCCTATACTCCTTTATTCCTATACTCAGTGTCAACAGTCGACACAGAACACCTCTGGGACCAGATTTGTGGAGATGCCCCCAGCCACACACACACACCGAGTAGGCACTCGGTGCTGCAGCAGACGCCAGCTGACAGGCAGATGGTGTCAGATCCCACGGTTGAGGGCTCAGTCCTCAAGACTGCCCCCGCCCCCCACCATTTGCAAGCCCCAAGTTGTTTTACCTGTGCTTCTGACTGGCTATAAATGGGGTTCCCACAAGCCCCTCCTTGGGTTCAATTAATTTACTAGAGCGGTTGACAGAGCTCAAGGAAACATGTTTACTGGTTTTTTATTGTAAAGGATATTATGAAGGATACCACTGAATATCAGGTGATAGGGCAAGGCGTGTGAGAGGGCCATGTAGCCTTTTTGCCCCGTCCAGGTGTGCCACTCTTCAGGAACCTCCATGTGTTCAGCTATCTGGAAGCTCTCTGAACCCTGTACTTGTGAGTTTTTATGGAGGCTTCATTACATAGGCATGATTGATTAAACCATTGGCCGTTGGTGATCAACTTAAGCTTTAGTATCTCTCCCTTCCCTGGAAATTAAGGATGGGCTGAAAGTCCCAGTCCTCTAATCAGTCATGCCTTGGTCTTCCTGGTGACCAGCTCCTGTCCGAAGCTACCTAGGAGCTGCCAGCCATCAGTCAATTCGTGAGCATACGAAAAGACATTACTGGTTGGGTGTGGTGGCTCACACCTATAATCCCAGCAATTTGTGAGGCCGAGGCGGATGGATCACCTGAGGTTGGGAGTTCTAGACCATTCTGGCCAACATGGTGAAACCCCGTCTCTGCTGAAAATACAAAAAATTAGCCGGGTGTGGTGGTATGCGCCTGTAATCCCAGCTACTTGGGAGGCTGAGGCAGAAGAATTGTTTGAATCCGGGAAGTAGAGGCTGCAGTGAGCCAAGATCGTGCCACTGCACTCTAGCCTAGGCGACAGAGCCAAAAAAAAATAAAAATAAAAAAATAAAAAATAAAAATTCTATTTTGGAGATTCCAAGGATTTTAGGAGTTGTATGCCAGGAGACAGGGTGGAAGACCAAATACATAGTCACAGTATTACAAAAGTAATGCAAAAGACAATCTAAAGAAACCATGAAAAAAAAATCTAAAGAAAGGAGACCTTTTTCACAGGAAATAGGGATGTGAGAGAGAAATTAGGAGTGGGTGAGGAAGAGAAAATATGTGTGGGAGGGAAAGCAGAGAAGTATGAACACATCACAAAACAGCATCTGAACTCTTACATGCTTATTTCTTACACTACTGTTGCTCATCCTACATTATGCCATTTAATCTGTGTATCAATTCTAGGGTTGGGGTTCATTGATGCTGAGTTTGTAGCCAAAGAGTGAAATATACTTGGGTGGTCCCCTAAAAGGTAAAGAGGGCAATAGGAAAAAGTCTTAAAGAGAAAGATGACCCAGTGTAATATTTCTAGAGAATTCGTTATTGTTTCTGTTTTCAGAAAGTAGTAGTAAACATTAAGATTACTGCTTTATATCTTTGACTAGACAAGCAGCTTGTTGATACTGTGTATCCTCTATAATGTGAGCACTCATTCAGCACGTGGGTTTATTGAGTGCCTAGTACATACGAAGCATTTTATGCTAGGCACTGAGTAGATAAGCAAGACAGGATCCCTGCTTTCAGGGAGCTTACAGCCCCACGCACGTTATAACGTGAAATTGTTAGCATAATTTTAACGCATTGTGTCTGTAGGAGCATAAAAGAGTTCTTATTTCCAGGAGAAGGTGTGATAGACCAGTCCTGTCAGTACAAATAATCTGGGGCTCCAAGTGGAATTCAAAGAAGAAAATAAGGTATTATGGAAGAGGAGGCTGTAGAAAACCTGAAGAAAGGTGTGTTTTGTGGATACTTTGGCTGATGGCTTTGAAATTTTTTTCAGATGAGGCTGTTTTCAAATGTTATTGGCTGCACAGATTGATTTAGCCACCCACCTGGTGTTTGATTCTAGTAGTTCATTCCTTGCTTAAGGTGAAATGCTGATTTCTGATCATCATTATTAAGAATGGATCCTGGAACAGATGTAGGTACCATTTGTCTTTCAGTGTTTAGGAGTGATCCCCACCTAACAGTCTGCATGCAGACCACCGGCTTGGGTTTCCTAGTATAGAAGTGAATGTCCTCTGTACCTTGCTTGGTAAACAGTTGCCTTTCCTGAGGCTGGCTGAGTTTGGCTGTAACTTTCTCCTTCCTAAGTCCCTACTATTTTCCTCATTCCTCACTGGGTCTTCCCAGCCTCGTATGAGTGTGATAGAAATGGGGAAATGTGTAGCCTCTCTTTTCTCTCATTTCAGCTTAATGAAAGGGGTAGCCTCCTGGTTGGCAGCCAGGAAGCTGCAAAAGGGAAAATTCCTTTCCCTAGCTATGGAAGTATGACAGGCAGTGTTCGCTATTTGATATCGGCTGGTGAAGTTTCCTTGAGGTGCAAATGCTCTGGGTGCAGGGTGCCCACAGTCTCCTTTTCTTTGCATTCTCCCGGGCCCCCTGGTAACGGTCAGAGAGAAGAGGGCTTACCTGGGACTGGATCGCTGTCAATCGTGAACCTTAGGAACTTCCGATGATACAGATTGCTCTTGCTTAACCCATGTGTTGGGACACTTTGGTGTGTAGAAAGCAAAGCTGTGTTGTGTTGCAATATCCTGGCCTGCCTCCTTCACTCCCCTTTGTCAGTTTTGCTGAACTAGGGAATATGGAAATGTGGTGACAGTGGTAAACAGAAGGGTGATGGTACGACTACGTGTGCGCCCTATCTTGCCTTTTAAAAAGCCACACCTGTATATTTGGTTTTACACATATTCATATGGTGAATTACAGAAGAAGAATTTGTCTAACTCTGCCTTCACCCAAACAGCTGGTATATGTATTTGGACTGAAATAGGATGAAAAAGTGGTCACGGTGGTCAGAGTGTAGCAGACCAGTGAAAAACAAAAACACTAGCCCAGGACATAAGCCCTGCTTACAACTTTGAAACTTGCCTGTGAATTTGATAAGAACTAGAATAAACCATAAATGAAAACTGATAGCTCTGAGAGTGGCAGGATGATGGGTGAAGTTTTTAACTCTGGGGCGTTGGTACCCTTGTTTTACAGGTGAGGGTATGAAGATGCAGAGATGAAGCAGTTTGCCTAAGGATGCAGGATTTCAACTCCTGTGCTCAGCTTCCAGCTGTTCTGTTCCCATTGTTCTACACTGAGGCCAGCCCTGCCCTGGGTTTCACTAAGTACTCTCTGAGTTTATCTGCTCTTCTGTGGCCTGGCCTCCCTCTCCTAGGAAGAGTGCTTAGGGATGTTCAAAATAGCCAGTTAGGTCGCCTTTTGCAGATTTTTCCAAACTTAAATATAAAATATTTGGCCCTTGTTTGCTTCTGGGTTACAGTGCTTGACACGGTCTCTTCATCCTCGCCCTGGACAGAAAGGAAGGAGAGCTGATCTCTAATGGTAATGGCTCCAGTTCCTGGTTTAGATGAAGTTTCATTTTCATGCTCATCAGTTAAGGAACACTGCATTTTTAAAAGTAGTTATTTTGGGCTGCAGTGGCTCATGCCTGTAATCCCAGTGCTTTGGGAGACTGAAGTAGGAGTATTTCTTGAGGCCAGGAGTTTGAGACCAGCCTGGGCAACATAGCAAGACCCCATCTCTACAAAAAAAAATTTTTTTAATTAGCTGGCAAGCCTGGGAAACATGGCGAAACCCTGTCTCTCCAAAACAGTACAAAAATCAGGTGGGTGTTTTGGTGCAGGGCGGAAGCTGCATTGAGCCTGCAACTTCACTGCACTCCAGCCTGGGTGCCGGAGCAAGACCCTGTCAAAATAATTATTTAATTAATTCATTAATTAAAAATAAAATAAAAAATGAGCTGTTTGTGGTGGGGCACACCTGTGGTCCCAGCTATAGGGGGCTGAAGCGGGAGAATTGGTTGAGTCCAGGAGTTTGAGGATACAGTGAGCTGTGATTGTGCCATTGCACAGAGGTGACAGAGCAAGACCCTATCTCTAAAACATAAAATAAAAAATAAAATGTTGTTATTTGGGGGGGTACATATTTTCTTTTTTCCTTTTATTTGTAGTTGACATGTGATTGTATATATTAAGGGGTTACAGAATATTTTGTAACATGCATGCAATGCATAATGAGCAAATCATAGTAATTAGGATATCTACCACCTCAAACGTTTATCATTTGGGTTGGACAAAAATATTTATTAAGGAGTACCGAGTAAATTTGTGTGTGCAGGTGGACAAAGCCTGGAGGGCAACAAACAAAACAGTAGTTATGATAGAGAGGACTTTTTAATACATATTTAATAAATATTGTACAGTTTGTGTCTGGACACCTCAGTGAATCTCCAAATTTAGGATAGCAAAATAGCGTAAAAACTATGGATTGGAACCCTCAGAAGCATGTTGAGACCTATTTCACCAGGTACAGGCCCTGTGCCCTCATGGAACTGTCTGCTGTATCCGGGATCAGATTCCTTTCTCTTCAAAATGACATGCCCTGTAACCATGAGGAGGTACCCCAAATTGAAGGACCTTCTACAATAACAACTGGCCTCTATTCTTCAAAAATGTCAGTTATGGCCGGGTGCAATGGCTCACGCCTGTAATCCTAGCACTTTGGGAGGCTTAGGCGGGCGGATCACCTGAGGTCAGAAGTTCGAAACCAGCCTGGCCAACGTGGCGAAACCCCGTCTCTACTAAAAATACAAACGTTAGCCGGGTGCGGTGGTGCACGCCTGTAATCCCAGCTATTCTGGCTGAGGTTGGAGAATTGCTTGAACCCGGGAGGCAAAGGTTGCAGTGAGCCTGGATCGTGCCACTGCACTCCATCTAGCGTGGGCAACAGAGCAAGACTCTGTCTAATAAACAAATAAGAATAAAATGTCACTTACGAAAGACAAAGGCCAGGGAACCTTTGATCCTTTTTCGATTAAACAAGGTGACAAAGACATGACAATTAAATGCACCATGATCCTGAATTAGATCTTGGATCTTGTAATCTCATGGCTATAGGACATGTCATTTTGAAGAGACAGATGTGTGATAAAGATCATTATTGGGACAACCAGCAAAATTTGAGTAAGGGCAGTATATTCAGTATTGTATCAGTGTTACATTTCCTGAGTTGCACATGCATACTGTGATTATGTAAGAGGATGTTGTTAGGAGATACGTACTGAAGTACTTAGGAGAACAGTGTTATTTCGTCTGCAACTTACTCTCAGTCTCGGTTTTTCTTCAAAAACTGTTACATGCATGTACACACTCCTAAATCACATCTCATTCCTTACAGACAGGTGGGAAGATAACAAGTGTGTGTTAGACGTGGTTTTCTAGACTGACAAGAGGGACTGGTCTGTTCTGCAGGGGCAGCCCAAAGAAAGTCTTCATAGTTGCTGTGTTTAATCTGAGTGGGAACTGAGGTGAGTTTTAGAATGAGAGATTCAAGAAGAAAGATTCCCAATGCCTGTGCCAGCTCTCAGTGTTGTGGCTGGAAAGTAGGGGGCATCTGGTGTTGTCCTGTAAAGGAAGGCCAAGAAGATAGCCTCACGTGCCATGAGAAGGTGTTTGAACTTCTTCCATAGACATGATGGGTCTGTTAGGGTTAGGGTGAGGTTAAACTCCAGCTAAAATGGCTTAAGTGATAGTAAGTGTATTTTCTCACATAACATGAAGTTTGAAGGTGGGGAAGTACTAGGGTTGCATCACTCAGCAGTTCAGAGATGATCTCCCCACCCCAGGTGTTTATGTTTTTGGCTACAGCCATCCTTAGCATGCAAGTGGTGTCTGCTCTCCTGGCTACAGGGTGATTGTCACCTGCCCATGACGAGATCTGGTGAAGAAGAGGAGGGAGATTTCTTTCTGAGCATCCATTGCTGTGAGGAAGGAACACCTTTTCCACAATGGTCCTGGTTCAGTGTACCTTCAGATTCCCTTAGCTGAGATTGTGTCACTTGCAAAGGGGAACGTGATCGTGGTGGTGGGCTTATCTGGTTACTCTCCCTCCTGTGGCCAGGGAACGTTCCTCAGAGGAACCTCCCAGGCAGCCACTTCAGATCATGTGGGTGTTGCCAGCAGCATGGGGCCAGGGGTATTGGGTGAGCAGACATTAGGGTCTGCCACCATGCAGAAAAAAGGTTTTAATTTTCTTTTCTTTTTCGTGTGTGTGTGTGTGTGTGTGTTTGTTTGTTTGTTTGTTTGTTTTTGAGACGGAGTTTCGCTCTTGTTGCCCAGGCTGGAGTGCAATGGCGATATCTCAGTTCACTGCAACTTCCACCTCCCAGGTTCAAGCGACTCTCCTGCCTCAGCCTCTCGAGTAGCTGCAATTACAGGCGCCTGCCACCACGCCCAGCTCATTTTTGTGTTTTTAGTAGAGATAGGGCTTCGCCATATTAGCCAGGCTGGTCTTGAACTCCTGACCTCAGATCGTCTGCCTGCCTTGGCCTCCCAAAGTGCTGGGATTACAGGCATGAGCTACCGTGCCTGGCCGATGTATGGTGTTTTTTGTTTGTTTGTTTTTTTGAGATGGAGTCTCACTCTGTTTCCCAGGCTGTCATCCAGGCTGGAGTGCAGTGGCGCAATCTTGGCTCACTGCAAGCTCTGCCTCCTGGGTTCACGCCATTCTCCTGCCTCAGCCTCCAGAGTAGCTGGGACTACAGGTGCCTGCCACCACACCTGGCTGATTTTTTATATTTTTAGTAGAGACAGGGTTTCACCGTGTTAGCCAGGATGGTCTCAATCTCCTGACCTCGTGATCCGCCTACCTTGGCCTCCCAAAGTGCTGGGATTACAGGCGTGAGCCACCGCACCCGGCCTGATGTTTTAAAGTATTATACAGCCGCTTATTAAACCTCCTGTTATGGATAGCAGTAATAATAATAGACAGTACTTAGCATTTACCACCCATAGGCACTGTTTGTTCTCAGTCGTGTTTTACACTTACTTATTCATTTGGTCCTCACAACAGCGTTATGAGGTGTAGGGGCCATTGTTACCCCTAGTTTCCAGATGAGGAAACTGAGGCAAAGAAAGGCTGAGTAACCTACCAAGGTCACATCACTAATGAATAGGGAGCTGGAGGCAGAGCTGGTGTCCAGTGTGGGCAGCCCCAGTATAGAGTCTGTAACCACTAGGAAAAACTGCCTCTGGGTATTTTTTGTGCTTTTTTTTTTTTTTTGGATGCTACAGATAATACTAAGATGAACATATTTCTACATACTTCTTCCTTGCACATACATGAATAGCCTGGCCGTTGTGGGTTAGAGTGCGTGGGAAATGAGAGGGTAGAGATGACATGTGTAGACCACGCTTCAGAGAAAAGTTACTTTGAAAGGGACCAGAAAAAGGGTTGTTTTAGTTCCCATTTGTTTCCTTATCAGGAAAGACGGATTATTTTGTTTAGTGTTTTATTTCCCTTTGGGGTGAAGACCTGCTTATGTCTTTTGTCCATTTATAGTCGGGAGTCACTGTGCTTCTCATCTTCCTGTATGATTGACATTTACCCCTTTCATATACTACAAATACTTTTAGGCTCTTATTTTTAACTCTTTGTAGTTTCTGTGTATGTCTTTATTATCATTTGCTGCAGCTTCAACACTTTTAAGAAATCACTGATTTCATTTTGCGTTAAAGCTAGTTTACTTCTTGTATTTTAACTTTTAAATAATGTAATCGGCCGGGCACGGTGGCTCACACCTGTAATCCCAGCACTTTGGGAGGCTGAGGCCTCCCATGGATCATGAGGTCAGGAGATCGAGACCATCCTGGCTAATACGGTGAAACCCCGTCTCTACTAAAAATACAAAAAATTAGCCGGGCATGGTGGTGGGCGCCTATAATCCCAGCTACTTGGGAGGCTGAGGCAGGACAGTGGCGTGAACCCGGGAGGCGGACCTTGCAGTGAGCCGAGATCACGCCACTGCACTCCATCCAGCCTGGGCCGCAGAGCGAGACTCTGTCTCAAAAAAAAAAAAAAAAAAAAAAAAACAAATTTAAGATTGGCTTTACTGTCCTCAAATTGCTGTTCATCTAAGTCAATGCCCAGTTACTTTGTTACACACATACATTCTTTTTTTTTTTTTTTTTTTTTTTTTTTTTTTTTTTTTTTTGAGATGGAGTCTCGCTGTTGCCCAGGTTGGAGTGCAGTGGCACGATCTCAGCTCACTGCAAGCTCCGCCTCCCAGGTTCACGCCATTCTCCTGCCTAAGCCTCCTGAGTAGCTGGGATTACAGGCGCCCGCCACCATGCCCGGCTAATGTTTTGTCTTTTTTTTTTTTTTTTTTTGAGACGGAGTCTCGCTCTGTCGCCCAGGTCGGACTGCGGACTGCAGTGGCGCAATCTCGGCTCACTGCAAGCTCCGCTTCCCGGGTTCACGCCATTCTCCTGCCTCAGCCTCCCGAGTAGCTGGGACTACAGGCGCCCGCCACCGCGCCCGGCTAATTTTTTGTCTTTTTACTAGAGACGGGGTTTCACCGTGTTAGCCAGGATGGTCTCGCTCTCCTGACCTCGTGATCCGCCTGCCTCAGCCTCCCAAAGTGCTGGGATTACAGGCTTGAGCCACCATGCCCGGCCACACATACATTCTTAAAAGCATTTTAAAATTATAATTCAGTGAATTTGGAGTCTTCCCATTGTTTTCTTTTAATTTGTATATCTGAGTTTGCCCTCAACACCACACTATTTAATTATTGTTTTAGAATATGATAAATATAGTAGGGCTGTCCTTCTCATCTCTGTTTAACTTTTCTGTCTTCAGAATTTGAAGGGTATTTTTTCTTTATTTTCCCAAACAAACTTGTAAATCATTTTGACATTACTCTTTTTTTTTTTTTTTTTTTAATTTTTTTTTTTTTTTTGAGACGGTGTTTCGGTCTTGTTGCCCAGGCTGGAGTGCAATGGCGTGATCTTGGCTCACCGCATCCTCCACCTCCCGGGTTCAAGCTATTCTCCTGCCTTAGCCTCCCGAGTAGCTGGGATTACAGGCATGCGCTACCACACCCAGCTAATGACATGACTCTTAAGACATGCTAGTGTTCGTGCTGAATGCCCCATTAGGTTAAGATCATAGAAACGTGGCAGTTGGAGAGCTGTAAAGGTTGCTTAGTTTCTCATTTCCATTTCTGTTTAATTTCTAGATTTTGGATCATTGTTTGACTTGGAAAATGATCTTCCTGATGAGCTGATACCCAATGGAGGAGAATTAGGCCTTTTAAACAGTGGGAACCTTGTTCCAGATGCTGCTTCCAAACATAAACAACTGTCGGAGCTTCTACGAGGAGGCAGCGGCTCTAGTATCAACCCAGGAATAGGAAATGTGAGCGCCAGCAGCCCCGTGCAGCAGGGCCTGGGTGGCCAGGCTCAAGGGCAGCCGAACAGTGCTAACATGGCCAGCCTCAGTGCCATGGGCAAGAGCCCTCTGAGCCAGGGAGATTCTTCAGCCCCCAGCCTGCCTAAACAGGCAGCCAGCACCTCTGGGCCCACCCCCGCTGCCTCCCAAGCACTGAATCCGCAAGCACAAAAGCAAGTGGGGCTGGCGACTAGCAGCCCTGCCACGTCACAGACTGGACCTGGTATCTGCATGAATGCTAACTTTAACCAGACCCACCCAGGCCTCCTCAATAGTAACTCTGGCCATAGCTTAATTAATCAGGCTTCACAAGGGCAGGCGCAAGTCATGAATGGATCTCTTGGGGCTGCTGGCAGAGGAAGGGGAGCTGGAATGCCGTACCCTACTCCAGCCATGCAGGGCGCCTCGAGCAGCGTGCTGGCTGAGACCCTAACGCAGGTTTCCCCGCAAATGACTGGTCACGCGGGACTGAACACCGCACAGGCAGGAGGCATGGCCAAGGTAAGTGAACTGAAGCACTTTCAATACTTCCTACCTAACCGCGGGCTTTCCCTCCGAGTAATGCGTAAAATGGGACCACGTGGCCCACTCCTGTTTTTCCTCTTGGGCTCTCCACGTGCCACTCATGCTTGGAAGAGACAGATTTCTTTCTAGGATAAAGATCTCTGCCCCATTTCTGTCTTTAAAATGAGAATTCTTAAAGAAGTAGGACAGCTTGCAGGTCAGGCAGTTGGAAAGTACAGGGCCTAATGTGTCCGTGAACCTGGTAGAGGTTGCTTTCTGCCTGTGTACTGCCCACTGAGGAGGTGATCACTGGTCTGTATGCTCCTCTGTGGCCATCCAGTGAAGTATCTGTTGGCACAGTATCCATTTCACTGAATGAGAAAGCTGTGTTCCAGGGTTGTCAGCTCACTCCCTGCTATGTTAACAAGGAAGAGGTGGCAGAGCCGGGGAGAAGCACAGGCATTCGGGTCCCAGAGGAAACACCAGTGCAGTGGTTCTTCAAGTGGGGTCCCCTGGACCAGCAGCAGCAGCAGCATCCCCTAGAAGCTTGTTAGAAATGCAGACTTCTTTATTGACTCAGAAGCTCGGCGTGGGGCCTGGGCTTTAAGAAGCCTCCAGATGGGTGCTGGACACAGTGACTCACGCCTGTGATCCCAGCACTTTGGGAGGCCAAGGTGGGTGGATAGCTCAACTCTAGGAGTTTGAGACCAGCCTGGGCAATGTGGCGAAACCCTGTCTCTTGGAAAAAAAAAAAAAAAAAAAAAAAAAGCAGCAGCCTCCAGGTGGCTCCAAGGTCACGCACATCACACACACACACACACACACACACACACACACACACACACACACACACACACACACACACACACACACACACACACACACACACACACACACACACACACACACACACACGGCCAAGAGCTCTGCTAGGGAAAGGCCTGGACTGGGATTTGCAGCCACCAGCCTTGCAGCTGCCTTCTAGAGTAGGAACTGGACTTGGAGAAGGGGGAAGGCAGATGCCTGGATAGATGTGAGACAGCTGGAAAAGCCCAGGACTGACAGGAGCACAGAGAAGGAAGGGCAGCCTATTCCCACTGAAGTGACAAACACTGTGGATGCTCTGCGGCCAGAGGCTTCTCAACAGCAGCCACCAGGCACGTCTTCAGGCAGTGGAATTCAGCACATCCCAGAACAGAAAATCAGTTTGGGCTGTTCTTTGGATTTGTTTAGTCCCAAGTAGGGGTGAGGGAGAATAAGAGTAGAACACAGTTTCCCCAGAAGGTTGATGAGAGCGTTGGGTGACGGATGCAAAACCCTGTGAATGTCGGAAACGAGAGGATTTTTTTTTAACTTAAGAAATGAAGATGAAGTAATGCTCAATGTTTAAATTGCATTTGTCTTTTTTGAAATGTTAGTAGAGAGGAACGTGAACTTAAGTTTTACTTGTACCTGGCATTTTAAGAAGAGTCTGTATGAGTGTGTCAATTGAGAAGGAATTTCTCATGGGTTTATGGTTCCTGGAGAGATTGATCCTTGTTCCTTTTCCCAGTTCATTCATCACTCTACTCCTTACTTTTAAAACTCTGTCTATTCTGGAGAGTTTAAATCATATGAAGTCGACATAATAGTATAAAGCAATGATTCCCAAACTTTTTTTTAATCTCAAGACTCCTGAATAATCTTAACAATTACTGAGGACCCCAAAGAGATTTCTTTAACATGTGCAGTATACCTCTCAATATTTACTATATTAAATAGTAAAACAGAATATTGAAACACATTTCATCATCCGTCCAGTGCAGTGGAATCACACATCACAAAGTAACTAGAAAACTAGATCTACTGTGTTCTTGGGAGAGAATCAGAGGGAAAAGGCAAATCATATCTTAGGATTTTATGGAAATAGTTTTGACATCATGGTCCCCCTGAAAGGTCTGGGACCCTGGACTGCACTTCAAGAGCTTTTGATAACATGTATGTAGAAGTTAGACTTTGTACACCTAAACACAAAGCCATTATCACATGTTAACAGATTTAACAGTAACTTCATGTCAGCCAGTATCCACAGAATAGTCACGTTTCCAGTGGTCTCATATGTTGTAATTTTTTTTTTTTTTTTCTGAGATGGAGTTTCACTGTTGCCCAGTGTCTGGAGTGCAGTGGCACCATCTGGGCTCACTGCAACCTCCGCCTCCTGGGTTCAAGTGATTGTCCTGCCTCAGCCTCCTGAGTAGCTGGGATTACAGGCGCGTGCCACTGCTCCCGGCTAACTTTTTATATTTTTATTAGAGACGGAGTTTCACCATGTTGGCCAAGCTGGTCTCGAACTCCTGACCTCAAGCGAGCCACCTGCCTCTGCCTCCCAAAATGCTGGGATTACAGGCGTGAGCCACCACGCCCGGCCTATAAGTAGTTTTTATAGATTTTTACTCAAAATCTACATTTCAGTTAGTTGATATGCCTCTTAAGAATCTGTTCTCTGTTGGTCTGTGGGATCCTTACAATTTACTGAAGAAACATGTTTTGGTTGTTGTCTGCTATTTATCCTGGAGAGTGTCTTCCAGAAGTTGGACTTTGCTGATTACACCTGTAACACTTCATGCTTCTCTGTCCACCCAGGCTTTTCATTCCATCCTGGGGTTCCTTTATACAGAGTGGTCTTTCTTTCCAACAGCAACTCGTGGATGTCACTGGAAAGTGAGCCTCGTTAGCGTGCTGGGGACAGTTGTCTCTTGTTTCCTATAGGTATCTCAAAGCAGCCCACTAGAGGTGGATAGAGTGCATTTTTTTAAAGATGTGTCGTTGCCTTTGGGTGGAATGAAAGACCAAGTAGTGGTGGGCAGAAAGTAAGAGGGAGAGACAAGTCCATTTTAAACCATTCCCTCTCTAGAACCTTACGATAGCAGAGCCAACTAGATTTTAAGATGCACAGGGAAAAGGCGCTTTTTTTAAGATAATTTTGTTTTAAGAACGATTACACAGGAAGTATATCCTATGAAATAATTAAAATAGTAGGAAAAGAGCAACATCCTCCTTACAGATAAAGATTTAAAATACATAATGAAACCAGACTACATAAGCACCTTACTGTTTTACTTGGCAGTGTACCTTAGATGGCCTCTGTGACACTGCACAGAGATTTTTTTTTCTTACTGATAGCAAAGTATTCCATTATATGATACATCATAATTTATTGATCTCATCCTCTGAGGATGAACATTTGGATTGTTTCTGACTTTTTGCTAGTGCAGCAATGCCTGTACACATGTGTCATGGATTAGATTCTGAAAAGGAGAATTAATGGGTCACAGACTTGTTTAAAGTTTGTTTTTAGAAAGTAAACATGCACATGGTTTAACGACAAACAACCATAAAAATACTCTTAAGAGTAAGAACCAGAGAGTTAATTCTTAATTCTTGAATTTTGGTTCTCCCAAATTCTCACCAAAGGCAACTATTATTTCTTATCTGTCCTGCCAGTGATGATGTATGCGTATAGAGGCGTAGAGAGAGGGGTGTGGGTATGTGTGTGCTATCTCCCCAGACATAAAGAGTAGCATTACACAGCGTTTTCTTGTGAGTGTAGATGTTCCCCTCCCCACCCACCACTTAACAATACAAGTTGGAAATTCTTCCATGCTCCGCGTAGCTGTCAGTCATTCTTCATAGGTACAATAGGAATTCCTGATTTGGGTATATCGTAATTTAAGGACTTGTGCCATGTAGGCTGAGCATTTAGGTTATTCCCAGTATTTTGCTGTTTTCACAGTTTTGCTTTGAACACATTGTACATATATCTTTGTACAGCTGAGTGACCATATCTGCTAGATAATTTATTGGACATGCAATTTCTGAATTAAAAGATACTGAGATTTTAAATCAGCATAGATAATCTCAGATACTCTTCAGAAATATTGTGCAAATTACACCTTCATCAAGAGTGATTGAGCCTCTGTCCAAATCTTGACCAACACTGAATATTACCATCCTTTTACTTACTTGACATTCTGTTAAGCAAGTTGTCTTCTTTGTTAAGTGTGTCTTTTCATAAGGTCATAGGCAGTTGTATTTTACTGATTGTTCATAATCTTTGTCCATTTGTCTCTTGAATTGTTTGTCATTTTTTCTCATTAATTTATATTCTTAAGTCTCTTAAAACATGTTTTTCCCCTTTGTTATTTGCCATAGTCTGTTTCACCAGGAATATGGTCACATAGGTTTACAATATGTTTTTACCAAGTATATGTTTTCAGTTTGTATAGAAACACATTTATCCATTTATTTCCTTTATGGCTTTTAGGTTTTATGTCACATTTTAGAAGTGCTTTTCCTATTAAAAAATTAAGAAATATTTTCCTGTATTTTTCTCCTTATTACATGACTTTTTTTTTTTTTTTTTTTTTTGAGATAGGGTCTCAGTTTGTTGCCCAGGCTAGAGTGCAGTAGCATGATCTCAGCTCACTGCAACCTCTGCCTCCTGGTCTCAGGTGATCCGCCTGCCTCAGCCTCCCCAGTAGCTGGGACTACAGGCGCGCATCACCACAACTGACTAATTTTTGTATTTTTTTGTGGAGACGGGGTTTTGCCATGTTGCCCAGGCTGGTCCTGAACTCCTGAGCTCAAGCGATCCACCCACCTCAGCCTCCCAAACTGCTGGGATTGCAGGCGTGAGCCACCGTGTCTGGCCTCCTTGAATCTTTAACTCAATTTATTTTGGCATAAGGAGTGAGACACAGAGATCCAGCAGTATATATTTTTTCTTGTTATAATCATCTTAGTACCATTTATTTAGTATTGGTAATCCATCTTTTCTCCCACTGATACGATATGCTGTTTTTGGTATACACTTTATTCTCTTTTCAAACATATAGGATTTGGGTCTAATTTCTGAACTCTTTTTCTTTAGTTCCATTGACCTTTGCTTGTTCCTGTGCCAGAAACCTATTAACCTAGCTGTGTGATGACTTTTAGTATATGACCTCACTAGTTATTTCTCACACAGGTGGTTCTCAACTCTGTCTACACTTTATCAGATTTATCTGGAGAATTTTTAAAAATATGATGCCTGAACCCCACTACAGAGCAATTGAGTTAGAATCTGGGGGATATGGTAGAAACATTCGTATAGTGTGTAGTTCCTCAGATGACTTTCATGGCAGCCAGGGTTGAGAACCCCACTGTGTTAGATAAATTTAGGACTTTTTTTCAAATTTTAAAAACAAAAAATCTTTGGGATTTTGGATTTATAAGATTCACTACAACTTTATAAGTCATTTTAGGAGGGATGTGACATTTTAACAGTTTTGTGACTTCCTGAGTCTTCTTATACATATAAATTATCTTTTCTGGGGGTCTTATGTTGCTTGGAAGCATAGTATGGTTTTCTTTATCTGTGTAATAAATCTTTCTTACTAAGTTTATTTCTGGAGGTATTACGTGGTTTTTGTTGCTGTTGGTGATGAGTTATATTTCATTATCTAACTGGCTATTTTAATATAGGAAAGATGTTATGTATACGCTACTCTGGTAATCTGGCTGCTTTATGGGGTTATCTTAATTATTCTAATACGTTTTCAGGAGATTCTCTTGAGTTTTCCAAGGAGATAGTCATCTTTTGCATTATTGATACTTTTATTTTCTCCTTGCCAATATTTTTTGCCAGTGTTTATGCTCTTAGGCATCCCTGTCTCGTATCCTACTTAAATGGAAGTGTATTTAGTGTTCTGTTATTAAGAATAATGTGAGCTTTGGTTTGTAGTCAGTAGTATATTTCTTTTAAAATTGGGGCATAATCTGTTCGTCATAAAATAAATGATAATATCTAAATGTTAGGTTTTATCAAATTTCTTTTTGATACCTACCTATGTTGATTAACCTGTGATTTTTCACTTTCCATTTATTTATGTGACAGATTATCTGTGTAGGTTTTATAATATCAAATTGAACCATCTCTGTAATTGTAAAATCAAAAGTTAATGCTGAGTTTTAATTGCTAGTGCTTCATTTAGAATTTTGTTTCTCATTTATCAGTGATGAAATTGATCCATAGCTCTTTTTGTGCTTTGTCAATTTTTATATCAGTGTTACGTTAACTTGGTCAAAAAGAGTTTGAAAGTCTTTTTTTTTTTTTTTTTTTTTTTTTTGAGACGGAGTCTCGCTCTGTCGCCCAGGCTGGAGTGCAGTGGCGGGATCTCGGCTCACTGCAAGCTCCGCCTCCCGGGTTCACGCCATTCTCCTGCCTCAGCCTCCCAAGTAGCTGGGACTACAGGCGCCCGCCACTACGCCCGGCTAATTTTTTGTATTTTTAGTAGAGACGGGGTTTCACCGTTTTAGCCGGGATGGTCTCGATCTCCTGACCTCGTGATCCGCCCGCCTCGGCCTCCCAAAGTGCTGGGATTACAGGCGTGAGCCACCGCGCCCGGCCGAAAGTCTTTCATATTTATTCTGTGAAACAGTTTAAATCGATTTGGAATTATCTATTACATGAAGAATTGAGAGACTTCACCCTTACAGTGATGTGGGCCTGAAGCCTTTTTTTCCCTAGGAAGTGACTGAAGATCTTTGACAATAGTGCCGGGCGTGGTGGCTCACACCTGTAATTCCAACACTTTAGGAGGCTGAGGTGGGAGGATTGCTTGAGCCCAGGAGTTCAAGACCAGCCTGTGAACATAGGGAGACCCTATCTTTAAAAAAAATTTAAGAATTAGCTGGTCATGGTGGCACATGTCTGTGGTCTCAGCTACTCAGGAGGCTGAAGCAGGTGGATTGCTTGAGCCCAGGAGTGCAAAGTTGCAGTGAGCCATGATCACACCACTACAATCAAGCATACCAACAGAGTGAGATTCTGACTCAAAAAAAAAAAAAAAATCTTTGACAACTTTATTGCTATTTTCTATAAATATTGGCTCTTTTAGGCTTTTAGTAGTCTCTTAGGTCAGTATCGTTTTTATTTAGTAAAGTCTAAATTTGCTTTGATTTTGAGAAAAACTAAAAGATACTTAACTTTTAATCTTTGTTTAAAAAAAGGATAGGAGGTAGGCAAGTCACATGTTACAGATTAAGAAGTGGAGGCTGCCAGTGAGTGGCAGAACCAGGCTTGCATCCACACGGTCTGGCCAGAGGCCTGTTAACACTAATGCAATGCAGCCTGTTCTTTCGTAAGTTTTACAGTTTCTGTTTTAGTAGAAAATTCTTTTCATCTAATCTTTAAAATTTGTTAACTTAAAGCTGTGCAAAAATGTGTGCAGTTCTTTGTCATTTTTGATGTTTGTGATTATTTCTCTTCTCATTCCTAATTTTTTTTTTTTTTTTTTTTTTTTTTTTGAGATGGGAGTTTCGCTCTTTTTGCCTAGGCTGGAATGCAGTGGCATGATCTCAGCTCACTGCAACCCCTGCCTCCCAGGTTCAAGCGATTCTCCTGCCTCAGCCTCCTGAGTATCTGGGATTACAGGCGCCCGCCACCACGCCCGGCTAATTTTTTGTATTTTTAGTAGAGACGGGGTTTCACCATGTTGGCCAGGCTGGTTTTGAACTCCTGACCTCAGGTGATCTGCCCACCTCAGCCTCCCAAAGTGCTGAGGTTACAGGCATGAGCCACCGTGCACTGCCATCTCATTTCTAATTTTATGTGACTCTGAAAATATTTACAGTAGGAAAAACATGACCCTTGTTGACAACATGGCAATATTAACAATACATGATATTACTATTTTTTTCTTTTGTTTACTTTTGTGATAGAAGGCATGATAAGAGTTTTTTAAAGAAAAAACAATTTCTTTATTTCAACAGTAGCAAAACTTAACATTTCGTCTTATGAGGGGAGCATGTTCTTGTTTTCTACTGAAAATAACTCATACACTTGTCCTCTAGAAAGAAAGCAAAAAAGACCAATTTAGGTAGGATTTAGAAGCCGTACAGACACTCTCTTTCCTGGCTACGGGTGTTGAGAGATGTTGCTTGACACAGAGATGACAGAAGGAAGCCAGAAGCTGGTAGAAAGAGGAAGGTGTAATTTCGGGTCAAGGGGTCCGGAGGCATTCTGATTTTAAGGTTGATAAGAATTTGTTTTTGTGACCTTAGAAATCTTTTAAGTACTTTCTTTTAACTAACAAATCTGAAACGTGACCAAAATAGTTTGTATGGTAATCCATCTTCATAGGGGGTCAGATTAGGGCTTATTTTTTGAATAAAGTTTTTGGAATATTCGTCTTTTTTAGAAAGTGGTCAGAAAACCCCGGGGTTGATTTTTGACTGGAGGTGTTCCTGGAGTAAAAGTTTTAAATTAGATCAGCTCCCAGTACTCAGTCAGCCATCATTTTGGTCAGATACTATAAAGCAGTGATTCCCAAACTTGAATATTCAGCAGAGTCACTGCAGGCTTGTCAAGACAGATTTCTGCCTCCAACTTACCAAGTTTCTGATTCAGCAGATTTTGGTTGGGACCTGAGAATTTACATTTCTAACCAGCTCACCGGTGACCGTAATTGTGGTGGTCAGGGACCACACTCTGAGAATCTGTGCTCTAAAGGAATGGATTAGCAGAATATAGTCAGTAAAGAATTAATAGAACCAAGTTGGCTAAGAAATGACTAATCTACCTTCTCTATTTTGGGTAGATTATTGGAAATCTCTAATATTATTTATTTATTTTGAGACAAGGCCTCACTCTGTCACCCAGGCTAGAGTACAGTGGCGTTATCATGGCTCCCTGCAGCCTCGAACTCCTGGGCTCAAGCAGTGCTCCAGTCTCAGCCTCCTAAGTAGCTGGTACTATAGGTGTGCACCATCATGCCTGGCTAATTTTTTTGATTTTTTTTAAAAAATTGATTCTCTTATATACACCTTTATTTGTACTAAAAATTGTAAAAAGAGCACAAAGTTTCCTCTTATTGCAACCCAAATTTTTCTTATTATTACGCTGTAGCCAAACTACCCAATGCTTTCTTTACCCACAAGTGACTTTGCTTCAAATTCTCGGTGTTGGGTTTCATCTCACTGGCTTTGGGCTTCTAAAACACATGGGGATGCTTATGTCCTCTTGGCTTCGAGTCAAATTAAGCAGTAGAGCTGAAGTATACTGAAGTTATTCAGATACGTTCAAACTACACAGACCCCTTATACATCACTAGTATCATGGTAGAAAGGAAAAGATACAAGAAAAATACATCCTAGAACTCATTATCAAAATTTTTGATATATAGTCTATTGTAGCATAAGGTAGCTTTCTCAACCTGCTACATAAAATTACCAGCAAGAAAAAAAAGTACAAGAATAAGGTTTATGGCTGAAGTGGCTCAGTGTTGTAATTCCCTATTCTAGCACTCTCAAAAGTACCCCATCTGTTACACATGCAGAAACTGCAGCAGCATCTGAAATGTCCACTTCTTGATTCATTCTGAACTCCCTTAAGCCCAGTGTTTGTTAGTTCTCGTTCAAGTCTAGGAACTCTGCCGAGTAACAGGTATCTCAATTTTGCCATCCTTTCTTTCTGCATAGACAGGAGTGTTCTTAAATCTTCTCCTGTAAAGCAAGTCATCTCTGATTTCCCTGAGGATCATTGCTCCCGTATACTGTTGTTGGGGTGAGCCTTCTGGTAGAGGGGAAGAGAATTTGGTACTAGGGTTGATAGTCAAGTTACTAAGGTTCTTTATCAACATCTCAGAGCAGAAGTTTTGAGAGGCCCCTGAATCGTCCTGGGAATTTTCTTCAGTGAGCATTTTTGAAGACTGGGACCAGGGTTGGATTAAACTTTTGTGATGGGTCCATTGTGTCTCAACACAACACTGAGCTTCTCCTGGATCTTTGAAACCCAGCAGAAACTGTTGCTGGACTCTCAAATTGCCACAAGGTAGACCAGAAAGAGCCTGAAAACCCGAACTCCAACCATCTTTTTCTTTCCTTTTTAATGCAGACATGGTGTTGCTATGTTGCCTGGGCTGGTCTTGAACTGAACTCAAGCCGACTGCCGTCTTGGCTGCCCAAAGTGCTGGGATTACAAGTGTGAAACTATCATGCCTGGCTGGAATTTCTAATATTTAATAGCAAGAGAAATAATACTGTACATTTGTCTGTTGCTTTTCACTTTTTCACGTGAAGTCATCTGATTCTTAACACAAAGAAATAAGGGAATTTTATATTAAGCATATCTTAATTTGGCCTCTTAAAAGATCACAACAAAAATAGTTTGTAGAATGAAACTATGTAGTGCCATGAATTAATACAGGGTAATGTGGGATGTATATAATTCCTGTGGGCACAGCTGTTTAGTAGACATGTTAAGTAGCCTAGGACTGGCTCAGGGATCTTATTATGACTCTAATGAGAGATGATCATAGGTGTCCTATAGAATGTATGATTCAGGATGTACCTACCTTCCCATGATAATTAATCATGAATTTCTTTTTTCTTTTCTTTTCTTTTCTCTTTCTTTCTCTCACTCTTCCTCTCTCTCTTTCCTTCTCTTTCTTTCTTTCCTTTCTTTCTTTTCCATTCCTTTCCTTTTCCTTCCTTCCTTCCCTTCCTTCCCTTTCCTCCCTTCCTTTCCTTCCCTCCCTTCCCTCCCCCTCCCCCTCCCCTCCCCTTCCCTTCCTTCCTTTTTCTTTCTTTCTTTCCCCATAGTTTCACTCTTGTTGTCTAGGTGGGAGTGCAATGGCGTGATCTCGGCTCACTGCAACCTCTGCCTCTTGGGTTCCAGCAATTTTCCTGCCTCAGCCTCCTGAGTAGCTGGGATTACAGGCATGCGCCAGCATGCCCAGCTAATTTTTTGTATTTTCAGTAGAGACAGGGTTTCACCATGTTGGCCAGGCTAGTGTTGAACTCCTGACCTCAGGTGATCCGCCTGCCTCAGCCTCCCAAAGTGCTGGGATTACAGACATGAGCCACCTCACCCAGCCTTATGAATTTCTTTTTTAAACTTTTTAATTTAATGAGATTGCATATGTATATTAAATGGATTGACACGCACATAGTAGTTAGTGTACTTACTGCAGCAGCAGTAGTAATAGCGGCAGCTCAGACTGCCTTCTGCAGATGTAGTGGCTAATTGCTTTCAAGCCTGGCGTGGGCTCTGGAATAAGCTGACTCAGTTCACATCCAGGGTTCACTAATTATTAGCTATGGGAAACTTATTTAATCTCTCTGGGTTTTAGTTTTTTTGGCTTTTAAATGAGGATAATAGTAGCTGCCATTGAGAATTGTTCTATCAATTAAAAATGGATAATAATCTCTATCTTACAGAATCGCATGCCAATTAAATGAGATGGTGTATGTAACATTCTTAGTATATGCATAGGTTTACTGAAAACCTTCCAGAGAATATTGAGTAGTGAACTAGCGAGGTGCTGTGCCACATAAAATATTTGAGATAGCCACACAACATTTGAAGTGATAATGAGACTGCTTTTCTAATGTTTTCCGAAAACATTTTTTGGTAGTGAAAGTAGCTGTTGAGCTTGGTGGCTCATTCTTGTGATCCCAGCTACTTGGGAGGCGGAGGTGGGAGGATTGCTTTAGGCCAGGAATTTGACACCAGCCCGGGCAACAGATCAAAATCCTATATCAACTTTTAAAAAGTTGATGTTTGTTATACAAAATTAGCACAGAAATGTCTAGAAAAGAAAATCTTGCCTGTAAGCCTATCATCCAGTCATACTTAGCGCTAAAGAAAACATACTCCTGATGTTTTCTCTACCAGTCTTTTATCTATAATTATGTATCTTTTTTAAAGTCAAAGTTGGAGTAGTATTTCCAGTTAACTTTTTGGCTGATTATTTTCTGTAACACAAACGGAATGAATGTTTAGCATAATAACAACAATGAAGATTTTCATTTGACATGTCTCCCAGGGGACCATCTTGAAGAGTAACTTAGGCATGTGTCACTTGATGGGGGTGAAATGCATCATTAAGTGATTATGTTATGCTAGGAACATCATAGAGTAGTTATGCAAACCTAGATGGCATAGCCTGTTACACACCTAGGCTATATAGTGTACCCTGTTGCTCCTGGACTATAAATCTGTACATCATGTTACTGTAATGCATACTTGGGCAGTTGTAACACGGTGCCACAATGCTAAGTGTTTATAAACCTAAACATTTCTATACATAGAAATGGTATAGTAGAAAATACTGTATAAAAGATTTAAAATAGTACACCTGACCAGACACTCAGTCCCATGCCTGCAATCCCAGCACTTTAGGAGGGTGAGGCCGGAGGATCACTTGAGCCTGTGAGTTGGAGAACAGCCTGGGCAGCATAGATCCTGGTGTGTGTGGCAGGGGTGGGCGGGTGTGTGTGTAAAACACACCTGTATAAGGCATTTACTATGAATGGTGTTTGCAGGACTGGAAGTTGCTGTGGATGAGTGAATGAGTGGTGAGTGAATGTGACAGCTGAGAACGTTGCTGTACACTGCTATAGACTTTATAAACACTATATACTTAGGCCATGCTAAATTTATTTATTTTTAAATTTCAGTAATAAATTAGCTTACTGTAACTTTTCACTTTATAAACTTCAGTTTTTTAAAAACTTTTTTATTCTTTTGTATTAACACTTAGCTTAAAACACTAAACACATTGTACAGGTGTACAAACGTATTTGTACTTATTCTATAAGCTTTTTCTATTTTAAAATTTTTTATTATTTATTTATTTATTATTATTATTATTTTTTTTGAGACAGTCTTGCTGTGTATCCCAGGCTGGAGTGCAGTGGTGCAATCTCTGCTCACTGCAACCTCCGCCTCCCGGGTTCAAGCAATTCTCCTGCCTCAGCCTCCCGAGTAGCTGGGACTACAGGTGCATGCCGCCACGCCCACCTGATTTTCTGTATTTCAGTAGAGACGAGGTTTTACCATGTTGCCCAGGCTGGTCGTAAACTCTTGAGCTCAGGCAGTCTGCCCGCCTCGGCCTCCCGAAGTGCTGGGATTACAGGTGTGAGCCACCGCGCCCGGCCAGTTCTTTAATTTTTTAAACTTTTTTGTTAAAAGCTAAAACATAAATGTACACACATACACACAGACACACACACACTAGCCTAAGCCTGTACAGGGTCAGGATCATGAATATCACTGTTTTTCTCCTCCACATCTTGTCCCACTGAAAGGTCTTCAGAAGCAGTAACATGTATGGGAGACTGTCATCTCCTATAATGACAATGCTGCCTTCTGGAATACCGCCTGAAGGACCTGCCTTGAGGCTGTTTTACAGTTAACTTAAGAAAAAGTAGAAGGATTATACTCTAATAAGTGTAGTAAATACATAAACCAGTAACATAGTCATTTATTATCATTATCGGCTATTATGTACTATACATAATTGAGCCATGCTTTTATACAGCTGGTAGTGCATTGATTTGTTTACACCAGCAGCATCACAGACACCTGAGTAATGCCTTATGCTATGACAGTTTCAACAGCTACTACGTCACTAGGCCATTGGAATTTTTCAGTTCCATGGTAATCTTCTGGGACCACTGTGTATGAGGTCTGTAGTTTACTGAAATGTTGTTATGCAACACATGACTGTTCTTGTACGAAAAACCATTATCTTCGTTGCTTTATCAACTAAAGGTAGCTATTAAGATTTGGAGTTAAAGACCTACCTATATTTTTAAAATATTTTTATTATTTTACTTTGATTATTTTTGGAGTTGTAATTTATATAGCATGAAATGCACAGATCTTATATTTGTCAAAACCCTTTACCCATGTAACCCACACCCCTATCAAGATTCAGGACATTTCTCTTAGCCCAGAAAGTTCCTTTGTATGCCTCCCTTTTTCTGTCCCCACTCATCCCCCGACAATTACTGCTAATTTCTTTTTTTTCTTTTTTTTCTTTTTTTTTTTTTTTTGAGACACAGTCTCGCTCTGTCACCCAGGCTGGAGTGTACTGGCGCAATCTCGGCTCACTGCAACCTCCACCTCATGGGTTCAAGCGATTCTCCTACCTCAGCCTCCCGAGTAGCTGGGACTACAGGTGTGCACCACCATGCCCAGCTGGCTTTTTTCTTTTTGGTAGAGATAGGGTTTCACCATGTTGGCCAGGCTGGTCTCAAACTCCTGACCTAGTGATCCGCCCACCTCAGCCTCCCAAAGTGTTGGGATTACAGGTGTGAGCCACCGCGCCCAGCTGCTAATTTCTGTAACCATGAATTGCTTTGCCTGTTCTCAGACCTCACGTAATGGAATCATGTAGTGTGATGACTTATAGTATGTGCTTTTTTATAAGGCTTCTTTTGCTCACAACTTGTTTTCTGAGATTCATCCACGTTGTTGGCATGAACTAGTTCTTTTTTATTGCTAAATGGTATTCTGTTTTGTGACTAGAGCATAATTTGCTTGTCCGTTCTCCCATTAATGGACATTGGGGTTGTTTCCAGTTTGAAGCTATTAAGAATAAATCTTCTGCCGGGCGCGGTGGCTCACACCTGTAATCCCAGCACTTTGGGAGGCCAAGGCGGGTGGATCACAAGGTCAGGAGATCGAGACCATCCTGGCTAACGTGGTGAAACCCCCATCTCTACTAAAAATACAAAAAATCAGCCAGGTGTGGTGCCAGGCGCCTGTAGTCCCAGCTACTCGGGAGGCTGAGGCAGGAGAATGGCGTGAACCTGGGAGGCGGAGCTTGCAGTGACCCGAGATCCCACTACTGCACTCCAGCCTAGGCGACAGAGCAAGACTCCGTCTCAAAAAAAAAAAAAAAAAAAAAGAAGAAATCTTCTGTGAGCATTTTTGTACAGCTTTTTTTGTGGGCATAGAAGTTTTCATTTCTCTTAGATAAATAACTAGCAACGAAATTCACTGTACAAGGAGGTGTCTGTTTCTGGACTCTGTAGTCTAAGGGCAAACTATAGCCCATGAACCACATCCAGCCCCATGACCTGTTTTTATATGGCTTGCCACGTAAGGATGGGTTTTATATTTTTTAAGGATTGTTTAAAAAGAAAACAATCTGGGATGGAAACCGCAGGTCATCTGCAAAGACTAAATTATTTATTAACTGGCCCTTCATAGAAAAAAAAAATCCCTGTACCTTTGTTCTAGTCTGTTCTATTGATCTATTTTTCTATTCATTTAGTTTGTTTTTTAAGAAAAGCTTTTTTGTTTGTTTGTTTTGTTTTGTTTTGGAGAAGGAGTCTCGCTCTTTTGCCCAGGCCGGAGTGCAGTGGCGTGGTCTCGGCTCACTGCAACCTCCACCTCCCGGGTTCATGCCATTCTCCTGCCTCAGCCTCCCTTAGTAGCTGGAACTACAGGCGCCTGCCACCATGCCCGGCCAATTTTTTGTATTTTTACTAGAGACGGGGTTTCACCGTGTTAGCCAGGATGGTCTCGATCTCGTGACCTCGTGATCCGCCCGCCTCGGCCTCCCAAAGTGCTGGGATTACAGGCGTGAGCCACTGCGCCTGGCCCAAGAAAAGCTTTTAAAGATTTTGGGTTTTTTTAGAGTAGTTTGAGCTTCACAATGAAATGAAGGTACAGAGATTTTCCATCTATTCCCTGTTCTCCTAGTTCATAGTCTCCTCCATTTTCAACATCCTCCCCAACTCCGCTGTCTAGAATGGTACAGTTTGTCACAATCAATAAACCTATATTGATACATCATAATCCGAAGTCTGTAGTTTACACTAGGGTTCACTCTTGGTGTTGTACATTCTGTGGACTTGGACAAATGTATAATGATGTGCATCATTGTAGTGTCATGCAGAGTATTTTCACTGCCCTAAAAGCCGTCTGTGTTTCACCTCTTCATCCCTCTCTCCTTCCCAAAACCCTGGCAACCACTGATTGTCTCCATAGTTTTGCCTTTTTGTAAAGTTACAGTCACACAGTGTGTAGCCTTTTCTCATTGGCCTCATTCATTTAATAATATGTATTTAAGGTTCCTCTGGGTCTTTTCATGGCAATTATCCCTTTACCTACTGAAAGACTTCATGGTTGCTTCCAAGTTTTGGCAATTATGAATAAAGCTGCCATATACATCCATGTGCAGGTTTAAGTTTTTACCTGTTTTGGGTAAATACCAGTGAGCACAATTGCTGGATCATATGGTAAGAGTATGCTTAGTTTTGTGAGAAACTGCAAAAATGTCTTCCAAAGTGTCTATATCATTTTACATTCCCACCAGTGATGAATGAGAGTTCCTGTTGCACTACATCCTCGCCAGCATTTCGTGTTGACAGTGTTCTGGATTTGGCTGTTCTAATAGGCAAATAGTGGTATCCCATTGTTGTCATTTGCATTTCTGTGATAAGATGTGGGTCATCTTTTCATACGCTTATTTGCCATCTGTGTGTCTTCTTTGATGAGGTGTATGTTAAGGTCTTTGGCCCATTTTTTAAACAGGTTGTTATTGTTGAGTTTTGAGAGTTCTTTATATATTTTTGTAAATAGATCTTTATCAGATGTGTTTCTTGCACATATTTTCTCCCAGTCTGTGGATTGTCTTCTCATTCTCTTGACATTATCTTTGAAGGGGCAGTTTTAATTTTAATGAAGTCAATTTTATCAATCACAAAAGTTTCATAGATGAAACTTTCATAGTTGTACTTTAGCTTTACAGTAAGTATTAAAGTCAGGTTGCTTAGTTTCTCGTTTTCATTTCTGTTTAATTCCTAGGTTTTACACCATTATTTGTTGCTAGTATGGAGAAGTATAATAAATGTTTCTGTATTAATGTTGTATCTTGTAACCCTGCTAAACTCACTTATTAATTCTATAAGATGTCTTAGAATTTTCTGGGACATGTTGTCTGAGAATAAAAATAGCTTGCTTCTTCCTTTTTCATCTGTATGCATTTTATTCATTTTTCTGGCTTTAATGTTCTGCCTAGGACCTCTAGTACAATGTTTTGTTTGTTTGTTTTGGGTTTCTTTTGAGATGGACTCTCACTCTGTAGCCCAAGCTGAAGTGCAGTGGTGCTATCTCGCCTCACTGCAACCTCCACCTCTGGGGCTCAAGCGATTCTCGTGCCTCAGCCTCCTGAGTAACTGGGACTACAGGCTTGCGCCACCACACCCAGCTAATTTTGTATTTTTAGTAGATACGGGGTTTCACCATGTTGGTCAGGCTGGTCTCGAACTCCTCACCTCAGGTGGTCCGCCCATCTCAGCCTCCCAAAGTGCTGGGATTATAGGTGTGAGCCACCGTGCCTGGCCAGCACAATGTTTAATAAAACCAATGACAGTGTTCTTCCCTTGTCTTATTCATGATCTGTGGGAAAAAAGCATTCAGCCTTTCGTTAAGTATAATGTTAGTTGTAGGCTTTAGGTATCATTCATTAGGATGAGGAATTCTGTTTCTAGTTTGCTGAGTCTTTTGATCATAAGCGATTACTGAATTTTGCCACATCTTTTTTCATTTATTGAGATGAATCATAGGGTGTTTTTTTTTTCTTTGAATGTGAATTACGTCTTTCTGAGTGTTGAACCAGCCTTGCATTCCTGTGAGATAACCCCACTTGATTGTGGAGTGTTATCTTTTTTATATGTTACTGGATCAGATTTATTAAAATATTGTTCAGGATTTATGCTTCCACAGTAATGTGCTACATAACGAATTTTGGTCAGCAGCAGACTACATATACAACAGTGGCCCCTTAAGACTATAATATATTTTTACTGTGCCTTTTCTATGTTTAGATACACAAATACTTACAATTTTGTTACAGTTGCCTCCAGTATTCAGCACAGTAACAAGCTGTACAGGTTTGTAGCCTGGAAGCAGTGGGCTATACCATACAGCCTAGGTGTGTAGTAGGCTACACCATCTAGGTTTGTTTAAGTACACCCAAAGTGTAAGTTCCCACAGTGACCAGAATCACCTAATGACACTTTTCTCAGAAGATGTCCTTGTCTTTGGGCGAAGCATGATTGGTATATTCATGAGTGATATGGGTCTATAACTTTCTGTTTTTTTGGAGTGTTCTTATTTGTTTTTGATAACAATAATATACTGGCTTCATGAAGTTACCTGGGAATTGTTCCCTTTGTTCTGAAAGTTCATTTAAGATTAGTATTATTTATTCATTAAATGTTTGATAAAATTCACCAGTGAAGCGATCCAGGTCTGGAGTTTTCCTTGTGGGAAGGTTTTAAAATTATGATTCAGTTACTTTAAATTTGAATAGCTAATAGGTATTAGCTATTCAAATTTTCTGCTTCTTGTGCTAATTTTGGTAATTTGTATTTTTGAGTAATATATCCATTTTAAGTTCTTGAATTGATTTGGCATGAAGGTGTTCATAACATTTCTCTACTCTTTTCTTTTTTTTCTTTCTTTTTTTTTTAACTGAGTCAGAGTCTCACTCCGTTGCCCAGGCTGGAGTACAGTGGCATCATCTCAGTTCACTGCAGCCTCCACGTCCTGGGTTCAAACAGTTCTCCCACGTCAGCCTCCCAAGTAGCTGTGCTTACAGGCGCACACCACCATGCCTGGCTAAGTTTCGTATTTTTAGTAGAGGAGGGGTTTTGCCATGTTGGCCAGGCTGGTGTCGAACTCCTGACCTCAAGTGATCCGCCTGCCTCAGCCTCCCAAAGTGCTGGGATTATAGGTGTGAGCCACCATGCCCGGCCTCTGTACTCTTTTCTTAATTTGGATAGAATTTATAATAATGTCTGGTGTGCTCTCTTGTTTTTCTCTCATTGATCTAGGTTGGGGTTTGTCCATTTTATTAATATTTTCAAACAGCCAGCTTTTGTTGTTGTCAGCCTTTTCTTGTTTGTTTTCTATGTCATTTATTTCTGTCTTTATTTTCTTCTGCTTATGTTGGCTTTTCTTTGGGGTAGAAGTTTGTATCACTGGTTATTTAGACTTTTCCAATATTAACATTTGGGCAATAAATTTCTCCTTAAACCCTATGCATCTTTTTTATTTCCCCATTTCTTTGAATCCTTTAAATCCATAAACATAAAAAAGTACCCCAAATACTGTTGTTAATTGCATCTCAAATTTTAATACATTTTTTAAATTAGTTTAAAATATGTTTATATTTTACATGTGATTTATTCTTTGACCCATGGATTATGCTGAAGTGTGTTTAGCTTTTAAATATTTAGGAATTTTGCAGATATTTTATTGTTGGTTTTTAACTCCACTGTGTTCAGAAAACATGCTTTGTATGGTGGTTGTCCTTTGAAATTGAAGACTTGTCTTACGGCCCAGCAAATGGTTTTTCTTGACAAATATTCTATCTATACTTGAAAAGAATGATCAGGCGCAGTGTCTCATGCCTGTAATCCCAGCACTTTGGGAGGCCAAGGCGGACAGATCACTTGAGTTTTAGACCAGCCTGGCCAACGTGGTGAAACCTGTCTCTACTAAAGGTACAAAAAAAATTAATAGCCAGGCTTGGTGGTGCGCTTCTGTAGTTGCAGCTGCTTGAGGGGGCTGAGATACAAAAATCGCTTCACCCCAGGAGGTAGAGGTTACAGTGAGCTGAGATCGCGCCACTGCACTTCAGCCTGGGTACGGAGCAAGACTCTGTCTCATAAAAATAGAATGTGTATCCTACAGTTGTGGGATGTGATGTTTCATAATTGTCTATTAGAATAAGTTGGTTGATGGTGTTCAAATCCTTATGATTTTTTTGTTCTATTGGTTACTAAGAGAGGATTATTAAAATCTACAATTACAATTTTAGGTTTGTCTGGTTTTTCATTTAGTCAGAACAAAATGTAAGTACTTGTTTCATGTGTTTTGAAACTGTTTTATTAGGTTAATATGTATTTTGGATTGTAATGCCTCTGGTAAATTTAGCCTTTTATCATTATGAAATATTTGTTTTTGTTAATATTCTTTGTCTTTATCTCCTTTTTCTCATATTTAATGTAGACTCCTTATGATTAGCATTCACATTTTTTTTTCACTCTTTTTGTTTTGTTTTGTTTTGATACAGGATGTCACTCTCACCTAAGCTGCAGTCCAGTGGCGCAGTCTGGGCTCCCTGCAACCTCTGCCCCCCACCCCGGGTGAGGTGATCCTCCCACCTCAGCCTCCTGAGTAGCTGGAACCACAGGCACACACTACCACGTCTGGCTATTTTTTTGTATTTTTAGTAGAGACAGGGTTTCACCATGTTTCCCAGGCTGGTCTCAAACTCCTGAGCTCAAGCGATCTGCCCACCTCGACCTCCCAAAGTGCTGGGATTACAGGCATGAGTCACCACACCCAGCCCACTCTTAACTTTGTCTCTTAAGTATGTCTCTTGTAAGCAGCGTAGCATTAGATCTTATTTAATTTATTCTGATAACCTTAGTCTTTTAATTGTAGTGTTTAGTTTATTTATATTTAATGTTGATAATTGTTGGGTTTAGGTTTCTCATCTTATTTGTTTTCTGTTTGCTGCTTCTGTGTTTTGTTCCTTTTTTTCTCCCTTCCTGCTCTTCTTGTAGAGGCAAATTCCAACATCTCTGTCATCTCTGTATCTGTTTCATTTACAGTCTTGTTTGTTTAAATATAGAATTCCTGGTTATGGGTCACATCTTCCTGCTCCTTGGCATGTCCAGTACTTTTAGACTGTGTAGTGGAAATGGTGGATGATAATGTTGTTGAATATGGGTTTTATTGTCCTTTATTAGTTTGTTTTGTTCTGGCAGGCTCTTAATTACTCAGATCAGTTTGATTCTCTCAAAGCTTGTTTTTAAACTTAACTTAGGGCAGGTCTTGAAGCCCTGTTCCTTAGACATGGCCTTGGGGTCTCAGTTTAATTCCTGGGATGTTCAGCAAGATCTTGAAACTCCGACTGATCAGAACTTCTATGTCTCTAGCACTGTGCCACCTCTGGAATCTGTTCAATTCACAATTCCTTCGTAGTCCTGCACACTTAGTTACAGCTCCAGTAAGCCCTAGGAGGTGTTGGTGATGTGATTGTTGTGTGTGGTCGCACTGGGAGATACTCTCCATTTTAATGGTGTGAACGTAACATTATGATATATAATGGTTGTCCCGTAGTGACTGTGTATTTCACACTTTAAACGTTATCTCTCATCTTCTGAATCGTCTGAGGATTAAGTTCACTGTAGAAACTTGGGAAGTGCCACATCTAACATTCTTAATGTAAATGGGTCCAAATCATAACTTCAAGGACCAACTTTTCCAAAATATTTTTGCTATATTTTAAAAAGAGTTATATTTATACAAATTACCATAGACAGTAATTTGCTGTCCATCTGTCACCAAGTTAAAATATCTAAGGGTTTTTATGTTGATTACCATGTAATTTTTTTTTTTTTGCATTTTTCAAAATTATGTATATGACTATAGCATAAAATTTCAGTGTGATCCAGGTATGAGCAAGGATAACAATTACTATATTTATTCTTCCTGAATAACAGTAAGAGGAAGAGCAGAAAAGGACATGCCTATTGTACTGGGCACTGTGCTGGGTGCTTTGCAAACATGATCTTGCTTTTTCTCATTTTTAATAATCCTGTGAGGTGGGTGCCATATGTCTTTTATAACAAGGAGTAAAATATTCTGAACCACTTTCCTGCCTATGCAGAAAATTATTCAAGACGACACATGTTTGAAAGTGGTAGAATTTTACTTAAAATCCACCTGTGATTGACTCCAAGCCTGTATTTTTTTCGACTGCATCATTTTGTCTGTAATACAGCTGTATTCAAACTATGATGGTGAAATACATAAGACCTTATTTTCTGTGTGTGGGTCAGGTTTTCCCCCATGCACGAAATTTATAGAACAGGTAACCTGGAGAGTGAGTCTAATTTCCCAGGAGTATTTTTGTCAAATGAAAGAATTTACTGCTTATTCCTTTTTAGAAACATACCCTTGTATGCTGTAAGCTTTGCCTGTGGTCTGATTGGGTTATGGCTCTTAATCTGAAATACTAATTCAGCCAAGCAATTTTTGTAAGACCCATAAAGAAGTCAGCTTTCGACGGGCATGGTGGCTCACGCTTGTAATCCCAGTACTTTGGGAGGCCGAGGCGGGTGGATCACCTGACGTCGTGAGTTCGAGACCAGCCTGACCAACATGGAGAAACCTCATCTCTACTCAAAATACAAAATTAGCTGGGCATGGTGGCACATGCCTGTAATCTCAGCTACTCGGGAGGCTGAGGCAGGAGAGTAGCTTGAACCCAGGAGGCAGAGGTTGCGGTGAGCCGAGGTTGCGCCACTGCACTCTAGCCTGGGTGACAGAGCGAGAGACTCTGTCTCAAAAACAAAACAAAAAAAAAAGAAGTCAGCTTTTCTGGCTAGAAAAATGTGCCTTGGCCTATGTGCAAGAGGCCAGCATAATTAATTTTCTTAAACATTATTTTTTAAAGTGATCTTGGCCAGGTGCAGTGGTTCACACCTGCAATCCCAACACTTTGGGAGGTTGAGGCAGGAGGATTGCTTGAGCCAAGGAGGTTGAGACCAGTGTGGGCAACACAGTGAGACTCCATCTCTACAAAACATTTTAAAAATTAGCTGGGTGTGGTGGCACGTGCCTATAGTCCCAGCTACTCAGGAGGCTGAGGTAGGAAGATCACTTGAGCTCAGGAGGCCGGGGCTGTAGTCAGCCATTGTTGTATCACTGTACTCCAGCTTGGGCTACAGAGAGACCCTGTCTCTAAAAAAATAAAAAGTAAGTAGCCAGGCATGGTGGCTTATGCCTGTAATCCCAGCACTTTGGGAGGCTGAGGTGGGTGGATCACGAGGTCAGGAGATCGAGACTATCCTAGCTAACTAGGTGAAACCCCGTCTCCACTAAAAATATAAAAAATTAGCCGGGCGTGGTGGCGGGCGCCTGTAGTCCCAGCTACTCGGGAGTCTGAGGCAGAAGAATCTCGTGAACCTGGAAGGGGGAGGTTGCAGTGAGCCGAGATTGCGTCACTGCACTCCAGCCTGGGCAACAGAGTGAGACTCTGTCTCAGTCAATCAATCAATAAAATAAAAAGTAAGCAAGATCACTTTTTGAAAAATATTTTTCTTACATTATGGTAGCAAGGAAAGGTTTGATTTTTATGTTCTGAGTTTTTTAAATTTTCAACACAAGAACAAAGGATAGTATAACCAACATCTGTGTTTTCATTAGAATTAATGCCTGTTGATACTTATCACATTTCCTTCATAGTTTTTTTTTTTCTTTTCATTTTTTAAGTAGACTTAAATTTTTTTTAGAGAGATAGATCTTGCTATTATGTTGCCCAAGCAGTGGCCGTTCACAGGCTCAATTATAGTGTACTACAGCCTTGAATTCCTGGGTTTAAGCGATCCTCAAGCCTCAACTTTCTCAGTAGATGAAACTACAGGCGGTGCAACTGACTGAGTAGACTCTATGTTGAGAACAGTTTTAGATTTACAGAAAAATTAAAAGATAGTACAACAGGGTTCTTTATCTCCTCCCCACCATCCACGCACTTCCTATTGTTAGCCTCTTACCTTTCCTGTGTTGTGTTTGTCATAAGTAATGAACCAATACTGATACTTGTGATTAACTGAAGTCCATACTTTAATCAAATTTCCTTTAATTTTCCCTAATGTCCTTCTGTTGTGGAATACCATCCATGATACCCCATTACTTTTAATCGTCCTGTCTCCTTAGGCGCCTCTTGATTGTGACGTTTTCTCAGCCTTTCCTTGGTTTTTAATGACCTTGACAGTTTTGAGGAGAACGAGTCAGGTGTATTATAGGATGCCCCTCTGTACAGATTTGTCTGATGTTTTTCTCATGGTAAGACTGGGCTTATGGGCTTTTGAAAGGAAGATCTCAGCAGCCAAGGGCCATTTTTACCACGTCACTTTGAGGGTGCGTTGTGTCATGGTGACTTTACCACTATGGTTGATGCTGCCCACAGCCACCTGGTTGAGGTCGTGCCTCTCAGGTTTCTCCACTGTAATGCTCCGCTTCCCTCCTCCATGCCATCCTCTTTGGAAGGACTCACTATGTTTAAGGATAGGGGGTTTATATTCTACCTTCTTTAGGCAAAGTGTCTACATAATTTATTTAGACTTCTTCAGTGTGGGAGATCTGTCTCTTCATAGTTTTTTACTAAATGAAATCAATTTTAACAGGATAAATGAAAGTGTCTTTTACATGATATGTATTCATCTTGCTCCCCGCCCGCCGAGACTGGGTCTGGCTCTGTCACCCAGGCTGGAGTGCAGTGATGTTATCTTGGCTCACTGCAGCCTTTGCCTCTGGGGCACAAGCAGTCCTCCTACCCCAGCCTCCTGAGGAGCTGGGACTACAGGCTCATGCCACTGCACCCGGCTGTTTTTTGTAGAGATGGAGATTTGCCATGTGGCCTAGGCCAGTCTCAAACTCCTGAGCTCAAGCAATCCACCTGCCTCAGGCTCCCAAAGTGCTGGGATTACAGGCATGAGCCACCATGCCTGGCCTCATCTTGCTTTTTTAAGAACAGTATTAAAATTCATACATAAAGATTTGATTCATTTATTCTAACCTGTTCATATGATTATGAATTCTTCCTTGTATTTTTTTCCGTTACAGTTTTCTCTATGCTTTTGAAGATACACAATGACATTTTAATGAAAACTTTGTCTCTTATAAGAGGTTCAAATGGTGTGGCTGAATCTCAGAAACAAGAGATTTTGTCTTAGTAATTTTTAAAATAAAGGCAAAGTTACTCACAAATTAGGTTTCCCCCCAGCATCTTTAATCATCTTTGATTACTTGATAAAAAATGCCTTCTAACTGTGATGTAGATCTCATTTTCTTTTTTTTTTGTCAGAAGAGGACTGAACCCCTTTTCTGAGTGCTCTACTGAGGCAAAGTGTCCAGAGCCCTCCACTTAGAGCTGGGAACTGAATGTCAGTGACATTTTCTTGCCAGCAAGTATAAATGCTTATCAACTAATTGCAATTCCAAGGCCATACTTCCATAGATATACATCTGTGTAATTATTACATATTTTTGGATAAGAATGTGGCACTGTGGTTTGTGGCTTTCAAAAAATGGCGCATGGTCTGAAGTAGTGTGATTGCAGGGATTGCATTTTTATTTACTAAGTAAAAACTTAATGCCCTTAGCAGTGAGTCATATTATTCATTTCATGTTTTTCTACCAAGTAATGAAGAATGAACTGGAAAACAAGCCACCTGAAACTCTTCCTAGAACAAAGCAAGAGATAGATAATACTGAGAAATGCCAACTTTAGACATTGTCTTGCAGTTATTGACTTTAAATTATTGTAGTAAGGATGCATGCCTGTTTTAAGTACTGTAGAAAGTCTGTTCATTTTATAGAATCCTGTCTCATGTTAGAGATTTTCTGTGCTCTATTTTTGCAAAGAGATCTTAGAGCCACCTCAAGATTGCACAGTGCTTTGTAGTTTTCAGAGCATTTTCCCATGTGCTATCCCATTTAAACCAGAAACCACAAGTTAGAGCGGCCCTGCGTGAATGGCAAACAGGAGTGTATATATCAGCGATGAGTGGGCACACTGTTGAGGCACAGGGAGTGATTGAGGCGTAGAGATTGGGGACAGTGCAAGGAGGGGACTGAGTGTGTTTTCTCCCCTAAAAACCTGGCACATTTTGCTTAGAGAGTTACAGTAGAACGGGAAGCACCGGCCTGCTTGGCAGTTGTAGTCTCCAAGTTGACCGGGTATGGTTCAGCCTAGGCGTGCTGCTGCCGCCGCGTGTGGGCTCGGTGAGGCAAAGGCGTGTGGGGATGGGAGTGGCCAGAGGTGGGAGGCCATCACTCTTGACTTGAGTCCATCAGGATTTGAATGCAGAGATCAGAGCAGCGTTTGTTCCTGTCTGTCGATGTTATGAGTGATGCTCTTCTGAGACAGTGCTTGCCTTCTGTGACTAACCATCAGTATGAATAACCAGCTCTCTCCTGAGCTTTCCAGTTTCCGTGTTCATTTTAATTAACACTTTAGCTCTGTCAGTTAACCCCCAGCCAGGTGGCTGCACATCCTACCACTTTTTTGTGGACATTTAGATTATTTGATTAGAGATAGACTTTGAAACTGCAAGATTCATGGCTATCCAGGCCCATCCCAGAGGTGTTTTTCCCCATTCCTGTTTATGATGAGGTTGCAGAGGCGTAGCCTCGGTCAACTGTGTCTGTTACCATTTAGCTCGCCTTTGCAGGCCCAGCTCTTGACCCCCTTGTTTGCCTCCCAGTCAGGACCCCTCTCCCTTTTGAAACTCCATTTAGCAGTCGATGTTGGTGGCACCTGTTAACCGCACATGTCTGATTTCCTTGTGGCTTGTGTCTCTTACCTTTGGCTTGGGAGAACGTGGCCCTGTGTGTGTCACCACTGCACAGTACCTCCCTCCTGAAAGACTTTAACACACTTCATGTTCCTAGATGAGTGTGTGTGTGTGTGTGTGTGTGTGTGTGTGTGTGTTGCCACAGCCTTTTCAACTTCCAGTGTCCTAAAGATAAGAGCATCACTGCTGAAGAGAGCTAGGGGCGGGTGGCAACGTGATAGCTGCCTAGTGGTCTCCTTGCTGGGAAGGTCTGCTGCTCGATAGGAACTGTCTGACTAGAAGTGTGCCTTGCCATGGAAACTTGGGAACTAAATGCATTCAGGTCCATCCCTCATGCTCCAGTCTCTTGCTTGCTGCTCCCTGAAGCTCAGGCCAGATAGATCAGGATGAAGGGGCATCCCTTGCTGCCTAAACTTTGAACCAGAGTTCAAACAGCAGGGATCATTGTACCTTTGTGGTACCAAGAGCCAAACGTGGGATGTCTGAGGAGAAAAAGCAGAAGCTGTTAGAGCCACGCCTGGCTTTTTGTGTCCTGAGTAGGTGTCGACCTTGTTTGTTTCTATTTTCTTTCCTCCCGCCCTCCCTGCAGAGAGTGGTGGGCCTGTGCTGAGGCTCCTTGAAATGTCTTCTAGCCACAGGTATAAGGCATTCGAGCAAAGCTTGACAGGTTACGCGGCCACGTTGTGACCAGGGCAAATTTGATTTCAGTTACCACTCAGCGGCAATCTCTGTCACCAACAGTTTGATCTACCTAGTTTTATTCAGTGTTTAATGACAGTTTAATGTTTTAAGTAGAGTTGTGCAGCCTAACAGGGTCGTCTTGCCATTTTGGGCACTCAGAATGTTTGAGTAGAGAACGACTTTAAGAAACAACTTTTCCTCCTTAAAATAATGCTTTGTATAGAGAATATGAGTCATAATAGAAAGTATTAAGAAAGAACATTTGCTTACAAGCCATCCAGAGAAATCACTATGAAATATTTTGGTGTTCTGTCCTCCTTGCTGTGTATAGGTGTGTGTTTTATGGGGATTATACATTTGTGTCCTTTTTTTCTTTTTAATTTTGTAACTTAGAAGGAACGTTTTCTCTGTCAGTAATCAGAGTCACCTTTGTGGTACCAGCGGTTCCTTATGTTGACCTCACCCCTCTCCCTTTTCTAGGCGCTTCCTGTGTATTCTCTCGAAACAAGGCACAGAGACTGCAGCGGACTGAGCCAGCTCCTGGCTCCCTCAGCACCCTTCCCTGTTTTGTCTCCTCGCTGACATCACCAGTCAGGAGGGACGACTGTATTTAAGAGCACTTTACTTTGCTAATTATGTTTTTGTTAGGACTCTGTACACCTCAGCTTTTGTTAAGAGGTAGAGCCACATATTTTTGATAACAATATATCTTTGAGTGTGCTTTACACTTTTAGATTTATGGCATTTAATAAGCTGGGCAAGATCTTCTTTGGCTGCTGCAGTCCTCCTCTTGCCACTGAGGTCCAGGAGATTCGCCATGAGGAGATGACACAGAACCCTCAGGCAGCCTCACGTCACCTCCCAGGGCTCATCCCACGAGCTGTTCTTCCTGCTCCCACAGTAGAGCTGACGGCCTGCCCAGTTCAAGAATTAGTTCTGTTTTCCTGCCCCAAAGTAGAGGAGGAACACAGTCCTCTGAAATGTCATCTTTCTTTCTCCTTTAAATTTTACTAGAAATAGTCAGTGGCTGTCTGTCTTAAAGCCTTGTGAGTTCTGTCCGATCTTTATTTCTCCTTTTCTCTGAACCGTTGCGTTACCTATACACATTCACGCCTTCCTTTATTGCCGCCTCCTTTACTGTGCGTTCTTGACGTCCCTTTTTATGAGTGAGTGGAGTGTAGATCCGTGGAAAAAGGTGCTTCTCTGCCTTGCATGAGCGCTCTATGTGGAAGGTCTGGGGAAAACATCGGGTGGCTTTGTCAGGTGACTTATTGAGGCCCTCTGTCCCGCTGGGCCATAGTTGGATTGCAGTGTAAATTAATTTCGTCTTTACAAAGATTCACTCTTTTGTGTGTGTGTGTGACAGAGTCTTGCTGTGTTACCCAGGCTGGAGTGCAGTGGTGCAATCTTGGCTCACTGCAACCTCCTACTCCCAGGGTTCAAGTGATTCTCCTGCCTAAGCCTCTCCTTAAGCGATTCTCCTGCCTAAACCTGTAGCTGGGGCTACAGGTGTGTGCCACCATGCCTGGCTAATTTTTGTATTTTTAGTAGAGACAGGGTTTCACCATATTGGCCAGGCGGGTCTCCAACTCCTGACCTCAGGTGATCCACCCGCCTTGGCCTTTCAAAGTGCTGGGATTACAGGCGTGAGCCACCACGCCCAGCCAAGATTCAGTCTTTATAGAATAAAATTTTTCTCACATTTTTTATCACCTTTTCTTCTTTTTTCCTCTTTTTCCATTGCCCGTGTGAAGTTGGCTTGGATTGGCATGAAAGGGGCACTTAATCCTGAAGAGAGTCTACTCTTCTACCTAAAAAAAAATATTAGGACTTAAAAGAATTAGGAGAAACAGTGCCTTCAAATTTTATCTCCCTTTTCTTGGATCATTTTGCCTCAGATTAGCTGTTCTTTGTGTAAAATACTCTGGGAAGTGGTGTCCAGGGTGCGGGGCTATGGAATCCCAGTCACTGGGCAGTGGGGATGGAAGACCTTGCTCCACGAACTCCCCAGTCTCCTGGAAAGGCTGCTGGCCATCCACTCTGGGCCCCACAGGGAGGATTGCCATGGTGAGGGCCTCCCAGTCCAGGGGTTGACAGTTAAGTCTGCAGACTCAGAACCCTCAGTTGTCACTCACTGCGAGTAGCAACATCTCCCAGGAGTGTAGCCTTTATGTGAATCAAGCACTGATGGTTTGAAATAAAAAATGTCATCAGATTTTTAGAATCAGAAAGAACTTTAAAGATCACCTAATGATAATCTAAATGCTTCCTATTTTATAGATAAGGAAAACTGAGGGACCAAGAGGTTTGTCCCAGTTACATGGCTGATGAGGGGCAGAAACAGGATTAGAAATAGTTTCTCCAGTGACCTTGACCCGTCGTTTTTGCTTATGCATTAATGCAGACTGCACCTTGGGGAACCAGCGTCTCTAACTGTAGGGACCTGCCAAGGTGTACCAATAGTATTAGGGTGCCGGTTTCACTGCTAGAAGTTTCTGGAGCAGTTGGGTGACTAACAGTGAGGATACAGGCCTGCATTTCCACTCTTCTTCTAAGTCACATTCTGGTCGTGGCTGTGTGTGTGTGTACACAGTGGCTCAATTATGGATCACTACATCCTCAACCTCTTGGGTTCGAGCAGTCCTCCCACCTCAGCCTCCGAAATAGCTGGGACTACAAGCACACGCCGTCACACCTGGCTAATTATTTTTTGTAGAGAAGGGGGTTTTGCTACGTTGCCCAGGTTGGTCTCAAACTCCTGGCCTCAAGCAATCCTCGTGCCTGGGAGGATCTTAACCCAAGAAGACAAGGAATGCTTCTTGAAAGACATTATCCAAATGAAATACAGTGAGAGTTGCTAAATACTTTGTTACTAGTCTTCCAGTTAGGACTTATCCTTCCAGGGCAAATGTTCAGACCTGGGGGCCGCACATTTTCCTGAATGCATTCCAGGTTGGCAGCACATAAGACTTCAATTGAGGGGGAAGGTGGGCTGTTCACCTGCCCAGGTGCTTTAGCCCAACTCTCCTGCCCCAGGTGCACCCTGGACAGCCAAGTGCTGTCTGTGGCACTGTAATCAGTGGCGTATTTCTCCTTACTCTATATTTACCAAGTTGATATACTGGAAGGATTCCAAGAGCAAGCGAGTGATAGCAGACAACTGAATGCAGTCATGTCTTTCCATGAAAACTGCTTTTCTTGGCTTTCTTCCAACAATGGTAGGTTGCCAAGAGAAAATGCTTTTGGCTTTACAAATGATCTGGCCGTAGTCTGGGGTGGTTCTGGTTCTTTATGTCATTGAAAATGATAAATATTTCTGGCTATTCAATTATTTAGCAAACTTTTGCTCTTGATGTACTGAACTGTGTTGTTTTTTTACACCTTATATGAATTTGTGGTTTTACATGTATACCAACTTGTGGAGAAAGATGCTAAAAAAACTCCAGCTTGAAAAATATGTCAGGTTAGGCTGAAGCCACATCAAATGGAAGTTTGTTGCTGTGTCGTGGCTGGCTTATGAGTGGTAGTTGCATCCATTTCTTTTTTCGTGGGAGTGTTCTTTCATGTTCAGTTCTTCTATGTTTTGGTTTAAATTTTAACCCAAGAATGTTAGGCTAGGGTATTTTAATCATATGTCATTATTGCTTATGATTTAAGTTTGAAATAAACACCCTGAGTTTATTGTTCTTAAAGCTAAAAAACAATGTAGAATGAAAACTGGAAACGCTTATGATTTACCAGGACAATTAGAAAATAATGGCCTTTTCAGAGTATTTCTACAAATAGCAAATGCACAAGATTGTTGTTGTCACAGTGTTTTTCTGAAAATGTCCCATAATCCAAATGCCAGTAATCCCAGCCGGCCTCTCCCTATCGTCCTACATGTTGGAACCACTCTCCACCATTACACGTTCTCTGTAAAGCATTCCTTTATTTCATTACTGTTTAAGCATGGTCAGGAAAGAAATCATATGTAGTGTAGAATGATTGCTCCCAAAGCTGTCTCTCACCTCCTCACCCCTAGTACTCACTGTCGCAGCTGCTCATCTTAGTGCTTCGCATATAGGAACTTGTTTAGTTCTCACGCAACCCTTAGAGGAGGTGCTGTGATCTCCATTTTACAGATGATAAAACCAAGGTGCAGAGAGGTTTAAGTAAATCCCTAGCAAGTGGTGGAGTCGCCATTCAGATATCCCCAGAGCCCACATAGTTGACCGCAATGGCATGTTGCCTCTATGGATGAAATTGTATTTGTGGCTGTGTTCCAATAAGAAAAATTTGGTTTTTTCAGAAAGAGGCATTGGGCTGCCTTTGGCCCACAGGCCGCACTTTGCCACCCTGTTTTCATAGACAGATCCTGTCTCTGTCCCGGCTACTGGCGTGAGGCCGGTGAACTTGAAGGAGACAGAGTTGCGTTAAGCGGGGAGGTGATGAGCCCCCGTGCAAGGGTGAAGCCTCTAGTGGGGGCTGTGGGGAGCGTCTGCTGAGTTCTCAGGCTGATTTAGTGTGTCCCTGCCCTTTCCGGGGGGCCCCTTCCTCACCTATAAAGTGGTAGGTTTTAGCTAGTCTTATTTCTCCACTTGTCTTTGCAAAGCTTATTACTGAACATCATATTTTGGTTCCTTTTTGTGTGTTTTTGACCAGCATCAGTGACACCCCCCAAAGCCCACTTCCTCTGAGTGGTCTGCTGTGTATTGTGGCTTGAGGCGTGTCTTGAGGTGTGAGGAAAACTGCTGAAGTAGTCAGCTGCTGCAAAAATGGACTTAGTGGGCTCCTCGGAACCACCTTAAGGCCAGGTGCGGTGGCTCACGCCTGTAATCCCAGCCCTTTGGGAGGCCAAGGCAGGCGGATCACTTGAGGTTAGGAGTTTGAGACCAGCCTGGCCAACGTGGTCTTTAGTAAAGATGGGGAAACCCCATCTCTACTAAAAATACAAAAATTAGCCAGGCGTGGTGGCACGCGCCTGTAGTCCCAGCTACTCAGGAGGCTGAGACGGGAGAATCGCTTGAACCAGGGAGGCAGAGGTTGCAGTGAGCTGGGACGGTGCCACTACACTCCAGCCTGGGCAACAAGAGTGAGACTCCATCTCAAAAAAAAAAAAAAAAAAAAAGAAAAGAAAACCTAAACATCAAACTCGGCACTTGTTGCACTGAGAGTTTCTGATGGCCTGGCCGACTCTAGGTCAAGTTCTGCGTCGCAGTGCCATTTCTGGCCGTCCTCCTCCCCGGCCCCCCATTGGTCACATGGTGGCCCCCTCAGGTGCATACTCATAAGTGGTTATGGTCAACCCCTTCTTGTGAGTGTGCACTTCAAAATGACGTTTGGAGATGAAAACTGGGGGAGTTTGTTTGTCGGAGTGGTTGTTCTTATGAGTGGTTGATGTCTCTGGAAGTGGACTATTTGCAAAGGCTCCCATACATGGCTCAGGGTTGTGTGAGATGAGGAACCAGCTTGCCCTTCCCTGAAAATGAGGGGCATGGAGGAAGTTTCCTTCCTCCAAGGACAGGTATTCTTAATCTTTAGGAGATCTTAGAGTGACCCTCAGAAATGAACATCACACAAAATTGTGAACTGGTGCCCACCCAAATGCTCCCTCCCCTGCCCCCATGGACTGCCTGGCCCATTGCCTCCCCCCAGTGGAGTTTGGCCTGCAAAGAACGTGTTTCTCTGACCTTTTCGACAGAAGAGCCAGAAAATGGATGCTTGGCTTGCTACTATTGTAGAAACCTGTTCTGGGGAAATACTTCTATTTTGATGATTTCTTCTATAACCTTTCAGTCTAAACCCCTTTTCAATATCAGGAGTTTTTCTGATGATATTGAAGGACTTGACTTGACTTTTCTCTCTCCTTAAACCCTTAATTAGTTTTTGGATTTCCATTTACTAACTTTTTTACGAGACTAGATCTCACTTGAGAGAAGGGGGAGTTAGGTGAGTAGTAGAGAGATTCTCCTGGTTAGTGAGTGGAGAGAATCTTTCTGGTCTTTCTGAGCCTGGAGCTTGTTTTCTTACTAATGTTTTGATAGCTGTCATATCATTACAAGTAGAAAATGATAGTATTTGTCCCACACACTGAGGTAAACAGAGGAGGCTGTTGGCAGCCAGAAGTGACCATGGAGGCTGATGGGTCAGTAATTCTGTGTGCAAGTGGAAAGCTCTGGGTAAGGGCATGAGTGGGGCCTTGTACCAAAGTCAGGGTTTTCCTGGCCCAAAGATGTAGCACAGAGGACCCATTTTATAGCCAGACTGGACTTGTGTATCTGCTGTGATCACACACACCCGTTTCACCATTCTGAAAACCAACTCCGAAGGCCTGTTCTCGTTCTGCCCGACTTTTCAGCATGGGAAAGTAGCTGTCCACTCCTGTCCACTCCAACTGGTAGCTGAGATCCTTGTTTGGAAGTTTTGAAGATAGAAAGGGCACTGTTCCTGCTGCCTCTTCCGATGCCCCCTCCAGCCATTGCTGACCCTCTTTGTGCCTTGACTTTGGTCACTTGTTCGTGGTTCTTTGACCACCTCCTTCCTGGCTCTATTCCTAGGGGCTGCGTGGCATGGTGGTGCTTTGGCGTGTTCATTCATTTGGGTCCTTCCGCTGCATCCCTGGTATGTTGCAGGGGATGCAGAGAATGTTCCAGGAAGGTGAGAAGTTTTATCCTAGTTTTGTGACCAAAACAGGTTCAGGATAGATTATTACAAACATTTATGTGACAGATAATCCTCTAGAGCCGTGTGGTACTTTGTACTTTCCGTGGTACCCATGTCTGCTGGAGTAGATGGACAGTCACAGTCTGCCTTTTCCCTCCTCTTTGTTGATCATGGTCACTCACCTACTTGCCAGACAGTTCAGACCCGCAGCCACAGGATTTAATGGATGGGCTAGGCTCAGCACCAGGATTTGCTGCAGGTGCCTCTTTGTATTGTTCTTGGGTTTTGAGCTGAACTTAAAGAGGAATTTCCTCATCAGAGCTCACACTGCAGTCATGTTAAGGCTAATCCAGTTTCACCCCCATTCTTTCTTGGGGGCAGTGGTTGGAGTTGGGGAAACCTCAGGATCTGGCTTCAATATTTTTCTTATCATACACAGGGACTATGCATTACATATTTTTACTCTCTGAGTGAAGTGATAGAAAACAGAAGTAGGTTCTCAAACAGTTAATTGATTGATACGCTTGGTCACAATGCTTTTTAATGGGAAACCTGGGAGAGCTGTGAGGCATTGTTTAATTTAGTTTCATTATGGAAGCTCTTGTTCTTTTTTTGGGTACTTACTATAGTTAACTTTTCCTATTTTCTGAGATTAAACTTGAATTAAATGCTTAAAGGAGTTCTGTTAGGAAGAACAGAGTAAAAGAAACTTCTAATATGTATGGGCTGTTGTTGAATGAGGCAGAATATAAATACTTTATGGGTTTTAATTTGTTAATATATAAATTTTACTATTAACTGAACAGTTGCCTATTCTCTGTTCTGCTTTTTTAATTTTATTTAAAAGAGTGTATGGAATACAAAAAAAAAGAATGAATAAGACTTTGTATTTGCTAGCACAACAGGGTGACTATTCAAAAATAATTTAATTCTACATTTTTAAATAACTGAAAGACTGTAATTGGATTGTTTATAACACAAAGGATAAATGCTTGAGGTGACGGACACCCCATTTAACCTGGGTGTGATTATTACACAGTGCATGCCTGTAAAAAAAACTCATGTAACCCATAAATATATATACCTACTATGTACCTCCCAAAATTAAAAATGAAAAAACTTTTTAAAAGATTATATAGAGGTTCTCTAGCAGCATTAAACCAAATCCTGATGAACCTCCATTGAAAATAAAGCCAGCTTTACAAAAAAAAAAAAAAATTTTTTTTTTTTTTTTTTTTGAGATGGAGTCTCCCCTCTGTCATCCAGGCTGGAGTGCAGTGGCAAGATCTCAGCTCACTGCATTTTCTGCCTCCCGGGTTCAAGCAGTTTATTCTGGCTCATCGTGGGATTATACGCACGCACCACCATGCCTAGCTAATTTTTGTATTTTTAGTAGAGATGGAGTTTCACCATGTTGGCCAGGCTGGTCTCGAACTGCTGACCTTAAGTGATCCGCCTGCCTTAGCCTCCCAAAGTGCTGGAATTACAGGCATGAGCACCCAGCCTACCAAACTATTATCAAGTACCTGTTGGGACGTTTAAAGAAATGTAGATTTTCATTAATTAGCGTTAGACATCTTGATTTTAGTATTTCATTTTGGGCATTGGTCCTAAGAAGTATATGTTAGCCTAGGGTGGGGGACCACAGTGCTCAGTTTGATTAATGGAGAATAGATATATACTAGGAATTCAGAAATCTAGAATCTCTAGAAGCAAATGGTTTTTATTCATAACTGCAGGCTAGGACCAGTGCATGGCTCTTGAGTTCTGCCAGGAGGTGGTTTGGCACCAGGAGGTAGCCTTGCCTGGGCAATGAGCAGTGATACCCTGTGAGAGAGCTGACCTCTTTAGCCTGGTTATTAACTTTCTCTGATAAGGAGAGGCTGGGGCTGGCCCTGGTGCCAGAGATTTGAACCCTAACCTCCTGCATGTAGCCTGGGTTTTGTTTTTATCATAGGCTAAAGACGGGAATTTTTTCCCCTATTTTTGAGAATTGTGTAGATCCCTATGAGCTGGACGTTCCTTACATACCGTTCATGATCTTTGACTTGCCATCTTTTTTACCTTGTGAGAATCAAGGTAAAAACTTGTTGAGACTGTTTCCTTCACTCTCTTATCTGATGGCCAAGAAGAAAAGGTACAAACACGTTTTTGATGAAATCTGTCAGAGCGCTTCCAAACACTGGGTTACCCTTTGAAATTGACCAGTTATGGCCAGGCGTGGTGGCTTATACCTGTAATCCCAACACCTGGGGAGGCTTGAGGTGTATGGATCACTTGAGGCCAGGAGTTTGAGGCCAGCGTGGCCAACATGGTAAAACCCTGTCTCTACTAAAAAATACAAAAATTTGCTGGGTGTGGTGGTGCATGCCTGTGAACTCAACTACTTGGGAGGCTGAGACACGAGAATTGCTTGAATCTGGGAGGCGGAGGTTGCAGGGAGCTGAAATCATGCCACTGCATTCCAGCCTAGGCAACAGAACGAGACTCTGTCTCAAACACACACACACACACACACACACACACACACACACACACACACACACACACACAGAACGAGACTCTGTCTCAAACACACACACACACACACACACACACACACACTAAACAACATTGACCAGTTAGAAAAGGGCCCCAGGCCAGGCAAGTATTACCCATCTGATCACACACTCATACTCACCCTGGCAGGGCTATCTTAGGAAAATTGTCAAAATATCTGGGAAGTTTTGGAAATAAACTTTCTGAAGCAAGTCAGGTGAACTTTGAGGTCCACAGAGCACACTGGCCTCTTGGTACTTAGGTCCCCTCTTCTCTGGAGCCAGGGTGCCTGGGCATTTGGTGTGGAAGGAAGATGGTTACCTGTTCCCTTCCCCACCCCTTCAGCTGTCACCCACTTTGGTTTGTCAATGCTGGGCCTAATTAATTAGAAACTTCCAAAAGACGTTGATTTTTTGTTTGTTTGTTTGTCAAATTGGTTGACATAAGGTGTGAGCTCCGTGACAAGTGGGAAATGCATCTACGCAGCCTCAGAACTGGGCTTGGCTCATACCAGGCACTTGGTGAATACCAGTTGACTTCGAGGATGAATTGATCGAGGGAAAATGAGTGTGGGTGTTCTGTCATATTTTGTCCGAAGTCAGAAATTTAGGAACTGGGGGAAAAAAAACTATATTTTTTGTTGTTGTTCGTGTTGTTGTATTCAAATTCTAGGCTTCTAAGAACAATGTTTCAGCGGTTTGGTTATATGTAATAAGACAAATTCTGAGAGTAGTAAGTGTTCCATGGAATTAATTTAGTATAGTGGTTTCTGAAAATATAAATTCCTGCTTCAATTAAGTTTCAGATGACAGTTGAAGGAAGCTTCTTGCAAATCAGAAATGTGCTTAATATTTATCGAGCTACCATCTTGCCTAGATTAAGTCATTTGAACTCGAAATTGAGTCTGGTTTGTGGACTTGCAGAAGAATTAGTGTCTCAGTTCACTTAAGTAGAGCACCTAGTGGTGACAAGAATGTGATTGCTTTCCAAAAGGTGAGAAATGTCACCTAGGAGGACTACATGGGGAAGGAAATCACCTGCGTATGAAATGCACAGAGCTAGAACTTTCTGGTTATACTCCTTTGGTTTTTATTTGTGTTTCTGTACAGGCATTTCAGCAGAAAGGGCCAGTTGTGTTGAGTGTTGATTTGTTTGTAGCCTAGACTTTTAGAGCTGAAAGAAATAATACGATCCATCTTGTTCAAGACACTCATCTTACAGGCGAGGAGTTTGAAGTCCATAGAAGGAATGTTAAGTTACCCAGAGTGGACATGCTGGCGTGGCAGTCACCAGGTGAGGCTGATGGAGAGAACTGAGCTATGATTTCTTAACTGGAAACTCACCCCTGGGAGGTTTTCCCTATGCGGGGACCTTCCCAGTCCATCAAACTGACCACTACTCCAGAAATACAGAACACACAATAGACAGAAGGTGGAATATTAGAGCTTTGCAAAAAAGCAAAGACAGGCAGCCCAAGCATCCAGTTTCTTAATTAGTCGTTGTTTCTCCACAGGGAGAAAGATAAGCACTGGGATATTGCCATGGCAATTCCTGAATTGACCTGTGGAGGCTGGAGCTGGGGGTCATCAGGGAACTTGGCCCACATCTGTTGATGGAAGGAATTCCAGTTGGTTGCAGGCCCTCACGGAAGCATAGCTGAGGGTTCCTCTTTCCCATTCCTGCCTTTATCTAGTATATATTTGATTTCAGTGCACTTTAATTTTATAAAAAACTTTATTATGGAAAATTTTAGGCCGGGCGCAGTGGCTCACACCTGTAATCCCAGTACATTGGGAGGCCAAGGTGGGCGGATCACCTGAGGTCAGGAGTTCAAGACCAGCTTGGCCAACATGATGAAACTTTGTCTCTACTAAAAATACAAAAATTAGCTGGGTGTGATGGCACGAGCCCATAATCCCAGCTACTCAGGAGGCTGAGGCAGGAGAATTGCTTGAACCTGGGAGAGGGAGGTTTCAGTGAGCCGAGATCACGCCACTGCACTCCAGCCTGGGTGACAGAGTGACACACTCTCAAAAAATATAAATAAATACATAAATTTTACACCTGTACAGTGGTAGAGAGGATACTATAACCTCTCTGTACCCATCGCCTACTGCTTGGTTAGTGATTATCAGTACCTTACCAGGCTCTCTCCATCTATGCCCTTTTCCTGCCACCTCCTCCTGCCCAGTGGATTAGAGGTGACCCTTAAGCAACTCAGGGGTTAAGGGTGCTGACCCTGCCAGTCGAAAATCTGCTTGTAACCTTTTGACTCCATAAAAGTTTAACTACTACTAATCCCCTGCTGTTGATCAGAAGCCTTACCAATAGCATACACATTTGCTTAACACAAATTTCATGTTTTATGTGTTATATACTGTATCTTTACAGTGAAGTAAGCTAGAGAAAAGAAAACGTTATTAGGAAAACCGTAAGGGGCCGGGCACGGTGGCTCATGCCTGTAATCCGAGCACTTTGGGAGGCCAAGGTGGATGGATCACCTGAGGTCAGGAGTTTGAGAACAGCCTGGCCAGCATGATGAAACCGTGTCTCTACTAAAAATACAAAAAAATTAGCCGGACCTGGTGGCACGTGCCTGTAGTACCAGCTACTCAGGAGGCTGAGGCAAGAGAATCGCTTGAACCCAGGCGGTAGAGGTTGGCAGTGAGCCGAGACAGCTCCACTGCACTCCAGCCTAGGCGACAGAGCAAGATGCTGTCTCTATTAAAATAAATAAATAAAACCATAAGGAAAAGAAAATATATGTACCATTCATTAAGTGAAAGTGGGTCATCATCAAGGTCTTCATCCTCATTGTCTTCACGTTGAGGAGGATGAGGAGGTGCTGGTCTTGATCTCTTGGTTGGCAGAGGCTGAGGAGTTTGAAGAGGAGCAGGAGAGATTGAAAAATATTTCCATATATGTAGACCCATGCAGTTCAAACCCATGTTGGTCATGGGTCAGGTGTATTTTAAAGGAGATCCCAGGTGTTGTATCATTTCATTGCAATATTTCCACTGTGTGTTTTGAACTAATGGAAACTTAGTTCAAATCTGATGGGGAACCTAACAGAAACTAGATACCTATAGAGTAATTAAGGATTAAACTGAAAGAATTCCCCTTGGGTAGCAGCTTTGGAAGGTTTTGTTTTCCAAATGACTTTCTTCGGGTGTTGGTGCCATTGTTGGGGCAGGAGGGATTGAGTGAGGAGAGTGGCTGAGGGTGGGGGGAAACAGCTCGTCTACTTGCGGGATGGGGTTTAGGGTGAGGAGAGAGTGGCTGCTAGGAGCTGCTTCATGAGCCTTCTGCTTGGAGCATGTGAACCTGATAATGAACCTTGAATTTATCATTGCAATGAGTATTTCATAGGAAACTGTGTGAGCATTTCCCAGGCCCTTCCTTTTATATTGACTGCGTCACCACAGCTGATGTTACCTCTTTTTTGTTTCAGATGGGAATAACTGGGAACACAAGTCCATTTGGACAGCCCTTTAGTCAAGCTGGAGGGCAGCCAATGGGAGCCACTGGAGTGAACCCCCAGTTAGCCAGCAAACAGAGCATGGTCAACAGTTTGCCCACCTTCCCTACAGATATCAAGAATACTTCAGTCACCAACGTGCCAAATATGGTAAGTTACCCTTGGCCCTCAGTGTTATGGCTCTCCGGTGGGTGCTGTGGTCTGTGGATTTTTACCATTCTCACAGTGAAAGTCTATAACTAAAAGTGTGTCAGTAGGTGATAGGAAGAGAACCCAGATTTCTCATGAGTAGCTCTCTAAATGAGTTTAACATTTTCTGTGATGAGCTAGCAACAGGAGAGATAGGTGAGGATGATTCAGCCGCTCTTCCCAGGCTCCTTTTGTTGATGGAGAGAATTCACGTGCACGAATCACTTTACCTTTCTCTCCAGAATCATGAGAACCAGAGACACTGGCTTTTCTTACACTTCCTGTTTGTTAGTGGCTTGATGATGTCAGTAGAAGCCCATTGATTTGTATTACCGTCAGATGATGGACATTTATCTTCCAAAGACAATACTCTGTTGATGAGATGCATATTACGTCCAACACAATAGATGATTCCACGTGTCTTCATCCTCCCTGAGGTTTGAAGGGATTTTATAGATGGGAAATCTATAAAATGGGAATTATCCTTATCACTTCTCAACCTGATGAATCAAGATATTAATGGGAAAATATCTCCTTTTGCACCACCAAATAATAGAATCTCTTTTATTTCAAAACACTGAGGGGTAGTGCGTTCTTTTGTCCAGCCTCTCTTGTTCACCCCCAGTGCTGCATGTCTGGTGTGCTCTTGGTGGTGGGTGAGGACCACAAGCAGCCATCTCTCCCCACTGTGCTTGTTGCTGAGAGCCTGACCTTCCCAGCTGCCATAGTGATTTGGGAAGATCACAAGAAAGTGAGAGGATTATGTTCAGAAAAAGTTGCTTTTTGTCTTTCGGTTTTTTATGCTTTTTATTTTGAAGTATTTGTTGTAAAGATAGCACAGAGAATTCCTATATATCTTTCACCTCATCCAGCTTCCTCTGATGCATCTTACATAACCTTGGTCTTTTCTCAAAACTAAGTAATTAACATTGCTTACAGTGCTTAGAAGTTTTGAGGTTGCTGGGAAGCAGAGAGAGCCAGATCTCTTTATTTACTTGTTTGATAAAATCAGGAAATGGGAATAATGAGGTGTCCTGTCAGGTGCTGGCTCCCTGCTGTATGGTACCTCCATTTAAAAAGGTGGTTGAGGCCGGGCGTGGTGGCTCACACCTGTAATGCCAGCACTTTGGGAGGCTGAGGCGGGTGGATCACTAGGTCAGGAGTTCGAGGCCAGGCTGGCCAAGATGATGAAACCCCGTCTCTGCTAAAAATACAAAAATTAGCCGGGCATGGTGGCGGGCACCTGTAATTCCAGCTACTCAGGAGGCTGAGGCAAGAGAATCGCTTGAACCTGGGAGGTGGAGGTTGCAGTGAGCGGAGATCGCGCCACTGCACTCTAGCCTGGGTGGCAGAGCAAGACTCTGTCTCAAAAAAAAAAAAGGTGGTTGGGTATGTACAAGTAACAAAACTTGCTCTCAAAACTGTGAAAACAACCTAAAGTTCTTAGGACTTCTTTATTTCTTCTGATAATCCCCTTGTAACTTTCCTTGATATGCTTCTTTCTTTCCAATAACTTTTTGTTGCCAGGATTGTCCTGTTCCTGATAGTGCAGGTCCAGAACCTGAAACAGAGCCCAGAGGACCCTAGGTCAGCCCCTCAAGTTCAGGGAACGGTACTGACCTGCATAATGCTGGGCTCTGGCACCACACAGATCCCGTTCTCTCCTGTGCTTCCTTTTCCAGTCCTCACCGAAAGGACAGTAGTGTGGACTCTGGGGTTAGCTGTCATCGATTATGCCTGCTCAGTAACCAGGAGCACATTTTGGCTTCATAGTGAAAGCATTTGCTTTTTCCAAGACTTCTTGTGTTTTACAGTCAGGGAAACCCTGACCTAACATTTTGCTCCCTTTTCTCTTTTAAAATATTCTCCAGCCCCACTTCCCCATCCCCTCTCCTTTATCTACAACTTAGTGACAGAATCTGTGCTCCGGGCCCCTCTGCTGCCTCCACTGCTGCTCCAGAGGGCTGAACTTGGCAGATGTGGTATGCTTGTCAAGGGCAGTTTCTGCCCGGGACTGCAAAGAGGCTGCTCATTCCCTTCACCTGCAGCAGGGCTGGAGCCGTTTGGTCTGGGGCAGGCTCCCCTCTGCCTCTGCACTGATGGCAGTTCTCTGCTGTGAGCCGGTTGTGCCCCAGAGGATGTTGGGCAGCATCCCTGGCCCTACCCACTGGGTGCTTACAGCCTTCTCCTCTAAGCCATGATAATCAAAAATGGCTCAAGGCACCAACATATGTTCTCCAGGGCATAGTCGCCCCTAGTTAAAAACTCCTGCTCTGGAGAACTGGAGAGTAATTAGGAGAAGCAGTAGCAACAGCATCTCATCCTTTTGCTTGTCTTCCAGACATCTGACAAAAGTAGAACCACTTCTTTTCCTCTCTGCCTCTCTCTCTCCCCCGCTGCCCCCCCCTTCTTTCATCCCTCCCTCTCCCCTTCTCTCCCCACCCCCTCTCTTTCTCTCTCCCTCTCTTCCTGTTTCTTGGTCTGTCTCTGATCTTCTCAGGGTAAACTGAGAAAGCATTTTTGTCCATGGGAACTGCATTGGTTGCCTGGTGGCCACTGTCTCACAAGAACCCCTGTGGACTTTGAGACAGATCCACAAATGCCTGTTGGGGGTAAACTGAATGACACCACTGACCCTGGAGGGCACAGATCAGATGGGGCTGTGCCCACGTGTGCCTTTGTGAGGCAGCCTGACCCAGGAACAGCCTTCAGTGCTCCACATAGTGGTAGGAACCAGAGGGGCTGGTGGGAAAGTGGGGTACCAGCACACATGGTCTCCCCAACATCTTTCTAGGTAATTTTTAACATATTCCTGCAATAGCCTCTTGAGAGACATCATTCCAGGTCCCATTTTACAGCTGAGCAAGTTGAGACTCTGAGGAGTTTGGGTTGTTCAAAGCTATGTAGCTTCCTGTTTGCAAAGCCTGAAACTCTTCAGTTATGTTCTGAGGTCATGTTTTTGCAGCCCTGAGCCTGCCGGGAATGCTTCACCAGCCCGTGCTTACACAGTTTGTCTGCAGTTCCTCAGATGTGTTTTGTAGTCTTTTTGAATTTTGAAAATTATATCTGGCCTCAAAACCCACAGACTTTTGCATACTGAGGGCAAACACTTACAAAGAAATCTAGGTCTATTTACTGAAAAAATGAGGTGTCAAACATATTTGCATTTATTGTCATGCTTTAGGGGGTACCCAACTAAATTTGGTGTCCCAAACAATCCCAGTCAGGACTCCAGTGCCAAATCACCTGGTGCCCTCTGCAGCTCTTTCCTGGAGTGATTTAGCCACGTGGTCTTGGGCCAGGGAGCTCTTGTTCCTCTCCCCTCCTAGTTTCTATAGGAGTCCAACACTGGGTAGCATTGAGGAAGGGAAGGATATGATCATTCAATTAATTTGTCACATGTGTTGAAAGCCTTTTGTGGGCTCAGGTGCTGGAGTCGGCTCCCCAGAAGGCAACTGGGAGTGACACAGAGCTCACTCCACTTTTGTGAAATGGAAGGTGTAGTGGCCACGGAAAACAAATCGTTACAAACTGCTCCAAGAGGTCTGCGTAGCACTCAGCGGTTCAGATTGTCATAGGGACCTCTTTAGATGGAGCCATCAGAGAAGGCCACATTGAGGAAGGAGATTTAAAGGCAAGATTGGAAAGTTGAGAAGAAGCCACAGAGACCCCAGGGTATTGGGACAGCACTGGCTTGCGTAGGAACTGGTAGAAGTCCAGAAAGGCCACCATGAGGGAAGGGAGCAGGGCGTGAGTGGAAGTTGGGGGTTGAGCAGGAACCATTTCAGGGGGCCTTGGAGGGAAGATGGGCCATCGGCTTACAGGGTGGGGTGTGATGCAGGAAGTTGAAGCCACTTTAGCTGAGTGAGGAGGAGAAGTTCAAGGGCGATCCTTCTGGAAGTGGAACCCACCTGATTCTTGGTGACGTCTTGCTTAAGCTTTGGATTGGGCTTTCTGACATTTTCACAAAATGCCGTGTAGAAGTGGGATACGTCTTAGACTGAGAACATTCAGTGACCAGAGGGGCCTCATCTTCAGGTTCTCCCACGTGGTCTCCTGCAAGAGTTATTTCTAATGTGGAGTTCGTAGGTGTGATTTTTTTTTTTTTTTAAGAACTGCGTTATGGAGACTTCACCATTAAAGTTGAGATGCAGGAGATTCATCAGTAGTGCTGCTTATTTAAAATTGCTCATGAGTGATGTTACGATTTGTTGTGACTGAGTTTCAGAATTTTGGAGTGGAGGTTGTGGACAGGGCCCACGGCAGCTGCTGATCTACGTCTCTGAATGGAAGGGTGGTGTGGCTGGAAGACTGTGTAGACGGGAGGATGGGAGAGTGGTCTTCTGTGTCCTGCCAGAATATCACAGCTGCGGCAGTGACACTGGTAGCACCTGAGCGGCAAGCCATGTGCTAGGATGCCCTCCAGGGCCCCCTGTGTCCAGGGGTTCATTCCATTGCTGTGTCTCAGCACCTGTCCATGGCCCCACCTGCATCCGAGTGACTGGCAGTTCCTGGGCCTCACCCAGTCCTCCCGATTCACAATCTCTTAGGACGAAGGTGCAGAATCTGTGTCTTGTAGTCACTCTTAACTTGTGAAACTTCAGCTTTTTTCTTTCTCAATTTCCCAATTCCACCTAATTCCCTCTAATTATAACTCAGATAATTCTTAAATACATGGGCTTGCGGTTCTTTGTGTTCTGCTGGAACTCGTGGTTTTACATGAGCTGGTCTAGTGATTCTGATGTGGAATAAAGATCATGAAAGCCACTGTCCACTGACACCATGAGCCATTGGCATTGTGACCAGCTGTCCCACTGTGGAGTGGACTTACTTTGTTGGTCTTCATGTCCACTTTAGTACTTCAGAAGGCTTCACTAATCTTCCCCCACTCCCCAACCTTGTTTGTCATATTTTCATAATTTTCTGTCCCCTGTCTAGATTGTGATCATTGAGGGAGCAAGACTTAAACTGGCTGCATAGGGTTAAGCTTCGTGAACGCCAGGATCTCTCTCTGTTGTCGTCTTTGATGAGCTCCTCTTAGTTTTGGTTTCCTTGCACAAATGCCTGTGTTCCCTAACATTATACACAAGCTCCTTTCACTGCACAAGTAGAAATTGTAAAATCACTGCTTGTCTAATACCTCCCTCTATCCTAGGACTAAAGAGAGTCCTTACAGAGTTCTGTGGAGACGGCAGGTGAATAGTCATGTCATCTCTTTACCATAACAGTGTCTATAGAAAAATTACACTATGATTATGAATTGTGTCTCACTAATTGAACTGGAAAACGTGGGGAAGGTTTGGAAGTAAGCCCTTGTCTATAATTATTAGTGATTTAAGTGTTTGTGTATTCTTAAGAGTTTACATCTATTGACTCCATCTGTATCTTGAAGATCACTGAGAAAACATGTATGCAGGGCCTTCAAATGCCGCTAAGTATAAATCTTCTATTCAAACTTATCCCCGTTGGTTTTGGCAATAAGTATCAGCTGGGAAACATAATTTAAGCACAAAATAATGATACGTGATGTGTTGCAAATGAGAAGAAACTATAAATTGAGAGAAAGTAGCGAGTCCTTTGGTATTAGGGGTAGCCCCACATATTACAAGGCCTCAGTCAAGGTCATTTAACTTACTTTCCAGTATGGGTTTCCCATTAACCAGCAGTATCTTTTCTAGAGTCTGATTAGTATAATCCTTTCTTCAGCAAAACCTCCTAGGTGGAAGCATAAATCATCTCAAAGATACTCATGTAAAGTGGAGGCCTAGCCAGAAGGTTTTTTTTGTTTTGTTTTTTGTCTACACAAGATGTGCTGCATACTTACTAACAGCCAGCATTGCAGCCTCTGCCTGCCTGCTGGAAGTGTATAATGAGGATAGCAGGCATTTCTGAGAAATGAAGTGACTTTTAGAAGAACCGAGTAAATACACCGCAGTAGTCCTGCAAGAAGCAACAACTCAGTAAACAGCACAGGTCATGGGTCTGGGTGAGGTCAGTCGTAGCTAGCAGTAATGCGAATATAATACTTCACTTCCTCTGGAGCGGTGTGAGCTACATCAGTCTCTGCACAGCCCAAATCACCCTAACTTCCTTTTACCTTTTCCACAACCCTTTGAGATGGCCCTGAGGTTCACGTCACCAAAAAGACAGTCTGTCCAGTAACTAATTTGCCAAGTTATCAAAAAATTGTGTAAATTTTTGTTTATGTTCCTTTTTTTCCCTCTAATCCTTAGAACCTGTAAATGTCGTAAGTATTCTTGAAGAATACATATGTATATATCAACAGTATTCAAGAAGAGTATTCTAAAAACTTTAAGTTTTTAGTAAATTGGTAATTCTCTTGAACTTGGTCATTCGACTCCTGGTCTGGTCCAGCAGTCACTTTGACCGTAGGAATAGATCTGGTGCCTTCTATCTTCTATCTTGCAGGTTGTCTTTTTTGTTGTTTCTTTGGTTGGTTGGTCGGGTGATTTTTTTTTTTTAAGCTGGGGTCTCACTGTCACCCCATTTGGAGTGCAGTGGTGTAGTCTTCAGCTCACTGCATCCTCTTCCTCCCAGGCTCAAGCGATCCTCCCACTTCAGCCCCCGAGTAGCTTGGACCACAGGCACGTGCCACCATGCACAGCAAATTTTTTGTATTTTTTTTGGTAGAGACAGGTTTCGCCATGTTGCTGAGGCTGGTCTCAAACTCCTGAGCTCAGGAGATCCACCCACCTGGGCCTCCCAAAGTGCTAGCATCACAGGTGTGAGCCACCTCTCCCGGCCACCTTATAGGTTTTCTTTGTGCTGTAACAAGTAACTCCCACCCCTTCTAGGTAGAATGCTGGGTTCTGAAGGCTGTGGCTGTGGGTCCAGGAAGAGAGTGGGGAGGGAGTGGCAAGTCCCTCGCCCTTGGCCACATTTCTTACCCTGAGCCTTGGCCTTGGGCTCAGGCTTTCCTGCTCCCCTTAGCCATTTGCTTTCTACTTTAAATCACAGCTTTAAGATTACTTATAAATCATTCTGGATTATTTCCCTATTGAATTTAGATGTTTTGTTTTTTTTGTTGTTGTTGTTGTTGAGAGAGAGTCTCGATCTGTCGCCCAGGCTAGAGTGCAGTGGCGCGATCTTGGCTCACTGCCACCTCTGCCTCCCAGGTTCAAGCTATTCTCCTGCCTCAGCCTTCCGAGTAGTTGGGATTACAGGCGCCCGCCACCGCACCTGGCTAATTTTTGTATTTTTAGTGGAGACAGGGTTTCGGCATGTTGGCCAGGCTGGTCTTGAACTCCTGACCTCGTGATCCACCCCCCCCCCCCCCCTCCCCGCCGTCAGCCTCCCAAAGTGCTGGGATTACAGGCGTGAGCCACCTTGCCCGGCCTGAATTTAGATCTTAAATTTTAAGATAATCTTATTTTTTTAAAAAAAATCAATAAACACAAAGCAAAAAGAAGAAAACACAAGAAACATTTCCTCTATGAAAATAGCTATGTTGTGTTTCTTACCAGTTTATCACCTCTGAGGTGATTATCGCTTCTTCCCAGGTTGGCAGCTGTGTACATTTAATGAGCATTTTCTTTGTTTTATGGCGCCACAGCTTTGCATACCCAGCTGTTGTAGGTCCTTATGAGGGAACCTGAGCAAGTGGTTATTGCAGAGCCAGCCCTTGTTCTGCCTGATGTTCGCTTTGGTATCGTTTTCTGATTCTAGGTGGAGGTTGTGGAGGAGTCAGGTTTCCAGGTGGGTGGGGGAGTATCCGAGGAGCATAGGTTTGGACCCTGTTGCGATGTGGAAGGTTGAGGACGAGCAGCAAGAATCCCAGCCTGGTGTGGATCCGGGGCATTGGCTGCACAGAGGGGTGACACTGTCCTTCCTTGTTCTTTCTTGGTCAGTCTCTTGCTGTTTGGAACACAGGGTCCTTTGAAGACATGATAACCTACTCTTGGACACACAGTAAAAAATGACTTATTTTTTTGTGAGGAATGTGAGGATAAGCGTTATTATCCACATTCTGTATGCACATCTCTGTTATGTCCTTAGCATAGAATACAGGCACTATAGGAAAAATGGCATTGGGGCTAAATTACCCAAAACCTATGTAGCAATAACAGTCCTAATAAAAATGCATGTTAGATTCTTTTAAAATTTAAGGAATAGGCTGGGCGCGGTGGCTCACTCCTGTAATCCCAGCACTTTGGGAGGCCAAGGCGGGTGGATCACTTGAAGTCAGGAGTTTGAGACCAGTCTGGCTAACACGGTAAAGCCCCGTCTCTACTAAAAATACAAAAATTAGTCAGGTGTGGTGGCACACGTCTGTAAGTCCAGCTACTTGGGAGGGTGAGACAGGAGAATTGCTTGAATCTGGGAGGCAGAGGTTGCAGTGAGCCGAGATCATGCTATTGCACTCCAGCCTGGGTGACAGAGCGAGACTCTGTCACAAAAAAAAAAAAAAAAAAAAAAAAAAAAAAAAAAATTAAGGAATACCAGAGTAAATATAAAGAGTTTGCTTTTAAAGGTAGTTTGACAGTGGAGTATACACAGTGGTTGAGGCTGCCAATTATGTAATAAGCAACACATGCAAAGAGCCTGTGGCTAAACCGAGTGAAGATGATGGGTGGGGTGAGTGGGCTCAGTGAGCTTTGTGTTAACCTCCCTTTACTCAGTGGCTCAAAATAGTAACAGGCAGGGGAGACTAAGGTTTAAACCAGTATGGCTCTCACACCATACTCACCTCCTCCTTCCACATTACAAATTGCATGTGAAATGATCCTCGCTCCAGAAACACATATTGCATATATTTTAAGGCTTCTGACAGATACCATTATAGTGCTTTCCATCAAAAGCCATGTACCCGATTACCAGCATCACACCATCTTCCCAAGGCTAGGGACTGTTACCCCGTTCTTCTGTTTTTTTTTAGACAGAATGTTGCTCTTGTTGCACAAGCTGGAGTGCAGTGGCGCAATCTCTGCTCACTGACGCCTCCACTTCCTGGGTTCAAGCGATTCTTTTGCCTCAGCCTCCCGAGTAGCTGGGATTACAGGTGTGCGCCACCACACCCAGCTAATTTTTTATATTTTTAGTAGAAATGGGGTTTCACCATGTTAGTTAGGCTGGTCTCAAACTGCTGACCTCAAGTGATCTGCCCACCTCGGCCTCCCAAAGGGCTGGATTACAGGTGTGAGCTGCTGCACCCAGCCCACCCTGTCCTTTAATAGGAGAAAATGATGTCATCTTACTTTGATGAGCATTTCTCTCATGAGTAAGATTTAAAGTGCTTATGTTTAGAGACATAGGCATTTATTTGAGTTGCTTTGGTCCTGTTGTTCACCAGTTTTCCTGTCAGATTCTCTTAGAACACTTTATAATGCAAGGTGGTCAGCCCTCTGTGGAGGAGGGGCACAGAGAGCTGCAGGATTGGGGCTTTGCTGCTAGTTGGTTGGCTCATCACCCAGGCAAGGCCCTTTCCTTGGGGCCTCAGTTACTTCACCTGTCGTGTGTGGCTAGTCCCCAGAGTACTCTTCCCTCGGGGATGTGTGTGTCTTCAATGAACTGCTGTACCTTGGACCCTGAACACAGAGCCTGGCACAGAGTGAGGAATAAAGATGGACTGGGAGGAGAAAAAATAATAGCTCCATCATGATTTGTTTTGTCTTGTGTCTTTCAGATTTAATTTTTCCTAGTTCATAAATGGCCCTTACACTTGTTCCTAGTGATTTTAGTCATAGAAAGAATGCCAGTCTTTATGTAATCTAGCCTCTCACACCTATTTAATTGTACAGTCTTCTCCTGCATTGGAGTCGCCCATGGGGCTTTTGTTCTTTTTTCTCTTTTCTCAATGTTTTTGATTTTGTTTTTGTCTTTTTTTAGCAACAGGGTCTTGCTATGTTGCCCAGGCTGGGGTACAGTGGCAATTCACAAGCACAGTCGTGGGAGACTATAGCATTGATCTCCTGGGCTCCAGCAGTTCTCCCACCTTTGCCTCCTGAGTAGCTGGGACTACAGGTGTACCACCACTCCTGGCTTCTTAAATGTCTTTATTCTCATTGTAAAGGCACATATATGTTAATTTTGGAAAAATTGGGAAAAGTCTAAATTAAAAAAACAAAGCAGGCTCGTCTCTTAGGGGAAAAATGAGAGGATCTGTATTTTAAGAATTTTTACTGGAAGGCCGGGTGCAATGGCTCATAGCTATAATCCCAGCACTTTGGGAGGCCAAGGCGAGATAATTGCTTCTGCCCAGGAGTTCAAGACCAGCTCGAACAACATGGCAAGACTCTGTCTCTACAAAAAATTTTAAAACTTAGCTGGGCGTCGTGATGCACACTTGTCATCTCAGCTACTCAGGAAGCTGAGGTGAGAGGATCGCTTGAGCCCAGGAGGGTGAGACTGTGTGAGCCATGATTGCACTACTTCACTTCAGCCTGGGTAGCAGTGAGACCCTGTCTCCAAAAATAAAAAGAATTTTTACTGGTAATAGTGAGGAACACTGCTTTATGTTCTGTGACTAAAGCCTTTACTGCCTTTACGTAACAAAGTACCCACCTTAATTACCTTCCCATACTTTTACAATTTAATTTTTTATATTTAGTTCCTCATCATTTTCTTACTGATTCGTCTGATTTTGTTTTCTCGGGAATTTCCCCCCAAAATGGAATGCTTTTTGGTATTAAAATAGTAGTCACTTAAACAGCTTTTTGTTAAAGCATAAAGGTCTGCCTTATTGTTGTTAGTAATTCGTTGCCTTAAATAACAGTCATTGGATGTTTTCTCCCACAAATTCAGACAGGGCTTGGCTGGCCCATTCCCCTGCTCCACATGGCTTTGACAGGGGTTATTTGAGGTCTGCCTTATTTTTCATGGGTGCCTCTTGTTTCATTATAAGTCTGTAGCCATAGGATGTTTAATTAGTCCACCTTTAATAGACATTTAGAATTTTTTCCAGTTTTCAATATTTAATCAGAATGTGATGCATTATCTTTGCACACATATTTTAACATACTTGTCCAATTACTTCCTTAACAATGAATCATGAGAAGTGGAGTTACTGTCAAAAGAAATGCATGTTTTTCTTTTTGATACATGTTGCTTTCCAAAATTACACCGAATTGCCAGAGTACTTGAGAATTGCCATTTCTTTATATCCTCATCAATACCAATTAGCATTTTTTAAATCTTGGCCATATAGATAGATTAAACATGCCTCATTGTTTTATTTCTATTCCTTTAGTGATTAGTAAGAACTTTTTAAAAACAGCTTTTTAAGATATAATTCATGTACCATATAGTCCTTGCTTCAAGTGTACAGTTGAGTGGTATTTAGTATATTGTGTAACCATCACCACAGTCAATTCTGAAACATTTTCACCACTCCAAAGAGAAACCTAGTACCATTAGCAGTTATTCCCCATTTCCCCTGAACCCCCATCTCCAGCCAACCGCTAGTCTTTCTACCCCCATGGATGTATCTATTCTGGGCATTTCCTAGAAATTGAATCACAGAATATGTGGTCTTTTGTGACTGGCTTCTTTTACGAAGCATGTTTTCGGAGTTCATGTTGTAGTATGTGTGGTTACTTCCCTTTTTACGGTTGAATAATATTCCGTTTTGGTTATACACCGTGTTTTGTTTTTCCCTTCATCACTTGATGGGCATTTGAATTGTATCCACTTTTTGGCTATTTGTAAAAGGCTGTTGTGAACATTTTTTACAGTTTTCGTGTGAACGTGCATTTTCAGTTCTTTTGGTTGTATACCTAAAATAGGAATTGCAGAGGTCATGTGGTAATTTTATGTTTGACCTTTTGAGGAATTGCCAGACTGTTTTCCAGAGTGGCTGCTGCCTTCTACATTCCCACACCAATGTATGAGGATTCCAGGTTCTCCACGTCCTGGCCACCCTGTTGCTATTGGTTAGCATTTGACTTTTTATTATAGCCATGTGGTGGGTGTGAAGTGGTATCTCACTGTGGTCTTAACTTGCATTTCCCTAATGGCTAATAAGGTTCAACATCTTTTCATGTGCTTATTGGCCATTCGTGTATCTTCTTTGCATAAATAACTGTTCAGAGCTTTCACTTATTTTTTAATTGGGCTATTAGTCTTTTTATTACTGAGTTGTAAGAGTTTTTAAAATATGTTCTAGATGCAAGTGCTTTATCAGACCTATGATTTGCAAATATTTTCTCTTTCACTTTCCACTTTCACAGTTCATTATTTTGTAATGGTATCCTTTGAAGCATAAAAGTTTAATTTTTTATGAAATCAGTTTATTTTTCTTTTATCACTTGCACTTTTGGTGACGTAGTAAGAAACTGCCTAATCCAAGGTCGTGAAGATTTATTCTCGGTTTTCTTCTGTGAATGGTACGATTGTCACTCTTACGTTGAAGTGTTTGCTCCACCTTGAGTTCATTTTTGAGTGGGAGGTAGAGAGGAGGCTGCCTGCATCCTTCTGCCTGGGCTGTCCAGTGCCTGTGCTCCTCCTCATTGTCATTGAGAAACGATCCCTCCCTCCCTTGTGTTGCCTCAGCACCAAGGTGTAGAACATTTTTGTATTTGTCGTTTCTTTGTGTTTTGTGAGGTGTCTGCATTTTCTTTGCCCAATTTTTTAGTGGGATAGTATCCTTTCTTTCCTGAGAGCATTTGCATAAAAGATCAACCAATTTGCTCGCAGTTTTTCACTTTTTAAACTCCATTATGTGTTTATGTTAAGAAGGCTTTCTCATCCTCATGTCCTAAAAGTTTTTAAATTTTTTTCTCCATTTTAAGCCATTTTTATTCACTTTAGTTCATGTGAATTTTTTTTTTTTTAAATAAAAGGGAAGATAAGGATCAAAGATGCCTCACCACTCTTGAATGTAAAGCACCACCTTTAGGAGACAATCGTCCTCTCTTATCTGGGGTTTCACTTTCTGGGGTTTCACTTACCAGCAATCACAAAATAAGTGAGTGCAGTACAATAAGGTGTTTAGAGAGAGAGAGAGAGAGACCACATTCATGTAGCTTTTATTACAGTGTATTGTTAGTAATGGTTCTATTTCATTATTAGTTAATGTTAATCTCTTACTATACCTAATTTATAAATTAAACTTTATCATAGGTGTGTGTATAGGAAATAATACAGTATATATAGGATTCAGTACTATCTGAAGTTTCAGGCATCCACTGGGAGTTGGAACCTGAACTCTGAGGATAAGGGGGGACTTCTATATGCTAATTTGATATACACCTATGTCTGTTTCTGGACTTAAGTAAAGAAATTAGCTTTATAGTATGTTTCAGTATCTGGCAATATAGATTGCCCCTTTATTTTTACTGTTTTTCAAAATTTTCTTGGCTCTTAGAAAAACAAAATCACACAAAACGTAGATTACTTTTGGGGCAGCTTCCACCACGATGGCTTTGTTCTGTGCTTTAAAGGGAGGTTCCGAAGTACTCTCCCTCCATCCTCAGTGCCTGCCTGCCAGTGGGAACTGGGCAGGGAGGTTGGGAAAGTCTGAAGGATGCTTCTGACAGATTTGGGGGCCACCTGCAGTTCACATCTAACTCTCATGGCTCATTGAACACCAGCCTGGGAGAGGAGGAAATTAAGTGTGCCCCTGTATTTGTAAGTACTTTGCAAAACTAAGCTAGTCCCAGACAAATATACAGAATTCCATGGGGAAAGACAGAGACAGGGACATAAGACATTTTCCATTCCACTGTTGATTCACCCTCAGAATGGCTTTTGAGATGCATGTTGTAAACAATATGTAGAGCTCATTAAACTGTGCATTTGTCCTCCATCCAGAGGTAGACAAATAACAGAACAAATTTTAAATTTGCCATATAGTTTCCAACCATCCTGTTTTGACATATGGTCAGGTGTAGTGCAAAAGACACTATTAAAAATACATGCCAGGCTGGGCGTGGTGGCTCATGCCTGTAATCTCAGCACTTTGGGAGGCTGAGGTGTGCCGGTCTCTTTAGGTCAGGAGTTCAAGACCAGCTTGGCCAACATGGTGAAACCCCATCTCTACTAAAAATACAAAAAGTAGCCAGGCGTGGTGGTGGGCATCTGTAATCCCAGCTACTTGGGAGGCTGAGGCAGGAGAATCGCTTGAACCCAGGAGGCAGAGGTTGCAGTAAGCTGAGGTGGCGCCACTGCACTCCAGCTTAGGCGATAGAGTGAGACTCCCGTCTCAAAAAAAAAAAAAAAAGTACAAGCCAGTTAGGTGGCACCACACATCTGTGATCCCAGCTACATGGGAGGCTGAGGTGGGAAGATCAGTTGAGCCCAGGAGGCCAGCCTGGGCAACATAGCAAGACCTTGTCTCTGAAATTTTAAAAAAAGAATATTTTTAAGTCCCAAATGAAATCAGTGTGTTAATTGTTGGTGAATTAAGAACAGTCTGGTTATAATTTACTTGTAGAGCTAAATTTTTTGCCTAATTTTTATATAATTTTTTTGGTATGTGATATTTCTGTACTTTAAGACACAGTGAGAGGACAACTGTGTGGTCTCTTCAACAAGGTAGTGTCAGGAGTAAAAAAAGGGAAGATACAATAGATTAAGAACCTTAAAAACAACCAAATACAGGATGTGGGCCTTCTTGGGGTCCTGATTTGTGAACACCAGCTCTAAAAGACATGTTTTGGACAACCAGAGAAATTGGGATATGACTCAGTATTAGCTGATGCCCAAGAAGGATGGTTCTTTTTCTTAGGTGTAAGGATGATATCCTTTCCTTTCCATTTTTCTGTATGTTTGAAATTTTCATAAACGTAAAAGAAAGAGTCCTAAATGAGGCTCATTTTGTGTTTCTCCCATTCCTCCATATCTCCATTCCTGTTGATTTCTCGATGGACCTTCCAATCCACAGGGATAAGCCAGTTGAGCAGTGGACTTAACACCAGTACTGCATGCTTGCAGGGGCAGCTCAAGGCCTGTTTGCTTACTGAAGCTTTATTTACAGTTATAAAAAATAAAGGAGGGGCCAGGGATTCCAGTTTATGCCCCATAACAAGAACTAGTTAAATGAGTATAAAGTTAAAAGAGTAACATGCTGTTCATTACAAGTCATTCCAGCCCACTATCTGAGACAGTTTAGTGGTATGGGGCAGAACATGGAAAAAACACTAAGCAAAACATGTGTGTTGCAGGGGAGATACGAGGCTCTATTGATTATGGTTCATACGTAAACATTTATATAGAAAAAAGAAGGGAAAAAAACCTATCAACGCTTTAGTAGTGGACTCCTGGATAATGGGATTTTAATTGTTGTTAATTATTTCTGTAGTAGTTCTCTAGCTTTCCAAATTTCCTGCAGTGTATATATATACTTTTATAATCAGGAAAAAATAAACATAAGAGGCTATTTTCTCTTAGGAGTTGAGCCCTGCATTCATGGTGTTCTGCTTCTCAGCTAGGATGCTGATTTTGCTTTGGGTCCTTCTCAGAATTGCTTTGGGTCCTTCTCAGACTTCCAAGAGTTTTGCTCCCAAGCCCAGCCACCCAGCTTTTCTACGTACTTATTTTCTAGTTCTCATAAAGGTAAAATCAAAACAGAAAACTCTATAAACTTTTAAAAGTGAGCTTTGATTCATTAAAAATTATTTGTATAGTTTTCTCTCCTCTTTGTGAATATACAGTTTTGATTCATACATTTTTAAAAAATCCGAGTGGCGTACTTTAGGGGAGGTAATGAGGGTCGTGGAAGCAAGCTGGAAATATCAGAGTACTAGAGAAAATTGGAAATCCCGGAACTGTGGATGATACTGTTGCACATTAGGAACACTTCTCTTACTGCCTAAGTCTTTTTCAGTAAGTTTATCTGAAGAATGCTTATAGTTTGTAAAGAAGAAGACTCTATGGGTCCCCTTTTCCATTTGCCTTGCTGTTAAAAGGTTTGTTTGGTCTGGCTTGTTATTTCAGGCAACTGAAAGCAAACCCTTTCTGTATTTTTAGCAGATCACCAAATCTTTAAAAATTGTCAGCTGTCTGAGTGGAAATTGTAATGAAAAACAAAGCATAGGACAAGAATGCATTTCCCATTGCACTGGGTGGTTGTATTAAGGCTAACTGTCATTATTCTTTTAGGAGAGGTAATGGTTGCTGTGAAATCAAGCTGCACGCATTGTCCTTCTAGTCATGTGATAATGAAATCCAAAAGGTGGCTCTGATTCTTTTTGCTACATCAAATGTTTGTAGTACATTGCAATTGGTCAGGCCTTGGCAAATCTTTTTTTTTTTTTTTTTTTTTTTTTTTTTTTTTTGAGACGGAGTCTCGATCTGTCGCCCAGGCTGGAGTGCGGTGGCGCCATCTCAGCTCACTGCAAGCTCCGCCTCCCGGGTTCACACCATTCTCCTGCCTCAGCCTCCCGAGTAGGTGGGACTACAGGCACCCGCCACCACGCCTATAGTCCTAATTTTTTCTGTTTTTTAGTAGAGATGAGGTCTCATCGTGTTAGCCAGGGTGGTCCCGATCTCCTGACCTCGTGATCCGCCTGCCTCGGCCTCCCAGAGTGCTGAGATTACAGGCGTGAGCCAACGCGCTCGGCCAGGCCTTGGCAATCTTTTTAATTAGGTTGTACCCTATGAAATTGCCAGTGTTTGGCCATTTGGGACCTACAGAAACAGCAGTTTCATATGGTCCAGCTGGTATAGTACACAGCTTTTCCTGTAGTTGTGTATATTGTAGAGTGAGTTGGATTTTGGTTGCTACAGTGAAGAGCCAGCCATTGTCTTGCTTGGATGATAATTGTATACAAGTGAACTTGAATCAGCCTTGCTGCTGAGTTGGGTTGATTTCTGTGCTGCTGGATCTTCTTAAAGTCATCAGTGGGTTAGAGAACTACACCAGCCTTCTCTCTGTGGTCGGTATTATCCATCAGCTTTTGCTTTTGTTTGAGAAATAATTAATGAATATGACTTGGAACTCTGAGAGGTTAAAGTATTTTTATTATTTTGCTTTATTTTAGTCTCAGATGCAAACATCAGTGGGAATTGTACCCACACAAGCAATTGCAACAGGCCCCACTGCAGATCCTGAAAAACGCAAACTGATACAGCAGCAGCTGGTTCTACTGCTTCATGCTCATAAGTGTCAGAGACGAGAGCAAGCAAACGGAGAGGTTCGGGCCTGCTCGCTCCCGCATTGTCGAACCATGAAAAACGTTTTGAATCACATGACGCATTGTCAGGCTGGGAAAGCCTGCCAAGGTAAGTGCTGTTTTTGGAACTCCTAGTGGTAGAGGTCAGGAAGAATTTGCCTTTATTGTTCTTACAGCAGCTCTCTGGTTCATAAGGCTCCGGCAGCCTGAGTGCTGCCTTCCATTGGGTGTGGCAAGACATGTTGCGCTCACGTTCCCCACGCGACGACAGTCAGGTGCTCCAGGAAGTCTTATCTGCTGAAGAGAAAGGCGATTTGGTTTTCTGATACTCTGTGAACTTCTGCTGCTTGAAGCTGTGCCCCGTATTTGTTCTTTTCCTCCTTCCTCTGTCACGGAAGACATTGGTCACTTCTTGAGCACTGTCTTTGTTGTGAATGTCTAGATTGTGGTTTTCTTTTGGGGCAATGAACATAGCACAGGCACGTGCAGGCACACGCCCTTCCTGCATCCCAACATCTGTCTTGGTGGCCTGCGGCCTTGCTCCTCTGTCCTGTGTCTTGAGGCAAGTGCGGATGACAGCGAAGTTGTCCTGGGTGACTGGCAGTGACATGGGGAACTATGCACTGTATCATCCCAGGGGGGGTGGTGAACTAGGCACTTCACGTGCCCTCTGTCTCCCCTTTTACCGCAGACACCTCATTTCTACCGAAGGAAGTGTTTCTTATTAACAGCTGTACTTTCCTTTAATCTTTATTCTCTTTCCTTCTCTGCTTATGCTCATAAACTTAGGGGAATCTCCCCCTGGTCTCCCCGTCTCCCGTTGTGACATTTGTGAGTCCCCAGAGTAACCCTGTTGTAACAGAGAAGCAGAGAAGGGTAAGGTTAGACCTTTAGAAGATGAAGACGGAATAACCAGGGTCAGTTAGCCTCTCGAGTACTTCTTCACCAAGTGCCCAGAGTCCCTTTCAGAATCTCTACAGACTTCTCATTTGCTTCTCTATCTGTATTTCTTCACTGTAGTATTTAGGTGGTTTCATCTTGAAACATAATTGAACATTTTTATTTTAAATAGTGACATCACAGAACTATTATTTGTTCTACCTTTCATTGCAGTTGTTCGCTATTCCAGGTTGAATAGTTTTTGTTTTGTTTTGTGGGCTGCCCTTTATCACCCATCCTTCATAACATTGCTTCTAGGGGAAGTTTTGTTTGGATTTCTCAACAGTCAACTTACAAACTTTTTGGAAAACAGCCTGTTTGTAAGTTGAGGACTGCCTATACTGTGTTATGGTTACACTTGTTACCATTTTCTTATGGAATCTGGCATTATAATTTAGGTATAATTGAAAGTGTGACGATTTGGATAGAAAAATAACATCTCGTTGTTTTTCTGGTCATAGTTGCCCATTGTGCATCTTCACGACAAATCATCTCTCATTGGAAGAACTGCACACGACATGACTGTCCTGTTTGCCTCCCTTTGAAAAATGCCAGTGACAAGCGAAACCAACAAAGTAAGTGAGCACGGGGGCAGAGAAGCTTGGAGATGAGAATAGAAGTTGTTTCTAAAGAAAATTCAGAGAGTAGGTAGGGAGTGGGCAGGGGTTATGAGCCATGGAGTGCAGGGTGAGGTAGGGCGGACAGCAGCCCAAGGTACAGCCAAGCTCAGAGGGCAGGCGGGCTCTCCGTGTCAGGAACGGCTGTGATAATGTTGGACCCTGACTCACTCACTGCCTCTCCCTCTCCCTGCCCCCTGCATACATGCACTTGAAGCAGCATGGAACAGCAGAGTCACTTTGTTCACTGAGCCAACACGAAGACATGGTATTTCCTGACAGTTACTCCATACGTGAGAATTTAAATTCCATGTCGCTATAATGGCAGTGACGTCTTAGGGAGGGGGATAGAGGGGATACTTCTTTTGGAATTGGAAAGCCCTTATCCTGAAGTAAATTTTGAAGGCTCTGTCAGTCAGTCTGGGTCAGTATAAAATCCCACACAGACATTTATGAAGGTTTCCCTCTACGTGGAGCTATGGTCCCCAGAACTCTTTGTATAACTAAACGTTCACTCTGCTTCACAGTGAGAGCCTCTGCCCTAGGGCTGCTGCATCCTGATCACCCCAGTCGTTTTGCCGTTGTCTAGGTTGTCTGTAGCCCTCGGCACGGCTGGTTACGCAGCGATCCCTGCTTGTTGGGAGGTCCGCCTGGGGCTCTGGGGCTCCCTGCCATTTGTAGGCTTCAGGCAGTAAGAAGGATGAACCTCCCTCCCGTTTTTCAACCATCTTCCTGTCATTTTAGAGGTAAAACTGTGGTCTTTGGGTGTGTCATTCAGTTTCGGACAGCTAGGAAGTGCCCTTCAGTCTCCTGTCCCCTCTGGCTGGAGCTGTACCCTTAGCGACCCTTCCAGCACAGCACAGTCTTCCTCATCTTCCTCCATCTCGTCTGTGCCATCTTGCCACCCTCCCCTGTTTTGTGTATTACGTGTTCATTCCTCTCATTCTTCTTGATCATCCTTCCTCAAGACCCCGCAGCTGCCTGGAGAACATGTGCTGCTTTTCTTTCTGGTTGTTTCTGAGTGGCCCAGGGAAAGATGGAAAAAGTGCTTTGTTCCTAAGAGTACTGTGGAGTGGCGTGCCAGTGACAGCCCCCGTGGTTTTCCTTTTACTGAGTCCAGCCCACCTCCCTCTGGCGGCGAGGGAGTAGGCAGCGAGCTGACGCTGACCCTGCTTCCTTTAAAGCAGGGTGTCCCTGTCATAGAGAAGAGAAATGCCAGGGTAATGGGGCCTGTTATCTGCCTCCCTACAGAAGAACCACAACGAGTTTCCTTTAAAAGCCAGTTTCCTGGCCAGGCGCAATGGCTCACGCCTGTAATCCCAACACTTTGGGAGGCCGAGGCGGGCAGATCACCTGAGGTTGGGAGTTGGAGACCAGTCTCTACTAAAAACACAAAATTAGCCGGGCGTGGTGGCGCATGCCTGTAATTCCAGCTACTTGGGAGGCTGAGGCAGGAGAATCACTTAAACCTGGGAGGTGGAGGTTGCGGTGAGCCGAGATCACGCCAGTGCACTCCAGCCTGGGCAACAAGGGCGAAACTCCGTCTCAAAAAAAAAAAAAAAAAAAAAAAAAGCCAGTTTCCTAAAAGTCAGTTAAATTATTCTTTGATTGACTAAAATTTGAATTAATAAACAATTTCCCTGGACATTTCTTATATAAAGTGACATTCTGGAATCCTGGGTCTTCTAGAACCAGATATTTGGGACAGTAGTTCTAATGGAATACAGTCTGTTTTTCCTCCCACATTACTGTAAAAGTTTTTTCTTTAGTATATTGTGATGGCTAAATTTCTTGTGTTTTAGGGCACATTTCAGTAATAGGCTCTTTAAGTGCCAAAATATTCATTGTCAAGTTTGTAGTTATACAATATTCTATGAATAATGAGCTAGAATTTTATTCTTAACTTTAATTTGGGGGTGTGGCTTTTTGAGGATCTTTTGTTTTTAGTACATACTACCATGACAGTTGTAAACTTTGGTGATTTCTCTTTTTAAGAAACACTTATGTGGTTTTTGTTTTAAAAGAAAAAAGAAGCGTATGTGGTTTTTTTTTTTTAAACCATCCTTATAACGGCCTGAGTGTTGTGAAAATTGATTCTGTGCATGCTCTCTCAAGTGGTAAACCACAGGTTTTCTACTAGTCAGAATGTAAGATATTACCAGGATGATTTTATAAAGTCACAAGGAAGATTTAGATTAACTTGCTGCAAGGTTTTGGTAGTTTTTTTTTACAAAAGTATGATTGACAAGGTTTCAGCAATATCCTTTTTGTAAATTTTATTGTTTTTTCTCTTCTCCCAAAGCAAATTATGCTTATCGTGTGTGAACTCTTGAGTTAGGAACCCAGAGAGGAAAATGTGAATCTGACCCTACGTTGGCTTAAGGTTGGGTTTTGAAGACAATATATATGTTAAAAATAACGTAAGGGTGACCTCCCTCAAAGGACCGAGGTAGAGACAAGTCAGTGCAATCAGCATTCTTTTCGAGGAGAATTGGAGCGCACCTGACTACTTTGTAGAGAAAGGTGGGACTTGGTGGAGCCCAGTGCAAACAGAATAACAAAGGAAGAACATTTCAGACAGTGGGGACAGTGTCTGCACAGTGCACAGCTTGTGAGGGCATGCATTTGACTGGACTGGGGTTCCTGTGCAAACGAGGTGAACAGAAAGGTGGACTGTGATGAGCTCCTGGAAGCCTCAGGGACTCTGCCGAGACCCACCTGTGCTCGCTCTGTGGAGACTGCCTTAGGGGCCCCGGGACTCTGCTTTTTAGGCAGTGTTTCCCACAGGCCAGCGCTGGTCTTACCTGATGCACACTTCCTTGGTCAGCACATGCTCCACTCTCTTAACTTCTGTGATTAATGTCTCTACTGAGAGAACCTTCCAGAATCACCTGTGGCGCTAATCTGAGGTTCTTTGAAATGAAGCCCAGACCATTGATTACCTTTTTGGCCTGTGTTGAGTTTTGTTTGGTTGGTTGGTTTGTTTTGAGACGGAGTCTTGCTCTGTCACCCAGACTGGCATGCAGTGGCATAGCCAAGTCTCACTGCAGCCTCAACCTCTCGGGCTCAAGCAGTCATTCCACTTCAGCCTCCTGAGTACCTGGGACTGCAGGCATCTGCCACCATACCTGGCTAATTTTTGTATTTTTTGTAGAGATGGGGTTTCACCATGTTGCTCAGGCTTGTCTCGAACTCCTGAGCTCAAGTGATCTTCCCACCTTGACCTCCCAAAAGTCCTGGGATTAGAGGCGTGAGCCACCGCGCCTGGCCTCATTCGATTTTTCCTTGAATTGTTTTTTAAAGATTCTGTAATCACTGATCTCGAGTTAACCATCCCTTATAGCAATATTCAATTTTTTTTGAATAATTAGGACTTGCCAAGATAAGTATCTTATGTCAGTCCTGGCATCTGACCTCCAGTAAATTCAGTGCACAGAGTGGCATGGTTGACTGGGCTTTGGGACCCGTGAGCAGGTTCCCCTCTTGGGGCTTATGCTGCCTCACTTGTGAAGTTCTTGCTGCTCAAAGTGTAGGCCTCAGGGAAGCCATAGAGGTGCTCCCAGGTTGTAAGCAATAAAGAAATTGGGCCCCCATTTGAGACCTCTTATATTAAAACCTGCATTTTTATAAAAATCCTGGGTGATTAGTGTGCACATTAAAATCTGAGATGCACTGCTCTGGATGCCTTGGAAGACCAGGTATCTGGGCCAGTGCTGGTGAGAGGGTTTGAGTCATTCTCTGAGAGAGAGACCAGGGGTTTTCCAACCTAGAGTCCCCCAGGGACTGTTGAAGCAAGTGTGCAGGGTCGGCCCCAGAGCCAGCCTAATGCACGCACTGTCCCGGCTGCGTCAGCCATGGCCCCAGCTGCTGCCCGGCATCTCCATGAGTGTAGCTCCCACTGCTTCACCTGGCAACATGTTCCATCTGTAGGTGCCTCAGATTGTTTAAAACACCTCCTTTTGGCCGGACGCAGTGGCTAACGTCTGTAATCCTTGCACTTTGGGAGGCTGAGTGAGACAGGCGGGTTGCCTGAGCTCATGTTCAACACCAGCCTGAGCAACACAGTGAAACCCCGTCTCTACTAAAATACAAATAATTAGCTGGGCATGGCAGCATGCGCCTGTAGTCCCAGCTACTCGGTATCCTGAGGTGGGAGGCTGAGGCAGGAGAATGACTTGATGAACCCGGGAGGCAGAGGTTGCAGTGAGCCAAGATCGCACCACTGCACTCCAGCCTGGGCGACAGAGCAAGACTACGTCTCAAACAAAACAAAACAAAACAAAAAACCAAAACAAAACAAAAAAAAAAACCTCCTTTTTTTATATGGAGTCAAGATCTCCGTCCTTTGAACTGCCACTCATCGAATAGCCCATCAGGTGCCCAGTGAGTGTGTGTGGAGCAGGCCCTTTGTTCACTTGAGGGCCCTTCAGAGATTTTCACCTCTTTTGACAGACTGTAGTGGGATGGGGGACAGCAAGGAGCAGAATCTGAAGGCTGTAGAGAGAATGGTGGGCTTGATTGACCCTGACTTAAGCACCAAAGGGTCGTGGGTGATGTGTTTCATCTGAACAGCTTTTCTCCTTGCTAGCAAGGAGCAGTGTCACTGCGCCAGTGTCACTTGGCTTCTGAAGAAAGCCTTTTGCTTGAGGGCTTGTGGCCGTGCCTGATAGGAGGCTGAGTCTCCAGCCTGGCAGTGCCTGGGTTCCCCTCAGTGCTTCTCTTCACTGTGGTGCCCCACGCAGTGCATAGGAAGGTGCCAGGTAGGAAGTAGGTCCTGGCCCACACAATGCCCGCAAGGTACGGTGGTGCCACCAGCAACTTTGTAGAGATGGCTGCAGGTCTGAATAAATTCTTTTTTTTTTTTTTTTGAGACGAAGTCTCACTCTGTCGCCCAGGCTAGAGTGCAGTGGCGCGATCTTAGTTCACCGCAACCTCCGTCTCCCTAGTTCAAGTGATTCCTGCCTCAGCCTCCCGAGTAGCTGGGATTACAGGCACATGCCACCATGCCTGGCTACTTTATGTATTTTTAGCAGAGATGGGGTTTCACCATGTTGTCCAGGCTGGTCTTGAACTCCTGACCTCAGGTGATCTCCCCACCCTCATACTCCCAAAGTGCTGGGATTACAGGCGTGAGCCACCTGAATAAATTCTAGCATTGCTTTTTTAGTAGAAATCTAAGTGTCTTGGTATCCTTGGGAATTTGGTTCCAGGACACCCCAGGTATACCAAAACCAGGTGGACTCAAGCCCTACAGCTGGCCTTCCCCATACACAAGTTTCGCCTCCCGCAAGCACTGTGTTTCTGGCCTGCGTTGGGTGACCCCGTGGCTCACTCTCGTGCTGGTGAAGCATCAGCTGTAGCAACTACTGCTCTGCTTCATGGTCTGTCTCCCCCTACCCTCACAAAGTTTGGAGATTTGATTCATGTCCGTTTTCACTGAATTTCCAAATGGAGTTCAGTTTTATTGAGGATGATTAGGGGCTTAAGTTGTCTGAGTAACTGAGTTCTTTGCATCAGCAACATAGACTGTACAGAAAACCTCTTAGTGGAACATTCCTTTTTTCTTTTGTTTTTTGAGACAGAGTCTCTCTGTTGCCCAGGCTGGAGTGTAGTGGCGCGATCTCAGCTCACTGCAACTTCTACCTCCTAGGTTCAAGCGGTTCTCCTGCCTCAGCCTCCCAAGTAGCTGAGATGACAGGCACGCACCACCACACTCAGCTAATTTTTGTATTTTTAATAGAGATGGGGTTTCACCATGTTATTAGCCAGGCTGGTCTCGAACTCCTGACCTCAAGTGATCCACCTGCCTCGGCCTCCCAAAGTGCTGGGATTACAGGCATGAGCCACTGCACCCAGTTACACTTGGCCGTACCCGGCCTCTTAGTGGAACATTGTTTGTGCATGAAGAGTGGCAGGTGAGTCCGAGAAAGAGCCTGCTATAAAACTTGGCCTTTTGTTCATAGGTCATAGGCTCCTTCTTCAGCAACATCAGAAGGGGTGGTGAGACTAGGGGATGTTGGGGAGCTTTAAAGAGGTAAATATCCGGGACAGGAGTGTTGCCTGATGGGCCCAGAAGAACCCAGCCACTGTGTTAGTGCATTGCAGGTGTGTTGTGACTTCCTAAAAGTTAGAGCTTTATGCTCTAGCGAGGAAAAAAGATGTAAAAATGGCCAAATGAGCACACGGCCTTGACATTGGAAGAAGTTAAGTGGCAATAATACAGAAAGGATAAATAGAGAAACTTCATCCTTAGGGATGCCAGGTAGATGGACCAATCTCCGTGCATTTCTGTTCAGTTCCAAGACACTCCATGGGCTGCGCTGCGAGGGCCCACGATGTGCTGGCCGCTGCGCTATAGCTGGCACGTCCCCTGGACTCTGCACAGCAGGTTACGTGGCCCATGTGGCAGGTGGTGAAGAGCAAAACCGAATTTGACATTAATCCCACCTTTCAGGGATGCACAGGGAACGTGACATGAGCCTGATTTTCCCTGTCCCAGGGTTCCAAGGTGCAGTTTGGGTGCATTAGGTGATTATTAGATAATCTGTTGTCCCTAGGCTCAGGGAATGCAGAGATTGTGCCCACACCATGTCTGGGAGCCTGGCAGAGTGTACTCACTGAGTCTGTCACGTGAGTGAGTGAATACACGAAGGGTCAGTGTCTAAAGACAAGCGGGTACAGGAGTCACTGTGGGATTTCAGAGAGGGATTGGGAATACCACCATGGAGCACTTGGAGCACCTTGAGGTTGCAGTACAGTTGATGGTGGCTTATACATAGTGACTCCCCTTTCAGTCAGCCATCACCCTGCAGTGAATGCCTGAGCACCCTTACCCTTCAGTATTTGTGTCATTTCATGTAATAGCATCATTTGGACTTCAAATTCAGCCATGCTTAAATGGCAGAGACCTTCTTTATTTGTTCATAATTAATTTCCTTTGCTTCTGAATTTTAGAAATGATGAGTTCCAAATGCTTCTCATAGGTATATTTTCTTTTAAAATAAAAATATAATAATGTTTACGTTTAGAAAATGAATGCCTCTAACACAAAATGCAGTGACCGTGTCAGCAGCTTCCGTGGGAGGCCTATGTGAGTATGAGGCGTTGGCTGCCCTGTAAGTGCTGTGAGCTTAGGAGTGGCATTCACTGTAAGGTGGGGCATTTTAGTTAAGTAGATGGCACTTGGGGAGGTGTGGATAAAAGAGAAATGTAGTAGGAAGAAGTCAATAAAGGGTTTACGGGAAATGGAAGGCTCCATACTTTGTTTCTTTTAAGTTCTTCTCCACAGTCCATCACCATGTGTGTTAAATATAGTGTAGCCCTGTTCTTCCTTACAGCGCAAGGTTGTAGAAAAATAAACTATCCTACCACTGTTAACTTTGATTTCTATACCATAGTGCTTCTTAAAAATGTAGGATGTCGGTTTCAGAAGTATGGTGGACACATGTTTAAAGTTTTGGGGAGTAGTAAGTATTAGAATACTTTTAAAGGTATTGTGCGTGACTTACTTCAGCTACACACTTGTCATAAAGTGCACCTTGGGAGTTGCTTTTCATTTATGTTAATGAGTGCTTGGTGTATGTAGTTGTGTCTGATGAGTGTTAATGAGTTGATCTGAATATCATTATTAGAAAAGTTAATAGTATGGAAAGTATAATTACCAGGAATTTTTTTTCACACATTTTAGTTTAATTAAGTTGCTCTGGTAGGTATTGGGTTTATTATAGGTGTGCTGATGGTTGAATGTGAGAATATTACTGTTACACATAGTGGTTGGGATTTGAAAGAAAGGCTTTGTGGTCGTGTTTTATGTATCAAAAATGGTGTGTTATAGCAACAACACTATAAGATGCTATTTTTAACATGACTCTAAAATTTGTGGAAGTTAGAAAGGAACTCAAAAATAGGAATAAATGGTATCATATAGAACTTCTGCCATATGATAAATTTTCACACAACAGCATTTGGGTTGTTGCGACAGATGAGGGGGCAGGCAAACAGGTAACAGGTGGGTAGGTAGGTGGGTAGATGAATTGACCTTGAAATGTCCAAGTTGATGCAAGTTTGGAGTTGTCTCTCCATTACCTTGGAAGCCCTTTGGGATGGAGCTCCTTATGTTGACACCAGTTTTTCCTTTAGTCTCCTGGGGTTAGCTAGCTGGATGGGGCAGCTTCCCTGCCAGCCAGCAGTGGGCCTCAGTAGCAGAAGCTGACTTTGGCCACGTGAGGCAGAGCCACCTCCTGAATATCAGAGGTGCTGAGGTAGCCCCTGGATAATAAGACCCATGCAGAATTGCGAAGCCTCACTCCAACCTTAATTTCAAACAGCTCAGTCAGTCAATCAATCAAGTACAGTATTTCTTGAACAGCTTCATGTAGCCGGAGAGCTCAGCATGGTGCTCTGCTGCATAGGAATCCCATCAGAAGGATATGTCCATGCTGTCATTGTTTGTGTATGTTTCAAGGACTTGCAATTATGTGATTTGGAAGAGCACATTATAGATTTATTAATCAAAACTGACCGACCAGGTATCATCTCTGCTCCTTCTCTTAAGCCCTCTGTACCTGTGCAGGTGAGCAGTGAAGGACAGGGTTGGGGTCAACAGGAGGGGGCTCCTCTGTTCATCTCAGAGGTGTCTGCTGGTCCCCAGAGAATCAGACGTTTCCCTTGTCATACATTTGCCACTCCCTGGAACTGACTTCTTGAGGAGTCTCTAGGTTTTAAGACATAATAATTTTTTTCAAGTGTTATCTGTGAGATTTTATGGTCTGTTGCATGCTAAGATAGAAACTTGACTTTTCTTTAACTTTTTGTTCCTCACTTACTGCTAGGCAGAATAAATGAGTCCTTCAGCACAGTTCCTTTCTCCCTAGGCTTGTTTACTGCTTTATGATATTCATGTGTAGTATTTTGATGAAATGTATTTGCTTCTCAATAGTTTTTAAATCATTCGTGGGCTTCTCCCTTTTACTTACCTCTCGTTTTTGTCTGTCTGTCTGTTTGTCGTTATAGCCATCCTGGGGTCTCCAGCTAGTGGAATTCAAAACACAATTGGTTCTGTTGGCACAGGGCAACAGAATGCCACTTCTTTAAGTAACCCAAATCCCATAGACCCCAGCTCCATGCAGCGAGCCTATGCTGCTCTCGGACTCCCCTACATGAACCAGCCCCAGACGCAGCTGCAGCCTCAGGTTCCTGGCCAGCAACCAGCACAGCCTCAAACCCACCAGCAGATGAGGACTCTCAACCCCCTGGGTAGGTGAAGGAACTCTCAACTTCGTTCTTACTTGTCCACATGCAGCAAAGGGAATGGAGTGATGGAACCCAAGGCAGTTTTCAGTTTGTTTTGTGTTTTTTACTACGGTGGTTGAAATAAAAAATCTCCCAGGAAAAAGCTGAAGTATCTGATGCAAGGAAAATGTTACATGCTTATAAAAAGAGCAGCATTTGCAAATGAAGCAATGTTTTTGTTGCTTGCTGTGCCACTTCTGTCTGGACGGTTTTCATAAAGAATGTGCCATGTGCCTCAGAATGCAGATCTCACAAGTCAGGATGCTGACTGGACGCCTCATGCTGACTGTTGTCATTTATTTGTTGGAGTACTTGTGTTTGCCAGTTTCTCACACATCTTGGTTAGGGTCTACCCCTCAGTTGGAAGTGACCAGCCTGGACTTCAGCAGGTTAATGACAATGACAGGAGTCCTGGAAACTCTTGGCTCAGGCTGCTGGACATGTCATGGTTTCTTTTGTCACCCCAGCCCATTATTTGCCAGCCTTTGATCGTTTGCTCACACATCGCCATGATTTTGCCATTTCTGCATATGGTTTCCTTAATATTTTTCTTTAAGTGGACACAGTCCCTTTACATTTAGGCTTAAGCTAAGCAGTGATGTCTGTGAAGTCAAGACTGGCTGACTAGTTGTGCTAGTTTTGTTCTTTCCCTAATAGAGTAACTATTTTACACTTAAAAATTACTCCTTAAAATATGCCCAGCTAAAGTCATCTTACTTGTTGCTTTCTGGAAAACAACTGCCCTAATGAATGTCTAACTAATACTGGCCAGGAGACTGAGTTAGAATCCTGAGACCCAAGTGTTAATCTAACTCCTCTCCTGTTGATGGTATAATTTGGGACTAGCTTAACCTTTTTTAGTCTCAGCTTTCGTTTCCTTTAATAGGAAGATTGTAGACAAATTGACCTCTATATTTTTTTCCTGAGCTTAATTTCTATGATTTTATTTTCTGATATTGGGGGTGGAGACACAGAGGTGTGTGTCAGTGCAGCTGAGTCACTCAGGAGCGATACTAATGAAGCAGAATGAAAGTAAGAGGCTGCATGTGGGTCATTTATAACTTTTTCACTTAGATAGCAGCTAACCTCCATAAACACACCTTACTTTGGTTACAAAGTAGAGTGGGGAGGGTGTCTACTGATTATTTGTGCACGTTGATTACCATTATTGAAAATATGACACTCAGAGTTCCTGCCGCAGTGCTTACTATAACTGGCCAGAATCACTTATTTAAATAACCACCAATTGTTTATATGGTGGCATGTTGGTTATCTGTCATCAAAACTTTGAAGTATATATTAAAATTTAACTGTTGATTGATTTCTTTTCTGTCTTTAAAGGAAATAATCCAATGAACATTCCAGCAGGAGGAATAACAACAGATCAGCAGCCCCCAAACTTGATTTCAGAATCAGCTCTTCCGACTTCCCTGGGGGCCACAAAGTAAGACCCTGTTTCAGATCTGAGTGACAGTCCAACAGGAGCATGGACTGAGAACCACACAAAACTGATTCTTTCTAAATGTGTGGCAGAGAAAATAGTTTAAATGGGGTGGTGAGGGGTGAATGCTGTTTTCCTTTTTTTCTTTAATTATAAATGTAGAGCAGATAATAGATTAAAACATAGTTTAAGTTTTATTTATTTACATCACTTGGCTCTCCTGACTTAAACTTTTAAAAGTCACATGTGGTGGCAGAAGAACCTTACTAGACAAAGTGTGTTTGAGTCACTTCAGTAGATGGATGAAGTGTCTTTATTTCCTCCTTAGCCCACTGATGAACGATGGCTCCAACTCTGGTAACATTGGAACCCTCAGCACTATACCAACAGCAGCTCCTCCTTCTAGCACCGGTGTAAGGAAAGGCTGGCACGAACATGTCACTCAGGACCTGCGGAGCCATCTAGTGCATAAACTGTACGTAACAGTTTTGCAGTTTCATAGATGTTTGATTTTATTCCTGTGTTGCCCATTGGCTACCAGATGACAGTACCCTAGGAGCCTATACAAGTCACGTGCTTATTTAGGGAGCCACTCTCACTGCTGGTAGAGTTCTGGCAGCCCTAGGCAGGCCAGAGATTCCCACACTCTATGTCCTCGGTGAGCGGGGGTGACAAAGAGAGCATTGGTGGCTCTGTACTGCCGAGGGGCACTGACTTGCAGCCCCTATCACCGAGGCAAAGACCCTCAGTGCAGCCCGGCCTTAATGTGCTTCTGCACTTTAGGCTGCGTGAGGGGGCTGGGGTTAGCTCAAGAGCCTCACCTTATTTTGTAGTTCCAGATTCTAGTTGTGGAGACCCCTCAGAATTGGAAAAGTTTAGAGTATAGATGGCATGTCATTATCACCTTACAGTTAGTTAACATAACGGAAAGTTAACAGTTAACTTTTTTTTTTTTTTTTTTTTTTGAGACAGAGTCTCGCTCTGTTGCTTAGACTGGAGTGCAGTGGCACAGTCTTAGCTCACTGCAACCTCCGCCTCCCAGGTTCAAGTGATTCTCCTGCCTCAGCCTCCCGAGTACCTGGGATTACAAGCACGTGCCACCACCCCCAGCTACTTTTTGTGTTTTTGGTAGAGACAGGGTTTCACCACGCTGGCCAGGCTGGTCTCAAACTCCTGACCTCAAGTGATCCGTCCACCTCAGCCTCCCGAAGTGCTGGGGTTATGAGCCACCGCACCCGGCCTTTTTGTTGTTGTTGTTGTTGAGAGAGAGAGACGGAGTCTTGCCAGGTTACCCAAGCTGGTCTCAAACTCCTGGCCTCAAGTAATCCTCTTGCCTTGGCCTCCCAAAGTGCTGGGTGGCATGAGCCACCACACCAAGCCTAACGTTGTTGAGCTAGTTATTTTAAATGAGCTAGACTTACATTCCCTTTGAGTTTTTTCCCTTCCTTATTTTGATCAAATTTTTTTTAGTAATAAGTAGTTTAAAAATTAGGGATTTGAAAATCGTGTTATTCTGGAAATGACCCAGCACATACTTGTTAATAGCAAAATATTGATGTGTTTGATGTGTAGATAAGTTGATAGGTCAGGATTGTCTCCAGGGAGTTAACTTCATTCATGTATTGACATGCGAGGCAAGAGAGGCTTGGCATTTCTCTCCACACTGTATTGCCACCAGAGATACATGATCCTGATTTTGTAGTGCTTATTTGATGGCATTGGAAGTAGCTTCAGGCCAGGTGCAGTGGCCCCCACGTGTAATTCCAGTGCTTTGGGAGGCTGAGGTGGGAGGATTATGTGAGCCCAGGAGTTCAGGCCAGCCGGGGCAACATAATAAAACTCCATCTCTACAGAAAATTTAAAAATTAGCCAGGCATGGTGGTGTGCACCTGTACTTCCCAGCTTACTTTAGAGGCTGAGGTGGGAAGATCATTGAGCCCAGGAGTTCAAAGTTGCAGTGAGCTATGATCATGCCACTGTACTCCAGCCTGGGCGATAGAGCAAGACCCTGTGTCTTTTTTTTTTTTTTCTTCTTTTTTTGGTATGGAGTCTGACTCTGTCGCCCAGGCTGGAGTGCAATGGCACGATCTCAGCTCACTGCAACCTCTGCCTCCCGGGTTCAAGCAATTCTCTTGCCTCAGCCTCCCGAGTAGCTGGGATTACAGGCATCCACCACCATGCCCAGCTAATTTTTGTATTTTTAGTAGAGACGGGATTTCACCACGTTGGCCAGGCAGATCTCAAACTGCTGACCTCAGGTGATTCTCCCGCCTCAGCCTCCCAAAGTGCTGGGATTACAAGCGTGAGCCACCGCGCCTGGACGAAACCCCATGTCTTTAAAAAAAAGAAGAAAAAAAAAAGTAGTTTGATAGATGTGTTATCCTTTCAGCGTCCAAGCCATCTTCCCAACACCTGATCCCGCAGCTCTAAAGGATCGCCGCATGGAAAACCTGGTAGCCTATGCTAAGAAAGTGGAAGGGGACATGTACGAGTCTGCCAACAGCAGGGTAGGTTGCTGTTTACCGTGCTCTGGCCTCTACAGCATCTGTAGTAGACAGCACTACATTTGTCTGCTTTGTTATCTGGAAATAGTGGAATCTATGTAGTTGGGACAGACTCCTCCCCTTGAGGCCACTGACCAAGGAGACTTCCCAGATAAGACACAAATCTCCTGCAGAACTCTCTTGATTAGCTACATTGGTGCATGGAGTATATAAATTTACATTATATCCATGGGATATATTTTTCATAGTAGGTGGTGTTGTAATATTGTTAGCATCAGTGAATATTCAAGAAGTTCATTTGAATGAAATGGAACATGTATTAAGTACCTACTATTTGATATGTCCTATAAAGTCATTGGGAATTCAGCAAGAATGTGGGCTTCTGGTGTATCAGGTATTTGCATACTACTTTTGCCAGTGTACTCAATGAGGAAGTTCATTAGTTAGAACCTACAACACAGATCATTCAGTTGCTTTTTACAGTTTTAACTGTTTCATATTGAATATTATTGCTTTTTAGGATGAATATTATCACTTATTAGCAGAGAAAATCTACAAGATACAAAAAGAACTAGAAGAAAAACGGAGGTCGCGTTTACATAAACAAGGCATCTTGGGGAACCAGCCAGCCTTACCAGCCCCGGGGGCTCAGCCCCCTGTGATTCCACAGGCACAACCTGTGAGACCTCCAAGTAAGGATTTTATTTCCTACTGCCATCCCTTAGCCTGTTTCCTTGGTTTTCCTTCGTGTTTGGGGTGTATTTCTAAGAACAGAGAATTAGAATATCTGATGCATGCCCTGCAGAAGCTGTTGATGTGGCAGTGGCCCTGACCACCTGCCTCAGGCTGTGTTGGGACACTGAGTTTCTCTCTTGGGAAGGCCCTTTACAGGGTGCGCTGGCATTGGAACACACGTGCTTTTGGACCTATTGGCTGTTTTCCCTTTTAAGTTTGAAGTCCTAATAAGAAATTTCCTATTCCTGAATCAAGGATTATATTAAATAACTAGGGTGGTTTTGTTTTTGTTTTTGTTTTGCCACCATAGATGGACCCCTGTCCCTGCCAGTGAATCGCATGCAAGTTTCTCAAGGTATTGAACTGTTTGTGGTGAATCATATTTTAGTTTTACATTCAACAGCCATAACTTTCACTGTTTTTTCCTCTCCCCCTGTATATTTCTTTCTAACCCTTTCTTCTTTCCATTCCTTTTTGCTGATAAGCAGAATTCAGTTCTACAGGTAGTATGGATATGTTTATAGTATGAAGTTTGGAGATTATAGGAAAGATCTTCCAAGAGATAAGAAGCAGTATTTAGCTATTTATTTATTTATTTATTTCTATTTTATTTTATTTTATTTTTATTTTTTTGAGATGGAGTCTCGCTCTGTCGCCCAGGCTGGAGTGCAGTGGCTCCATCTTGGCTCACTGCAAGCTCCGCCTCCTGGGTTCACACCATTCTCCTGCCTCAGCCTCCTGAGTAGCTGGGACTACAGGCGCCCACCACCACGCGTGGCTAATTTTTTGTATTTTTAATAGAGACGGGGTTTCACCGTGTTAGCCAGGATGGTCTTGATCTCCGTGATCCGTCCACCTCAGCCTCCCAAAGTGCTGGGATTACAGGAGTGAGCCACTGCACCCGGCCTTAGCTTTTTATTTTACTTTATTTTCTTTTCTTTTATTTTTTTGAGACAGAGCCTTACTTTGTTGCCCAGGCTGGAGTGCAGTGGCACGATCTGGGCTCACTGCAAGCTCCGCCTCCCGGGTTCATGCCATTCTCCTGCCTCAGCCTCCATAGTAGCTGAGACTACAGGCACCTGCCACCACGCCCAGCTAATTTTTTGTATCTTTTTTTTTAGTAGAGATGGGGTTTCACCATGTTAGCCAGGATGGTCTCAATCGCGTGAACTTGTGATCTGCCCACCTTGGCCTTCCAAAGTGCTGGGATTACAGGCATGAGCCACTGCACCCGGCCAGCTTTTTATTTTTTTAATGGATGGTGAAGGGGGTGTGGTACGTTACTCTTAGGAAGAGTCCGAGAAAGAAGCACCCTAGATGTGGGGAGGGAGTGCTTCTGAATGCTGAGAAGGAGAAGCATGCAAGACAGTCCTAGACTGCTGAGCACTTGCAGAGGCTGAAATGGGGACGGCACGGGCTGCTCTTGGCCCTAGGGGTTAAGCCCAGCTGGCTGGATGTCAACTTCTGGAGAGAGTGTACACACAGGTCCTGTGCCAGGTTGGGGTGTCAGCAGCTGTCTCAACAACCTTGAAAGGTTCTTAAGTAGAGAGCCTCTGGTTTTTGGTTGGTTGAAGCAGTGATTTTTATTTTGGGGCAGGGAGCATTTGAAAACCCTGTAGCTCTTGACCATTGAGACCCAAGCAGGAGGACATTTTTCCAGGTTGTGAAACAAGGTGGTGACATTATCCAGAAGACTCTAAGGAAAGAGGCTTTGCTCAGGCTTTGATTTTTGAAAGAAATCAAGGAGTCAGGCTGGGCACAGTGGCTCACACCTGTAATCCCAGCACTTTGGGAGGCCGAAGCAGGAGGATCACTTGAGGTCAGGAGTTTGAGACCAGCCTAGCCAACATGGTGAAACCCCCGTCTCTATTAAAAATACAAAATTTAGCCAGGCATGGTGGTGCACACCTGTAATCCCAGCTACGCGGGAGGCTGAGGCAGGAGAATTGCTTGAACCCAGGAGGCGGAGGCTGCAGTGAGTTGAGATCACACCACTGCACTCCAGCCTGGGCAACAAGAGCGAAATCTCATCTCAAAAAAAAAAAAGAAAGAAATCAAGGAGTCAGAGAAATTGAGCCTTGGGAAAGTGGCTGGATGCTGTGTTGGGGATTGGTCCAGGACTTCAGCCTGGATAGGAAGATGCTGCTGGTGTGGGGTATGATGCCCCTGCTGTTTACCAGCAGAATATTGGAATAGATGTTTTCTAGTTATGCACTTAGCAACCTCCCTACCAGCACATCTGGGTAAATACAGATTTCTTTAAGTGCTGTTCCTTAGTAATTGTTTTTCATTTTGTTTAAAAAAATTCTCAAGGAGTGGGGAAGCTTACATTATAGACTCCCTGGAAAGTCTTCCTGGTCTGCATCGGCACTCCGTTATTTGAGGGTACCATTTCTAGGTAGCCATTGAAGGTAGTGCTCCGTGAGTCATCCTTTGAGCCTTCTCATGACTACAGCAGCGCTAAGGCAGCACCTTCCAGAAATTCTCTAAAGGGTTCTGTCAGATTCTAGTGTTGGTCCTAAGACTAATTTGAACTGGTGCTTCTTTAGAACTCAGAGTTTACAGAGTATTATTGGAAATTGGAAGGAACTAGACACCGCAGTCTGGAGACACTTACTGGCTGTGAAGTGTCTTTCAGTGATGTGGTGTTCCTGTAAACTACAGGAGGCTAAGGTTGAGGACGGCTGACCCTTGGGCACTTCTTAATGCTTAAGGTGCTTGCAAAATTAAAAGAACATTTGGAGACTTAGCACAGATTCTAACAATGAATGTAAACCCAGCAAGGAGCTGGGAATCCTCGGATGATGGGCGTCAGCTGCTCCAGAGGCATTAGGTATGGGTGTGCACAGAAGCTTGCCCTGGTCTCTGGAAACATCTCTTCTGTAGCTTGTGAGGGTGCTGTCCTTTCAGGGCACCTCCTCACCCTCTTTGTTGCTATGACACTTTGGTACTGTGCCCTCTGGCTCAGCTCTACCACAGCCTCGTTTAATGTCTCACTTGTTCCTGTCTTACCCAACCTTATGCCTTCATGTCCTCGTCCTTCCCTGGTACCCCTCACCATGCCACCGTCACCACCCCCACATTGATGCCGTTTTCTCTGGATATGGAGAAGTCTGTTCCTTCATCATCTTCATTGATTAATTGGGTGATTTCTTTTCAGTTTTCTGTTGCCTGTGCGTTCCATCTTATTTTACTTAAGAGTTTATTTAGCAAGTTGTAATTCTGTTTTCCTGTGGGTGCTTTTCCTAATGAACCGTTGTGGGTACATTTACAGGGATGAATTCATTTAACCCCATGTCCTTGGGGAACGTCCAGTTGCCACAAGCACCCATGGGACCTCGTGCAGCCTCCCCAATGAACCACTCTGTCCAGATGAACAGCATGGGCTCAGTGCCAGGGGTAAGTGTTCTCTTTCGCTGTGCTGCAGATAGCCCTCCCTCTCACATGGAACATTATCTAAGCAGCAGAATTCATGTCACTTGAGAATCCTGTGGTTCTTGTTCCTTTGAATTTGGGTTATGCTTTATTTCTTTCATCTCTCATTTTAAAAAAATTATTACTACACAGAATTATTTGACTGTTAGTTATTTTATTGGAATAACAAATTCATAGGAATGTGTGGCTTTGTGAGAATGTGGGAGTTCCAAGGCTGGAGAAGGCAGCCTCAGATATGTGGCCAGCAGGGAATTGTCAGCATCTGTTGACTGAGAGCTCGCTGTTCCGAGGCTGCTTTCTAAACACTTTAGAGAACTCATAGGCATGTCTTAAACTTTAAATTATAGCCTGCTATTGATTTCTATTCAGAGGACATTTTGAAGCTGGCTCATTTGAGAGATTGCCTGAGAAAGTGTGTAAGGTGCCCAGGAGCGCGGGAGTTCTTAGCAAGTGGTGGTCTCTTCCCATGAGGAAGGGCAGGATGTGAGCCCTGTGCTTGCCATCCTCTGGGGTTGTGAAGCCTTGGATCATTCTGGCTCACCTTGAAAACTCTGGCCGTCAGCTTCCGAACTACAGCTCTGGTGGTGCTTGTTGTCTCGTAGATGGCCATTTCTCCTTCCCGAATGCCTCAGCCTCCGAACATGATGGGTGCACACACCAACAACATGATGGCCCAGGCGCCCGCTCAGAGCCAGTTTCTGCCACAGAACCAGTTCCCGTCATCCAGCGGGGCGATGAGTGTGGGCATGGGGCAGCCGCCAGCCCAAACAGGCGTGTCACAGGTACTGTGCCCCACTGGGACCGTGGCTCCCTAGGAAATAAAATTCTTGTGTTAAGTTTTGGTTTTTTTTTTCTGTCTTCCTTCGTGGAAATTAAAATTCCAGAATGCACATTTCATGTCTTTGTATCAGCTTCTCTTTGTTTTCTCCACCTTTGTCCTGTAGTCCTTAACTCGTTTGGAATTTCTCTTATCCTTTCTGGGTTAACTATATGCAAAAGTGGGAATGGATTTAGAATTTTTGGTTTGTATGCTTTTGTGTTTTGATCTTTGAGTTTTTGTTTTCTTATTTTTTGTTTGTGTATTTTAAATTCTAACTTTAACGTGACCCTGAGAGGCATTAGGATTTTAAAAAGCGAGTGAGAAGGACCCATGAATTCACTCTTGATGATTTGGCTTTTGTTTCTTTTGACCTGTCTCCACTGCCAGGTGAAATCAAGCTAACAGAATCATTTCAATAGTTCCCTTCTTGTTAAATGTTTTTAATTTCTCAATCTAGAGCTGAAGAAATTGATTTTCCATTTATTCCTTCCTTTTTTCCTCTTTTGTTAGTTGTAGTGCGTATCATTGCTACTGTATACAAAATATACATGTATTTAAAACACACCAAATCCTCCCTAAAAGATAAAATTCTTGTTTTAAGTTTTTTTTTGTTTGTTTGTCTGTTTTAAGACAGGGTCTCGTTTTGTTGCCCAGACTGGAGTGCAGTGGTACAATCTCGGCTCTGCAACCTCCGCCTCCCGGGTTCAAGCGATTCTCCTGCCTAAGCCTGCCAAGTACCTGGGGTTACAGATGCCCGCCACCACACCCAGCTAATTTTTTTTTTTTTTTTTTTTTTTGTATTTTTAGTAGAGACGGGATTTCACCATGTTGGCCAGGCTGATCTCGATCTCCTGACCTCAGGTGATCCACCCACCTCGGCCTCCCAAAGTGCTGGGATTACAGGAGTAAGCTACCGTACCCAGCCTTGTTTTGAGTTTTTAATGTGAAATAATGCTGCATAAGTCATTATTATATATTAGATTTCCTCACTAAATGATTATTCTTAACTTTCCATAACATTTCATTTCTCTAGAACAAGGATTAGCAAACTTCGTGTAAAGGGCCAGATACTAAATATTTTCAGCTTTGCAGGCCATTCAATCTTGGTTTTCATCACTTCTGTTCTTGTAGTGCAGAAGCTGCTGTGGTACATAAATGAGGTGGCTGTGTGCCAATAAAGCTTTATTTACAGAAACAAGCAGCTCAGTGTGTTTGCCCTGGGAGATTGCCAACCCCTGCTCTAGAACAGTGATTCAGAATCATTTTTAAAATGTTCACAAATAATTCTGAAGTGTATCCCCAGTATAGAACCACTGCACTGAAACAGTTCTCTTTCAGTAACTAACGTGTGTGTGTGTGTGTGTGTGTGTGTGTGTGTGTGTGTTTGTGTTTCAGAGAGAATTTTTTTTTTAAATTTTTAATTGTTAAGGGTACTTATGGATGTATATATTTATGGTCAATAACTTTTATTCTTATTTTTATTTATTTATTTTATAGTCCCCAGGGAAGAAGCAACTTAAAAAAAAAATACCTTTTTCTAAGCTAAGCTTAGAAAATGTTAAAGAACATTGGGTACATGTTATAGAACATGAAGCTTATAGGCTGGGTCAATGTACAGTAGCTCCCCCAATCTGTCATTTCACTTTCTGAGGTTTCAGTTACCTGGGGTCAACTGTGGTCCAAAAATATTAAATGGGAAATTCTGGGAATAAACAATTCATAAATTTTAAATTAATTAGCTAGGCATGGTATTGCACGCCTGTAATCCCAGCTACTGAGGAGGCTGAGGCAGGAGAATCACTGGAACCCGGGAGATGGAGGTTGCAGTGAGCCAAGATCATGCCATTGCACTCCAGACTGGGTGACAGAGCGAGACTCTGTCTTTTTTTTTTTAAAAAAAAAAAAAAAAAGTTTTAAATTGAGTGCCATTCCAAGTTGCATGATGAATTCTGTCACCATCCCACTCTGTGCCCCCAGGGATGTGAATCATTTATTTGTCCAGCATTTCCACACTGTAGACACTACCCACCTCTTAGTCACTGAGTGTCCACCTTGGTTGTCAGATCCAAAAATCTTGGTAAATATTGGGTTCAGTACTATCCGCAGTTTCAGGCGTTCCAAGACTGGGGGTCTTGGAATGTATCCGAGTGGATATGAGGGGACTGCTGTAGATGTGTGTGTTTAAGCCATAAGTTTCAATGGTTGTTTTAATTATATAAATCAGACTATAAGAAACGTGTGTAGTTTTACCGTTATTGAGGAGTGCCCATTACAAGTGTATAGCTCGATGAATTTTCACAAGCAGAACACTCCCAAGAAAATGTGATTAAATTCCCATACATTTGGCTGGGCGCGGTGGCTCACGCCTGTAATCCCAGCACTTTGGAAGGCCGAGGCGGGAGGATCACTTGAGGTCAGGAGTTTGAGACCAGCCTGGACAACATGGCAAAACCCGATCTCTACTAAAAACAGAAAAATTAGCTGGGCGTGGTGACGGGCACCTGTAATCCCTGCTACTCGAGAAGCTGAGACAGGAGAATTGCTTGAACCCAGGAGGCGGAGGCTGCAGTGAGCCGAGATCGCACCATTGCATTGCAGCCTGGGCGACAAGAGTGAAACTGTCTCAAAAAAAAAAATTTTTTTTTCATACATTTAATTTTTCAAATGTTTCATCACATTTTCAAACGGGGGAAATAATTTTACCATACTCTGTCCATTTCTGGTAGGGACAGGTGCCTGGTGCTGCTCTTCCTAACCCTCTCAACATGCTGGGGCCTCAGGCCAGCCAGCTACCTTGCCCTCCAGTGACACAGTCACCACTGCACCCAACACCGCCTCCTGCTTCCACGGCTGCTGGCATGCCATCTCTCCAGCACACGACACCACCTGGGATGACTCCTCCCCAGCCAGCAGCTCCCACTCAGCCATCAACTCCTGTGTCGTCTTCCGGGCAGACTCCCACCCCGACTCCTGGCTCAGTGCCCAGTGCTACCCAAACCCAGAGCACCCCTACAGTCCAGGCAGCAGCCCAGGCCCAGGTGACCCCGCAGCCTCAAACCCCAGTTCAGCCCCCGTCTGTGGCTACCCCTCAGTCATCGCAGCAACAGCCGACGCCTGTGCACGCCCAGCCTCCTGGCACACCGGTAAGCCTCTCTGTCTCTGCTGTTTTTGGGCCAAGACTCTTAGAAGATAATTTTCCCATAAAAATTGTGTGTCAGGCCAGGCGCGGTGGTTCACACCTATAATTTCAGCACCTTGGGAGGCCAAGGTGGGAGAATCACTTGAGCCCATGAGTTCAAGACCATCCTGGGCAACATAGTGAGACCTCGTCTCCAGCAAAAAAAAATTTTTTTTAACCAGACAAGCATGGTGGTGTGTGCCTGTAGTCCTGTAGTCCCAGCCACTCAGAAGGCTTAGGTGGGAAGATCACTTGAGCCTAGGAGGTACAGGTTACAGTGAGCCAAGATCACGCCACTGTACTCCAGCCTGGGCAACAGAGCGAGACATTGTCATCTTTTGTTTGTTTACTTAAAACTCCATTGAGGCTGGGCGCGGTGGTTCACGCCTGTAATCCCACTACTTTGGGAGGCTGAGGCAGGCGGATCACCGGAGCTCAGGAGTTCGAGACCAGCCTGGCCAAAGTTGTGAAACCTTGTCTCTACAAAAATATAAAAATTAGCCGGGCATGATGGCTGGTGCCTGTATTCCCAGCTACTCGGGAGGCTGAGGCGGGAGAATCGCTTGAGCCTGGGAGGCAGAAATTGTATCGAGCCGAGATTGCGCCATTGTACTCCAGCCTAGGTGACAGAGTGAGACTCCGTCTCAAAAAAAAAAAAATTCCATTGAGTAAGAATTTGCAAATTAGGAATTCTTTTAGTGGTTCCTTCGTGTAATGTTCATTTACTCCACCAGCACCCGTGTTCCTACCGTTCACACAGGCTGGGTAACACTGTCTTTGGGTAGGCACTTGATTTCCCTCCCTTCAGATGTGCTTAGGCATTCATAATTCAGCCTTTTACCATACACATTAACCACCATATTGAAGGGAATTAATTTCAAAATATGAGATTTCATGATTTAGCTAGAAAACTTCGAGAAAATAAATTTATGTCAAAGTTTGAAAAGCTCTGCTGTTTCCTCTGCCTTTGTGGCAAGACCTGAGTTGTACCTCTGGCTGCTGTTACCTCCCTCTAGAACTCATTCCTACTTTAACCCCTGTTCTTCGGTTTCACAGAAGGGCACCTGCTGGATCAGTATTGAGAAATGTTAATGGGAAATTGTAGGTTGCATGAGCAGCATAGTTGAAGATCATTTATGTTACCTTGCTTACTGAAGTCAGTGCTTTCGGTTTTTTCACAGCTTTCCCAGGCAGCAGCCAGCATTGATAACAGAGTCCCTACCCCCTCCTCGGTGGCCAGCGCAGAAACCAATTCCCAGCAGCCAGGACCTGACGTACCTGTGCTGGAAATGAAGACGGAGACCCAAGCAGAGGACACTGAGCCCGATCCTGGTGAATCCAAAGGGGAGCCCAGGTCTGAGGTGGGTGCCGCTCCCTAGGAATGCATTGACTGCGTATCGCAACTTTACCCAGGTGTCCTCGGGCGAGGCTTGGAGCCTGCCATGGGTATCCCTGACTTTAGTTAAAATATTCTGTTTGAATGTGGGTTCGGGGTTTGGTGTATAGGAAATTGATTGAAAACAGCTTGGTTTTTCATTTTTAAATATGAGGGGTGGGTTTATTTTGCCCGAAATGAAGAATACTGGCTTATATTTGAAATACTTGAATCATCCAACAGCCTTTTATTTTATGTTCTCCATTCATTTCTAGTTCTGCAGAGGTAGACTACAGAAGGGGTGGTGGATTCATTTACTAATTAACCTATGGCAGAAGCTGAAAGCTGGCAGACCGTGGGCTGGATCCAGCCTCTAAATGTGTTTGGCCCACACAATACCTTAAAAATCAGGAAATTGCAAATAAAACTCTAGATTTCTGGCTTTTCTTGAAAAATGAGATGCTTTCAGCATTGTGCCTGCATCCCTGTGTGACAGCAGTCTGGTTGTGAGCACCAACTGTAGTGGGCTCTCCAATTAGCCACAGTCCCCACTGCTCCTTCCTGTCTCATACCACACCTGCCTCTGAGAAGGACTTTTGGTCCCTGCCCCAACTTTCAAGGAGATTTTTATTCCAAATTAGAAATATCTGTAGTGAAAAATCTGAGTATGTGCAATTTTTAAAGCAGTTTTACATTTAAAAACTTTTAAATTAGGCTGGGAGCTGTGGCTCACACCTGTAATCCCAGCACTTTGGGAGGCCGAGGCAGGTGGATCACTTGAGGTCAGGAGTTCGAGACCAGCCTCGCCAACATGATGAAACCCCATATCTACCAAGAATATAAAAAATTAGCCGAGTGTGGTGGCACACACGTGTAATCCCAGCTACTCGGGAGGCTGAGGCAGGAGAATTGCTAGAACCCAGGAGGGGGAGGTTGCAGTGAGCCAAGATCTTGCCATTGCACTCCAGCCTGGGTGTTAGACTCTGTCTCAAAAAAAAAAAAAAAAAAAAAAAAAAAAAAAAACACTTTTAAATTTAGGACCATAATTGCACTGACTCTGTGCTGAAGCGACTTAATGAACACCAAGTACTTTATTTCTTCTTCCGGAAGAGAAGAGGAATCATAAATGCAACTCTGACTAGAGGAAGGTTTTAACAAACCTGTTTTAGGCTTGTAAGAGTCTTCCCGTGAGGTTGCGGTAACATAAAGGTGTTTGATATTCATATGTTATCTGTAATGTTTTTCTCAAGATGATGGAGGAGGATTTGCAAGGAGCTTCCCAAGTTAAAGAAGAAACAGACATAGCAGAGCAGAAATCAGAACCAATGGAAGTGGATGAAAAGAAACCTGAAGTGAAAGTAGAAGTTAAAGAGGAAGAAGAGAGTAGCAGTAACGGCACAGCCTCTCAGTCAACATCTCCTTCGCAGCCGCGCAAAAAAAGTAGGCCATTTATTCATTACCTTATTAAAGCATGCTGCTTTTCCACGGTGTTAGGATTCCATGTGGAGGATTAAAAGCTAAAGTAGAAACATAATTCTATCTGCCCTTTTACCTTTCTTGCCTGCCATTCCCCAGACTTTCCCCTGCAGAAACACTCAGGCTGAGCAGGACCCCTGCCCTGTGCCTGTGGGGCTCATGGCAGGAGTGAGAGATGAGCTGCTGCTCCGAGGGCACCCAGGCTGCAGAGCTGTCTTCTGATGGTGCTGGCAGGGGCCGAGTTGAAATGTGTCTGGGTCCTTGAGCAGGTTAAGGAGCTTGGCTTTACTCATAAAAGTATAAAGAACCAGTGATGTATGTGAGTAGGAGAATAACCAAAAAAGCCATAATTTAAGGAAGATGGTCATTATGACAGCACAGGGTGACTTGGAGGCAGAAGGTTTCTGCAGGTGCAGTGAGGAAGCTGAGCATGCAGAGTGAGGGGCAGGGTGGCGCCTAGGGACCCTGTGTAGTGAGACATGGGGGAGGGGTAGGTTAGGCATCTTTGGGGTCTGAGATGTGTGAGGTAAGCCCGCCTCACAGTGGAAGTTGGATGGAATCCATTTGAGATGTATCCACAGTAAAGAGATAACAGGGTATCAGAAAATTGTCAAGTGAACCTTAGAAATGGGAGACAGGACTCAGAAAGTCCAAGGCTGCAGATGACACTTTTGGGAAAGATTGCAGAGAAATGTTAGAGACTGAGACCATGTTACTCTGCAGCTGGAAGGGACCCTGGAGAGTGTGGAGTACAGTGAATCTCAGGGCTCTTTATACTCTTAGAAATTGAGGGCCCCAGAGAGTTGTTGTGTGGATTATCTATCATTGCTTACTCTACTGGAAACTAAAGTTGAGAAATTTGAGTACAGTGGCTTACACCTGTAATCCCAGCACTTTGGGAGGCTGAGATGGGAGGCTTGCTTGATGCTGGGAGTTCAAAACCAGCCTGAGCAACATAGCAAGGCTCCATCTCTACAAAACTAAAATAAAACTAGCTAAGTGTGGTGGTGCACGCCTATAATTCTAGCTGCTCGAGAAGCGGAAGCGGCAGGATTGCCTGAGCCTAGGAGTTTGAGGCTGCAGTGAGCCCAGATCACATCACTGCACTCTAGCCTGGGAGACAAAAGTGAGATTGTTGTCTGAAAAAAAAAAAGAGAAAAATTTTTAAATATTTAGTTCATTTAAAATAGTCTGTTACATGGCACCCATAGAAAACATTTATATGAAAAACAATTTTTCCAAAACAAAAATAAGTAAGAATAGTGGCGTTATTAAGGGTATCTGCCTCTGCATTTACTGTGTTGTGATTGGTTATTTTGGTTGAAGTGTATGAAGAAAATCCTGTAGTTGGTAAAGGGAGAAGTATTTTCGTAGCCCTTTCAGCTGATTGTGGATATTCTTTGATACTATACCAAAATTCAGCCAGTGAAGGTTTCTTAAAGGTTAGTTGCGACATTGAACCAGAATCTATAGCACTGGATTTTTCATAGTCTGTGACATTAGAATCCATTGATCCATCTTGTACTTGGAATGGATCTTTTGTGCTTGCATGATTTTTTTTTCAATTGACACTTAAGTTCTGCAGATTTTCCATATGTTGACATATTTCACTATACAGTGTCAAAAAAAAATCAACATTTGTTAATACCACCATCAGTCTCTTCAAACAAGTCTTACCAACTTAGAAAAGCAGGGCGTGCATGGTGGCTCACACCCGTAATCTCAGCATTTTGGGAGGCTGAGGGGGAAGGATTGCTTGAGCCCAGGAATTCAGGGTCTATGATTGCACCACTGCACTCTAGCCTGGAGCTCAGGAGTTCGAGAGCAGCCTAGGCAACATGGCGAAACCTAATCTCTATTAAAAAAAAATTAGCTGGGTATGGTAGTGCATGCCTGTAGCTGCAGCTACTCGAGAGGTTGAGGTGGGAGAATCACCTGAGCCTGGGAGGTCAAAGATGCACTGAGCCTTGATCATGTCACTGTACTCCAGCCTAAGTGACAGAGTGAGGCCCTGTCTCAAAAAATAATACTAATAATAAATTTTGAGAAGCTGTGAAGCCCATGTACAAGTTTTCCAAAGCATTTGATTTTTTTATGAAAGCCCAAATTTTAGCATTGGCAACAAATACTGTCAGTTGTCCTTGAAGTAACTGGCCCTCTTTGTTCATTTCTGAGAAAATGTCTGACATATAACCAGAGCTTAGTAACTATAGCTTATCTCTCAGTCATTCCTGAAAGTTTTAATGTGCTCCACGAGGGCAAGCAGCTACTTCAGCTGTAAATTCCAACACTTGCCCAAGTACTGCCTCCTGATGTGGCCACTGTGCCTATGCAGCGCACATCTTTTATTCTGTGTGAGGAGATAGGCAGAATGTTTCATCACACAGAATAAAAGACATGTACCAGGCGGCCAGACGCGGTGCCTCACACCTGTAATCCCCGCACTTTCGGAGGCCAAGGCAGGCAGATCACGAGGTCAGCAGATCAGGACCATCCTGGCTAATACGGTGAAACCCCGTCTCTACTAAACAAAATACAAAAAATTATGCGGGCGTGGTGGCGGGCGCCTGTAGTCCCAGCTGCTCGGGAGGCTGAGGCAGGAGAATGGTGTGAACCCAGGAGGCAGAGCTTGTAGTGAGCCGAGATACTGCACTCCAGCCTGGGAGACAGAGCGAGACGCCGTCTCAAAAAACAAAAACAAAAACAAAAACAAAACAAAAAAAAAAACCACACACATGTACCAAACGCTTAAGATTTAATACAAGGAATACTTTTTACTATCTCATCAAGAATATTTTTTCAGCCAGGTGTGGTGGCTCACATCTGTAATCTCAGCACTTTGGAAGGCCAAAGTGGGAGGATCACTTGAAGCCAGGAGTTCAAGACTAGCCTGGGCAACATAGTAAGACCCTGTCTCTACAAAAAATTAAAAATCAGCCAAGTGTGGTGGTGCATGCCTGTAGTCCTGGCTACTCAGGAGGCTGAGGCAGCAGGATCACTTGAGCTCAGGGGTCCAAGGCTGCAGCAAGCTGTGATGCCACTGTTGGACTCCAGCCTGGACAACAGAGCAAGGCCCTATCTCAAAAATAAATTAATTAATTAAGAAATGAGTGGACACAGTGGCTCCCACCTATAATCCCAGCACTTTGGGAGGCGAACACAGGAGGATTACTTATGGCCAGGCGTTCAAGACCAGCCTGGGCAACGTAGTGAGACCCTGTCTCTACAAAACAGTTTAAAAATTAGCCAGGTGTGGTGGTGCACCTGTAGTCCCAATGGCTCAGGAGGCTGAGGTGGGAAGATTGCTTGAGCCCAGGAGGTTGAGGCTGTAGTGAACCATGATTGTGCCAGTGCGTTCTAGCCTGGATGAGAGAGTGAGACCCTGTCTTAAAAATAAAGAATATTTTTTCTTGGCTGGGAGCAGTGGCTCATGCCTATAATCCAAGGACTTTGGGAGGCTAAGGCAGGAGGAATACTTGAGGCCAGGAGTTCAAGCCAGCCTGGGCAACATAGCAAGAACCCATCTCTACCCAAAAAAAAGAAGAAAAATTTTAAACAAATTTTCTTAAGCATGGCTGGTATTTTTTTTCTTGTGACTGTACAGCAGCAGCAGTGTGTGTGATAACAGTAGAGTTTGGTGATGTTGGCTTTCTTTTCCTTTGTTTTTGCTTTTTAGCTGGGTGTGGCAGCATGCGCCTGTAGTCCCAGCTACTCGGAAGGCTGAGGCAGGAGAATCACTTGAACCCAGGAGGTGGAGGCTGCAGTGAGCCGAGATTATGCCACTGCACTCCAGCCTGGGCAACAGAGTGAGACTCCTTCTCAAAAAAAAAAAAAAAAAAGATTGCTTTTTTCCCATCTGTGCAGATGTCCAACATAGTGCAAAAGGCAAATGATAATTTAGTGTTATAAAAATTGTTTCAGGCCGGGCGCAGTGGCTCACACCTGTAATCCCAACACTTTGGGAAGCTGAGGCGGGTGGATCACCTGAGGTCAGGAGTTCCAGACCAGCCTGGCCAACATGGCGAAACCCCGTCTCTACTAAAAATACAAAAATTAGTCGGGCCTGGTGGCGCATGCCTGTAATCCCAACTACTCAGGAGGCTGAGGCAGAAGAATCACTTGAACCCAGGAGGCGGCAGAGGTTGCAGTGAGCTGAGATCGTGCCATTGCACTCCAGCCTGGGCAACAAGAGAGAAACTTCGTCTCAAAACAAAATTGTTTCAGGCTGGGCTTTGGGGTTCACACCTGCAACTCCAGCACTTTTGGAGGCTGAGGTGGGAAGATCACTTGAGGCCCAGAGTTCAAGACCAGCCTGGGCAACATGGTGAGACCCTGTCTCTGTAGAAAAAAATAAGAAAATAGCTGGTTATGGTGGTGCATGCTTATAGTCCCTCATGCTACTCATGAGGCTGAATTAGGAGGGTTGCTTGAGCCTAGGAGGTCAAGTTTGCATGCAGTGGGCTGTGATTACGCTACTGCACTCCAGAAGACCTCGTCTCAAAAAAAAAAAAAAAATTGGTTTCAGTTTTGGTGAAATAGTTTTCATCTTACAGCACATAGAAGGGCCTAGGGCAGTGCTATAACTTGAGCACCTAAAATGTGACCAGGGTGGCCGGGCGTGGTGGCTCACCCCTATAATCACAGCACTTTGGGAGGCCGAGGCGGGCGGATCACGAGGTCGGGAGATCGAGACCATCCTGGCTAATACAGTGAAACCCTGTCTCTACTAAAAGTACAAAAAATTAGCCGGCCATGGTGACAGGCGCCTGTAGTCCCAGCGACTCGGGAGGCTGAGGCAGGAGAATGGCATGAACCTGGGAGGCGGAGCTTGCAGTGAGCCGAGATCGCGCCACTGCACTCCAGCCTGGGCGACAGAGCAAGACTCCGTCTCAAAAAAATAAAAATGTGACCAGGGTGACCGAGGAACTGAGTTTTTTATTTTTTGTAATATTATTCGTTTGGTAAAATTTCAGTAGTCACAGGGGCTGGGGACTGCGATATGAGACAGCAGCCTCCAAGGGCTCGAGAGCCGCGTTTTTGGGAGATGCTGGTGCGCTGCAACAGCCCTGCCGCGTGGAGCAGGTCCTCGGGCCAGAGGAGGGGAGCGGCGCAGTTCACATACACTCCTGACTTCACTTCTGCACATATGGGATCTTCTTACAGAAAGGTGCTGGTGAAGACAGGAGTCTGAAAATGCTCTCCTCGGCCAGGCACCGTGGCTCACGCCTGTAATCCCAGCACTTTGGGGGCCGAGATTGCACCACTGCACTCCAGCCTGGGTGACAGCGCGAGACTCCATCTCAAAAAAAAAAAAAAAAAAAAGGAAAGAAAATGCTCTCCTCAGCACGGAATTTGAATAGTTATTTAATGAATGAATAAATGATCAACCAAAGTGACACTTGTTTCAGGCCCTGTCACTCCCGATTACCACTGGGGCGGTGACAGGGTCTGCAGGCCTTCTCCGTGCAGAGGCCCAGTGATCCACGCTGTGGGCTTTGTGCGTCCTGAGGCCTCTGTTACCACTCCTCAGTGCTGCCACTGTGGCACGGAGGCAGCTACAGATCCTATATAAACGAATGAGCACAGCTATGTGCCAATAAAGCTGTATTTTTGGAGACTAACACTTGAATTTTGTGTGATTTTCACATGTCATGAAATAGTATTCTTTTCTTTTTCTTCTGCCAAACATTAAACAATGTGAAATCCATTGTTAGCTCTTGGGCCATACAGAAAAGCAAGCAGCTGGCCACATTTGGCCTCTTGGTCATAATTTGCCAACCCCTCATTCAGAGAAATCAAAAGGCTATTTGTTACATAATTGTTTTCTCATAAAAAGTTATTCAAAGACTAGCAAATGCTGCTTCGTCTGTGCATAAAACAGAAGAAAGGAGTTAGTAGGAAGCAAGGCTGTGTGTTTCCGACGCTTCCCACTGTGAAGGGCACGTCTGCACCCTGGACCAGGCCTTTGCACCTTCAAGTGCTGGGGACCGTGTGCGTGGGGAGTGCTGCGTCGGGGTTTTTACCTGGTTGCCCGGACCTCAGGCTGCTGTCAGAGGTCTGAAGCAGCCACGTGCCCTGGAGAGGAGGCGGTGTCTGCGGAGGTTGGTCAAGAGTCTGTATCCTGGGCTTTGATGGAAATGAGCCCTGAGGCATGTTCTTGGTGCGCCTGTTTTCATCTCTAAAGTGAGCCTGTTAAACACATGGGTTTTTCCTTCCAACTTTTAACTTTTGCTTTCACCAGTTAGGAATCAGATGACGCTTTCCAGAATTTGTCAAGTTAGACCATCCCCACCCCACACAGAATTGATGGCAGGTCCATGTACCTGATGCTTGCCGCTTCCCAACTGGAACTTTAAATGTTTACCATATTTTAATCTGATTTTTAAATTACAGTTTACCACTTACCTGTTGTAAGAAATCTTTTCAGCCGGGCATGGTGGCTCACACCTGTAATCCCAGCACTTTGGGAGGCTGAGGCAAGCAGATCACATCACCTGAGGTCAGGAGTTCGAGACCAGCCTGACCAACATGGAGAAACCCAGTCTCTACTAAAAATACAAAATTAGCTGGGTGTGGTGGTGCATGCCTGTAATCCCAACTACTCGGAAGGCTGAGGCAGGAGAATCGCTTGAACCCGGGAGGCGGAGATTGCAGTGAGCCAAGATCACGCCATTGCACTCCAGCCTAGACAACAAGAGTGAAACTCCGTCTCAAAAAAAACAAATCTTTTCAAGATACAAAAAACAGACCAGGCCCAGTGGCTCACACCTATAATGTTATTGCTTTGAGAGGCTGAGGCAGGAGAATCACTTGAGGCCGAGAGTTCAATACCAGCCTGGGCAACATAGTGATATGACAAGATCACTTGAGCCCAGGAGTTTGCAGCTACAGTGGCTATGATGGCGCCACTACATTGCCCTCCAGCCTGGGCGTTGGAGCAAGACTCTGTCTCTAAAAATATAAAATGAGATGGGCATGATGGCTGGGTACAGTGGCTCATGCCTGTAATCCCAGCACTTTGGAAGGCCAGGGCGGGTAGATCATTTGAGATCAAGAGTTTGAGACCAACCTGGCCAACATGATGAAACCCATCTTCTACTAAAAATTACAAAAATCAGCTGGGCGTGGTGGTGGGCACCTGTAATCCCAGCTACTCGGGAGGCTGAGGCAGGAGAATCACTTGAATTCAGGAGGCTGAGGTTGCTGTGAGCCGAGATCGTACCACTGCACTCCAGCCTGGGTGACAGAGCAAGACTCTGTCTCAAAAAAAAAAAAAAAAAAAAAAAAAAAAACCTGGGCATGATAGCTTAGTGCCCGTAATCTCAGCACTTTGGAAGGCTGAGGCAGGGGGAGCGCTTGAGCTCAGGAGTTCGAGACCAGCTTGGACAACATAGTGAGACCTCATCTCCATAAAAAATTTAAAAATGAGTCAGGCATGGTAGCACACACCTGTAGTCCCAGTTACTCCTGAGGCTGAGGCAGGAGGATGGCTTGAGCCTGGGAGGTTGAAGCTGCAGTGAGCTGAGATGATGCCATTGTCCCCCAACCTGGGCAACAGAGTGCGACCTTGTCTCAAAAATAATAATTTAATTAAAAATTAAAGAACACCAAGAAAAAATACATCACTTATAAGCTAAGGCATCAGAATGCCTGAGACATCTTTGCCTCCAGTTTCTTCTCTGT